>NC_000005.10:53234807-53859807 GCF_000001405.40 Homo sapiens
TACCCGAGTGTGTGGATCAGATCATGTCAGTTACAAACAAACAGGTGCCAAATTCATATATATATATATATATATATATATATATATATATATATAGAGAGAGAGAGAGAGAGAGAGAGAGAGAGAGAGAGAGAGAGACAGACAGACAGACAGACAGAGAGACAGAGTTTCACTCTTGTCACCCAGGCTGGAGTGCAATGGCGTGATCTTGGCTCACTGCAACCTCTGCCTCCTAAGTTCAAGTGATTCTCGTGCCTCAGCCTCCCTAGTAGCTGGGATTACAGGAACCCGCTATCATACCCAGCTAATTTTTGTGTCTTCAGTAGAGACAGGGTTTCACCACATTGGCCAGGCTGGTCTTGAAATCCTGACCTCAGGTGATCCACCTGCCTCGGCCTCCCAAAGTGCTGGGATTACAGATGTGAGCCACTGTGCCCAGCCTCATATTCTTAAAAATATTTGACATATTTACAGCAGTTCCTATGCAGTATAATGTCTATAAAATGTTTGCATTTTTATGAAACTTTCTATTTTGCTAACTTTTGAGCAGTTCAAAGCAATTTGGGCCAATTAATCTAAAAACACATATCCCAATGATCTGTTTTTAATATGTATTTCCCAATGTAAAATACTTATATATGATTTATCAAGTTTTACCTCATTTGGATACATTTCTATTTATTTTTTAATTACATACTTATTAAAGACTTTATCCAAAATACATTTATTACTGAAAGGAAATAGTCAATGTATCAAATTATAATACCTTTTTACTGAAAACCTTTTACTTACATCTCTGAAATTCAGAAGTCACTGAATTTTATAGTATAACTCTTAATTAAGCTTATATTGCTAAAATGTATAAGAATTTTAAGTTTATATTTCAATTTCCCTGATCTTGGGATCATGACTATTAATTTTACCTGATCTCCCTTGCATAACACAATTTACTTAACAAGTGAGATTATTCTCAAACATTTCATTTTCCTGTAGTTTAAAAATGGCATTTAAGTGAATGCCTCCAGTTGAAAGTATTCAGGTACCCTACATCCTGGGAAAGGAGTGTCACTGCTCATAAATCTCATGTTCCTCTGCCTTTCATTATAATCTCTGTTATAGGGAAAGTACTATGACAGTCAAAGCACCAATCATTACAATTTTATCAAGCACGAGAACACTGTACTTGGTCTACAGCCTTTCACACTTCACTGGTAAGTATGTTACATGTATGGATAGAAAACAAGATGAAATACTGCCAGTGTGATTACCTAGGCTGATTTGCACTTCGATAGAGTGTAACTCCCATGAAGTATTAAGATATGCATGCCAGCTTTGGGATCATCTTATTTAAAGGTCACTTTAATTGCCTTTTTTTCACTAAGTGCGGCCCCAGTTGCTTTCTGGTAGTCCCTTAAGTTCACCTGCCTTGCTGAAGTTGATTTGGGACACCCATTTGCTCCTTACATTGATGGACTTATTGGACACAGTCTAGGTCACATGTTCCAGGAAAATGGGCCTAAGTATGTCTAACACCCAAAGGTTTCAGGAAGGCCTAAGTATGTCTAACACCCAAAGAATTCAGGAAGGCCTAAGTATGCCTAACATCCAAAGATTTTGTGAACCCCTAAGTTGGTTAATTCAGGGGTGTCACCACTTGTTTAATAAACTTCAGGACAGTAATGGTTTTCTCAAGATTTGGTTGACCATTTTGAATCTTCAAAAAATAACAAAACAGCCTGTGTATCAGAATGTTTCACAACATTGACCAAATTCCCAAGTTTGCTGTTCCACTGAACCAAATGAAACTGCAGCATATATCTACTTATGAACAGAAGAACCTGCTCATGGAGGTGGCCCCAGAGCAGACAAAACACAAGCTGGCAGACTCAGTGAGTGATTCTTCAGTGAGCACTGATTGCCCTGCCTATCATCAAACTCTGCATTGACACAGTGACCATTGTTGTGATCCTCCAAACAGAAGTTTGGGCATAGAACAAACACAGAAGTTTAAGGAAGGGTCATGCTTGGCCATTTTTAATTTCGAGATCAATAGAGCACTGGCACTCTTCATTGGCAACATAGTGAGTGTCAGGCCCACGCTTTGAACTGTCTGGCACATCTCTGTGTAATGAGACCTGGTCTCACCAGGGATTAGGTTCAGAAGGTAGCACTTAGCCCAAACCAGCTCTGCTCCAATTCCGTCAGGATGCACCCAATTTTCCCCTTTGAGTCTTTTGTTTTGTTTTGTTTTGTTTTGTTTGTTCACTGGAGAGTGGTTGGGGGAGACAGTAGTAAAAATGAACCTTTGCCTACTTTTTTACACCTTACTGATATGTTAAATACATTAGCATGTATCCATTATTTTGATAAAAAACCAACTTATCATCTCTGAACTTTAGTTTTCACAACATCTAAATTGTAAAATAACATGGACCATGAAATAAAACCCAAAATGGACAACACTGGTTCCAATGTTGTGAGCTCTTTAGGCAATCCCAGTTGTCTACATTTGTGCTCCATGTACATACAGCTTTTTTTTCAGACTTGCACATTTCTCTTGCGAGGGGGCAGCCTGCTTTTCTATTTCCCTGGTGCTTTGCTCATTCTGGATATGCTGTTTTGAAGGCAAAAAGGACGGAGTCTTGGGAGCCTCTACCTGCTAGAATCCATGAGGTTGCTTTCTGACATCAAAGTTAATTGATAATTGGGTGAATAAGCCATATTAAGAGGGTTCTAGTCTTGAAGGGACTGAATGTATTTGTGGCCGGGAGCTCTCACCTTTGTCTCCTTGAGATTGTCTATTATTCCCATATTCCCATATGACATGGACACCCTGAAGGAGATTAATATTTGCTACCACTCCCAATGTTGAATGAAGCAGTAAATACAGGAACAAGCAAAGCTTCGCAGTAGTGTTCTCAGTGTGCTGTGGCTGGAACCTCAGTTACAATGGCCTATAGTGAACCACTTTAGTGTCCATTATAATAAAATAAGGACTTCTGGTGAATCTCCAAAGTTTTAATTACACTCCTTTCTCTCTGTCTCCGTAGGGTACTATTAAGTGTTTTCATTCATCCGCTCAGTTTTACTTGGGACACTCATGTGCTATTGTGCGCATTGTAACAAAATGTGTGGTCTGCATTGGCAAAAGTATATACGCATTTGGGGTATTTTACATGAGGCTTGAAGCTTTGTAAGAGGAAGCTCCTCTTACTCTTGGCTTGTGGATACCCAAAGGCGGTGTGTCACTGTGAAAGCCAGAGACGGCAGTCCAGCTGTTGTTGTTGTTCTTTCAATACAAAATCTTTTCTTGGCTCCTTTTGTGCTTTATGTAATGTTATTTGTAATTTCAAAAATATTGTATACATGTCAAACAATTAATAGAAAATATAAGTGAGAAATGAAGAATACTCACAATTTCACACGCCAAGAGAATGATAATAAATACTTTAAAATATGCTCTTCTGGATCCTTTTCTGACATCATATTTCATGGCTGAATAGAATTCCATGTTAGGAACACATCAGAAGTAAGCATACTGACTGAGAAGTGGTCTTTTGGAGGCAGGCTGTTTGGATCAGATCTTGGTCTTTTTCTTTACTGTGTATCTCTGGGCAAATCATTTCACTTCTCTATGCTGCAGTTTACTCAACCATAAAGTAAGGTTAATAATAGTTCCTATTGCATAGAATTGCTGCAAGTATTAAGTGCATTAATACAGGTAAAGTACTTAGAACATGCCAACACATAGCATGTATGATGTAATAACTATCGTTTTCATTATTCATATATATATATAATATATTCGCATATTCCTTTTTTTTTTTTTTTTTTGAGACAGACTCTCACTCCGTCGCCCAGGCTGGAGTGCAGTGGCATGATCTCGGCTTACTGCAAGCTCCACCTCCCGGGTTCATGCCATTCTCCTGCCTAGGCCTCCCGAGTAGCTGGGACTACAGGTGCCCACGACCATACCCAGCTAATTTTTTTTGTAATTTTAGTAGAGACGGGGTATCACCATGTTAGCCAGGATGGTCTCAATCTCCTGGCCTCGTGATCCACCCACCTCAGCCTCCCAAAGTGCTGGGATTACAGGTGTGAGCCACCACACCCGGCCAATATATAGACATATTCTTATTATTGTTGGACATTCAGGTTCACAGTTGTCTTCTCATAAGTAATGCTATAATAAACTTCCTAGTAGTTAAACCTTGAGCACATCCTTATGTCTTTAGGATAGATTCCTAAAAGTTGAACTGCTAGCTCTAAAGGTACATACATTTTGTATTCAGTGCATTTTGATTACCAAAATGCTTTTCAAGAAGTTTATACAATTTTATATTCTTGTCAGTTGTATATGACTGTCCATTTTGATTTTTTAAAATTACAATTTTAAATAATTGCAATTTTTGTCAGAGACAAAAAGTTGTATGTTATCGTGAATTTAATATATATACATTTCTTTTATTATTTATTCTATCAATGCTCAGCACTGCACTCCCGGCACCTAGCATAATATCTGGCACAAAGTAGATGACTGAAAGGGAAAAAATGTATAGACATTGAATATATGTGTATATATATGTATATATGCATATGTACATGTGCTTACACACACACACTTGCACACACCCACACTGTACTTGAATTTTCTGTTCTTATTTTCATGACTCATTTTGGCAGTGGATGTGCCAGAACTTTGGGGAAAATAATGCTTAAGCCAAGTGTGTCAGAGGGTTGTAATAAAGTGAGTCCTGGGAAAGTGCAAATTGCTTTGTAGAGGTGGAAGAGCGGAACAATGTGCTGTTGAAGGGTCACTAATGGTCTCCTGTATATTGCTTGACTCAAGGTCCATGACAGAACTGGATACCTTCTCTTGTCTTTCAGATTGCCCATCACTGGCCAGGCACCAAGGGTTAAAAAGAAATGAATTGAATGAAATGATTCCAAGGGTTTAGTGGTTTCTAGAAAAACTCTAGGTCTTTGACCCAGGATGTTTCTAGGACTTAAGTTTTTGTCAGGAGCTACTGGATAAACTGTGGTGAGATGTTTCAGTCTTTTTCTTCAAACTGTGTACATTTTTACTGCTTCCATGTTCTTAATATTTCAAAATGAATGGGCACAGAAGAACTAAAAAGGCAGTGTAATTCTGAGGGGAAAATTACAGAAAGGAAAATATATTGTCCAAGTATTTATTATAGACTTAAAAAAATCATGCTGTACCTTGTCATATCACTTCAGAAAATATTTGAAATTAATTTCATTTTCCTCCCTATTGCTTCTCAAAAAATATACTGCTTTAAACTTTAAGAAATATCCTAATCTAGGGCCATGAAAGAATAGGATAAAAATTTTCAGCCAATTCCAAACTGATCAAACTTGCCCATTCCTTATGTAATTGTATTTTGACCTTCTAGTTATTGAATTTTGCCCCTTTTAGATATTGAATTATAGCCAGCTCCACAGTGAATTACAATTAAAGTTAATAGACAGTCTTAAAATTAGGAAACCTGGTCAAGTTTTGAAAGGCAGATGCCAAGTAAATGAGGTTTCCAAGTGCCCCTCGCCTCCAGGTATGGAAACATTTTTCATCATGATTGTGTTCTGTGGCAGGCCTCAGCTGGGAAAAGTTTTGTTTACAAAAGAAAAGAATAAGCAAGAGTTTCTGAAAGTGAGTAGCTCTGTTGAATTTACATGCAAGCTCCTTACCCGGACAGACAAAACACATCATCTTGTCATTTGTTCTCCACCTGCAGGGACTGTTCTAATATTGTTGGGTTGGGTAGTCAGGACCAGGCCATTGGCAGCCATCATGTTGGCTGATCACTATGGCAACCTCAGAATGAGCAATTATGGAAAATGCCTTTTATTCACCTTCTCTTTGTCTCCTCCTCTCCTATTCAACTTTCTCATCCCTAGGCTCCTCTGAAAAACCTACCTAAAGAGAGAAAAAAAATTAACAATACACTGTGTTCTAGGATCATATTTCTTTCATATTGGCTGACATCCTAACACCTTGAGCCATGGGCTGTTCAAAAAGGATTAACTGTGAAAGGTCAGTTCTGGCCAATACTGCAGTGAGACTCATCCAACAGCAATATAAATGTGGTCAAATACTATCCAGGGAACTGAGTGCTTCTCCAGATCTATTCCATCCAGCATTGTTTGGGGGACTGTGTTATGGAAGATGTGGCCTTTCCAAACAAAGAGAAAGGCAAAATCACTGGAGGGGTTTAAAAATGGCAAATATCTTTTCTCAAATGGAGATAAGCCCTGGACATTAAGAACCTTGTCTAGTACCAAAAAAAGGCACAGCATCATTTGTTTTCTCAAATGAATGATTCTACTCCTTTTTTTTTGTACTAGATAAGATTCTTAATCAATCTTTCCTGAATTGCAGGCTAAGGTTATTTTTGTTTGCTAGTGTTTTGGGTTTTCCCCTTAGATATTTCTAAGTATGACATTAGAACCTCCTGGTTTCATTATGAATGACAGATAATAAGACTGACCCAAGAAAAGAAGCGGATAATAATTATCAACCTATCAGCAGGAGAAAAAGCCCATGTTTTCCTGATTTTCAGCTTTTTTAATTACCAGAAATTCTTCACACCTCCAGATAAAATTGAGGTTCTCTTGTACCAGGTCTAGTTTATGACCTTGACCAGATTTGCTGGGTTCTCCCCACCCCGGGGCTTCAACTGCTTGCTCAGTGGAGTATCCCAGCAGTTGCTGTCTTGACCTCATGTATAAATGCTGCAGGTTGTCTCAGGATCTTCTGGGGTGAGAACTGGGCTTTAGCACTACCTTCAGCAAACCTGCTGTGTCAGAGCCCAGAACAGATGTGATCCAGTCAAACTAAACTTATGGGTGGCTCTGGCTTCTCTACGACTTCCAGACTCAGATGACGAGAGTGAAATTTGCCCATAGAATGCAGATAACTCAACTTGGAAAGGGTGGATTTTGATCAGCGAGGGCCAGGAAATGGGAAGGAACCAGCAGATGAACTCCTTTGCTTTCGTTTTCCTGATGGACTGTTCTGGCATAATATGTACAAGAAGATGTCCCATATGCCTGAAGAACCTGCTACGTGTGAGTGTGTGTGTGTGTGTGTGTGTGTGTGTGTGTGCATAGGTGTGTGTGTGTTTTAGGCTGTAGCCAACTCAGAAATTTACCATCTAGTATTTGCTCTCCTTTCTTCCTGCTTCATTCATCCTTATCCCCTATTATTGTTGTTGAGGGATTCCACCTTCCAATAAAGCTGACACACTTCATCTTTGTTGCTAGCTCTAATTTTTAGGAAACCCAGACTAAAATGCCATCAATAAGACAGTAGCTGTATTTTAAATTTCTGCATTGTGAGAAAGTACATGTTGCTAAAATACATTAAATTCAATTATGTTTTAAAATAAGGTAATAGTCAAAACACAATGAGATAGAATCATGAAATTGTTAATATTTGAGTGTTCTTGACCTACAAAAATGACCATATCATGTGGTCTAACCTAATAATATCTATGCTGGAAGCAATGTAATATGGTGGTTAAGAGCTTAGGAGTCATGTTGACTGAGCGAAAAATCTGTTCTGTCACTAACTACCTGTCTGACATTGAACAAGTTATTAATTCACTCTAGGTCCAAAATACCTTACTTATAACAAGAGGATAATATATAGGCTGGTCGTAAGAATTAAATTATGTAACACATACAAATAATTTATAAATTTGTTATTTTTATATAAAATATTTATTGCATCCATAGATAATGTGTCCTGTATACACAAATTTAAGCATCCTTTTTTAAAAAATCTATTCTGTCCTCCCATGACTTTAGGCCAGGCATCCGTGCCCCGAGGTTGGAAACCATTGACTCAAAACATATTTATATGTCACAGATAAACAACATAATGAAAAGAATGTGTTAACAATTACTGTTATGCTTCTACTTCTGCACCACTAATTTCAGTTCTGTGAATTGATTCACTTTTATATATGAATATTTAGGATCTCTACTAATTTTCTTAGGTTATTATGATTTGGGTTTCTGTAAATCACTTTCAAAAATATTTAGATGACACAAATTATTTGTCTTAAAAATATTAAATTAGGCCATTCCCCACTTTTCCACAGCTACTTTCCTCCACCTCTAGGCTAAATTTAATTTCATTCCTCACTTTATTACTAGATTAACAACAACAATGACCTAAGGTAATAGAGTAACACTTATCTCCATGACACACTAAAGAGCTTCTAAGGATCTGATCAGCCCTCGAGTACCTACTGCAGTGTCCTATTGAACATTTACCCACTTAGATTAGGACATTTTCTAATAATAACCATAGGTAATATTTACATAGTTCTATATTATTTTCAAAGTATCTCGAATATTACACGAATTGATCCTCACAGCACATCTATGACGCTTTAGTCAAGCATTTTAGTTGCAAATAACAGAAACCTATGTCAAACTTTAAGAAAAAGAGGACATTTCATTATCATCAACATCAGCATCTCATGAAACCCAAAGGCAACTGGCCTCCAAAAAGGCTGGAACAGGGACCTGGAAGGCCAGGAAGTACCAAGGTCAGTATTTTTGTTTTTTGTTCTACTTTTCTATGTGCACCTGATTCATTGTACCCAAATTTGCCATCAAACCTTCCTAATTTACTTCTCCTGTCATCAAGTGACCAGCCCAGCTGAATTATCGTTACTCAGTTTCAATTCCAAATTACCAGGAGAATGTAGCTCTGATCACCCCAATTTGAAAAGTTATCTTTTCCTAGTTCTATTGTCTTTGGCCAGCAGGGCGGAGCCATCTACCACAAAAATGGCTGCCATGGCTCACCTGTGGGCGAGGGGGCAACTCCAGAACAAGGGAGATGTAATAAGTTAAGCAGATAACTCAAAAATGCATCCACTATTTTTGTGGGAATTATAAGTGTTTCTGCTTTATAGATGAGAACACTAAATAAAAGGTTGAATCCTAGGGTGAGGTAGAAAAATCAGAAATCTACCCAAATATTTTGACTATAAATTTTGTATTTTTTGAGTTCTACAACTTAACCTCCCTGGAAGCTGACATAGAAAGGATCATCAGTAAAACTACAGCCACCTTAACTGAAGAGGTAATATAATAATATGGATAAGATAATCCACTTAACGTTCTTTGAAAGGGTCTAGAGTTGGGCCTTGAAGAAACAGACCATGTTTAGTTGTCCAAATCTGGAAGACTGAACGAAGCAAAAATAGTGAAATCTGATGATGGAGAGACAGAAAGAGGGGAAGGCTGTGCTAGAAAAAGGTAATACATGTCATCATATATTTGCCTTTTAATGGAATCTAATTCAAGAAAACACTACTATTTTGGGTAACAGTAGTTTGTGCTTTCTCCAAACATAAACTCCCATGTTTTGGAGATGAAGAGAGTCTAATTCATGTCTCTAAGGCATGGCATCTGATTTCCGTTAAGCACATCGCCTGATTCCTTTGAGCACACAATGATCACTTATGAGCTTTGGACAAAGTTCTGGCCCCTCCAGTGCTTATTTTCATAGTTGACATAGACCATACCTACCTGACTTCAAACAATAGGATGACGGGTTCTCTACAAAAACATCTAGGTAGGCATTTTAGCTGCATAATGCCAAAAAACATCCTGGAATTTGGAAAAGCTCAGCTGATTATTTTAAGTTTTGGGTTTTCAAATTTTAGAAAGTCTTATTAATACATTCTCTAAGGAAGTGTCCTAATTCATTTTTTAAAATATGCAATATTGTTTGAAACATCTGAGCAACAGCCTCAGACTTGGTAAGCAAGATTTTGGCTGTCAGTGCTATTTAATTTAGTCCAAACAATATTGGACTAAATTACATCTCAGAGAGTGTATATTTGTGGCGAATATATTAATTAATACTTAAAAATTAACTAGTCCTTTAAAATCAGTATGTTTGGTAAACCTATATTTCTCTTGTAAGGATACAAATACACACATATAAGATGTATGCATACATACATACAAACATACATGCACATATATACAGGAATTGGCCAAACTCTCTTGGATAGTCAGTGCTAGAGCAAGACATTAGTCCTACATTCTTGGTAATTAGTTTTCAAATTAATCATGAGTTTGGGCTGCCCTTAAACAATAAGGAAATGTCATCATAACCCCCATCTAGGAAAAGAATGCTGAGTGAAACTTCTGCTCTCATTTAGGAAAGCCTGATGGTGATTTCTATACATAGAGAGAGTGAATGAAGACACTTGAAGCTGTTAGATTGAAATACTGAAGGGGACAGGTTACAAGAGCAACCTGCTTTTTGGAGTCTTATACCCTAAGAGTTATTAAAAGAATGCAGCACAATGGGAAAAAAATAAATGCTTTCACAGCAAAATGCTTCCTAGTGCGACTGAGCATGTCTCAATTTAGCACATAGGCATTATTGATGAAATTTAAAAGGGCAGTACTATTTCAAAAATCCAACATTTTCTTTTAATTAATATTTTTTTTTACTTTAAGTTCCAGGATACATGTGCAGAACATGTAGGTTTGTTACATAGGTTTACATGTTTGCTACACCTATCAACCCATCATCTAGGTTTTAAGCCCTGCATGCATTAGCTATTTGTCCTGATGCTCTCCCTTGGCTCGCCCCCCAATCCCACGACAGGCCCCAGTGTGTGTTGTTCCCCTCCTTGTGTCCATGTGTTCTCACTGTCTTTTTATAAATTTTAAAAAGACTGTTTTTAAAATATGGAGCCAGAAATGTTTCATGTATAATGGCACATCTATGGTTGTTTAATGAATAAATTGAACAGGTGATAACTTTATGCTTGCCTAACAGTACACAGTTTTCTTTTTATAATCAACATTGATCAGAAGCAACATTAAAACTAAAAACAGGTTTTTTTTTTTCGGGGGAACAGAGTCTTGCTATGTTGCCTAAACTGGGCTTGAACTCCTGGGCTCAAGGGATCTTCCTGCTTTGGCCTCCCAAGAAGCTGGGCCTACAGGTTTACACCATTGTGCCTGACTATAGTTATTTTTATAATCAATAGTTTACTTCCAATATAATATAACAAAATGGTTGGAGCCCAACATCATACAAGTGATCTTATTAGCAATTCTGTGTACAATGTTTGCTTTTAAGATTTTCTCCTAATTACATAAGATAGATAGCACTGCATGCACAGAAAACAGTGTAAGTTATGAGGAAAAAACCCACAGCATAAAAAGAATGTTTTTCATTTAAATTGTTTTGCTTTTTAGACAGCTTGACTTGCTCAAAAGCAATAGGAGATCCTTGACTTCATTTCTATTTCAAAGCACAATCACCACTTAACATCTGTTTTTTTCTGGGCAGTTGAAACTATCTTGCTGACCGCATGACTGCAGATGAATGTTTAAAAAATCATCCAGTAATGTGCAATCTCATTTGAGGCAGGCACTATCCTGTCAATTTGAAGCAATTGTGAATAGTCCTTACTAAATATTTCTAATGCCATTTGATAGGTGTCACTGACTTTTAAGAAAACCACTGAGCCACTTCCTTTCCTGACTGTGTTTGGAATTACCGTACACATCTTTTTCCTGGCCTCTGGCAGAAGCTTGTAATGTAGATAAGTTCATATGGCTGGTTGGAAAGGAAGAAGGTGTGTATTACTAGACCCAGTACAACAAAAGGTGTGCACGGTTTCAACCAAAATTAAGAATAGGAGTGCCTTAGAGAGACGCTCCTGAAATTCTTCTACAGACGATACCCTGCTTTGGGGAATAATTTTTCTCACTATTAATGCTCCTCCTTTCTGTCTCCGTTTCCACCCACACTCCAAAACTGTAGTGAAACCAGTGTTCACTGTAAAAATAGTTATGAGGAAGTCTGAATAGCCAGAAAAGATTTGAATAAAAGGGATGACGATATGCCTGTATCACAAATGAGATCCTAAAAAATGTTTTTTTGTTTCGTTTTTCCAGAAGCTTCCATATGTGACTACTTTTTAAATTCTCTCCCATGGACACATTTATACCTTAAAACTTTGCCTTATCGTTTCCTTGGCTATGGGATGAAAGAGAGTTTCAGAATTCTTTCAACACCTTGCAGAACTGACATGATGTGTGGTATAGTTCAGGTCTGTATGCCTAAATTAAATTTTGTGTGTTTATAGAAGCAATTATGAACTTTCAAGGTTCTGTTCTTATAGAAATACTTAATATAGAAGATGAAAACCTCCTAATCCTTCCTCCAAAAAGAGAACCACTCTCAATATTCACTGCATATCACCATTTCCCAAGCAAAATATTTTTTCTATACATGTACTAGCATATATTATTACATCCTCTTTCTACAAACTTATTATTTGATCACAATTTCTAGCAAAAGTCCAGAAGGACAAGACTGTTTTCACCGTTTTCACATTCTTTTTCTTATGCTTTTTTTCCTTCTTCCTTGATCTAATTCCTTTCTTTAAAGAAGCATGGTCTTTGGTGATGGAGTTCATAGAAATTTCCTGACATTCTCCAAAAATTCTATTCAATATTAAACTATAGCATTCATAACTAACATTTTTTTCGTTCAGGAGAATTTACTAAATATATTCTAAGAAAGTTTGCTATAAAGAAAATTGCTGGCAAGTGAAACAATCTCTCTTCTGATTTCCATTTAAAATTAAATATGCCTAACAATTAAATATGTCTAACAAAGGATTAGAATTTCATAAACCTTTAAAGTTACATTTAAAAGAAAAGGGTTAATTTGTGACTAACGTAATTAACATTAACACTCAATATAACATCATGAAAAAATATATATTGACCAGCTTAGTTCTATTAGGATTTTTAAGAATGAAATGTTTTTGTAGTTCTCTGCCTAACAGTACTTCCAAAAGCATGGCATAAATAAATATTCACAGCAAGTTTGTCCTTTAAAATTTATCATCAACAAAGAAGAAAGTGAGCTGGAATAGAAGACACGAGCCCAGGTATCTGTCTTTGGCTCTGCTACCAGCTGTTTGCATTTATCTGAGAAAGTAATTGAGTTTCCAAGACTTTGATTTCCTTATCTATAAAATTAAAAGCAACAATTGAATTTGTTTAAAGATTTTTTGAAACACTTAAATCAGTCGATTACTGACCTTGGTGAAAACTGTTAGGGTCATCTAGTTGTTTTAACAAAACATCCCAAATTCAGAGGCTTACCACAAGAGTTTATTCTGTGATCATTATGTGACCAAATCCAGTGAGCCTGCTCCCGGAAGCTTTCTTCCATGTCTACATTGAGGAACTGAGGTTTCTTACATCTTGTGGCTCTTTCATTCCCTACACCTTGGATTCCTCTGCACCTGATCCACAAAAGAAAAAGGACAATCACTTAGTAAAAAACCTTTCATAGAAATGGCACACCTTATGTTTACTCAATTACAGCAGATTATATTATCCCACCTAGCTGCAAAGGGGACAGAGAGATGTAGTTCCTAGCTGTGCTGTCACTTTTCAGTGACAATGCTACATTACGGAAGGTGGAACACAAGTTTCGGCAGACAATCCCACAAACACCATCCTAATTAGAGCCAGTGATTCTGTGTAACCGTGGGAAAAGAAGTAATGGTGTTGGGAAAATTCAGTGAGTACCAGCATACTCGTATGGCTCCTATATTCAAGCAACACCCCATGGCACAGTTGATGGAATAGTTCATTTGCCAGGAAATATTAAGTTTTATTAATAAACTGTGGAAAGTCAGAATTTGAGCTAATATCTGCCCTACTACAGAATCTGACAGGGTCCTATGCTCTGCAGCATTTTATCCATCCAAAAGAGTCCTACCATTTCCAGTAGCAAGGTGCATTGACTCTATTTCCATCTTAAATCTGAAACCATTTCAGCCAGCTCTCTCCAGACTTCTGGCAATTATGTCTTATAAATTTCCCTGCTTAAGACTGGCTACATAATCTGTTGGTCCCAGTGAAAAATGAAAACCCAAGGCGCCTTGGTCAAAAAACAGGAAAAAGTTGCCATTAAAAGTACTAAAATATCAAGCTTTTTCCTTTCTTCTAGTGATCCCTCTCTGTCATGTTTTTTATTTGCTATCTAATGCCATCCTAAGTCAAGAAAAATTAAAATTTTAAGTTAATAACATAAATTTTACCGTTCACCTTCATATTGTGCCATGCCAATTTTAAATGTAAATATAAGAGCATTTAACTGGTAGGAGATCTCCAAAATTTCCCAGTTCATATTTACTGGCTCAACCCTGCAGGCCCTCTGAGCTGACCAGAAAGGGAAAATGCATATCAAACTCAGGAAGGTTGGAAGCAAGAAGAGAGAACTCCCCAAAACACAGAACCAATCCCTGGAGCAGTCCAAGCCACAGGTATACTTGCCAGAGAGAGTAGACGTCCTCCACCCTACTTCCACCCCTCACTACAAAGCCCTGGCTGGGGACCCAGTCCAGAGACATGGGGCATGTAGTGTGCTATCTCAGGTCCCACCAGCCACCCTTGGAGAAGTCGAGTTAGGCATCTCCCCTTCCCACTGGCCCAGCTCAGGGCAGACAGGTGAGTCCAAGAATCTTTAAACCTTTCCACCCAGAATCGCTCAGTCCCTAGATCAGGGTAGGCAATAGGCTGAATGCATGAGGTTCACCAGTGCTGGAAAGGCTGCCACCGGAGCTGCCTCCAGTTGCCACCAGCCTCCCACCCTGTCCTCCTGTATGTCCAGCCCAAGCCTCCCCCATTCTCCCACCCCCACTCCATGTCCCATCATATTTCACCTATACAACGCAAATTCAGGAATAAGATTATTAAGAATTTCAGGACTGCAATAGAAAAACATGAGGTCCTTCTGAGCATGGGCCTTGCACAGTCCTGCTGGCCACAAGCCCCATAAAGCCAGCCCGACCTCTACTTCAAATGAATCAGTCTTGAGGAATGATGTGTCTTTCCTCCAGCCAGGATGTAAATAAACCCTGAGACTCCACATGAACAAGCCTTGCCAAGGAGTCTCACTCAAAGAAACAGTCCTGTAAAATAACCATGAGTAATGAAAAATAATTCTATTATTTGCTTGTGTTATGCAAAGAGAATTTAACTCACAACTCAAAGCAATAATTTTTCAACTCCTAGTCTTCTACTTTACAATTCTCTCTCATCCAAGCTTCTCTATAGTCGTTTATTCTTCTCTTCACTTTCCTCTTTGCAGCAAAATATGTTCTCCCTGACACCAACCCCATAAAGCTTTTGCTCTCTTCCTTCCCCTCTACACTCTCCCTCAGCTGTTGTGTAAATCAACTCAGCCACTTGGTTTTCTTTCATTTTTTCCTCTGCCTTGACTGTTACTAAGGTTCTCTGATCCAAAGGGGAGCCCAGAAACTGATGCAAAGGACAACAATCTTTCCCGCTGACAAGAGTGGGAGCAGGGCACAGACTGCACATACACATTCGGCAATGATATGTGTCCTAAGTACATGTTAATAATTTCATCACACATGTTGACTTCATTTATCCCCTAGAATAGCTCTTGATGCTGTAGCCTCTAAACAGCAGCTCTCTCTCAATGACTAGTAAAAGCCACAAGCGCTAAGTTTAAAGAAAACCTGAGGGCAGAGCTCAGCTATGGCACCTGCTAACTATGTGACACTCTTTGGGTCATTTAATCTGAGCCTTTCATTTCCTCTGTGATGTGTATAAACCAGTATTTGGGGGTAACCCTGGAAGCCTAAGGAATTGACTCTTTCTCAGTCCCATATATTAATTTATATATTAATAAGTAATATTAACTGATCTTAAGAAAATGCATTTCAAGGAAAAGAGGGCGGCCTGAATTAAAGAAAAAATGTCTTTTTGGAAGAGACACTGGGTTAGTAATAGTTCATCAAAGCTTTCTGAACTTAAGTAGAATATCTCCAAACACCACTTCCTATTTTCTATTTTCCAGTTACCTATTTGTGACTAATGGTTTGACTCTCAAACTTTCCGATTAATAGTCTGACTCCCAAATACCTTGATTCCAGGAGAGAGGCCATAACTCCCAAGTACACCGATGATAATTGATGTGTCATATTATGAATTAAAATGTTGGCATTCTGAATTCATTTGTCCCTTCACAAAGGGGATACATTGTGAGAAATGTGTTAGGTGATTTCGTGATTGTGTGTACATCATAGAGTGTATTTACACAAATTTCGAATTTACCCCCCAAAATCTTTCTTTAATAATAAGTTTTTAGCTTATTATAACTTTTTTACTTTATAAGCTTTTTAGTTTTTAATTTTTTTGACTCTTTTGTAGTAATACTTGGCTTAAAAATCACGTTGCACAGCTGTACAAAAATATTTTTTCTTTATATCCTTACTCTATAAGCTTTGTTCTAGTTTTTTTTTTGTTGTTGTTGTTGTTGTTGTTGTTTTTAACTTTTTAAACTTTTTTGTTAAAAACTAAGACACAAGCACATACATTAGCTGAGGCCTACACAGGTTCAGGGTCATCAATATGCCTGTCTTCCACCTCCATATCTTACCTACTCCTGGAAGGTCTTCAGGAGCAATAACACGCATGGAGCTGTCATCTCCTATGACAATGCCTTCTTCTGGATACCTCCTGAAGGACCTGCTTGAGGCTGTTTTACAGTTCACTTTTTTTTCTTTTTTCAATAAGTAGACAAAGTACACTCTAAAATAACAATCAAAAGCATAGTTTAGGCTGGGCATGGTGGATCCCGCCTATAACCCCCTCACTTTGGGAGGCCTAGGCAGGCGAATCACCTGAGGTCAGGACTTCAAGACCAGCCTGGCCAAAAGTGGTGAAACCCCATCTCTACTAAAAATACAAAAATTAGCCAGGCATGGTGGTTTATGCCTGTAACTCCAGCTACTCGGGAGGCTGAGGCAGGAGAATCGCTTGAACCTGGGAGGCAGAGGTTGCAGTGAGCTGAGATTGTGCCACTGCACTGCAGTCTGGGTGACAGAGCCAGATTCTGTCTCAAAAAAAAAAAAAAAACATAGTTTAGTAAATACATAAACCAGTAATATAGTTATTATCATTATCAAGTATTATGTACTGTACATTACTGTATGTGTTATAGTTTTATAGGACGGGCAGCACAGTAGGTTTGTTTACACCAGCATCATCACAAACACGTGGGTAATGCATTGCACTACGACATTAGAAAAATGGCTAGGACATCACTGGGTGATAGGAATTTTTCAGCTTCATTATAATCTTGTAGGACCACCTTCGTATATGTGCCCTGTCATTGACCAAAAGGTCATGTGGCACATGACTTTATATCGGTCTTGTGTGAATTTAGGTAGTGTGAGACCATTGCTGAAATCCTGATCATTTCAGAGTATATACAATTCTATAGGTTATTAAGTTGATAAACCAAGTATAAACCTGAAATGTAGTGACCCATTAATCAATATTTCTAACTGAACTCCACCTGATACCTTAGCAATATGCAAACCTAGATGACTAAAAGCTAACTACTAGGTTGCTGTAAAAATTAAGGAGATAATGCATGTGAAAGTCTCAAGAACAAAGTCTGACATATACAGTTGCTTCAAGTTTTTATATAATAGATTTTCTTATTTACCCAATTTACATTTGTTTGAATGTGTGATCATTAAGACTACAAGGATCATTTGTGTTTAATTTCTGCTTCTAGAGGAAGAAAAAATACTCTGTGTCTTATGCTCTAACAATGGATATGGAATCTTGTCTAAGGTTTTGATCATGTTAAGAGAAAAAAATAAAATTTCAGAACTTCTGCTAGTTTTTTGGCATATGTTTTGTTTTAGGTTAGCAAATATTCTTAAACATTTTTTGCTGTAAAATGGTAGTCACCCACATTAAAAAGTCTTTTATCTTAAAACATGCTCAACAATATGCCTGGTTAAGAGTAGGGTACAGAAAGCAAAATTACATTGCATAAAAAATTAATGAGAATTTTGGGGCTGGAGTCTAGCAGGTAGACTGGGACCAGGGACAAGAAGATGAAGGCAAGGCAAAACTTAAGGAGGGCATATAGATGGCAAAAATGTGGGAGGACAGAAAATTGTTAATGAATGTTAGAGCATGGTGATTAACATTCTATTTCGCATTTTGTCTCTTCAGTGACACCCTGTAATCTCTCCATTACTGTCTCAGTTTGGGCTGCTGTAACCAATTACCACAGTGGCTCAAATGAGTTGGTGGCTCAAACAACAACTTATTTCTCATGGTTCTGGAGGCTGAAAGTACAAATTAGGGTGCCAGATGGTTGGGATTTTGGTGAAGGCCTTTTTCCTGGTTATGTCTTCAAGTGGTCTTTCCTTGGTGCTTACAAGCAGAGAAGAAGTGAGCTCTCTCCTGTCTCTTCTTATAAGGACACTACTAACCCCAGCATGAGAGCCCCACCTTCATGACCTATTACCTCCCAAAGGCCCCACTTTCAAAAACCATCACATTGGAGATTAGGGTTTTCAATATATAAGTTTGGGGGAGATAGAAACATTCAATCCAAAGCAATTATCCTCAAAGTAAAAGTCTGCTACACACCCAGGCTTGTGTCATTGGCACTTTGGAGAGTTGAAATAATCAAGGCAGTGAGCGTCCAGAAGGAAGCAAACTGGTGTGAAGAAGGGAGAGAACAGCAGTCACACAAGCCAAGATTCACAGCAGAGACAGGGAGTAATGAGAAGAAACAACCACCTCATGAAGATTTTGGAGATAAGGAATGTGGTAAAGAATGTTCATTTCTTGGTTGGCATTGAGGCTGGAGAGGGTGACCTCAGTCATCTG
Organism: Homo sapiens; assembly: GCF_000001405.40. Lineage (NCBI taxonomy): Eukaryota > Metazoa > Chordata > Mammalia > Primates > Hominidae > Homo > Homo sapiens. The sequence continues at coordinate 53,253,576 of NC_000005.10, forward strand.
AAAAAATTGTAAACATTCAGGCAGCTGATTATTAGGTTCCCACTTGTGGGGCTCAGCATCCCAGAATGTACAGTGCCTGTTTATCTATCACGGTGATGGTGACAATGATGAAGGTAGCAGAGCCACAGCTGTGTGCTCCACCCTCTGGGCATCTTGGTTCTAAAAAAACCACAAACATGTACACACTTATCTATGGTTCTAAAAAAACCACAAACATGCACACGCTTATCTATGAAACTGAGACAGATGCTCCTGGCCTATTCAAATAAACACATACTTTAATCAGTCATCTTTCTGATATGCAAAACTGTAAGAGTTATTCATGTTACTTTATTTTCCAACAATTTACCCTTGCAGACATGCTCTGGTGTTAGATAACAATGTTCTGTAGGATTTATCTATGTTGAATGTTTAGAAATTTTTTTTCAATATATTTCTCTCCTCAAAACTTTATCTCTGCAAACACCTCACTTAACTTGGACCTGCAAATATTGATTTAGCATTTGATGATGCCTAAACTGAATACCTCAATGTGTGTTAGGCAAACTGAATAGTTCAATGTGTCTGACTTTATCTCTTTTCTCCTGTCTAAGTCTCTAGGTTTGAAATATCTCCTTCACCATTTTTATTATATTGAATTATTACCAAGGAAGGCTCTGCCTTTCCTTCTCAGCTAGCCGTTCTTTCAGAATCCAATCTACCCTTATTTTATCAAACATAATTCTAGATGTGTAGACAACAGCTAAGGTGAAAACTCGATCTTCTTAAAATAGTTGAAAACAAAATAAAAGGCAATGTTACTCTTCCTTCGTAAGTGTCATAGAAGTCCTTCCTTTTGGGTTTGCTGCTTTTTTTCCCCCTTTTTCTTTCCTTTTCTTTCTTTCTTTCTTTTTTTTTTTCTTTTTTGGAAGGAATAAAGAACAAGGAGACTGAACTTTTAAAAAGGGATCATTGGGTGATATTGGGCAAAATGAAAAGGAAACTCCTATGATAAAAGATTTTTGAGAATTGCCTGCGTAATACACTAAAACATTCTTTAAAGATGATATATATGCCTGCATCTTCAAAAAGCATCTTAGAGAAGAATGGAAACTTTCGGTATTCCAAAGCTCAACTTTGACATTTTTATTATTTCCTTTAAAAAATCCATCCACTTGATGAAAAGACAGAGGGCCATTGTTGTTAACTTACCAAAGAAACTTACTAGAATACAAAATATGGATTACTGTATTACAGCATATATAGTAATTTTATTTTTAGTTTCTCATTATCTTCATCCCTACCTGTCCTAAAGTTCTGTCGCCAAGTATGGATCTCTACCAGCACCAAATCTCAACCTTTTTTTTTTAACCCCTAGCACTTCCCCATCAATAATCCAGTCACCTGAGGCAATTAAAATAGGCTTATTTTATTACCAACTCAATCCACTGACAACTCAAAGCAAAACAATTAATGAACAAATGTCTGCATGTCCCCAGTTGAATTACTTGTGTGCACATTTACACACACACACACACACACACACACACACACTTCTTTGCATCATATTCTTTCCCCACTACCCAATACAAAAGCTTGGTCTATGGGACAGGTGATGGGAAGTAAGAAGAGTTTGTGACAAATTAGAAGTCAAGTTAGTCAACAAATCATAATCTCTGTCTTTTCCTGTTATAGGCTTTGCTGGATTAACCTAATCAGTACAAACTAATACAACTTTGCATTGTCTTGGCAAGATGGAAACAGTTATAAAGTATAAATTTCTACTAAAATTCTCACTAAAATAACACATCCTAAATTAAAACATTTGACCTCCCACAAGCACAGATAGATACATCTTCCTCTGGGATTCATAACATGGTGCTTGCTATATACTTGTTGCCATTTTCTTTCTGTGTTTTAAAAAAATTATTACATTGTATGACATATTATTGTATTGTTCATGGAATGTGTTTTTCTCAAACAAGTTACTGAGGCAGGACCAGCTGCATCATCTGCAAGGACCGGTGAAGATGAAAATACAGGGCCCCTTGTTCAAAAATCTAAGAATTTCAAGACAGTAACATCCGAGCATTAAGCCAAGCATCAGACCCCCTAAGCAAGGGACTCTGTGTGACTGCACAGGTTGCATGCCCATGAAGCCAGCCCTGCTTGGAGGGCAACTATCTATTTCTTATTCATATTTGTAATCCCAGAGAGTGTTGCACACAGAATCTGAGAGTAGGCCCTTAGTCAATGAATGTTGAACCAATAAACAATTTTCCAATATGCTACAGAGAAAAGTAGAATTCATTTGATATGCAAAATAAGAACGTGCCCTTGTTTTACATTTTACTTGGAATTCCTGGTGGATGAATGAGCAGTAAATTTAATCAGTTAAAGGGCATTTGCTGCCTTTGCACCTAAGTTCATTTCTATTTACTTCAAAGACTCTTAAAAAGATAAAAGTCATAAAAAAGAATCCCAACATTTGCCAATCTCCATGAAACTGGAATCGGATACTTTGTTAGAAATCAGGGGACTCAGAGCAATGATGTACCTCTTTCCATACTCAGAGCCCTCCTCACAGTATGAGGAGGTATGTAGCCACCACATTCCCTGACCCACCATCCTTGCCCCTTTCAGAACAATGTTCCATCTTCACAATCTTGCCTTGTCTTTTTATCCCTGTAAATCCCACACTGCAATCCCAATGGTTTCTCACATTCCAGAAGATAATGAAATTTTCAGCCAGTACGTTTTTTGGCTGTCTATTGACACTTGACTAAGGATTTGCAAGTCTAACCTCCATGTGCCAATTGGGATTCTTCTATTAGTGTTCCAACCTTGTTGACTTGAAAAAGCTGCTTCTCAGCAGAGGGATGATTCTTGTAGCAGCTGTCAGCCAGATACCCATCAGAACCACCACCTATACACAACTCTTCATTTGCTAAAGGAATGAGAGAATCAGCTTACAAAAGTAAGAATACTCACCAGCATCTACAGCAGAATCTACACAGAACTCTCTGGGCTCTTCCAATATGGTTAATTACTTTCTTTTCTGTCAATGTCTCCAAAGTTTTTGGCTTTGGGACAAGACCAAAACTGGCACTGGACAAATTTAAATGGAGGAGGAAAAGCTGTTCTCGTGGCATTTATGACCTGACGGGAAACATGAAGTACCAGACATTTCATGGGAAGTCATCTTATTGAACGACTTCCAGTCCAGATTTGCTGGATGTAAAGAGCATTTGAGGTTTGAAGAAGTGTCTTTCCTCTTAGGTGCTTCAATAGACCTGTGCACCAAGTCTTTTGACGTCAGCTTATTACTTGCCTAGATCAGACATTTCCAGGTTCCAAACCTCCAGCCCACACTGGATGACTCAGAGGACTGGACCTGCATTATCTGAGTTGTCCTGCAATGCAATGGAAAAGCCTGCCTAGCAATCTTCCAGAACGATATTTTCTTGGTTAAGTCTGTGAGAAATAATCAAGTAGGAAGGAATCTCAGGGTGACCGCATACAGCTGAACTTGGAGGGAATACTGTTAGAGACAGGATTTCAAAGGCTTGAAAGAAATTTCGTAGGGCATTTAGTGAGTAGAATCTGTAAAAATTGCAGCCTATAGCCCCCTTATTTATGCTGCACATTTTCACCCATTCAGAGCAAATATTCAGGCACTGCTCTCATGGGCCCCTTCTCTCCTGTGAAGTCTTATTTCCACTCCATATTAGCCCTTTTTTTGGACATTCTTTTCAACTGTTCTCCTCACTCTAGGTAACTTGATGGGTATATCCCCCCAAGGGATGTAAAACATCTTCACATTCATAGAAAAGGGCCTGAACAACTTTTATTTATCATGAGATAAAATCAATTTTCTAAGTTTTCTGTTGGTATTTTTGGTGTATAAGAGACTGCTGATAAGGCCAACTTCAAAAATAAATAGTTAATGAAACTAAACCAAATGTATTAAAATGTTGGGCCAGATTCACTTTGACATTTATTGAATATTTCAGTAACTGCACATGTGGCTTCAGTAGAGCTTCTAACATGCAAATAAAGTTTTTTTTTCAATTCTGGACTATTTTCAGATTGAGATCTTCTTATCGATCTTGTTTATTCCTGCTTAAGTGTTGCTTTTTGCAGATCATTAAGTATATTCTCTCATCATCATAACTTTAAAAGTATACATGCATCTCTATCTACAGGACAGATGATCTTATCTCTCTCCTTTTTAGCTATTTATAAATTCTCTTAGTAATGCTATATCTCTAATTGTAAAAGTACACTAATATAACATCTTTCCAAAGTACATTTATAATTAAAAACTGCTTCACCTGTGTTCTGCTCAGTAGGCCATGTACCTACTGGTTCTTTTCCAAGACATGTGATTGAGTCATGCATTCATACCAGGCACTCCCATGCAGGCATGCAACTACATTCCTTTCCACAGAGAAGATACATGTGCCTACAAGTCACTGAAACAGGCATGCCCATCACTCAGTATTTGAACTTTGGCTTTTCCTGGTTGCTAAAAGGCAGACATTCCTAGACCATTTGGGAAAAGTAGAAATTGACTTGCCCATTGAAACATACAATATATCTGTGATTTACATCAGAGAACTGCAAACTAAAACCACAATGAGACATCATCTTACGCCAGTCAGAAAGGCTATTATTAAAAGGTCAAAAAAATGACAGATGTTGGCATGGATGCGGAGAAAAGGGAACACTTATACATTGTTGGTGGAAATGTACATTAGTTCAATTTCTATGGAAAACAACATGGAAATTTCTCAAAGAACTAAAAATAGAACCATCATTCAACCCAGCAATCTCACTACTGTGTATCTACTCAAAGGAAAAGAAATCATTATATCACAAAGATACATGTACTTGTATGCTCATTGCAGCACTATTCACAATAGCAAAGTCATGGACCCAACCTATGTGTCCATCAATGTTTTACTGGATAAAGAAAATGTGGCATAGATACAACATGGACTACTATGCAGCCATAAAAAGGAATGAAATTATGTTCTTTGCAGCAACATAGATGGAGCTGGAGGTTATTATCCTAAGTGAACTAACTCAGAAATAAACAGAAAACTGAGTGCCACTGTTCTTACTTATAAGTGGGGCTAAATAATAGGTGCCCATGGACATAATAAACACTGGGGACACCAAAAGTGGGAAAAGTGAGGGCGGCGTGAGGGTTGAAAAATTACTTACCAGATACAATGTTTGCTATTTGGGTAATGGGTACACTAGAAGCCCAATCCCCACCAGTATGCAATATACCCATGCAGCAAACAAGCACATGTACCCTCTGAATATAAAATAAAATGTATATTAAAAATTTAAAAAAACAAACTATATATATTCACATAGATGGGTATATGTGTATAAATTCAGATGTATATTTATATATAATATATTTATATGTATACATATATACATATATAATGTATATTACATATATATTTATATGTATGTGTGTGAGTATGTATGTGTGTGTATCTTCCCTTACTAGAAAATCCTTTGTAATTGGTTGTGTTTGTAATTACTAACCATCAAGAGTCATGAACATTTTCTCTGTATAATACCTTTTCCTAAGTCAGTTTCCCTGGAAATACAGCTAGTGATTAGGATTCTTGTGCAAGAATTTACTGAGAATCTGATATCAGAAGAAGGAGAATAAGAAATGCAAAGTAAGGCAAATGATCTCTCCCTTTTATTTTGGCCATTGACAAGTTGTTGTGTCATGTAATACCTGTAGCTCTAATTGCAAAAGTCCAGGTTGGAAGGGGAAGCTAACCAAAGACATAATTGCAGCTGGTGACTCGCTTCAGCCTGATCCCATGAGGAGCTCCAGAGCAAGAATTGTGCCATAGAATTGGAACCATCTTGAATCAAGGGAGCCATATTTTTGCATCCCATGTTAGCCTTCCAAGGAGGGGAATCATCCCCCAGGGAAGAGGGCTCCCATTTGGCTGGGAGCAAATCTCCAGAGGAGAGAGCTGACAAGCATTCACAGCAGCTAGGAGTTAAGTGTGCCTTTCTTTGATGTGGATCTGAGGAGGACACCAGCAACACCACTGCAGTCTCAGCAGCACTCCATGAGATCCACTTGATTCTCACATTACCTCCCATTCTTCCAGGTACAACTTCTCCAACGTTTATACCACTGAAACATTCTGGGAGAACTCCAAAATGAAGGTTGATAGATTAGACTGCAGTCCCAAGTGCTGCAATTGATTCCAAGGTTGTAACTGATACTCATTGTCTCCTCCTCCACCACCCAGGGCATATTTCCTTTCCTTCAGCCAGCATTTGTGCTGGTCAAGGTGGTTTGCTTTGCGGGCCCTCATCCCTGTGGAGTCTGAATCCCTAGTGACTATGTCCTTATCAGGCTGGGCTTACTATGGTTGCATTTACACCTAAAAGTGGACATGGGAAAACCAAAAGATGTCAAGATGGATCAACTTAACGACAAAAATATTCTCCACTCCTCTATTATATAGCAGCAACCAAACCTGTTGATGACTGGGGTAAATTACCCTCTAATAGGTAACTATTTTCTTAGCATGCTGGTCTACTACCATGAGGAGCCCCAAAATGACCACACAACAAGTGTTTATTCAGATTCTTAATGTGTCTTTGAGGGGAAGAGTCCCTCCCACTCCAGGAACCAGGACCTCCACAACAACAAAGCTTATGGTTGCAGGAATGAGAAGCACAAAGTTTCCAAGTGGTCAATGGGAATGATGTTAAGTAGAGCCACTTCTACTTACACCCTTTGGGTCCCTGAATTTTATATTCTACCTATTAGGGACAGAACAGCCAAGGACCTTTGGTTTAATGTACATACCACATATTGCAGGATAGCACCCCATCCTTGCAGAGTGTCATCTCCAAGTTGGTACCTCAGCTGAGAAGAGGTGATCCCACTGGTTTTGGGATGATGTCATGTGTGTTAGAAATAGTGGATCCCATGGTCATGTGGTCACCATCCCACTTCTGCCACTAAAACTGGTTCCTTTGTTCAAGGAAGTATCATGTGAGATCCCATGTTAGTACATGAGATACTTCATGAACCTTTGAATCATGATGCTGACCAAAGCATAAAAGGTCACCCCTCACTGGAATACAAGACAATCTTGTCAGAATGAATCACTGTTCCTTTAGGGCAGAAGAGGATCCAAAGTAAAAACTTGCCCCCAAGTAGTTGCTTGGCCTCCTTGAGAAATGATGTCTTAGTAGGGAATCGCCATTGGTCTTGGTGGCAATAGGCTGGATATTAGTAACAGAAGTAATTTGATCAGCCTTCATGAGAGAGAGAGAACCTCAGCCTCACTCTCTGCCACTAGGTCCACTCCATTCAAAAGCCCATTGCACAATCCCTGAGATGGCTGAGAACAGAGGCAAACTGATCTCTATCTTGCCCACTTTTCATTTTTTTTTTAGCACCTCTTCTGTACAAAGTTACTTACATTTTGTTACACTAAGTTACTCATACTTTGTGCTTACTTCTATAGGTCAAACCCCATGCCTCTTCCTCAGACATCCTTATTGTTGACCTTCCAGTCTGGTTCCTTCCAAGCTCCTCACCAACCAACTAAACCATTTACCACTGTCCATGAGTTTATGTATATTCAACCAGCTAAGCCATTCACCATTGCCTACGGGTCTAGAGATATCTTAATCCTAGTCCACGTCCCATTCCAACAAAGGAACTAAAACAGATCACTCACTGAAGAGCTGCCCATTTGAAGAGTTATCTCTCACCACTGTCACTTTCTATGTGACTGTAGTAGAGCGGCAGTGCGTTATTAGCTTATACCCACATACCAACATGACTGATTCATGAACCCAGCTCAGGCTCTTGCCTCTTCCATTGGCCACTGAAAAGAAAGCCCCAGAGACCATAGCTGTGAGCTGAGAAAGAGGCAATGGTGAAACACTAGCATGTGACATGGAAATAAGTGCCATGCAGCCTACTTTCACTCTCTGAACTATCTCAAGCCCCATCCTGGATCTACTACTGGCATTTTATCTGAGCCCAAACTTATTACTTGGTAGGCTGACAGTATCCAACTTATAATGGAAAGACATGGCTGAATGAGCACTTGTTAACACATCAATAGATGCTCATCTTCTACCAGGGTCTAATAGCATGCCAGGATGTTTTTCAAATGGTGTGTAATACTCTGTGGCAGATGGCATAAACTTGCTCCAGAATCCTATGCTACAATTCTCTTATTGTGGCTCTCCAGAGGCTCCACGCAGTGTTTTATCTTTCTATATTTTTATTTTTATTTTCAGTCAGCTTTCTCAGGTTGAACAGGCATTACTTTTCTACTAGATATACCTGTACTACCATAGGATCTGCCCAAGAGGCAGCACTGGTTGCTCCACAGCCCAGAATTGCTTCAGAGTCCTTTCTTGCTCTAAGATCCACTCAGAACTAGCAGTGTTTCACTTTGTAATAAATGGGTCACAGAAGTATTCCCAAGTACAGAATATGTTGCCTTTATAACCCAAAGAGGCCTACCAAGGAATGTGCTTCTTTCTTAGTGTTAGGAAGTATAAGGCACAACAATCTGTTCTTCACATTGAATGAAGATATTCCAGCATGCCTTATAACACTGGAACACATAAAAAGGTCACTAATGTGACTGGCCCTTGAACTCTTTTAGAACTTATCTATTTCCCTCAGGAGCACAGGTGTCTTACCAGGGCTTACATTTACCACTTCTTGCATATAAGGTCTAACGAACAAGATATCAATAAAAGGGATCAGTAGTGCAATGTTCTACAGAAAGTCAAGATGATTCACCTATCTTCAGTTTATAATGTGACGGATAGGAGAATAAACATAGCCCTTGGGTAAGACTGTAGATAGGTACAGTTGTCTATCTCATGTGAGTGTGAATTGTTACTGATCATCATTTCTGATGACTATTGAAAAGAATGAATTTGTCAGCTTCATCCCTTCATGCTACACAAGGAGGCGGTGTTGCTCTGCTCTCGTGAAGATACCACATTTGACACAACAACTGCAATTAGCTTTCTTTAGCCCAATATCATCCTGCCATAGCCATCAGTTTTTTTTTTTTCAGGAACAGGACTAGTGAATTAATTGGGGATATGATGAAGATGACCACCCTCTGCATTCCTTAAATTTTTAATCTTCCAACTTCTTCAAAAGTGATGTTTTCACTTACGTTTTTGTTCAAGGTGGAAGCCATTTCAGGTGCTCCTACCTGGCTTCTCTGACTACAGTAATTTTTATTTAAAGGTCAAGGAGCTAATGTGAAACTTCTGCTTACTACCAAGTATGTTCATTCAGTTTATGTGTTCAAAAACAAAGGAAATGTCCAGCAGGTAAGCCTTTAACCCCAATAAACACATTGAAATAGACATAGTCCAAGACTTCATCTTTTTACCTGGCCCTCATAAGCCTCTAGTCAAACAGAGGATGATTGAGGGACTTTTGTTCCCTTGGTATGAGGATCAGCTCAGACCCTGATCCATCAGTCTTTAAACTGTTAAGGCGTGTCCCTCTCCAAAGGGCCTAGTTTCCCCCAGAGGGAAGGACTGAATATATCCCTACTGTATGGCTTCTGGGGTTGCTGAGTGTTTTTTGTAGATATCTGGCCACTCTTTCAGCTGACAGGTTCTATGTCTAAGCATTGCTTCACTATACATACTTGACAAGAAAGTGTGGCTTTCCATTGTGGTAGCTGCCCTCTGCTTTCTACTCACACATTTATGAACTATTTTGATTGTGCACATATATTAAGCAACACCATTGTTGGCTGCCCATCTATCTTGCCCTTAGGAACATTTCTTGGCTTCCATTCCAAGCTTCTGCTCATTATGATACTTACAGTTGCCTTGCCTCTCTCAGTGAAGTGCAGCTACCTGGCCATTTCTGGATCCTAACTCGCATGTCTGTAACAGCATCTCCTATTGAGGCCCAGTGTAGAGGACAGCCACCTCTAAGCTTCTCAAAGATACTAGTTCTTCTTCACTACCACATTTCTTATTGCTTTGATAAGTAGATTCTTCCCCTAGACCTCTCAAGGAATATACTCAAATGGTGGCTTTTCCAGCCTTATTTAGTAGCCCAACTTAGCATGGCCACTTCCCAAAATTTTTAATACCTTTCTTCACAGTCTGCCACAGAAGTTTTGGCATCTCTACTTCATTTAATGTTCTACATTAAATGAAGTGTTTGGAAAACTCTGGCTCTCAAGTCAGATCCAGCCGGTTTCCTTTTTTGGTAAGGAAAGTTTTATTGAAACACTCAATTTACTGGCAACACCCATTTGTCTACATATTGGCCATATGACCTTCAAAGCCTAAAATATTTGTTACCTAACCCATTACAGAGAAAGTTTGCTGACATTTGATGGAGGGCATTACTTTTCCCAATCTTCTAACCACCACCCTGGTATAGCATTAAAACTGCCCCTTGGCCCTTTACCAAAGTGTCAAATCCTGGGTCACAGAATGGTGCCCCCATTTCAACACTCTATTCCTTCTCCAGTCTTATATTACTCCCTCATTCAGCTGGCTTCTTCAGGATTCCCAGGCATTATGTCCTTGTTCCTGTCAGTACGTGTTAACTAGGTCCAGCCACTGTTTTGGTATTTAATACTGCTTCTCCTTTAGCAGTCTAGCACTTTCTAGTATAATTTTGCTGAAATTTGGCCCAAGTTATGGGCCTGATGAGCAAAAGGAGAAGTAGGAACAGTTCTTGAGCAAGGCAAGCACTTTCCTAAAGAGTTCCTGTCTGCTCTGAGAACTCTACATGGTCTTCACACAGGGAAAAGGGAATTTTATCTTCCAATAAAAGTAGTCAATATTAAAGACTTGGAGAGTTCAGGGAAATCTGGGATTTCAAGACGCTCAAGTGAATCTACCCAGATATTCCCATCTTGTGCTTTCACTCCCATATCAGAACTCTGACTTTGGCTTAGGAAACTTCCCTAGGTTGAGAATTCAAGTTTCTCCAAAATTTTCTGCCTCTTCCAATTAAGTTCTGTTTCAAGCCATCAGTTTTCTCTGCCCTCCATTTACAGAAATTAGGATTTCTTTAAATGCTCCTAAGGAGGCCCTCTGACTCATATTTACATCAAACTGTGAATTAATAGATCTGAGATTATCATGATCTCTAGATCTACAACATTTAGCAAAAGCAAAACAATTCCATGGCCCATAGAGTTACCCTTTTCCATATGCCTTTGAAATGCCAGAGATATTTGATCAGTCAGTGTCCCTCCTTTCATGTGCACCCCCTGCCAGTTCACCATGGGTGAACATCTTAGCCAGGAACTATCATGGCTCCACCAACCCAGGATGCACTACCGTCTGGCCAGTAAATAATTCAACTCCAGAATTCCAGCTATAGGGTTTCTTTCTTAGGACTGCTCCCAGTACCAGTGTCCTAGAAGCAGGGCCTGAGATGGAAATTCTTCAATGAATGATTTATTGAGATATTACTTTCAGGAGAAAGGGAGTAAAAGAAGCAGTAAAGGCCTTAGTAAAACTAAGCAAAGGCTTATTCTCATCTGGAGATCAGCTTCCTTTGATTTGTAAGAAATTCTGGAGTATAGATGAGTCTAGATGAATCATAGGTTTGTTACTACCTCGAGGGAGGGAGTTTGTCCTGACCCTCCTCCTATTCTCAGGGGCATAATGTTCAAGGTAAAGCAGATCCCATTAGGTTGAGAGTAACTCTAGAGAAGGAGGCTGCTGTGAGTCATTAGGGGCTAGCAGTCATCATAGCTGAGGAATGGGTATGCAACCATGTAAATGGGATCTGAATGGAAACCAGGAGAGTCTACTATATACCTGAAACTAAAGAAATAACGCTGGTTACCTTGAAGAGCAGTCTCCTTGGGGCCCTGATGCACAACTTTCAGATTCTGTGTCCTATTGAACACTGGCTATCCTTACTTGCCTTTTGGACTAAGGTCTACCCTTAGCTATAGGAGGAATGAAGGTTTGGTTTGGACTTTAGGAATGATAACAAGTCTCTTGATAATTCGAATATGGGTTCATTTGTTTTTCGTAAATGAAAGAGCCCTGAAGGTGTAAACTTTCTTGACAGGACCAAAGTCATCAATGCCTTATTGTGAATTGTTTTACTAGATCTTTTGATTGAACCAATGTTAGAACAGGTGTTTGGGAGAAATGGAAAAGAAGGAGAGAAATTTGAGGCACAGACAGTAACCTTAGCATGTCAGGCCCTGAAGAAGACCTATAAAAGCAAAAGATAGCATAAGGAAACCACATCTTTGATAAAGACTGATAATTAAATGCATCCTTGTGGGAAGGTAGGAAGGAGTAAAAAACAAAACAAAACAAAACAACAGCAAAAAAACTACAATTCACTTGGGCTTGATTTTGGTAGGCTGGACTCAGGAGGAAGCACAGTTTATTCTGAAGTGTAAGAACTATTTCTGATCTTTAATAAACTATTCTTAGTTTTCCTGTAATATTATTACACAGAGAAAAGGCAGGTTATTCTAGCTTATAGGACCATTAAGAAAATGAGAGATGTCTTTATGTAGCATTTGTTTTAAACACAGGGAACTGATGCATTCACTTTATTGCAATAAATGGAACAACAATAGTGGCGCTGATAAAACTGAGCTCAGACGAGTAAAGTGTTGTAGGTACACCGGGGAAAGTTTTAAGAAAATGGTAAGATGAGAAAAATCATTGGGAACCAAAGGTACTCTCTTAAACTTACAAAAATGTGTTGGATTCAAGATTATGTAAATTCAGAGAAGCTGTAGCAGTTCTGGGGGGTTCCATCAGGTCCCAAGGTAAGTAACCTTGAGTGCTCTTGGTGATTTGAGAAATTCTTTGGTCCTATGGTTGATCACAAAAGAGATTTAGAAAGAGGACATGCGATAAAGTAAAATTTCCCAACAGTCTCACTGCTGAAGCCAGTACTGGATTTTTAGCTTTCTTACTGTGTGTCAAGTACTCCTTCTACCCACCCCCACTCCATTTTCCCACATCTCTGAACATGTGACTATCCTTTATTCACCGCTGGACTAGTGTATGGAACCTAGTCTTACTTGTTACCTTGATAGGAATACAAACAAGGTCAAAGCCATTCACCCAAATGTGTCCCTGACTGTTTATCAGGATATCTATAAATAATCGACCAAATTAATGTCAGAGAAATAAGTTAAAGAGAAGTTCTTTCTCCATGAAAGAATGTTTTAAGTTAATGGGCTGACCATCTCATTTAAGAGTGAAGTAAGGATATAAATATCAAGCAGTCACTGACTTCACTTCAATGTTTAAGGCTTATCTATTTAAATCCCCTCAGCAAATTTATTTTTAAGTAGAACCAATAAAAATACCTGTAACTAAAATGACCTGCCTACTCACCATTTCAACTTCTCCTACATCTAGTGCTTTTTTTTTTAATCAAAGAATCATGCTATACAACGATGAGGAAGAATTAGAGATGCCTTCTGGAGTCCTACATCTGTTGTTTGTTTCTCTAAGTGCTTAGAGAGCAAAGTGAACATTTGAGCTGGGTCTCCATGCATGTGGATGATGCTAGGAATCAGGAAAGGTGCTAAGGATGGTATTCCAGATTGAAAAAAAATACCATGGTCATTAACATAGAGAAGGAGAAACATAGAGCATTTATAATGTTCAAAAAGTTCTCCAGGGCCGGGCGTGGTGGCTCACGCCTGTAATCCCAACATTTTGGGAGGCCAAGGTGGGTGGATCACTTGAGGCCAGGAGTTTGAGACCAGCCTGGCCAACATGGTAAAATCCTATCTCTACTAAAAATACAAAAAAAAAAAAAAAAAAAAAAAAAAAAAAAGCCAGGCATGGTGGTGGTCACCTGTAATCCCAGCTACTCGGGAGGCCGAGGCAGGAGAATCGCTTGAACCCGGGAGGTGGAGGTCACAGTGAGCTGAGATTGCACCATTGCACTCCAGCCTGAGCAACAAGAGCAAAACTCCATCTCAAAAAACAAATAACAACAAAAAAAACCTCTGTAACCCAGATGTTATCTAGGTCTTCTCACCACTTTAGATAAAATAAATTCAACACCTCAGCCCACATCATGCAGAAGCACCCTACTTTGAATTTCCAGGAGTAATAGTATTATGGATGTTTGAGTCTGAGCACCTCTTTCTTTTAAACCAGCTGAGTTTAGGGATTTTTCTGTCCCTCCTGTGCAGGTTACTTCCTAGTCCACATTATGTCATCCAGCTGTGTCCCTTAGTCACTTCCTGTCAATTCTACCAAAAACAACAGCAACAAACACATACGTTAAACCTCTGCATATGTTGATTTGCATACGTGGAGGCAGAAGGTCCTTGCTACGCAGCATGTGACCCACAGACTAGCAGAATCAGCATTGCCTGTGAGTTTGTTAAAAATGCAAAACTCGCTGGGGGCAGCCAAGATGGCTGAATAGGAACAGCTCTGGTCTAGAGCTCCCAGCGTGAGTGACGCAGAAGATGGGTGATTTCTGCATTTCCATCAGAGGTACCAGGTTCATCTCACTAGGGAGTGCCAGAAAGTGGGCGCAGGACAGTGGTTGCAGTACACCATGCACGAGCTGAAGCAGGGTGAGGCATTGCCTCACTCAGGAAACACAAGGGGTCAGGGAGTTCCCTTTCCTAGTCAAAGAAAGGGGTGACAGATGGCAACTGGAAAATCGGGTCACTCCCATCCCAATACTGCACTTTTCTGATGGGCTTTAAAAACGGCACACCAGGAGATTATATCCTGCACATGGTTCAGAGGGTCCTACGCCCACGGAGTCTCGCTGATTGCTAGCACAGCAGTCTGAGATCTAACTGCAAGGCAGCAGCGAGGCTGGGGGAGGGGTGCCCGCCATTGCCTAGGCTTGCTTAGGTAAACAAAGCAGCCTGGAAGCTCCAACTGGGTGGAGCCCACCACAGCTCAAGGAGGCCTGTCTGCCTCTGTAGGCTCCACCTCTGGGGTCAGGGCACAGACAAACAAAAAGACAGCAGTAACCTCTGCAGACTTAAATGTCCCTGTCTGACAGCTTTGAAGAGAGCAGTGTTTCTCCCAGCATGCAGCTGGATATCTGAGAACGGGCAGACTGCCTCCTCAAGTGGGTCCCTGACCCCTGACCCCCAAGCAGCCTAACTGGGAGGCACCCCCCAGTAGGGGCAGACTGACACCTCACATGGCTGGGTACTCCTCTGAGACAAAACTTCCAGAGGAATGATCAGACAGTAGCATTCATGGTTCATGAAAATCCGCTGTTCTGCAGCCACCGCTGCTGATACACAGGCAAACAGGGTCTGGAATGGACCTCTAGCAAACTCCAACAGACCTGCAGCTGAGGGTCCTGTCTGTTAGAAGGAAAACTAACAAACAGAAAGGACATCCACACCAAAAACCCATCTGTACGTCACCATCATCAAAGACCAAAAGTAGATAAAACCACAAAGATGGGGAAAAAACAGAGCAGAAAAACTGGAAACTCTAAAAAGCAGAGCACCTCTCCTCCTCCAAAGGAACACAGTTCCTCACCAGCAACGGAACAAAGCTGGATGGAGGATGACTTTGACAAGTTGAGAAAAGAAGGCTTCAGATGATCAAACTACTCCAAGCTACAGGAGGTAATTCAAACCAAAGGCAAAGAAGTTGAAAACTTTGAAAAAAAATTCAGACAAATGTATAACTAGAATAACCAACACAGAGAAGTGCTTAAAGGAGCTGATGGAGCTGAAAGCCAAGGCTCGAGAACTACATGAAGAATGCAGAAGTCTCAGGAGCTGAAGCGATCAACTGGAAGAAAGGGTATCAGTGATGGAAGATGAAATGAATGAAATGAAGTGAGAAGGGAAGTTTAGAGAAAAAAGAATAAAAAGAAACAAACAAAGCCTCCAAGAAATATGGTACTATGTGAAAAGACCAAATCTACGTCTCATTTGTGTACCTGAAAGTGACAGGGAGAATGGAATCCAGTTGGAAAACACTCTGCAGGATATTATCCAGGAGAACTTCCCCAATCTAGCAAGGCAAGCCAACATTCAGATTCAGGAAATACAGAGAATGCCACAAAGATACTCCTCGAGAAGAGCAACTCCAAGACACATAATTGTCAGATTCACCAAAGATGAAATGAAGGAAAAAATGTGAAGGGCAGCCAGAGAGAAAGGTCAGGTTACCCACAAAGGGAAGCCCATCAGACTAACAGCGGATCTCTTGGCAGAAACTCTACAAGCCAGAAGAGAGTGGGGGCCAATATTCAACATTCTTAAAGAAAAGAATTTTCAACCCAGAATTTCATATCCAGCCAAACTAAGCTTCATAAGTGAAGGAGAAATAAAATACTTTACAGACAAGCAAATGCTGAGAGATTTTGTCACCACCAGGCCTGCCCTAAAAGAGCTCCTGAAGGAAGCACTAAACATGGAAAGGAACAACCGGTACCAACCACTGCAAAAACATGCCAAATTGTAAAGACCATCGAGACTAGGAAGAAACTGCATCAACTAATGAGCAAAATCACCAGCTAACATCATAATGACATGATCAAATTCACACATAACAATATTAACCTTAAATGTAAATGGACTAAATGCTCCAATTAGAAGACACAGACTGGCAAATTGGATAAAGAGTCAAGACCCATCAGTGTGCTGTATTCAGGAAACCCATCTCACGTGCAGAGACACACATAGGCTCAAAATAAAAAGGTGGAGGAAGATCTACCAAGCAAATGGAAAACAAAAAAAGGCAGGGGTTGCAATCCTAGTCTCTGATAAAACAGACTTTAAACCAACAAAGATCAAAAGAGACAAAGAAGGCCATTACATAATGGTAAAGGGATGAATTCAACAAGAAGAACTAACTATCCTAAATATATATACACCCAATACAGGAGCACCCAGATTCATAAAGCAAGTCCTTAGTGACCTACAAAGAGACTTAGACTCCCACACAATAATAATGGGAGACTTTAACACCCCACTCTCAATATTAGACATATCAACGAGACAGAAAGTTAACAAGGATACCCAGGAATTGAACTCAGCTCTGCACCAAGAGGACCTAATAGACATCTACAGAACTCTCCACCCCAAATCAACAGAATATACTTTTTTTCAGCACCACACCACACCTATTCCAAAATTGACCACATAGTTGGAAATAAAGCTCTCCTCAACAAATGTAAAAGAACAGAAATTATAACAAACTGTCTCTCAGACCACAGTGCAATCAAACTAGAACTCAGGATTAAGAAACTCACTCAAAACCACTCAACTACATGGAAACGAACTACCTGCTCCTGAATGACTACTGGGTAAATAATGAAATGAAGGCAGAAATAAAGATGTTCTTTGAAACCAACGAGAACAAAGACACAACATACCAGAATGTCTGGGACACATTCAAAGCAGTGTGTAGAGGGAAATTGATAGCACTAAATGCCCACAAGAGAAAGCAGGAAAGATCCAAAATTGACACCCTAACATCACAATTAAAAAACTAGAAAAGCAAGAGCAAACACATTCAAAAGCTAGTAGAAGTCAAGAAATAACTAAAATCAGAGCAGAATTGAAGGAAATAGAGACACAAAAAACCCTCAAAAAAATTAATGAATCCAGGAGCTGGTTTTTTGAAAGGATCAACAAAATTGATAGACCGCTAGCAAGACTTATAAAGAAGAAAAGAGAGAAGAATCAAATAGACACAATAAAAAATGATAAAGGGGATATCACCACCGATCCCACAGAAATACAAACTACCATCAGAGAATACTACAAACACCTCTACACAAATAAACTAGAAAATCTAGAAGAAATGGATAAATTCCTCGACACATACACCCTCCCAAGACTAAATCAGGAAGAAATTGAATCTCTGAATAGACCAATAAAAGGCTCTGAAATTGTGGCAATAATCAATAGCTTACCAACCCAAAAAGAGTCCAGGACCAGATGGATTCACAGCTGAATTCTATGAGAGGTACAAGGAGGAACTGGTACCATTCCTTCTGAAACTATTCCAATCAATAGAAAAAGAGGGAATCCTCCCTAACTCATTTTCTGAGGCCAGCATCATCCTGATACCAAAGCCGGGCAGAGACACAACCAAAAAAGAGAATTTTACACCAATATCCTTGATGAACATTGATGCAAAAAGCCTCAATAAAATACTGGCAAACTGAATCCAGCAGCACATCAAAAAGCTTATCCACCATGTTCAAGTGGACTTCATCCTTGGGATGCAAGGCTGGTTCAATATATGCAAATCAATAAATGTAATCCAGCATATAAGCAGAACCAAAGACAAAAACCACACGATTATCTCAATAGATGCAGAAAAGGCCTTTGACAAAATTCAACAATCCTTCATGTTAAAAACTCTCAATAAATTAGGTATTGATTGGACGTATCTCAAAATAATAAGAGCTATCTATGACAAACCCACAGCCAATATCATACTGAACGGACAAAAACTGGAAGCATTCCCTTTGAAAACTGGCACAAGACAGGGATGCCCTCTCTCACCACTCCTATTCAACATAGTGTTGAAAGTTCTGGCCAGGGCAATCAGGCAGGAGAAGGAAACAAAGGGTATTCAATTAGGAAAAGAGGAAGTCAAATTGTCCCTGTTTGCAGATGACATGATTGTATATCTAGAAAACCCCATTGTCTCAGCCCCAAATCTCCTTAAGCTGATAAGCAACTTCAGCAAAGTCTCAGGATACAAAATCAATGTACAAACATCACAAGCATTCTTATACACCAATAACAGACAAACAGAGAGCCAAATCATGAGTGAAGTCACATTCACAATTGCTTCAAAGAGAATAAAATACTTACGAATCCAACTTACAAGGGACATGAAGGACCTCTTCAAGGAGAACTACAAACCACTGTTCAAGGAAATAAAAGAGGATACAAACAAATGGAAGAACATTCCATGTTCATGGGTAGGAAGAATCAATATCATGAAAATGGCCATACTGCCCAAGGTAATTTACAGATTCAATGCCATCCCCATCAAGCTACCAATGACTTTCTTCACAGAATTGGAAAAAACTACTTTAAAGTTCATATGGAACCAAAAAAGAGCCCACATCGCCAAGTCAATCCTAAGCCAAAAGAACAAAGCTGGAGGCATCATGCTACCTGACTTCAAACTATACTACAAGGCTACAGTAACCAAAACAGCATGGTACTGGTACCAAAACAGAGATATAGATCAATGGAACAGAATAGAGCCCTCAGAAATAATGCCACATGTCTACAACTATCTGATCTTTGACAAACCTGAGAAAAACAAGCAATGGGGAAAGGATTCCCTATTTAATAAATGGTGCTGGGAAAACTGGCTAGCCATATGTAGAAAGCTGAAACTGGATCCCTTTCTTACACCTTATACAAAAATCAATTCAAGATGGATTAAGGACTTAAATGTTAGACCTAAAACCATAAAAACCCTAGAAGAAAACCTAGGCATTACCATTCAGGACATAGGCATGGGCAAGGACTTCATGTCTAAAACACCAAAAGCAATGGCAACAAAAGCCAAAATTGACAAATGGGATCTAATTAAACTAAAGAGCTTCTGCACAGCAAAAGAAACTACCATCAGAGTGAACAGGGAACCTACAAAATGGGAGAAAATTTTCACAACCTACTCATCTGACAAAGGGCTAATATCCAGAATCTACAATGTACTCAAACAAATTTACAAGAAAAAAACAAACAACCCCATCAAAAAGTGGGTGAAGGACATGAACAGACACTTCTCAAAAGAAGACATTTATGCAGCCAAAAAACACATGAAAAAATGCTCACCATCACTGGCCATCGGGGAAATGCAAATCAAAACCACAGTGAGATACCATCTCACACCAGTTAGAATGGCAATCATTAAAAAGTCAGGAAACAACAGGTGCTGGAGAGGATGTGGAGAAATAGGAACACTTTTACACTGTTGGTGGGACTGTGAACTAGTTCAACCATTGTGGAAGTTGGTGTGTTGATTCCTCAGGGATCTAGAACTAGAAATACCATTTGACCCAGCCATCCCATTACTGGGTATATACCCAAAGGATTATAAATCATGCTGCTACAAAGACACATGCATGTGTATGTTTATTGAAGCAGTATTCACAATAGCAAAGACTTGGAACCAACCCAAATGTCCAACAATGATAGACTGGATTAAGAAAATGTGGCGCATATACACCATGGAATACTATGCAACCATAAAAATTGATGAGTTCATGTCCTTTGTAGGGACATGGATGAAGCTGGAAACCATCATTCTCAGCAAACTATCGCAAGGACAAAAAACCAAACACTGCATGTTCTCACTCATAGGTGGGAATTGAACAATGGGAACAAGTGGACACAGGAAGGGGAACATCACACTCTGGGGACTGTTGTGGGGTGGGGGTAGGGGGGAGGGATAGCTTAAGGAGATAAACCTAATGCTAAATGACAAGTTAATGGATGCAGCACACCAACATGGCACATGTATACATATGTAACTAACCTGCACATTGTGCACATGTACCTTAAAACTTAAAGTATAATAATAATAAAATGAAAAAATAAAAATAAAAATAAAAAAATAAAAATGCAAAACTCAGGTTTTACGTCAAGCCTACAGAATTGGAATTAAGTTTATATGCACATTAAAGTTCGAGGAGCACTCAGGTTAAGTGGCATGAAGTGAGATTATGTATCTTAAACACTGAACTTCCCTCTTCTTATAAGTCTTTGGCTATATCTGCTCAGTTTTTTCTTATCATTAAAGTCACACTAAATATTGCTTTGACTTCTTTGGCATCCCTATTACATTATGCTTTCTCTTATTAAAGATTGTTATCAAAAACTCAAGGTCTTATATTTCTATTTTTTATAGGGGGATTTAGCACTCAGTCTTTTTCTCTCATTCAGTTTCCGGTCCACATTTGCATATCTAATCCTGTTCATCAGATTCATAGATCCATTTATTTGACAAGATACACTTTGCTTAAAAGAAAATAGTGGTTTTCAGCATTAATTTTTTTTCTCTCTAAAATAACTATAACATATATATATGCAGCTATACTGTGGATAAAATAAGTCTCCCTGGCATTATAATTACATTTCAAAAATTCTGTTATATCATTGTTACCCTCTAATGTAATCATTAGCCCAATCTTCAGGCTTCAGTGACACCAAATCATTCTATCAAACTAGGCACTCTACATACATAAAATTACAAAAATTAATTTGGAAGTCTATTAAAATCAAAGTATTCCTAGTGCAGTTGTGTGGTAAATGTTTAACAACTGACTCTTTGGAAAACAATGTATGTAGATCTAAGAACTCCAGTGTTTGTCACTGATGTAATTTCTTTGCTAAATGAGATAATAGCTTTTAAATACTAACATTTTGTCAGTTCTTTGTACTATTCACAATGCAACAGATACAACACATCTTAAGGTTTAATCTGCACTATCAACATTTTCTCCATCACTTTCTTAAGTCTAAATATTCAAGAAACAATAAATCCAGCCATGATTTTTAGTGTTTGCTGATTTCCATGGTGTAAATACACCAACTATAGCCAATTTCAATCTGCTAACATGACATCACCGAATGTGGAGTTGGGAAAAGATGTGCAGTGGCACATTATTGCATAGTATTTTTGCTGTGCAGATATAGTAAATGCAAATAATCTCAAGGTATAGATAGTAAAATGTAGGACATCATGAGGAAATAATAACAAGTATTTTTAGCTTTGTTTTTGATGTAATTTATTTGTGAGTCTACATAATTAAATTTTTAACAATGACTCTATGACATCAACCAGTTTGCAGAATTTCTGAAATTTTAACAATGGACTCTGCTCTTGTGAGCCAGTACAACTGAGCATTGCTACACCCATGCTCAATTCCTAATCAAGTCAGTTATTCTGTTATCAAGGGTTAAACTAATTAGTTTTTCCTGGTGTCTGAATGTCCTTGTTCAAGTTTAAGAATGTAAAATCATTTTCTACATTGCCAAATTTCCATATTAAGTAATTTGTTGATAAATTCTACAGCCACTATAAGTCTACTGGAGGTAATGAAGTGAATAAACCCTCAGTTCCAAAGAAACTTTGTAAAGAAAACCAAATAAACACACTTCCATTTCAGTCTGTAAAAAGAGAACTTGCAGGGTGTATGGATGGGTTTTCCAGAGGCTGGGGTTTGCGATCATCTTCCCTGCAGTGCTTATCCTTATTGTGTCTGGCCCCTGGACTCTCCACAGATTAAGTGGTCTGGGTTGTCAGTTTTCATTCTACTTGAGCCATTCACCAACCTTGTGAGGATGATGGGACAAGTCCTGTGACTGTTGGTGTTTTCTGAACTGTAAAATAAGATAAATAATGCAGAGTAAAACTCACATGATTGTACAAGGATTTCCTATTGATTGCCTAGAATTTTGGCTGTTGGGACCCATATCATTTGCCCTTGGAAACATAAAAATACAACATTATAATGTGGGTTTTGTTTTTTCTCCTTTTAAAAAAGAGCAAAAATTATGATAATCTTATATGCAGTGCTCTAAGACAGCACAATCTGATAGACCTTTCTAGGATGATGAAAATGTTCTCTATCTGCTCCATCTAACATGGTAGTTGCTAGCCACATAGAGCTAATGAGGACTTGAAAAGTGGCTAGTGTGATCGATGAACTAATTTTTAATTTAATTTAATTTTAATTAATTTAGATTTAACAAGCTACTAGTGGATACTGGTAGCTACTGCATTGGATTGTGCATCCATCCTTGGTCACTGGATACTTATACTTTGAAATCCTTGTGTAGTAAGTAGCACAAAGACCTATTTGATTAATATAAATATGTATAAGGAAAGTGTTTTTTAATGAGTATCTACACATAAATAGGTTTTATGAACCAGAGACAACCCCTAAACAACTCCAAAACTAATGAGTAACCAAATTATGATATGTAGGACGTGATATACCTCTTTGGCATGTGAAATATTGTATGAAAGCCTTTTCATACAATGAGAGATCTAAAGAATGGCCTAATGCCCTGAATGTTTAGTGGCTAAATTGGACGTTTGGAAAGTACAAGCAAGAAAAATAAAAGCACAGCAACTGTTCAAAGAAGTCACACTAAGTGTCATTGAGAGAAGAAAACTTTAATTTGAACTGAACACGTTGGTAAATAACAAGAATCTCCCTAAGATTTTTTGCTGGCAAAAAAGTAGACAAATTCTTAGAACAGAAGCTGTTATTTCCCTTCTGTCTCTTGAGAGCTGTCAGTGGTCAGTCTAGAAAGCCTCTGGGACTAAAATAAAGAGCTTTGGATGTTGGATGTGCATCCTTGACTTTCAGATTCATGGTGAGCACTTTAGCTGGCCTCTGATAAATCAGTAGAATTGCAAATTCCCAAAATCCCCATCATATCAGAAATGACGCAACATTTCTACTTGCAACTTCCCAAGGTCCTCATTATATCAGAAATGACGCAACATTTGTGCTTCAGCTGTTCTTTCTAATCAAACCTTTTAGAGGTCATTCAAGTGTTTTCTTACTCTGTCCATCTGAATGCCAACGAGTACTTTCTTTTTCAGATTTAGTTCCTCCTACTCTAGTTGTGGCACTTTACAAATTAGGTGACAACTTTTGTATGTAAAATTGCTTGATTGAGAAGGAAAATTTTGTTCCTAGGAGATGTTTACATGCTACTTCTTATACTGTGGATTTGTTCGGCTGAATATTTGTATCATACCTTGGCTCTATTTTTTCCCAGAGATGCTGAAATTGTCATTAAAATTGGATTCTGATTCAGCACTGGAACACTTGCCCATCTAAATCAATCCCCTTCAAAGCCCAAAGACCAAACTGATTGCCGAGTTACATTCCTTAGATATCAGCAGATTATACTACTCAATCCTGACATGTATTTGAAGGCAATGTTTTATCATCTGGAATAATTAGATCTCACCAAAGCTCTTAGAGAGTTCCTGGCTTGCCTTAAATATTTTTCACCCATTTTGAAAACTTTTTTACAAGTAAAATCCATGGTCTAGTTCAAGAGCCTAGCAGGAATGTGAAGAGGGAATTCAAGGGAGTGTGGAAAGGGATCATGAAGAATGTAGTTCTAGGATCAATGCACAGAAAATGTGCACTAGATGTGAATCCGTTGGCAGGAAGTATATGGCAATACAAGCCAGATATATTAGTGAATTCCAAAGACAGTGGAAATGTCTCTGTTTTGTATTGAATGTCACTTGAAATAAATGGGTCACTGGCCAGGGGTGTGGACATCCTTTTTGCTATGAACCTTTCCATTATAATGACTTATTTTGTAATAGGATTTGACGTGTAATACAAACATAGTTCCCAAAGCATGTAATATCCATCTCAATTGCTAATACTAAAATTGGTATTATTGTTTCCCCATTTTAAATCTATGTACTGCCTTGCCTATAGCCACCCACTGATTTTTTTAATGTAAATGATTGGTGTTGGATAACTAGATAATACCAATTTTCATTTTTAGTACCTGGGGACATTTTCATTGGAATGCAGGTTGCTAAAAAAAATTAGTAGACTAATAAAACTAGATGTCTACTTACAAGATTTGGCAAGATGTTTTGAATGCACAAAATGATGCAGAAGGAAAATTTTTAAAAATCCATCTAACCCATTTGAGAAAAGTAGCATAGTCAAATAGGTTACATATGAATTTAGGACTTTCATATTCGAACCTTGATTTGGAATGTTTTGATTAAGTGACAACTTTATTTGTAAACTGCTGAATTGATACTCTTTTTTTAAGAATATAATTCTTGAAGAAGACTGCACTGAAATGTACATACTTCTTACTTAAAAGTTGTAGTTTTATAGGTAAAGTGGAAAGAAAACATTTTTTAAGTGAGTAAACATACAGCTTTGCTTTCTCTATGCTTCAATTCTACCTTCTCCAAAATGAGGACAGGGCTAGTGGAACCATCCTGATGCTGGGAAAATCTGTTCTTAAGAAGGGTTAAAGTTCCAGAAGAAGTGCCCATGCCCTGGCCTTTGCTTGAATAGTTATAGATATTCACAAGGGAGCTCACCCAGGAAGGGTGATGATATGTAATTCCTTTTACCAAGGTTTGGTGGCTCCTGAAGAAGGGGGCCATGGCTCAGAGCATTCTGGCGATACCTCCACTTTCAGCAGATATTTGGGCCAAGTGTACCTACAAGGCTGGAGAAGAGGAGGGAGTATCTACTCATCTCACAGTGGAAATCCATCTAGGAAACCTTTAGGATGTGAGGAAGTGAATATATAACACTCTCTCAGCTCCCCACAGGCATCCAAAACCAACTGAGAGATGGATAGTAGAGGTCAGACAGCAGAAAAGCAAAATGTAAATGTAAATTTTATAACTACTAAAGCTGATGTTGGAGAACATGAATTAAATATGCTGCAAAGCTAGTTTTCATATCTGAGCTTCAGAATTAAACTGAAAAACTATGGATGTGACCAGTAAATGAAGGTTTGTATCAAACAAGCAAAGGGCAGAACGTGTATGTTCTGCAGTCAGGCAGATCTCAAAAAGACAGGGAGAAGCTGTCCCAAATTCACCAGTTAGATAAGAAAGTAACTTCTTTCCTGGAAAAAGGTGAATAAAAGAGCAAAAAGAGGCCAAGATTATGTTAATAGAAGGTTCTTTCATATGTAAGAAAATAGCAGGAATGAGCAGGTTTGAGCTATTTTGAATAAAGATGTTTGTATTCACATGGAAGTATTTGTGTAAACACATAGTTTCATTTCTTTTGGGTAAATATCTTGGAGTGTAATTTACTGGGTTGTGTTATAAATATATCTTTGTATAAATCTGTTAAACTGTTTTTCAAAGCAGTTTTACCATTTTGCATTCCCACCAACAATGTAAGAGTTACAGTTCTTCCATATCCTCATCAACACTTGGTACTATGAGTCTTTTCACTTTTAACCCTTCTGGATTTTGGTATGCAGTGGTATTTCATGTGCTTTTAATTTGTATTTGCCTGATAATGTTGTTGAATATCTTTTCACATGCTTATTGGTCATTTTTATATCTTATTTTTTGAAGTGTATATATTTTTTCTTTCTTTTTTTTATTATACATTAAGTTTTAGGGTACATGTGCACATTGTGCAGGTTAGTTACATATGTATACATGTGCCATGCTGGTGCACTGCACCCACTAACTCGTCATCTAGCATTAGGTATATCTCCCAATGCCACCCCTCCCCCATCCCCACCCCCCACAACAGTCCCCGGAGTGTGATATTCCCCTTCCTGTGTCCATGTGATCTCATTGTTCAATTCCCACTTATGAGTGAGAATATGCGGTGTTTGGTTTTTTGTTCTTGCGATAGTTTACTGAGAATGATGATTTCCAATTTCATCCATGTCCCTACAAAGGACATGAATTCATCATTTTTTATGGCTGCATAGTATTCCATGGTGTATATGTGCCACATTTTCTTAATCCAGTCTATCATTGTTGGACATTTGGGTTGGTTCCAAGTCTTTGCTATTGTGAATAGTGCCGCAATAAACATACGTGTGCATGTGTCTTTATAGCAGCATGATTTATAGTCATTTGGGTATATACCCAGTAATGGGATGGCTGGGTCAAATGGTATTTCCAGTTCTAGATCCCTGAGGAATCGCCACACTGACTTCCACAATGGTTGAACTAATTTACAGTCCCACCAACAGTGTAAAAGTGTTCCTATTTCTCCACATCCTCTCCAGCACCTGTTGTTTCCTGACTTTTTAATGATTGCCATTCTAACTGGTGTGAGATGGTATCTCATTGTGGTTTTGATTTGCATTTCTCTGATGGCCAGTGATGGTGAGCATTTTTTCATGTGTTTTTTGGCTGCATAAATGTCTTCTTTTGAGAAGTGTCTGTTCATGTCTTTCACCCACTTTTTGATGGGGTTGTTTGTTTTTTTTCTTGTAAATTTGTTTGAGTTCATTGTAGATTCTGGATATTAGCCCTTTGTCAGATGAGTAGTTTGCGAAAATTTTCTCCCATGTTGTAGGTTGCCTGTTCACTCTGATGGTAGTTTCTTTTGCTGTGCAGAAGCTCTTTAGTTTAATTAGATCCCATTTGTCAATTTTGGCTTTTGTTGCCATTGCTTTTGGTGTTTTAGACATGAAGTCCTTGCCCATGCCTATGTCCTGAATGGTAATGCCTAGGTTTTCTTCTAGGGTTTTTATGGTTTTAGGTCTAACATTTAAGTCCTTAATCCATCTTGAATTGATTTTTGTATAAGGTGTAAGAAAAGGGATCCAGTTTCAGCTTTCTACATATGGCTAGCCAGTTTTCCCAGCACCATTTATTAAATAGGGAATCATTTCCCCATTGCTTGTTTTTCTCAGGTTTGTCAAAGATCAGATAGTTGTAGATATGTGGCGTTATTTCTGAGGGCTCTGTTCTGTTCCATTGATCTATATCTCTGTTTTGGTACCAGTACCATGTTGTTTTGGTTACTGTAGCCTTGTAGTATAGTTTGAAGTCAGGTAGCATGATGCCTCCAGCTTTGTTCTTTTGGCTTAGGATTGACTTGGCGATGCGGGCTCTTTTTTGGTTCCATATGAACTTTAAAGTAGTTTTTTCCAATTCTGTGAAGAAAGGCATTGGTCGCTTGATCGGGATGGCATTGAATCTGTAAATTACCTTGGGCAGTATGGCCATTTTCATGATATTGATTCTTCCTACCCATGAGCATGGAGTGTTCTTCCATTTGTTTGTATCCTCTTTTATTTCCTTGAGCAGTAGTTTGCAATTCTCCTTGAAGAGGTCCTTCACATCCTTTGTAAGTTGGATTCCTAGGTATTTTATTCTCTTTGAAGCAATTGTGAATGGGAGTTCACTCATGATTTGGCTCTCTGTTTGTCTGTTGCTGGTGTATAAGAATGCTTGTGATTTTTGTACATTGATTTTGTATCCTGAGACTTTGCTGAAGTTGCTTATTAGCTTAAGGAGATTTTGGGCTGAGACAATGTTGAAGTGTATATTTTGAGCTTTCCCCATTTTTAAATAGACTTACAACCTGGTCTTCTCATTACTAGGTTGTAAGTGTTCTTCATATATTCTGAATATAAGACTTTTGAAAAATACATGTACTATGAATGTTTTCTCACAGTGTGTGACTTGTCTTTTAATTTTTAAATCATGTCTTTCACAAAAAGGAAATTTTAATTTGATAATATCCAATCATACTTATTTTAATTAATCATGCTTTTGATATGCTATTTAAGAAATCTTTGCCTACTCCAAAGTCCTGGAGATTTTTTCCCATGTTTTCCTCCAAAAGTTTTATATGCTTTAATTTTTATGTTTAGGCCTATGATTCATTTGAATTAATTTGTGTGTGTGGTATATAAATTTTGTGTATGGTGTAAAGGTTAAGATTCATTTTTTTCCTATAGGGATATCTAGTTTTTCCAGTGCAATTTTATGAAAAGATTATCCTTTTCCCCACCAAATTACTTTGACATATTTGTTGAAGATATAATATCAATATAATATCAATGTATCACTCTGTTCTGTTTCATTGACCTACATGTACATTCTTATGCCAACTGTCTCGATTGCTATAGCTTTAAAGTAAGTCTTAAAGTAGTGAGTTCTTGTATATTTTTTTTCCAAATTTGTTTCAATAATTCCAGGTCCTTTGCACAAATATCCATATTTTGGAATCCATCTGAGTATTTATTCCAAAACATCTGAAAATTTTGATTGGCATAAGGTTAAATAAATGGATCAAATTGGGAAGAACTGATGTCTTAACAATAGAGAGCCTTCTAATCCGTCAGTGTATTTCTCCAATTATTGAGGTCTAATTTTCGTAAAAGTATACAGGTTTTGCATATATTTTGATAGATTTAGGCCTAAGTATTCCATGTTTTGGTCTGCTAAAAATCAAATTGCTAATATGTGCAGATACAATTGACTTTTGCATATTCAACTTCTATCCAACGACCTTGCTAAATTCCTTTCTTGGTTCCAGAAAGTTTTTGTAAGTTTCTTAGCATTTTCTGCATACATAATCATGTTATCTGAGTGTAAAAACAATTTTACTTCTTTTTTCCATGATTTATGCCTCTTGTTTCATATTCTTGACTTTTTGCCGTGGCTAAGATATTGAATAAAATGATGAATAAAAGTGGTGAAATTGAAGAACCTTGTCTTATTCCCAATCCGAGGAATCAGTCCTTTAAATATGATGTTCGCTATAAGTTTCCATAGACGTCCTTTTTAGTTTGAGAGAGTTCCCATCTATTCATAGTTTGCTAAATAATTTGATCATGAATCATGTTAAACCTTGTCAAATATTTTTTTCTGCATCTATTGCAATAATCACATTGTTTTTCAATTTTATTATGTTTGTATAATGAATTATAATGATTGATTTTCAAATGTTAAACCAATCTTTTATTTCTGAGATAAATCCCATAATAAAATGATCATGGTGTATTGTCTTTTTTAGACATAACTAGATTCAACTTGCCAAAATTTTATGAAGAATTTTTGTTCTTGAAAAATGTTTGACTTTCGCTTTTAAAACGATAAATGCTGGCCACCTAAAACAAGTTGAGGAATATTCCCTTTCACTCTATTTTCTAAAAGAGTTTGTATAATTAGTGTTATTTCATGTTCAAATATTTGGTAGAGTTCACCAGTAAAGTTACCTAGGATAGAGTTTTCTTTATAGAAAGAATTAATTGCAAATTCCATTTTTCTTTGTAGAAAGAATTAAAAGCAAATTAATTAATTGTTTTAGTGGGTGTAGGGTTATTGACATTTTAATATTTCTTTTTAAAGCTGTCTTAGTAATATATTTCTTTCCAGGAATTTGTCAGTTTCACTATAATGTTGAATTATTGGCATGATGTTTTAATTTCTGTAGTATCTGTAGTACTATCTTCTCTTTTACTTCTAATATGTGTAATTTATATCTCTTCACTTTTCTTCTTGATCAATCTAGCTAGAGGTCTATCACTTTCATTAATGTTTCCAAGCATTCAGCTCTTGGTTAAACTGATTTTTTAAATTCATTGTCCATATTCTATTTCACTGATTTCTGCTCCACCTTCATTAGTTCTTTTCTTCTACATTGCCTTTCACTTGCTATTATTCTAGTTTCTTAAGAGGGAAACTTTGATTATTATTAATTAATCTAATTAATGTATATTAACTTCCTAGTAATTTCTTCTTTTTCCATGGCTATTTTTAAGTGTCCACTAATTAATTTTTAAGAATTTTCCAGGTATTATTTTATTCTTGATTTCTAATTTAATTTTGTTGTGTTCAGAAAACACACTATTATTTAAACCATTTTGTATTTATTGAGACTTATTTTATGTTCCAGCATATGTTCTGTTGTATTGAACATTCCATGTGCACTTGAAAATAATTTATAATCTCCTAATATTAAATAGAGTGTTCTATAAAAATTTATTAGATGTAGTTGGTTGATGGCATTGTTAAAGTCTTCTAGACAATTATTGATTTTCTATTTTCTATTACTTTCTATTTTTCTTATAATCTGTCAGTTTTTACTTCATATATTCTACATCTTTCTTAGTAAGTATACACACATTTGGAATTGTTTCTTAATAAATTGATCTTTTTATTAATATAGTCACACCAATATATTATGATTAATGTTTGTATACTACATCTCTTTCACTTGCTAATTTGAATCTATCTGTCTTTATATTTAAAGTGTGTCTCTTACAGACAGAATATAATTTGGTCTTGCTTTTATATCTAGTCTGACAACCTCTGTATTTTAGTAAGAACGTGTAGTCAACTTGCATTTAAGTAATCATCAATTTGGTCAAGTTTAAATCTCACTTTGCTGTATGGTTCTGATTTGTCCCCTCTGTTCTTTGTTCCTTTATTCCTGACTTCTTTTGTGGTAATTGTTTTATCACACCATTTACTTATTAGCTATACATCCTTATTTGTGTGTGCATGTATGTGTTTATATGTGTATGTGGCTGCCCTATGGTTTATAATATATCATTTATCTATCACATCTACCATCAAATAATATTCTACCATTTCACATATAATGTAAGAGCCTACAAGGTAATGCTTCCAGTCCCTTCTCCAATCTTTTGTGTAACTCTCATTATATTTTCTCCTACATGTTTCTTCTGCAATTTGTTGTTTTTGTCTTAAGATATTGTCAATTATCTTATTAAAATTTAGAAATTAGGGAAAATATATTTTTTCTTTCATGTAGATCCAAATTTTTATTTGCTATTATTTTCCTACTGTTTGAAGAATTTTCTTTAGTATTTCTTTTAGTAAAGATATTATAGTGATACATTGTCTCATCTTTTGTTTGAGAAATTGCCTATTTTATTTTCATTTTTGAAAGAAAATGAATATTTTTTAACTTATCAGATTTATTCATTTTGAAGATTTAAGATTCTAGATTTTTAAAGATTTCTTTGGTTTTTTCTTATTTATGATGAGGATTTTATGCTAATTCTTACCTTGCTTCTCAGTAAAGTATCTTGATCACTGGCTTCTTTTAAGATGTTTCTTTTTCTATCATAAGTTTTTAGCAATTTGGTTATGATATGCATCATTGTGCTTCTTTAAATATTTATCCTTCTTAGGTGTAATTGAGATTCATCAAATGTGAAAAAATTTTGGCCTTTTTCTTCGATTACTTGTATATTGTTCTTTTTTTCTGGGATTTGTATTACACATATGTTTTGTGTATTACATATATGTATTACACATATGTTAGATTGCTTGACATTGTTCTAGAGGTCTCATCTTTCTTTATTTACTGTAGATCTAATATGAATCCCATACAGTGAATTATTATTTCAGATATTGTATTTAGTAGTTCTTGAAGTTTGTGTTAGTCTGTTTCACACTGCTGATAAAAACATACCTGAGACTGGGCAATTTATAAAAGAAAGAGGTTTATTGGACTTACAGTTCCACATGGCTAGGGAAGCCTCACAATCATCGGGACACAGAGCCAAACCATATCATTCTGCCCCGGCCCCTCCCAAATGTCATGTCCTCACATTTCAAAACCAATCATGCCTTCCCAACAGTCCCCCAAAGTCTTAACTGATTTCAGCATTAACTCAGAAGTCCACAGTCCAAAGTCTCACCTGAAACAAAGCAAGTCCCTTCCACCTATGAGCCTGTAAAATCAAAAGCAAGTTAGTTACTTCCTAGATACAATGGGTGTACAGGAATTTGGTAAATACAGCT
The DNA here is from genome assembly GCF_000001405.40 of Homo sapiens. Classification (NCBI taxonomy): domain Eukaryota; kingdom Metazoa; phylum Chordata; class Mammalia; order Primates; family Hominidae; genus Homo; species Homo sapiens. The sequence goes on from NC_000005.10 coordinate 53,285,856, forward strand.
GTTCTGAATGGGAGAAATTGGCCAAAACAAAGGGGCTACAGGCCCCATGCAAGTCCAAAATCCAGTGGGGCAGTCAAATCTTAAAGTTCCAAAATGATCTCCTTTGACTCCATGTCTCGCATCCGAGTTACACTGATGCAAGAGAGAGGTTCCCATGGTCTTGGGCAGTTCCACCCCTGTGGCTTTGCAGGGCACAGCCTCCCTCCTGGCTGCTTTCACGGGCTGGTGTTGCATGACTGCAGCTTTTCCAGGCACTCGGTGCAAGCTGTCAGTGGATCTATCACTCTGGGGTCTGGAGGATGGTGGCCCTCTTCTCACAGCTCCACTAGGCAGTGCCCCAGTAGGGACACTGTGTGGGAGCTCCCACCCATATTTCCCTTCCACACTGCCCTAGAAGAGGTTCTCCATGAGGACTCTGTCCCTAGAGCAAATTTCTGCCTGGGCATCCAGGCATTTCCATACATCTTCTGAAATCTAGGCGGAGATTCCCAAACCTCAGTTCTTCTGTGCACTCATAGGCTCAACACCACATGGAAGCTGCCAAGGCCTGAGTCTCGCACCCTGTGGATCCATGGCCCAAGCTCTATGTTGGACCCTTTCAGCTACGGCTGGAGTGGCTGGGATGCAGAGCACCAAGTCCCTAGGCTGCACACGCACAGGGACTCTGGGCCTGGCCCACGAAACTGCTTTTTCCTGCTAGGTCTCTGGGCTTGTGATGGGAAGGACTGCCTTGAAGACTTCTAGCATGCCCTGGAGACATTTTCCCCATTGTCTTGGGGGTTAACAATCGGTTCCTTGTTACTTATGCAAATTTCTGCAGCCAGCTTGAATTTCTTCTCAGAAAATAGGATTTTCTTTCCTGTTGCATCGTCAGGTTGCAAATTTTCTGAACTTTTATGCTCTGCTTCCCTTATAAAACTGAATGCCTTTAACAGCACCCAAATCACATTTTGAATGCTTTGTTGCTTAGAAATTTCTTCCGCCAGATACCCTAAATCATCTTTCTCAAGTTCAAAGTTCCACAGCTCTCTAGGGCAGGGGCAAAATGCCACCAGTCTCTTTGCTAAAACATAACAAGAGTGACCTTCGCTCCAGTTCCCAACAAGTTCCTCATCTCCATGTGAGACCACCTCAGCCTGGACCCTGTTGTTCATATCACTATCAGCATTTATGTGAAAGCCATTCAGCAAGTCTCTAGGAAGTTCCAAACTTTCCCACATTTTCCTGTCTTCTGAGCCCTCCAAACTCTTCCAATGTTACCCAGTTCCAAAGTTGCTTCCACATTTTCAGGTATCTTTTCAGCCACACCCCACTCTACTGGTACTAAACAATCTGTATTAGTCTGTATTACTGTATTAGTCTGTTTTCACACTGCTGATAAAGACATACATGAGACTGGGCAATTTACACAAGAAAGAGGTTTATTGAACTTACAGTTCCACATGGCTGGGGGGGGGCCTCACAATCATGGTGGGAGGCAAGGAGGAGAAAGTCATATTTTACGTGGATTGCAGCAGGCAAAAAAAGAGAGCTTGTGCAGGGCAACTTCAATTTTTAAAACCATCAGATCTTGTGAGACCCATTCACTATCACAAGAAAAACATGGAAAAAACTTGCCCCCTAATTCAATCATCTCTCACCAGGTCCTTCCCACAACACATGGAAATTATGGGAGCTACAAAATAAATTTGGGTGGGGACATAGAGCCAAACCATATCAAAGTTCTTTTTGTATCTTTATTATTATCTTCCCTGTGTCTCCTCATGATGTTCATACTTTCTTTTAAATCTATCATCTTTGATAATTTCATTTTCTCTGAGATTTCTGGGTCTATTTTGCCTTATTGATTTTTGTCCTGACAATTTCACATGTATTGGCTTCTTTGCCTATCTACTAATTTTTGGTTGGATGCTGGACATTTGTGTGTGTGTGTCTGACATGTTGAGCATCTGGATTTTTTTTTTCCTTTAAAGATAGATGGAGTTTATTTTAATAGGCAGCTAAATTACTTGTATATCAACTGGATTATTTTGAGGCTTGGCTTTTAGATCTGCTAGAATGTGTCTAATGTAGTGTTTACTACAGGGCTAATTTGGCCCATCTATTAAGGCTTGATCTTTCTAGGGTATCTACTTAATGCCTCAGGTGTTTTTTTTTGTTTGTTTTGTTTTTTTTGTTGTTGTTGAGATGGAGTCTTGCTGTGTCACCCCAGGCTGGAGTGCAGTGATGTGAGCTCGGTTCACTGCAAGCTCTGCCTCCCAGGTTCATGGCATTCTCTGGCCTCAGCCTCCCGAGTAGCTGGGACTACAGGCATGTGCCATCACAGCTGGCTAGTTTTTTGTATATTTAGTAGAGACGGAGTTTCACCATGTTGGCCAGGCTGGTCTTGAACTCCTGACCTCCAGTGATCCACCCGCCTTGGCCTCCCAAAGTGCTGGGATTACAGGCATGAGCCACTGCACCCAGCTGAAATCACTCTTTTCTAATGGGAAACATTGACCATTTCCATAGGACCTAAGATTTCAGGAGACTCTGAGAACTCAGGATTCTGAAGTGAATCTACCCAGATTTTCCCATCCTAAGTCTCAGAGTCCCACTCCTTTCCTATCAATTTCCTGAGCTTGATGTAAAATATCTTCTGGAGGTAAGACTTCAACCTTCTCTCAAGTCTTACTACTCTTATATGAACTCTAGGCCTGGTCCTCAACTCTGTCCTCTGGCTGCAGGAGATTAAGGATTTCCTTGAATGCTCACTAGGAAACAATCTAGCTTGTACATTTTTGTCATGAATTGATGAATAATCACTCTATGCCTGTCACCACCTGTCCAATGATTCAATGGTATTCAGGAAGGCCAAACAAGACCATGGTTATTATAGTTACCATTTCCCTCATATACCTCAAGTGCCAAAAATATTGCAGCATCTGGTGTGTCCTCTTCCAGTTATATGTCATCTTACTTCATCCCTGGTGAAAATTTTAACAATAGCACCTCACTTACATGCCAAGGATTATCTGCATTCCACTTACCACCAGTGTTGATGTTGTTCACAATGTCAACCTACCAGTGAGTGATCCATCTCCAAAATTCCATTTTAGAGTAGGGTTTCCAGGATCCATCCGATCCCACTGGCTTGTGTTCATTTTCTGAAGACAAGAGATGGAGGGTTGCATGCAGGTTGCTAGGGGACTGCTCCTGTGAGATACACCTGCAAAGAAGTGAAGAAGACAGGAGTGGAGGAAAGGCAAAGGGTTGAGCTGACCTGCCACACAGTTTAACTGAGACCTCAGACAACCTTCTGAGAAGCTCTGGAGCCATTGTATTAAGACAAGATTTTTGGGCTTTTAAATGTCTGGACTTTGACTGCAGGGCACACCATGGGAGAGAGAATAACCTTGAGTAAGGCAGTTTCCTTTTGCCAAGGGCAATTCCCATGCACAAATCAACTGTGAACCTTCAAAAGCTGAAACGCTGAGCATCTGGGTAAGGACCTTGAAGAGAGGACCTAAAAGGAACAACAAAGGATTTCCCCTTTTTCCTAATTTCTGCCTCTCTGCTACTCAATCATGTGGCAGTGCCTAAGCCTGTGTTTTAAGGATTTTTTTTTTAAGACAGCAGAGTAAGACACAGAGCAAAAGCATAAATTATACCAGTTATTTGACTATTGTCTCTCCAAAAACTACTTCCCACACTGTGTTCTACAGTACTGGTGCTGAGACTCTGCAAATATATTTTTTCCAAATTTCTTTGCCAGTATCTTTAGGCAATGAGTTATCTCAACCTCATTGCATCCCTTAAGTGGTATTGACAACATCCCAGTCACACGCCCTCCTCAGAGGTCTGAGCTCCACAGAACCCCTTCCTTGATTTTTTTTTTTTTATTTTTTTTTGAGACAGAGTCTTACTCTGTCACCAGGCTGGAATGCAGTGGTATGATCTTGGCTCACTGCAACTTCCACCTCCTGGGTTTAAGTCATTCTCCTGCCTCAGCCTCCCGAGTAACTCAGATTACAGGTGCCCGCCACCACACCCAACTAATATTTGTATTTTTAGTAGAGACAGGGTATCACCATGTTGGCCAGGCTGGTCTTGAACTTCTGGCCTCAAGTGATCCGCCCACCTCAGCCTCCCAAAGTGCTGGGATTATAGGCATTAGCCACCACACCTGGCCTCCCTTGATTTCTTACCCCCAATTTTTCTCTTTTGTTTTCTCAGCTTTAAGGGATGGTGATATGGACAGGAGACAGGGAAACACTCAGTAGAAGAGGGTGGTTACCTGGCAAAGGCCCCACTCTCAAGCCTGGATACCCGTGGCCCTGAATGAGGACAGGCATTCCTGTTTTCACATCCAAAAGGTTGCCTTTTGGCCCACCACACCCCCTATCTTGTACCCATATAAACCCTGAACCCCAGGTTCCAGAAGCAGACGAGGAGACAGGAGACGAGCAGATGAATGGCAGAGTGGCACAGCAGAGAAAAAGAGAAGAGAAGGAGCATTTGAGTGCTGAGAGGAGTCAGGCTGGGGATGGTCAAAGAGTAGTTTGGCCACTGGACAGCCAAACTCCAGGGGAAGATCATTTTCCCACTCCATCCCTGTTCCAGCTCCCCATCCATCTCATTGAGAGCCACCTCCGCCACTGAATAAAACCACCGCATTCATCCTTCAAGTCTGTGTGTGACCCAATTCTTCCAAGATGTTGGATAAAAGCTCAGGATACAGAAAGTTGTCCCATTGGCCCTCTGCCCTTGCAGAAAGGCAGAGAGGGTCCACTGAGCTGGATAAATTCAAGCCATCTGCAGATGGCAAAGCTGAAAGAGCCCACTGTAACACACCCACTTGGGCTTTGGGAGTTGCAGACACCCACCCCTAGACACTACTGGTAGTAAAGGTGGAGCCCAAAGTGCTTGCCTGGCTCCTGCACCTTGCCCATTTGTGTGCTCCCCCTCCCATAAGAGGTTTGAGCTCCTAGAGACAGAACAGAGAGCCATACCCCTGTCGCAAGTCCTGCAAGGTGCGCAGTGGTGGGTTGGGGGGCGGGGAGCAGGGAACTCTCCCATCTCAACTGGGCTATTGCTGAGTTTCCCTTCTGTTTTTTTCAGCTTTTCAATTCCTCTGAAATTAATCTCCTATATTCAATTTTCTCTGTCAACATACCTCCTGTGATTTGTTTTCTTGACATATTCTGCCTGAAACAGTTGTTTGTAAAAAGAAAAGAAGGTAGCAGAGTTCCTTGTGCTTGAGAATAATTTTGATAATTTGGAACAGCTCCTTTAGTGAGTTAGTGCAAGAATTTGTTGCGCTGAACCGAAAACTATCTACGAATTTTCAGTAGCACCATTTGCATAATGGTATCACTGCTTCTGGCAGCCAAGTTGTAAGAGGAGCAAAGGCAAACATTTGAGTTGACTAAAGGTTTGCTGAGTAGATACATTATCAGAAGGGCAGGGGGCAAAGTTATTGAGGATGCTATCAGAAAGCAGTTTTAAGTCAGAAATCACCCTGAATACCGTCCAGTACACAATAAAACTTTTTTCACAGAGAAATCAAACTGTATAAGCCATATAAATAGAACTTGATATCAAAGCTTTCTTATAGTAGTACTTAGAAGTGAAAAGACTGTACTGTTTTTTCATATCTGTCTAAAGTTTCAATGATGTAATCATATTATCATATGATCAAATATTTCATAAAATCTTTGCTAAGCAAAACTAGTTCATTGCTATGGAGTCATCATTTGGATTCTGTTTAGGTTACATGTAGTTAATAAAGAAATAAATAGCTGAACTCTCTGTTTTGCCTCTTATCTTTCACTTCCTTTGTCAAACACTCAAAGCTCAGGGAGGGTCACTTGAGCACAAACTGTTGCAAATTTCCAGAATAACAGCTGATTCTGTAATCTTGTATTGTGTAATAAGATTCTGGAGAACTACCTTGTCAGAGTTAAGACTGTCTCTGTCAGCAAAACTTGCCATTTGCTATTGCAAAATATGGTTGAAGACAACTCATAATCTTGGGCTACCTAATTAAGGAAACTTTTAAAAATGATCTTCCTGACAAAGATTACAGCCCCATGAGCCATCCTTACCTATACCTCAATTCCTTTAAGGAAGTTAAATCGTATGTAGGAAATAATCTCTTTAGGATACAGCCCAGTAGTTCCTCCTCTAATACAGACATTGTTCCTTCAAAGAGCTCACTGTCTCCTCCATCTCGGTTAAGCTTGGTTCTTCCTATGGCATCACTTATCACTTATTCCTCAGATGGAACTAGAGATGTTTCTAAGGGTTTCTCCCACTCTATACCTAATTAATTGCTCTAGGGGAAGAAAAATGTCTTGTCTTTTATAATCTTGAGAAAGCATGCCTCCTTGTGGCAATAAACACAATTCTTTTAATCAATTAGAGACATTTCTGTTTGGTTGTGGCATTTTTGGTTGGAAAACAACAAACTCCATTTAAATAAAACCAAGAAGAAAATTGCATCTTGAATTGGGCTCTTCCATACTCCCTAAAGTTCTTCCTGTATTCCAAAGTATTTCAGACCAATGAGTATTTGCTGAAACTGGGCAAGGTGGGAAAGCAAGAGAGCATGCTAGAGAATGGCAAAGTCTCCACACCATGAGAAACCTGAGAGATAGTAAAATGACACATCCTGTGAAAGAGATTTTTCAGGTGAATGGTACACAGACCAGGTTTTGGAAGGAACTTGCACCTGGATTATAATTAACCCAGGTGTTCGTGTTATCCATTAGTGTGTAACAAAACACGGGTGATCTAAAATAACAATCATCTATTTGTTCAGGATTCTGCAATCTGAGGCTGAACGCAACTCAATGTTTTGTTGGTTTCATCTGGGGTCTCTCACGTGTCTACAGTTGTCTGGGAAATTGACTGAGACTGGAAAATCCAAAATGGACTCACTCATACCTCTACTGCTTCATTTGTCAGTGGCTCTCCATAGATTGTAAATGTTACATCTTCTTGTAATAGTATGTTTTCTTCTTCCCCTTATTTCTTAGTTTCATTTAAGTAAACTATCTCACCTGAGATATTTTTTTTCTACCCTAAGTATTCCAAAGCACCGTGTGCATTGGCCCCAAACCCCAATATCATGGCTGCATTTTAACTTCCTTTTCTCTCTCTGTATCCTCACCTCCCACCCATCCTACTTTGGCTTCAGCCCCTACCCCTACCCTTATGCTAACTAAAACACAGATTAGATGTAGTTGCTTCAGAGCAGACTCTTCTTGTTCATGGTTTTATTCCCAGTTTCTGACATAGTGCCTGGAACAGAATAAGGGATCAGTATGTATGTGTGGAGGAATTATCACCAAATATCAAAATCATGAATAGAAAGTAAAAATGAAAATTGCATTCCACCCAATGGAATTTCCACAAATAAATAACAGAAGTCATTCAAAAGGATGTAAAGTCCAGGGGTTCAAATGAAGAGTCATTACAATGAGGTAATGGCAGCATTTGATAAAAATCCATTGCTTCATAAGCATATTTGATCAAAATAGATTTCTTCAAGAAAAACAAAAAGTACAGAATGAATCATTTAATAAAGAGAGATGAAGCAATAATATTAGTGTAGAATTGTTCACCATGTCTGAGTATGTGAAAAACCTAACAAAGTCATTTTAAGCCAAAGAGGTTTTTTTCATCTAAGCTTATTTTCACCATTTATGTGATCACAAACTAGTCTCTAATTCTTATTTTTTGGACATCATGATATATAAATCAATGAATGAAAAAAAAAAACCACTCAGTAAAACAAGAGAAAACATGTGGTTGTTGTCCAATCTTTTAGTCTCTAAAATTATAAAGCCTTCCCAGGATTTTATATTTGGCACTGAAAGCCCTTTCACCCAGCTACATCTTTACCCACTTGGTTAACTTATATTCTTTCTTCAATATTCAGGTAACTTTTTATCTATTCTAAGAAGTCATCTAGAAATCATTCTGACTGTATTAGGTAACATCGCACAGGCTCCCCAAGTACTATCTCCTAGCATTGTGATACCCCATTAAAATGATGTATTCACTCACCCATTACATTACAACCTCTTTGAATGCAAGGAGAGTACCTAATATGCAATAGACACTCAATAAATGTTTGTGGAAGGAAAGATTGTTGGGAGAAGGACTATGTACCATTACATGGTTACTGGGGTGACCATGGGGTGGTACACTAGGGTACTGATAATCATTCAGTACAATTGGAAGGATGTCTACGAGTCATGGCTTTTGTTCATCTTACCTGAATGTGTTGTTCTGTATATATTTCCACATTCTCCCATCCAATCATGATCCATGGGTCTGCGTTCATGATGAGTGATCCCCTCAGGGGATGAGGCAGAGCAAGGGCATAGGGAATGAGAAGACTGGGGAGGGAGAATGAAAAAGGAATGGAGAATAACCCAGGAATCATCCCCTCCTAAGTGAAGATTACTTCCAACCCTTAACAATGATGACAAATTAACATTTATTTATTGAGGACTTTTCTAACATACACTGTGCTAAGCAACCCCAAGCCTTGCTTCTTTTCATCCTCACAAAATGCCTATGAGCTACATGTGCATGAGAAAAGCAGCATTGAGTTATATGTTGGGGAAATAGCAGAAACTTGGATTGAGTTTAGTTCTGGCGAATCCATAAACTCATATTCCCTTTTCACCACTACACTATGTGGCTCCAGCATCCCTAAGCCAGCAAGGAAGTTCTTATCTTCCTACTAAAACCTGCCCTCTGAGTCTAGTAATGGCAAGTATAAAAGTTTTTCAAAATATTGGGATTATTATTCTATTGTTTCCTAATAATTTATTTACTTACTTTTACAACAAACACACCCTCAGACTTTGAGGTCTATAGTCTAAGAGAGAGAAGGCAAAATTCTCTGCTGAAATTTTAGTCTATTTCCACTTCAGGAGGCAACACTAGAGTCAGATAGTGATCAAATTGTCACTTTATTGTTGGTACAGCTAGATTGGAGAACATGGCATGGAATCAAAAGTCTACTTCCCCATCCCAGTACTGAACTTACCACCCAGTCACTGGCAAAACAGTTGGACAACCAGGCAACTGTGGCCACTCTCCTAGTTCACATCCAACTTCCCATCTCCCCTATTCCCAGAAAGGGTGGCAGTGTGCTTGTTTGTTGATCCTTTTGCCAAATAGAGGTAGGAACAGGATTAGCAACACAATTTGCAAAGTCCAGAGCAAAATAATATGTGGGACCCTTTGGCCAAAACCAGGAAGAAGTGCTGTTAAAGATAATATACAAACCGTTTTTCTTTCTTCTGAGACGTCGCTCTTAACTTGTGGTTTTATTTGCTACTTAATATCTTTCTAAGAAAAGAAAAGTGAGAATTTTCTATTACTAGCAGTGCCAAATAGTGATTTTTACCAAAAATTATTTTGATCTATGAGCTGACAACTTGTTTAAGAACTCCTGAAATGTTGTTAAATGCAAATAATTGAAAACATCTGATTGCAAAATCTATTACCAGTTCATTTGAGTCATTCATTTTCTCATAACCAACACTTATCAAATTATTGATAATTAAATCTGTTATCCTTTCAGCTAGAGGCTTTTTGTATAGCATGATACATTAAGAGAGAATAGAAAACTTAAATTATCATGACTTGTATAATCTTTTTCCAATATAATTTTTATTTTATTTATTTCTTTACTTATTTGAGACAGGGTCTCACTCTGTTGCCCAGGTTGGAGTGCAGCTTCAAACCTCCAAAGCTCAAGTGATACTTTCACCTCAGCATCCCCAGTAGCTAGGACCACAGGCATGTACCACCACACTTGGCTAATTTTTGTTGTTTTTGTTTGTAGAGATGGAGCTTCACCATGTTGCCCAAGCTGGTCTTGAACTCCTGCGCTCAAGCTATTCTTCTACTTTGGCCTCCCAACGTGCCGGTATTTTACAGGTGTGAGTCACCATGCCTGATCTCCAGTATAATTTTTTAAATAGACTCTTCTTATGTTATGTATTTTGAATACATTTTGTCATATCTTTAGACCTGTTGATTTATCATTTTTATCACGTAACTTATATAGAAAGTCTCCATCATACAACTTTATTGGCAAACCCAATAATGGTTGTCAAGTGCTTCAGCTAAGTCAGACTTATTTTCTTGCAGAAAAGAAGCTAACTTTAAGTAAAAATAAACATGTTAATATGAGTTTTATAGACTATGAAACCATGGACAAATAAATATATAGGAAATATATTAAAGGTAGATTACAAAACGCAATCAAGTCAAACTTATTATCGTATAATCCAGTGTAAGAAATTCAGCCATTTATAATAGGTTTTAAAAAAGATTAATCTCATTACTTAATTTGTAACAAATGCAATGTTTTGTGTAACTAAATTATAAGTTATTCATTAATTGGGAAGTATAATTGTGTGTGTTTATGTATCAAACTTCAGTGTTTGCCTTCAAGGAATAATTAAATGAGAACCATTCATAAAAATCAAAAATAATTTTAGTAATTTAATTGTATATCATGATCAAAACTTTTCCATGTGGTAGTAAAGGATAAAGGTATATACAGTTAAAAACTGTTAAGATTAGTACATGACATGTACATTTTTTCTTAATAAAAAATTGAAAATATTAAAAAATGAGATTGAGAATATAAAATGAATATTGTTTAATGTTAGCGTATTAAATAAATGTTAGTTAATGTTAAATATTAAATGAAATTCATCATTTTATAAAATGAAATGACAATTGTCTAATTGGAATAAGTAATTTATGATAAGATTTGTTATACAAGTTTTAACTACCATGTTAAAAAGACACACTGAATCTAAAATAAGTCACATAAGATTTTTATCTGTTAGCTTTAGTCAAGTTATCTGAAATATTTCTGCAGTCTTATAAAATATTTTATTTACATTTAAAAGAATTACCAGTATTGACATCTTTGGCATTGACTATGCCTTCCATTCCAACAAATATCACATCCTAGAGATGAAAATTGAGACTAAAGAATAATTGCTTACATTTATTGGTATTTCCCTCACAAGAATGTATGTTCCACAGGAGCAAAGATCTTTGTTTTTCGTTGTTGTTGTTGTTGTTTGAGACAGAGTCTCACTCTGTCGCCCAGGCTGGAGTACAGAGGTGCCATCTTGGCTCACTGAAGCCTCCACTTCCTGGGTTCCAGCAATTCTCCTGCTTAAGCCTCCCGGGTAGCTGGAATTACAGGCACGCACCAACACACCTGGCTAATGTTTGTATTTTTAGTAGAGATGAGGTTTCGCCATGTTGGCCAGGCTGGTCTCAAACTCCTGACCTCAGGTGATCTGCCGACCTTGGCCTCTCAAAGTGCTAGGATTACAGGCGTGAGCCACTGCGCCCAGCCAGGATTTTTGTTTTGTTCACTGATGTTTCTCATGTGCATAGAATATGACTGACATTTAGTCAGCAGTCAAAAACGTTTGTTTAAAGAAAGAAGGAATGTCTTTAAATATTCAATATATTATATCTATAAGATCAATTCTTAGCAGTGTGATCCTGGTTCTTTAGGTAATTTATATTTTATATTAATAGAAATAATAAATTAATAGACATAACCAAAATATTTTTTAAAGTTTGTACCAATCTATCTACAAGACTGTAACAGTCTACAGTCCTTTCAACAAAAAGCAAAATTATAGTTTTCCTACATCCTCATCAATATTTGGTACTTTCACTCACTTTTTAATTTTTTTGCCAATCTGACAAGCACAGTTTTTAAAATGGCATTTCACTGTGGCTTACATTTATTTTTCATTACTTATTACTGATGTTCATCATCTTTTTATGTGTATATCAGTCATTTGCATTTTTCAGTAACATGTTTCATGTCGTGTTCTGTTTCTTAATGTTTTCGGAAGCAGCCTTGATATTCAGGTTTTATATATTTTGGTACTACAAAAATTCTTTTGCCTATGTGATTTGTCTTTTTTTTTTATTGTTTATCTAGTAATGACTAAATATTGAAAGGTTGTGCTATTTCAATATAGGAGAGTTTTTCCACTCCTCTTTCTTTGCTCTCTACATCCGTCTTCTTCGGGTCATGGAACTGAGTCTTTGGTTAAATGAAGAAAAGAGACAAAGATTGTGTTAGAGTAAATAATTCATCAAAAGTATGTTGTAAGAGTTTGTCAGTATTGACAAGAGAATTATCTATTTTCAGTATGAATGACTTTCAGCACTTAAGACCCTCACCAGCAATGCAGAAGAATTGAGGAACCTGAAATTACTTCTGCTGCCAACCCACCTACTCCACTGCAGGGAGAGAGAAAAATGAGATGAAGCTGATTGGGAGCTAGGAGGCTGCAGAGGGGCATGTGGCAAGGAAGAACAGGGAGGGATATCAGAAAGAAAGGTGATGTTCTTGTCATCCCAGGAGGAGAAATATACATGCTGATTGACTCTAGCTTTTGACATTTTTTTAACTTTTATTTTAAGTTCAGGGGTACATGCGCAGGTTTGTTACATAGGTAAACTCATGTCATGAGGGTTTGTTGAACAGATTATTTTATTACTGAGGTATTAAGCCTAGTACCCACTAGTTATTTTTCCTGATCCTCTCCCACCTCTCAACCTCCACCCTCCAATAGGTCCCAGTGTCTGTTTTTCTGCTCTATATGTCCATGTGTTCTCATTGTTTAGCTCCCACTTATAAGTGAGAACATGTGGTATTTGGTTTTCTGTTCCTGTGTTAGTTTGCTAAGGATAGTGGCCTCCAGATCCATCTATGTTCCTACAAATGACATGATCTCAGTCTTTTTTAATGGCTGCCTAGTATTCCATGGTATATATGTACCACATTTTCTTTATCCAGTCTACCATTGTGGGCATTTAGGTAGATTCCATGTCTTTACTGTTGTGAATAGTGCTGCAATGAACATACTCATGCATGTGTCTTTATGATAGAAGATTTATATTTCTTTGGGTATATATATACCCAGTAATGGGATTGCTGAGTCAAATGGTATTTCTGTTTTTAGGTCTTTGAAGAATCGCCCCACTGTCTTCCACAATGGTTAAACTGATTCACACTCCCACTAACCGTGTATAAGGGTTGCTTTTTCTCTGCAACCTCACCAGCATCTGTTATTTTTTGACTTTTTAGTAATAGTCACTCTAACTGATGCGAGATGGTAGGTATCTCATTGTGGTTTTGATTTGATTTTCTGTATATATTTAAGCATACTTATTAAAGACTTGAGGTTAACCACTGAGAATTAGGATGCCTTACTCCCAAATCATTTGGAGGAAAAAAAGGAACAAATAACTTAATCACATAAGCAGTTAAGGAAAAGAGACGGCAAGAAAGCATATAAAAGATAAACTACGAACTATGGTTCTGAGAACATAGTCAATTTTATCAGTAATCATGATACATTTTCCTGGGTTAAATGTATATATTAAAAGACAAAGATTCTCCTACTGGAGAAATGTTACAGCCATTTGTTATTTTTCAGAAATCCAAATACAATGACACAACATAGGGAGGTTAAAAATAAAAGAAGGCAAAAAGGTATTGAAAGCAAAGGCTAACAAAAGGAGAGCATATATAGGGACATTAAAATGAGATAAAGTAGAATTCAGGATAAAAACTACTGAAAGGGGACAAAGATGGATATTTCATATTAATAAAATGTTAACTCCATTAAAACTTTACTATTATCATGAATATTTGTGCTCCTAACAACTTAATTTTGAAATAAAAATCTTATTAAAAGAAAAATAAACAATTTCATAATCACAATGAGAAACTTCAACAAGTGTATCTTTAAATATTAATTAACAAATTAAAGATATTGAGAATTTAGGATGCATAATTCAATTGCTTGATCTATAAATTGTGGTAGAACTTTGTATCCAAGGAACAGAATACATGTTATTTTCAAACAGATGGAACATTCACAAATTTACAATATATTGGGAAATTTTTTTAAATGGTGACAAATTTTCAAAGCACAACTCATGCAGACCCTTTTAACTTATTGAAATATAATAAAATTTTATTAAAATCCAGTAAATTAAAATCCAATGAAAATTCAAATTTAACATCAAAGGGTCAGTAACCCAAAAGCTAACAACAAAAGGCCAGCAACCATTCCAAAGCATCAGCAGATATTTAGAAGACTAAGGTCTTCTAAATAAATTTTGGATCAAAGAAGAAACAAGGCAGAATTTTTAAAAATACCATATAGAAAACTGGCATGACAGCCCTATGTATCTAATGTAGTGGGACCGATTCCTAACCAGATGTAAGTTCCATACAGCAAGTAGAAAAGAGGAAAAGGTGAGGCAGGCAGATGAACGCTGGCTGGGCATGTCTCCTACATGGCCAAGCTGATACCCAAGGGAAAAAAAATGCATTTATTAGAAAAAAATTTTGCATAAAAACCAAAGAAGTATTCAACTCTAGAAGCTAAGCAATGAAATAAACCAGAGAGATGATAGAAAGTAATAAATATTAAAAGGAAAAATAGTAAAATTGATAACAAATATATTGGTAGAATTATCAGTAAAATAGAAAGATGATTCTTTTTTTAGAGACTAGTACAGAATACAAAACAAAGGTCAGCAAGTTTGATTAAGAAAACATGTGAGAGAAAAAAACCAAATATATCCAAAGAAGATTTTTTAAACTTTAAAAAACACTCTGTGCAACTTAATATCAATAAACCTGAAAATCTGGCAGAAATTAATTTAGGTTTAAATCAGAATATCGAAATGGGACAATTTCTGTTTCAGTTTTCTCAAAAGCTCCAAAAGTCAGAAACTAAAAGAACAGGTGCAGTATTTCCAATCTCCAAAGTGAGGCACTGAATGACTTGTGCAGATCCTGCAATAGAGGCCTCTTATCCATACAGCCTAATGCCAACGAGAAGCTATGAAAGGGTTGAAGCTGTTAGAAATAAAAGGGTGTTGGCTCAATGTCAGTTCCTCCTCCTGCCCCAGTGAGGGAAAATGTGTCCCCTGCAGTCTGGGACACACAGTGGGCTGCTACCTGACTCATCCTTGAAAACAGAGCCCAGTGGCAAAGCTGGGAAATGACTACTTTCTCACTTGTGGTGGGTTGTATGCACATAATTCCTGGACACCGTATGGGAAATGCTCAGTGATAATATCATGATGGAGTCATTGGAAGGGATACCATCCATGGTAGTCTCCCAGACCTGCTATTACAAAGTACGACAAACTGGGTGCTTCAAACAAAAAAAAATGTGTTCTTTCTGGAGGCTAAAACTTTGAAATCAAGATGTCAGCCTGGTCTGGCTACTCAGCTCCCTCTGAGTCTCTGACAGAACTCTCTTCCTTGACTCTTCCTAGCTTCTATAATGGCGGTCACTGGAAGCTGTGCAACTGTATCATACAATCTATACAAATATGGATAGCTCTGTTTCCTAGGGCTGCTATAACAAGAAAATGTGCCACAAACTTTGGTGGCTTAAAACAACAGGTATTTATTATCTTACAGTTCTAGAGATTGGAAGTCCAAAGTTAAGTTGTCAGTAGGGCCGTGCTTTCTCTGAAGGTTCTAGAGGAGGGTCATTCCTTGAGTCATCCTAGCTTCTGGTGTTGCCGGCAATCCTTTATGTTCCTCAGCTTGCAATAACATCAGTTCAGTGTCTGCCTCTGTTGTCACACGGCACGCTCCCTGTGTATTTCTGTCTTCTCTTATTATAAGGACACCAGTCATATTGGATTAGGGTCCACCCTGATGAACTCGTCTTAAGTGAATTACATTTGCAAATAACCTATTTCCAAAAAAAGGTCACATTCACAATTACCAAAAGTTAGGACTTCAACATCTCTCTTTAGGGGACACAGTACAACCCATAACAACACCCAAGAGCATGCCTCTCTGGGCTGGACACCTTGGCAGAAACAGATTTGAGATATCCATGCATAGGGAGATTGTGTGACCAACTGCTTTAGTCCAGAGAGGTGCTCCAAAAGGCCCTGCAGGATCTCTGGAAGGTCCACACGGCACTCCCAGGATAGAGTTTGATTTAAACAATGGCCTCAACTCCAGGAAATGAGTGCCAGATGATGGCTGCATCTTGTAAGTATGCCTCTCCTTCCCTCATCTTTCTTATACCTTGCAGGAGTCCAACACCACCTGGGGAAATGATAGCAGAGGAAGAGAAGAACAAGGCAGGGGAACTAGAGAAGCCAGCAACATGCCCTTCACCCTGTAGGTTGGCCTGTAGCAGCCCTAAATTAGGTAAAGACCCAGCTTTTGTTTGCTTTTTAATTGTTACAGTAGGCATGACATATTAATTCTAAAATAAAACTCTTCTTATAACTGAAAGGGACATGATTTCTAGGAGTCAGTGGGGGAAAATATGGGGCCAAGGGCAGAGAAGAACTAGACCTACAGAAAGGGGTTTTGCTGGGAGTATATCAAAACGATAATGTTGTTTTGATTATAAGCCATGAGTCCCAATGTCCAGTACTCTGGCATCATATTTTATTTTACCAAATTGGCTCGAGAGGAAGTTGAAATCCTGGAGAGCTTTATAATCCCAGGAGAAATTGTAAATGTTTCCAAAGAATTGGCTCAGTTATTACATACTTTTTAAGAGAAAAATTAACATTAAAAACAAATTATCTTTAACTGGAAAAAATGAAAGTACTGAGATACTAATGGTGAGTGATAATACATAAAGATATCAAGTACTTAGAATTTTAGATTGACATGTAACCTTCCTAGTCTGTAGGCAGCATATTGTAACACTTAAATATCAACCGAGATTATAACAGCCTTTGATTTCACAACCAGTAAAACATCCACTCTAGAGCCTTCCAGTAATCCATTCAGTTATTCAGCCAGCATATTTGTCTCTCACAGAGCCCAAACTGCTTAAAATCTTTTACTAGTATGTTTATCAAAACAAACATAACCCATGTTAAGATGGTTAGATAGGAAGATTAAAGGCTTCTAAGCCCAAGAGGCTTTGACAACCAATTTTTATGTCTAGAAACAAACCACAGAAATTCAGCTTCTAATGACATGCAAATGGACCTTGAGCAGGAAAAGGAAAAGTTTGATGTCCACTGTAGAGTTGCTGTGTAAAAACTCATTCCTCAATCATATACTATAACCTTTGATTATAAAAATCCTAAGTGGTTGAAATAAGGTTAAAATGCAGTACATCCCCAGTCATGTAATAGCCTCAGGAAACTCTGACAGTATTAATAAATGTCCTTGCACTTCTCAGTTAACCTATAGGAATACTGAAGATCAATTCTAGTACTTTGCTCTAGGTGGGCCCAGATTGATAGCCTGGAACCTTATCAAAATAGGCACGTGGCACCAAGATGTTTCCTAGAAGTGCTCTCACTTCCTAGTGGATGTATTTCATTGTAACCCATCAATGATTCAGAGTACTGTGGTTTCAAAATGATTAATATGTAAGGGTTGTAACAATGTGAGTCAGATGAAGCAGAAAAGGTGTGAGGAAATAAAACCATTATAGGAAAGTACACCACAAATTTGTGGATATAGTTAGTCAGTGAAAAAGAGTATAATAGAGTGTGCAACCTTAGTCATTCACATTTTCTCCTCATCTGGCAAATGCAAATTACTTAGAGGATTCATGTAATGAATCACAAATGAAAATCATCATGGATTTTACTTTGCATTATTCTCTTAACATATTTATTTACGCCCCAATATGTGCCAGAAATTGTGCTAGGTGCACAATTGGACAGATGATAGGTAGGTAGGTAAATAGATAGGTAGATTAATAGTGTTAGGGTTGGAATGTGTCTGCAAAATTCATGTGTTGTAAACTTCATCCCCAGCACAACCATGTTGAGACGTGGGACCTTCAAGAGGTAATTAGATTATGAGGGCTCTGCCCTCACGAGTGAATTCCTGATAAAAGGATGATGATGTATTCAGCCCCCGTTTTCTCTCTTCCACCCCCTCTCTTTCTCCTGCACACATAATCTCTTGCCCTCCTGCCTTCTGCTATGAGATGACACAGGAAGAAGTTCCTCATCAGACGTGGGCCCCTCCATCTTCTACTTCCCAGTCTCCAAAGTTGTAAGAAATAAGTCTCTGGTTTTATAAATTACACAGTCTCAGGTATTCTGTTATAGCAACACAAAATAGACTAAGACAGACAGATAGGTAGGTAGAGAGACTATGATAGATAGATAGATAGATAGATAGATAGATAGATAGATAGATAGACACTCTTGGCCCTCAAAGAATTCCCATTCAGGAAAGGCCTCAGACAAGTAAATATTTTCTACTGACTAAAAGTCCAAAGACATAATTAAGTATTCAGGGCCAGAACATGGATTTTGAAACTCCCCTGAGGAATTTATGTGCCCAAGCCATTGAATTGGATTGGTCCTTGATATATTTATAGCACTCAGTGTCAATTTTTTTCCATGAAGCACAAAATAATACTAAGTTCTTAAGTCCCTTAGGGATAACTTATTGCAAGTTAGTAATGTGAATTTAAAATACTCCCTCATTTTGTTCACCTCTAAAATGATGGAATATGGGAAAAAACTCACATATTTTATGAAAGTTGTTTGGCATAGCTAAAATGATAAATTTTTAAATAAATACATTTAACTCTTTAGTTGTGTTAAGACCCTAGATTACTGAACAGCATGATGAGCTATTTTTTTCTTTTTAAAACTGGTACACAGAAAATTGCAATTCATCTCTAACTTAGGAACCACTAAAACTAAGGTCATTTAGAGCAATAATTGTGTCTTTATTCAATATGATATAACTGTAGTACTTAGCACAATCCCTTATTTATATTAAGTACTCAGTAAATATTGGTTGAATCAAGTAGTAGAATACTAATAGATCATGTGACTATAATAAAGTAACATTTCGGACAGTGCCAACTTACCAAATTTTCAGATGAATAAAGGAAACTGGCTCTTTATGAGTTTTCATTCTTCTCTTCATTCATTTATTTGTTTCTTTGTTAATATATTGATTCATTCAACCCACTGAGTGAGTGCCTATTATATGCAAAATGCTGTGGAAGGGAAAAAGACAAATCATACAGGGATCCCGTCCTCAAAGTTGACAGTCTAATAATAACATATCCGTAACACTTATACAAATACAAGACACACACATGGAAAGGCATAAACCGGTGTTGGCCAATATAGTAGCTACCAGCCACATGTGGCCATTGAACACTTGAAATGTAGTGTATCCAAATTGAGATGTAGAGTAAGTGTAAAGTATGCCCTAGGTATTGAAGACTCAATAGAAAAAAAGATGTAAAATATCTCATTAATTTTTTTGTTATTATACTTTAAGTTCCGGGAAACATGTGCAGAACATGCAGGTTTGTTATATGGGTATACATGTGCCATGGTGGTTTGCTGCACCCATCAACCCGTCATCAACATTAGTATTTCTCCTAATGCTATCCCTCCCCTAGCCCCCACCCCCCCAACAGGCCTGAGTGTGTGATGTTCCCCTCACTCTGTCCATGTGTTCTCATTGTTCAACTCCCACTTGAGTGAGAACATGTGGTGTTTGTTTTTCTGTTCCTGTGTTAATTTGCAGAGAATGATGGTTTCCAGCTTCATCCATGTCCCAGCAAAGGACACGAACTCATCCTTTTTTATGGCTGCATAGTATTCCATGCTGTATAGGTGCCACAATTCCTTTATCCAGTCTATCATTGCTGGACATTTGGGTTGGTTCCAAGTCTTTGGTATTGTGAATAGTGCTGCAATAAACATACATGTGCATGTGTCTTTATAGTAGAATGATTTATAATCCTTTGGGTATATACCCAGTAATGGGATTGCTGGATCAAATGGTATTTCTGGTTCTAGATCCTTGATGAATTGCCACACCTTCTTCCACAATGGTTGAACTAATGTACACCACCACTAACAGTGTAAAAGCATTCCTATTTCTCCACATCATCTCCAGCATCTGTTGTTTCCTGACTTTTTAATGATCACCATTCTAACTGGTGTGAAATGGTGTCTCATTGTGGTTTTGATTTGCATTTCTCTAATGACCTGTGATGATGAGCTTTTTTTTTTCACGTTTGTTGGCCTTCCTTTGAGAAGTGTCTATTCATATCCTTTGCCTACTTTTTGATGGGGTTGTTTATTTTTTTCTTGTAAATTTGTTTAAGTTCTTTCTGGATATTATCCCTTTGTCAGATGAATAGATTGCAAACATTTTCTCCCTTTCTGTAGGTTGCCTGTTCACTCTGATGATAGCTTCTTTTGCTGTGCAGGAGCTCTTTAGTTTACTTAGATCCCATTTGTCTATTTTGGCTTTTGTTGCCATTGCTTGTGGTGTTTTAGTCATGAAGTCTTTGCCCATGCCTATGTCCTGAATGGTATTGCCTAGGTTTTCTTCTAGGGTTTTTATGGTTTTTGTACTTAACGTTTAATCCATCTTGAGTTAATTTTTGTATGAGGTGTAAGGAAGGGGTCCAGTTTCCGTTTTCTGCATATGGCTAGCCAGTTTTCCCAACACCGTTTATTAAATACTGAATCCTTTCTCCATTGCTTGTTTTTGTCAGGTTTGTCAAAGATCAGATGGTTGTAGGTGTGTGGCCTTATTTCAGAGGCCTCTGTTCTGTTCCATTAATCTATATCTCTGTTTTGGTACCAGTATCATGCTGTTTTGGTTACTGTAGCCTTGTAGTATAGTTTGAAGTCATACTATGTGATGCCTCCAGCTTTGTTCCTTTTGCTTAGGATTGTCTTGGCTATTTGGGCTCTTTATTGGTTCCATATGGAATTTAAAGTAGTTTTTTCTAATTCTGTGAAGAAAGTCAATGGTAGCTTGATGGTTACTTCGGGCAGTATGGCCATTTTCACGATATTGATTCTTCCTATCCATGAACATGAAATGTTTTTCCATTTATTTGTGTCCTCTCTTTTTTCCTTGAGCAGTGGTTTGTAGTTCTCCTTGAAGAGGTCTTCCACATCCTTTATAAGTTGTATTCCTAGGTATTTTATTCTCTTTGTAATAATTGTGAATGGGAGTTCACTCATGATTTAGCTCTCTGTTTGTCTATTATTGGTGTATAGGAATGCTTGTGATTTTTGCCCATTGATTTTGTATCCTGAGTCTTTGCTGAAGTTGCTTATCAGCTTAAGGAGATTTTGGACTGAGATAATGGGGTTTTCTAAATAGACAATCACGTCATCTGCAAACAGAGACAATTTGAATTCCTCTCTTCCTATTTGAAAAGCCTTTCTTTCTTTCTCTTGCCTGATTGCCCTGGCCAGAACTTCTAATACTATGTTGAATAGGAGTGATGAGAGAGGTCATCCTTGTCTTGTGCTGGTTTTCAAAGAGAATGCTTCCAGCTTTTGCCCATTCAGTATGATACTGGCTGTGGGTTTGTCATAAATAGCTCTTATTATTTTGAGATATGTACCATCAATACCTAGTTTATTGAGAATTTTTAGCAGGAAGCAGTGCTGAATTTTATCGAAGGCCTTTTCTGCATCTATTGAGATAATCATGTGGTTTTTGTCATTGATTCTGTTTATGTGATGGATTATGTTTATTGATTTGCATATGTTGAACAAGCCTTGCATCCCAGGGATAAAGCCAACTTGATCGTGGTAGATGAGCTTCTTGATGTGCTGCTGGATTTGGTTTGCCAGTATTTTATTGAGGATTTTCGCATCAATGTTCATCAGGGATATTGGCCTGAAATTTTCTTTTTTTGTTGTGTCTCTGCTAAGTTTTGGTATCAGGATTATGCTGGCCTCATAAAATGAGCTAGGGAGGAGTCCCTCCTTTTCTATTGTTTGGAATAGTTTCAGAAGGAATGGTACCAGCTCCTCTTTGTACCTCTGGAAGAATTCAGCTGTGAATCCACCTGGTCCTGGGCTTTTTTTTTTGGTTAGTAGGCTATTAATTATTGCCTCAATTTCAGAGCCTGTTATTGGTCTATTCAGGGATTCAACTTCCTCCTGGTTTAGTTTTGGGAGGGTGTATGTGTCCAGGGATTTATGCATTTCTTCTAGATTTCCTAGTTTATTTGCATAGAGTGTTTATAGTATTCTCTGATGGTAGTCTGTATTTCTGTGGAATCAGTGGTGATATCCCCTTTATCATTTTTTATTGTGTCTATTTGATTCTTCTCTCTTTTCTTCTTTATTAGTCTAGCTAGTCATCTATCTATTTTGTTAATCTTTTCAAAAAACCAGCTCCTGGATTCATTGATTTTTGAATGGTTTTTCGTGTCTCTATCTCCTTCAATTAGTTATTTCTTGTCTTAGTTATTTCTGATCGTAGTAATTTCTGATCTTAGTTATTTCTTGTCTTCTGCTAGCTTTTGAATTGGTTTGCTCTTGCTTCTCTAGTTCTTTTAATTGTGACGTTAGGGTGTCAATTTTAGATCTTTCCTGCTTTCTCCTGTGGGCATTTAGTGCTATAAATTTCCCTCTAAACACTGCTTTAGCTGTGTCCCAGAGATTCTGGTATGTTGAGTCTTTGTTGTCATTGGTTTCAAATAACATTTATTTATGCCTTAATTTTATTATTTACCCAGTAGTCATTCAGGAGCAGGTTGTTCAGTTTCCATGTAGTTATGTGGTTTTGGGTGAGTTTCTTAATCTTGAGTTCTAATTTGATTGCACTGTGGTCTGAGAGACTGTTTGTTATGATTTCTGTTCTTTTGCATTTGCTGAGGAGTGTTTTACTTCCAATTATGTGGTTAATTTTAGAATAAGTGTGATGTGGTGCTGAGAAAAATGTATATTCTGTTGATTTGGGGTGGAGAGTTTTGTAGATGTCTATTAGGTCTGCTTGGTTCAGAGCTGAGTTCAAATCCTGAATATCCTTGTTAATATTCTGTCTCGTTGATCTGGTATTGACAGTGGGGTGTTAAAGTCTCCCACTATTATTGTTTGGAAGTCTAAGTCTCTTTGTAGGTCTCTAAGAACTTGCTTTATGAATCTGGATGCTCCTGTATTGGTTGCATATATATTTAGGATAGTTAGCTCTTCTTGTTGCATTGATCCGTTTACCATTATGTAATGCCCTTCTTTGTCTCATCTGATCTTTGTTGATTCAAAGTCTGTTCTATCAGAGATTAGGATTGCAACCCCTGCTTTCCTTTGCTTTCCATTTGTTTGGTAAATATTCCTCCATCCCTTTATTTTGAGCCTATGTGTGTCTTTGCATATGAGATGTGTCTCCTGAATACAGCACACTAATGGATCTTGGCTCTTTATCCAATTTGCCAGTCTGTGTCTTTTAATTGGAGCATTTAGCCCATTTACATTTAAGGTTAATATTGTTATGTGTGAATTTTATCCTGTCATTATGATGCTAGCTAGTTATTTTGCCCGTTAGTTGATGCAGTTTCTTCATAGTGTCGATGGTCTTTACAATTTGGCATGTTTATGCAGTGGCTGGTACCTGTTGTTCCTTTCCATATTTAGTGTTTTCTTCAGGAGCTCTTGTAAGGCAGGCCTGGTGGTGACAAAATCTCTCAGCATTTGCTTGTCTGTATAGGATTTTTATCTCTCCTTCACTTTTGAAGCTTAGTTTGGCTGGATATGAAATTCTGGGTTGAAAATTCTTTTCTTTAAGAATGTTAAATATTGGCCCCCACTCTCTTCTGGCTTGTAAGGTTTCTGCAGAGAGATCTGCTGTTGGTCTGATGGGCTTCCCTTTGTGGGTAACCAGACCTTTCTCTCTGTCTGCCCTTAACATTTTTTCCTTCATTTCACCCTTGGTGAATCTGATGATTATGTGTCTTGGGGTTGCTTTTCTCGAGGAGTATCTTTGTGGTGTTCTCTGTATTTCCTGAATTTGAATGTTGGCCAGTCTTGCTAGGTTGGAGAAGTTCTCCTGGATAATATCCTGAAGAGTGTTTTCCAACGTTAATTTTTATATTGATTACATATTGAAATTATAATATTTGGAATAAATAGGAAGTTTAAATAAAATGTATTATTCAATTAAATAAAATATTTATTGAACATAATTGAATAAAATATTAGAATTATTTAAACCTATTTCTTTTTAACTTTTCCATGTGGCTACTAGAAAACATGGAATTACAGATGTTGCTCACACAATATTTCTATTGGACAGTGGTCATGTGGATATGGTATTATAAATGTTTAGAGATTTTAGCAATTCATTTCAGCATTGAGGAGGTGGGAACAGGGGATCAAAAGGCTTAATGGAAAAGATGGCATTTGAACTGAGGGGCTTTCTAAAGTTTAGACATGTAAGGAGTGCAAGTAGAGGATGCAGGAGGAACAAACCTGAGTTTGACTGCGTCCACAACCACTTCAGGCAACGTGGTGGAGATCTAGCTTTGACACATGTAAGGGGCCCCAGGTGGCTTACAACAAACTTCTTTCCCATCTTCCATTTACTTATATGCTTTCCAATCATCAAAGTACTTTAAGCCACATTTTCACATTTTTTTTGTACTAGACTCTCTGACATAGAACATTCCCTCCATTTTAAGGAAAATAAAGCAAAATTTAGATTATCGGTAAAGCCCTCAGGTGAAAAGGCCAGTAAGTGGTCGAACTACTGTACTTAGAACACAATACTTCTGAGTAGTTTTCCTTAGGATCTTCCTGGTATATCACACTGCTTCCCTCTCATAGGATTGTGCTCCTCAAAGCAGTCTTGTAACCAATCCAATATACTAGAAGTCCTTCAGGTGAAGTACACCTTAGGCCCAGCCATCTGCTGTAAACTCCTCGGATACTGCCAGGTCCTACAGTGGCACCAGCTGCCCTGAGACAAACCTAAGCTGCAGAACCCCAAGGCAGGTGCACCTGAGAAACAAAAGGAGAAGTGAACATCTTGCCTTGATAGTTGTTTAAAAAAAAAAAGAGAGAGAGAAGAAAAACTGTTGTTGCTGAGTGCCTACTACAGGTCAAGCAGTGTATTTGTCATGTTGGTACCCTATGTTATCTAAATCTCACAGCAACCTTAGGAATAGTTATTACTAAACTGTTTCAGGATTGGAGATTCTTCACAATACCTCATAAAGCTGACATTAACTGACCATCCAATATTCTCCAAGTCTCATTATGCCTTCCTGGGCTCCTGGACCCTTCCTGGCAAGTAATCCTCAGAATCCCCTGGAGATTAATATGTATGAGGTGTGGGCTACAGTTCCATAGTCTAAAATGGTAACTACCAATCCCCATTTTGAATGCATAACAATAACATCACTGTACATTTCTCGACAGCTGACTATGAAGTATACAATATGCCAGAGATTTTATATGATCCACATAACCATATTATGAGGAAGAGCCCATTACTTTTCCCCATTTTTAAAGATGAACAGACAGTTTGAAAAAGGTGAACTGACTTGGGTAAGGTCATACCATGGTAAATGGCAGAGTTGGGATCCAACCCCTTGACCATCTGTCTCCAAAGTCCAAGTTCTTTACTATTGCATTACACTGATCCCTGTTATTCCCATTGCCCTGAGCAGCCTGAGTGCCACTGAAAGAGGCCATAGGATCTATACCAACCAGATGAACCTGCAGGAATGCCACTCTATGGTATAAAAAAGTTGAGTAGCTAGTTTATCATTATTCTCCCACAACATTTTGGTAAGCAAGGTGAGACTGGATCACATTTTCCCTCTAATGGCATGATTTGTTAATTTGATCCTTATAATCAGAAGACTTTGGAATAGGCCTTCCTAGTTTGCCTTAATATCTATTCTAAAGACTGTTTGCAACCATATTGATAGGCCTCTAAGTGTATGTTCATCTACATACAAAGAAACCACTTGACTAGTTGCAGATTAAACCACAGGTCAGTGACAAAAGAACAATTCAAATTTTTAGCCCCAAATTAGTGGCCTGCTGCCCAGCCTACAGCATGCTATTGCTTCTCCAGATATCAGAAGGCAATACCTCTGTGTCTGATGCACCATACGCTAGACAATCCTGACAATTTACTGTGGTTTCATGCCCCAACTATTATATTACCATCAGCCCTGATGATTGCTTAGGCAATGAATTTTGTGGTAATGATATATTCCAGACCTAGGATAGGATAACCCCCATGTGTGGGCTCTGACTTCATGGACTAGCAGGGGAGTATTCAGGCTTTATATGATTCTACACACATTTCTGCTGACTCAAAAATTGATGTAAAATAGAAAGCGGCATGCTGGGACATAGCAGTTTTTAAAACTCCTTTGGGGAGGCTTTGTTCCTCAATCAATAACTGGATGTTACATGTTCACATGCAAGTGTATGTCTGTGTTTGTACAAAATGCTTTGGTTTGGGTGATAGAAAAAGTCATTTGGAAATCACGCTAGGATAATCCCATGTAATTGCTAACGTGATATTAAAATAGTGCTGATTTCATAAAGCTCTTTATTTGACTTAGCTTTCACATATCATTATACTTTTAAGAAATAAAGCCCCAGTGAAATTTATGGCCACATCTGGCTTTTTTCCCTGTATCTGAGATGCACAAAACATGGCAATTTACATTTACTTGATCTTCCATGAAATGGAAACTTTACCAGTATTTTAGCAGACCAGACCCCTTCCTTAGAGTGAACAGATGATAGAGATTACTTAAGACCTTCTTGTAGTGTAATAATAATTGTTTTAATTGTAATAAGGTTCACAGGTTTACTGAGTGCTTACCAGGTACCAAGCACTGTGAAAGGCACTTTACAGGCTCCACAAAATAACCTTACGCTATAGATATCATTAATAGCCATGTATTACAAATGAGAAAATAGAGACCTTGTAAGTAGGAATACCAACTCACAAAGTCAATTTCTCTAACTCCAGAGAACACTCTTTAAATCACAGTGCAAAATGTTCAAGAAGGTCAGAGCATGGTATTTAGTCTAAGCTGGACTTCTGGACTTAAAATGTTTTAACATATAATCAAAGACATAATTCCTATTTGTGCATGAGGTGTGCTGTATTTTGAAGATTTATCTTTGGAAGTACAGTCTGATGTACATGCAGCTGTATGCCTCCAAGACAGGGCATACTGAAGACTACCAGTCAGACCTCTCAGTTGAAGGCTCAGACCTGATATCACATGCTAAAAAGGGCACTACTGTCCTATAAATGATAACTGAACAAACTTATCAGCTGTATGTGCCCCAGAACTACATTAAATACAATCTGATTTGCTTACATAAGGTAGGAAAATGTAATAAGCTAAAGCATACATATCAAAAAAATTGGGTTACCAAATTAAAGTACACACTGTCCTGAGAGCTTCTGAATTTCTAATTCTAGCTACAACCAGTTTACAAATAACTTCTGAATTACAGTCATTTGTTGGAGAGAAAAACAAAGATGCAAATAACAACCCACAAAGTCTAGCTTATTTTAGAACTGTGGCACCATTTATGAGGAGGCGCATGCTTGTGCTTAAACACATATGCGTGCATTTACTTAGATCATATTTATAATTATGATAACTCATGACCATGTTTTCCCAGATCTAGGACTAGACAATGCAACCACTCAACTAACAGCCAAATCTGCAGTGCAGATGTGACCAAAGAATGGCCAGAATAATGTTAATTCTGCATCCTCTTAACATGCAAGATTGTTCCTTTTCTAAAAATCAAATTTAAGTCCAAGTCCCTAGTTTGTAGTCCTTGCCAAGGTTCTCCCAGTACAAACAGCTCCCAAGCTAAATTATGCCAAATTTTGAACATCCCTGTTTACCTCCAATAAACGTCCTCCCAGAAGTCCTTTGGAAACATGCATAGGAGCAATGTTCTCTGTTTCCTTTTTCTTTTCCAAATGGTTTCATATACCTGAGTCCTATTTAGTTGCTTCTGTGATAGTAAAAAAATTGCTAATGCATATCTTGCCAGCTTATAAAATAAACTAAGTTTTCTGTGGACTGTTATGAAGAGGCAGTGAGCTACTGTTCATTCCTAAGGCTAACTATATCTAGATTGGACAAATTGTTGTTCTCTAAGGTTATGCCAAAGCATTCCACTGAGACTCTGTGCAACGGAGAAGGGGAGATGGCAGAGACTCTTCTGTCTTAATTTCCTGATCCTATAGAGGCCTCCAATCTAGAGAGGCTTATATGAATAGGCCTGGATTTTCAAAGGATTGTCACCATTGTCATGTTTCCCATTCATTTTCATGCATTTTTATGTCACAGTTTGGCCTCACACATTAAATATTTCAAACACTTAAAATGAAATACTCTTCACTGTCGGTTTCTACTGGATCTTTTATTTTTTTAAACAGCAGACATTCTCAAAAAGTAGATACTAAATGATTTCTCCAGGTGTTTTGATCACATGGGAATATTTCTTCTAGAGGTCACAGGTTTATTTTTCAAAACGGTCTCACTGCTATAATTTTCATATTGGCTTCCCAAAATAGACTGACTATGCATATTATGAAATCATGCTGATATTGAAAAAATCAAAACTCTTTGAGCAAGACTGACCATCACACATCCTTGATCAATTTCAGGGTTCAGACAAGAGCACCAAAATACTTGCCTAGTGTCTTGTTCATTCATTCATTCAACAAATGTTTCTTAGATTAGTATATCCCATGCCTCATGTAATGTTCCAGGAATAAGATAATAAATTATAGACTTTTATCTTCTAGAAATATATATAATAAAAAGCGATATGCACATAAACAAATACAGTGAAGTGTTACAGTTATGATTGAACCTTAGAAAGCAATGAGATCCCAAAGGAGATAATAATCAGTCCTATCTTTAAGGAAGGAGAAATGTGTCATACAAATGTATCTGAAAGTAAAAAACAAGCAAATATCTAGTTATTTCCTCTGATTAGAAGCAGAATAAAAACTTGATGTGGCCCAATATAAGAGAATAGTATAATTTCAAAAATTTTTGACAGTTCTTTATGTAAGCAAAAGAAGAAGTTAGATTACTCTGTTATCTATTCATACTATTAATCAATTAATCTGTTATCTATTAATCCAATTTCTTGTGTATGGGTTAGACACAGGATGGAATGAATCAAAAACATCAGAGAAGGGAAGTTTAATGTGCTCTGCAGAATTATGTAAAGTGCTGCATGCAGGCAGATAACATTAACTTGAGGAAAACGCTTTTCTGCTTTCATAGATAATTAGACTGCACTGCCTCTGAGAATTACAGTTTGATCAAGGAAACATTTAAGTGTGTGTGTGATTGTGTATGTGTGTTTTATCTGGAGTATCCAATAGAAAACTAGATGTATATAAGAAGAATGGAGGGAGGAGGACATATCTTCATCACAAAATAGTATAGAGGCCCTGAAGTATCCATGGGGAAATGGTATAATCACATATGGTAATGTAAGCTATGTAAAGCAAAACTCCAGGGCTTGCTTTTCATGATATGACATTTTTAAAGTGATGAAAGAAAACAACTGTCGACCTAGAATTTTATGTCCAAAGAAAATATTTTTTCAAAACTGAAGGCAAAATAAAGATTGTTGAGACAAACAAAAGCTGAGATAATATACCAACAACAAACCTGTACTACAGGAAGTTATTCAGGCAAAAGAAAGATGATACCAGATAGAAATCTGGACTTACACAAAGGAATAAAGAACACTAGGAATAGTAAACATGTTAGTAAGTATAAGAAAATTTTAAAATTTTTTAGAAGATAAGTAATTGCTTAAAAAGAAAAATAATAACAATATACTGTGAGTCTTACGTATAAAATACCACAAAAGATAGAAGGTGAAAATTGACAAATATGTTTTGTTACACTAAATATGAAGTGCTAAAATATTTTTTGAAGATAAACTGTTATAAGTGAAAGATATGTATTGTAAATCTTACTGCAACCACCAAAAATACAAAACAAAGAGTTATTACCAATAAAACAATAGTAGAAGTTATGCAATCATACAAAATACTAAATTCAGAGGAAGGCAAGAAAGGAGGAAAGGAGGAAGAAAGGTGTTATAGGATGAACAGAAAACAAATAGCAAGGTGATAAATTTAAACAAATTATAACAGCAATCACATTAAATATAAATGGTTTAAACATTCAAATTAAATTGCAGAGATTATCAGATTGGTTAAGAATCAAAATCCAACTATATGCTATTTTCAAGAAACTCACTTCAAATATAAAGGCTCAAGTTAAAAGTAAAAGGATGAAGGCTGGGCACAGTGGCTCACACCTGTAATCCCAGCACTTTGGGAGGCTAAGGCGGGCAGATCTCTTAAGCTCAGGAGTTTGAGACCAGCTTGGGCAACATGGCAAAACCCTGTCTCTACCATAAATATGAAAAAATAGCCAGGTGTGGTGATGCGAGCCTGTACTCCCAGCTACTCAGGAGGCTGAGTTGGGAAGTTTCCTTGAGTCCTGGGAGGCAGAGGTTGCAGTGAGCTGAGATCACACCATTGCACCCCAGCCTAGGTGACAGGGTAAGACCCCATCTCAAAAAATAAAAGTAGAAGGATGGGAAAATATATACTATGCAAACACTATGTGTAAGAAAGCTGAGGTAGTCATGTTAATACCAGAGAAAGTAAACTTCCAAACAAAAAATATTATCAGGATAAAGAAAGACATTTAATAATTATAAAGAAGCCTAAAAGACATACTAATCATAAGTGTGTAGGCATGTAAACCAGTGTTTAAAAATACATGAAGTAAAAACCAATGGATTAAAAGGAGAAACAGATAAATCCACAATTATAGTCAGAAATTTCAATAGACCCCCTCTCAACAATTGATAAAACAAGTAGACAAAAAGATCATTATGGATAAAAATGAAGGGGAATAAAATACATTCAAGAGTGTAGGCTTGTCTCATAAAATAATCAGGGAAAACAGATCAGTTGAATGGAACAGTAGTAGATTTGGTTATGAGATGAAAGGCAACCCCTGGAGTTTTGCATTAGAGAGTCTACATCACTATATGTGACAACCCCATTTCCTAGTTCAGGCATGCATTAGGGCTTCTCTGCTAGTAAGTGATAAAGATATGTCCACATTTCCCAATTATTCTTGTATCTCTCTAGTTTCCTATTGGTAACTCTGGACACACACACACACACACACACACACACACACACACACACAGGTTTCCCTTTTCCTTGGGCAAACAATCATTCTCAGAGATAGTGCAGTTCCTTACCAGGAAAAGTCCTAAGTCATATTACACAGCAATTCACAGTAGTGCATTTCCCAAAGGTGGATATGATACTGGACTTCCAATCACCACCTGATGTAAGGGTAAAAGGCCTAGACAGGGCTCTGCTTGAGATCAACTATGTCCTCTGTTGTTTCTAAGAGCACTCTCCAATAAACTTCCCACAAGCAAATCTCCATTTTATTGTCTGTTTCTTGGGGACTGAACCTAAGACAGAGGAAAAGGGGAAAGATACACAAGAATGTAGTCAAAACTAGAGAGATCAAACATATCACTATTTAAAGAATTGGTAGGAAAAAGGGGACAGAAGATCTATTGAGAGAGAAAGGCCATAAAGGTAAAGAAGAAATACAACAAGAAAAGGAGAATTATAAGACTGACAGCCAACTATTCAGTAGGCATTTGAATATGAGGGTTGGGAAAGATTAAGAATGGATTTGGGAATTTTAGCACAGAGATT
The DNA here is from genome assembly GCF_000001405.40 of Homo sapiens. NCBI lineage: Eukaryota > Metazoa > Chordata > Mammalia > Primates > Hominidae > Homo > Homo sapiens. Next base: position 53,317,474 of record NC_000005.10, read on the forward strand.
TGTGGCAAAAAGTCATGCCAACTTAATATCAGGATGCACTAAACTCTAGTCTATGTTAAGCATGCTGAAGTGCTTGGAAGTATACTGAAATCTGCAAGTTACTTGGAATTGCAATTTTAAAAAATAAATGGATTGATAAAGAAAATATAGTAAAATATTAATTGTCAGATATAGGTATTACATATACAGGTATTCACTGAGCAGTGCTTCCAGTTTTTCTCTATAATTAAAAATTTTATAATAAAATTTTGAGAAGTGGGGAGGATCCATTGGCTTTGACATTGGGTGGTCATTGATGACCTTTCAGGGCGGCTTTAGTGCAGTTGGGAGATGTGTGTAAGAGACAGATTGCAGTAGGTTTAAGAAGGAGTAGAATGCCAAAAAATGAAAATCGTTGACTTTTTTTCCAAGAAGCTTTACTGCTAAGGGAAGGAAATAAATAGGACTAGAGCTGAGGAGGGATGCAGAGTTGAGAGAAGTTGGGTTTGGTTGTTTATTTTCTTGTTTTCTTTGCTTTATTTCATTATGTTTTGTTTTAGATGAGAGACTTGAACATATTTATGGATTGTGCGGAAGGAGTCAGTAGAAAGGCAAATTATATATTTTTGAATTTAATTTTCTCAGGTTTCCCTAATTCTTAAATTAGAGCCATTTCTATGGATAATACACTGCCAGTGTAGGGGTAAAAAGGTAATAGATTTTCCCAACCCATCACAAGGGTCATGGTTGACACTCCTATAATCAAAAAAGGTTAGCAACAGAAAACGTAATATTTATTATATTAAACTTTGTATTACATAAGAGCCTTCAAAAGTGAAGACCCAGGGAAAACTTGTATTTTTATGCTTAGGTTTGATGAAGAATGGACAGCTGAGTAGAAACGTGATTGGACAAAAAGAACATAATGTAATGATAATAGGATGAGGTAGAAACCCAGCGGGGCCTGTTTGTAAAGAGGTTTCTAGTCCTCTCTTGTGTAGCATTCCTTCCCTCTGTGCAGCATCCTTCTCTATCATTTCTTCCCTGTACCTGTAGAGGGCAGGACACCTGTTACATGAGAGTTTTTAGGGAAGAAGGGAGAAGTCAAAGAGTAGTATTTCTAGTTTTATGGCTGGCTTTGAGGGAGAGCAGTTGTAGTTTCTATGATCTGCCTTGGGAAAGAGGAATTCTAGTTTTTATTACCTGCTTTGGGAGAGAAATGGGGGAAGGAGAGAGGAGGGCAGGAGAAGGTCTTGCTTCTGAGGCCCTTTTGATCTCTTTCAGTTCAAAGTACTCAGCATGCCAAAGCACTGTACTTTAGGGTATCATGTTCTGAGCCCCAAGATTGGTGACATTTATTATTAAGGAAAGGAAGAGAGTTAAATAGAGTAGAGAATAGCAGTTCTGGATTTAGCTCTAACAACTCTGCAGCTCTGGGTAAATATCCCTAAGTAAGGTCTGACTATGAAATCAGGACCAATAATGCCCACCTTCTAATTAATAGGAATATTAGAAATAGAACTTTACGCAAAGTCTGGTATGCTTAATTTTGAGTCTTTTAGTCTCATAGGCTTAATTTCAAGCACCAATTCCACATTATTTAGTCATGTGATTTGAGCCAAGATATTCTCTAAGCCCTGGTTTTCTCAACTGCTAAGTGGGAAAAATAATAATATCTTCTTCGGAGGGTTGTTATGAAGATTAAATAGCAAGATGCAGGTACATAACTTAATCAGCTCTGGCACATATGAAGTTCTTAGCAAACAGAGACAATTATAAAGGAGTTTTTAAAACTCAGTGTTCCCATTGTCTGACATGAAACCAGAAAAGGACTTTGTGAAGATACATGTGAATGGCTTGATAGAATACCTGGCACTGGCACATGAAGTCCCAAATTGAAAATTGCAGGTGCCCAGACATTATTCTTCTTCTCAGACATAATTAACTTGGGCTGGGTTGTAGCTTCTGCCAAGAAAAATGACTACAAGTTTCTCCCTGTCTGCTCATCCTGAAGGTGTCAACGAAAGCACTGCCTGCCCAGACTAGTACCCAGTGGCTGAGATGGGACACCCTGAAGGCAAAAGTATCCTTCTAACCTCCTTCAGCCTCATGATTCTGATGTGGATCTTTGTTTCGAAGAAGAACCGCATTCTCTGAACCATCCTCCTCCTCCTTCAGGAATGTTACAGCTGACCGGATTCCTGCAAAGTGGCGTCTACTTCACAGGCAGTTTATATGAAGCCTCCAAATCAGACATGCTTTTACTGTCATGAAGTAGAAAGAAAAGACTTTTATTCCCTAAGACTCTCAGAATATGAACTCCAGATAAGACCAAAGATAGCTCGTTGGGTGAGAATTGGAAATACAAGACTGGCATCTTCAGTATTATGTTGTTAATACTCTAGGAGCAATGAAAACCCACATGTAAAAACAAACACTCTCATTAAATAAAAGACCCTAAATTGTGGTTCTCTCTATTAGCTTCCAATGATTCTGTCCCTTCACTCCACCCCTAAACTTTGCAAAATTCTTAGAGAAAACAGGATTAGATGTATCCATTTTAATTTGACCCATCGGAGGTCAAAAAAATGTCATAAAGTATTATTGATTGTGCATTGATTGATCTGCTATCAATCATCATCTGAATGATGACAGAAATTGCATGCCCCACCTCCTGCAAAAAAAAAAAATAGTGGCTTCACAAAAGTCAGGATTTGGACTTTTTTCCCTTTATGGTAATAAAAGGGAGAAGAGACTAAGCCAGGGTGGGAGATAAGTGAAATATAATCTATAGATCTTGGCTTACAACAAGAAAGGGCCCACTGGCTTGAAAAATACTGGTCTTCCCCAGTTCCTGGGGAGATTTTACATATATTTCTTCTGATTTAGGGCAAGGTATTGGAAGGACTTTCTGAAGGAGTGGAACTGATTAACTCAAGCTCTTAACCCAGACTGATCCAGAACAAAGGATAAAGATACAAAAGAACAAGTTATGATGTTGAGTATGGAGAGGAGAGGTTTATGGTTTCATGGTCGTAATAAGTTTAGGACTTTTATTTTCAGCTAAATCCTTGAGTTTCTAGGCCAGAAGTTTACCAGCTTGCTGGTCCTCGCCAAAGGGAAGGTGATAAAACATGTTATTGGTTAACATTTTCTCCCCAATTCTGCAAAATCAGACAGCTGTTTATCTCTCTCTTCTATTTTTTATTAACTTTGTATTTTAATTAAACTTACAAAGAAGTTGCAAAGTTGCTTTATCTGTTACTGTCTCTATGTCCATAATTTTTAAATAGACTGTCTAAAGAGTTAATAGCATACAGTATACCCCTTTCCTTCTAAATACTTCTGTGTATTTTTTAACAAAAGCATTCTCTTACATAATTATAATTATCAAAATCAGGAAATTTAACATTGATATAATTTTATTTTCTAATTCAAAGTCCATAATCCAATTGTCCTGTTTGTCCCAGTGACATCCATTACACAATTTTTTCAGTCCAAATTTTTTTCAGTACATGCAAGATCATGCACTGTATTTACTTTTCATTGCATCTCTTTAGTCTTATCAGAATTGTGTTTAATGAAGGTATCAACCAATTTTCCCTCTTTTCAACTAAGAAGCTGATATACTCCAGTATATTAAAAAAAAAAAGTCTTCCAAATGAGATCTGATTTTGCCAAGCCTGGGTCTCTGTAAGTGGAGTTTGTGCTCAGTGGCTGGAGACACCCACAGCTCTCCAAGCCCAAAATTATTACCCTGTATAGTCACTCACTGAATGAATCTCTCTTTCCTTCAAGTCATCCAATAACCATTTGTCTTAATCAGTCATGGTCTGCTATAGTTACAAAAGTGCTGACCCATAAAAAACAATCTGTTCAAAAATCAGATTGTTTTCCTTTCAGATGCCATCAACACCCTTGCTATGTAAGACAACATGTCTGCTTATCGGGCCAGAAAGGAGAGATGAAGAGAACAAAGTCATGATTACAATTCCAACACCAAAATATTGAGAAATAAAGTATGTGTTCTTGAATAAAATTAAAGTTACTCCCAGCTTCCCACAATCCATGTATTCCTCATTTCTTTGTGTGTGTTTAATAGCTTAATAAACAAGTACAATACTTAATTCTTCATGAAATACTTGGAACCCCACACCTTTCCCCTTAAATAAAAATTATATTAATATGTAATGTTATATTTCCTGAGCTCTTTCCAGTAGCAAATGAATTTGTACCATAGCATTCTAGAAAATAGTTAACAAGAAATTATTAGTAGTAATAATGTATATGATATATTATTCTATATTCCTATATTTATTTCCTATAATTCTATAGGAAAACCCTTAGTTTGGGTTTTTTGGTTGTTTGCTTTCTTTTCTTCCCAGAAACCAAATGGTATACAGTTAGATCATAGAATTTCACACCTGGCAGAAACCATAAAACCTCAAATGCCCAATCTCCTCATTTACCAATAATGACCATGAAATCCAGAGAGATTAGATGAATTGCCCAAGGATACGCATTAACTAATGGGAGAGCCAAGACAAAAACATAAATGTTTTGACAGGCTACTCAGGACCCTTGCCACTGTAAGATGCTGCAGAAGACAGGTAGGGCTGATTAACGCTATGTGAAAAAACAATTTTTAAAACTTAAATTGTATTTTGGATGCACTAGGAAACACTTTAAACAAAATGAAAACCAGGACTTACTCTTTTATTCAGAGAAGATAGGCTTCCCTGATTGATTGGTTTTTATAAATTTCTATTTTCAGGTCATATATTTCTTCAAAGGTGGAATCTTAAATGTTTAGAGTAATTCATATTAAGTTCCAGGGCCTTAATAGTTCAGAAAACCTTAAAAGAGATCCCTGGGAATTTTAAGTTAACCATTGTAAATTAACCACTGCATTAGACTGCTATTTCAACTCCACTGAGTCAGACTTGGAAGTTATTTTCTGAAGGCTCTAGAGAGAGAGAACAACCCTCTGATCTACACCCAACCAGTAAACATAGTTTGGAAGACATGTGTAAGGCATCCTTAAGACAACATACACACCTACAAAGGAATGAAAACATTGTACTTGCTGAATAGGTCTGAAGAAAAATTTCAGTCTTAGAAAAAGCTATTACATAAACACAAGTTACATTATTAATACTGATCTACACTCAGCTCTGGAGCCAACTGGGCACTTACCTGAACGTTCATTTTCAGAGAGTGAACTCTGCATCAAACCTCTGAGTCTTCTATCACTGAATATTGGTGCTTTGAGTTTTCCTTGAAATCCTTAGGTCTCTCACTGTGGTTGAAACTTTGGCACCAGGGCTGTAAATAGGCCCCACCACAAGTTTATCTGGGGGATAAAATGAGAGCAAGCAGTGTGAACAAGAGGATAGATGCTGGAAAGAACACAATTTTCTAAGTCCATGCACTTGGTTGTGAAACCAAGCCAAAAAACAATCTTTTGATTTTCACCTATTTTCCCATTACCGTGTTAGGAGATGCACTGTGGGGAATTCTGAAACTAGGCAGACAGGAGTCAAGCTCCAGCACTACTACTAACTGGGTAATCCTGGAAAATTATTTAACCTTTCTCAGGCTTAGTTTTTGTGGTCAAATGGCCACAAAATATCTATCTATCCTATAGAATTGTGATAAGAAATAAGTTTCAGACTCCTAGAAAATACATAACAAATGTCGTTTCCCTGGATTCTGTAATGAGCTTTTTCTAGGTTTATCAGAGACCAGAGGGAGGAGTAAAATAGCTTGTACGATATCAAATAATGAGTTAAAAATGATAGATGGGATTGTTGCTCGGGTATTACCCTTTGTTATATACAGTCTTTGACTTTCCCTGTGTACCAAAAATGTGACTTTTCTCTCCATTCTAGAAAAATTCTCTTCAGTGATTACATCATTAGATTTCTGTTTCTGGAGGGAAAATCACAAACTCTCTGAGAAAGTGAATTCTCGCTCCATTAGCCATAGCCTCAATAGAGGATTAATGAGTTCAATCAAAATACCAAATAAGATTGATACCTGAGGAAAATATGGGGTTGGGGGAGAAAAAAATACACATCTCCTTAGTTCTCTTCACTATTGTAAAACATTTGCCACCCCTGGGTTCAAAGATCCTGGAAGTAATTTGCATACACTGAGTTTCCATAAGCATCTTGTGCTGCCCACAGGGCCCATTGGCTTGAAGCCAACTGGGAAAATCTCAAGTTACTACAAAGATTGGCAAGTACTGGGAACCTGTTAGATAGCTGAATACCTGTGATTCAGGCTTGTCTTCTCAGAATATGCAAAAGTCAAACCGCAAACAAATATAAATTTGATGTAATATTATCTGATGCTAGGTAGTATCGGTTACTAACCAGCAGTATAGAAATACATGCCTTGTCAGGAAAAGCTTTAGTGCTTGATAACTGTCTATGGAAATTTATTTTGACTAAGAAGTGTTCTTTCACATATGTGTTCCCAGAAGCAATGGGATGAATAACCTCAAGAATTTTTCTCCTAGAATCTAGGTCTCAATAGAGGGAAAGAAATACTTCTCAGAGGAAAAACTTTCAATTAACCTTGCCCAGACAACACAGTGATCTGTCAAATCACATCCCAGCCAAAGTCACTGATTAGACCTTTGAGGATGTTGAGTATTCTCTCTGCAGGATGTGGTCTGGTGACTGGAACTTAGGTCAAAGTTCGGTTCTATCTATGGCTGTGTCAACCAGCCAGTGACCTCAGGGAAATCTCTTCAGCATGCCAGTCTTCAATTTCACTTTCTACCAATTGTCATTTCAGACTGTTGGGTCAGATCTTTCCTGTCCTCACAGCTGAGATTCAGGTCAGTCTGTCACTAGCCTCTAGCATCCACCCCATCCCCTTTGCCAAGACACTCCTCCCTTGGCCTGTCCCACAACTTCAGCTAAGGTAACACCTAGTTATAAACTAAGTGTCAAACTATTGCCTGTCTGAAAGGAAGATGCCTTTGCTTGTTGGGACACACCTTTTTCAGGCACCCTGAGGCCAAGCAGCCAGGTGGAAGGATCATTGCTACTAAATTCTTGGTGGTCCAATCAACTAGACTCATGAGTAAGGCATTCTTAAAACAACATACACACCTACAGAGAGATGAATAGATTGTCCTTGTTAAATAATGTTTGAAGAAGGATTTGAGTCCTAGAGAAAGATGCTACATAAATGCAAGCTATAATATGATTAATACCGATCTACAACCAGTTCTGTAGACTCTGATTTGCTACTTAAAGATCCTCCTGCCAAACACCAAAGACACTGAGCAATATCCTGCCAGATCATTAGTTTTCTATTCAGACTAATTCTATTGATCTGGATGACATGAGGTATTAAGAAATGGTGAGTAGGAAGGAAGCATGTTTATACCATGCAGAAAAAACATCAAGAAACAAAAAGCACACATAGCAATGAAGTTAAAAATATAGCAAGAAATGAGTCCCTCCAGAAAGGTTATTTGTGGAGATGTTTACTATTCTGTTTAACAAACATTTATTGAGCACCTCTTATGTGCCCAACACTATGTTAAGCACTAAACACCAAGATAAACAAGACATGGTTCCTGCCCAGGAAGAGTTCATACTCCTGTACCATGTAATTTACACTTTGCGAAGTATGAGAATCACCTGACTACCTGATAAAACTGGAGAATCCCATCACTACCCAACAACATGCCCATTGGATTAAGGGTCCATCAGTGAGGCTTGGGAATATTTATGGTTAGCAGGTGTCTCTAATGATTTGATGATTAGCCAGGTTCAGGGAAACACTGGTCTAGTGAGACACTTAAGCATCTAGTGAATATAAGAACAATTTTCTTTTTTATTGTAAATGACAATAATTTATGCAATTTCTCAGCAAAGTCAAGATCAGTCATCCAATCTCCTATATACAGTGAATGAATGAATGGCTGAAAGCCCATCTTAGTCATATATTCTCTTTGGTCCCCAGTACTTAAGACTATACAAAGAACAGAATCAATAAATAATTGTTAAATAAACACAAAGAGAGAGAGAGACATTGTCCTTCAAATTATTCCATTAAAAATAGTTCCTATCTAGTTCAGAACCACAATTTTTAAGTAACATACTTTGATTTCTTTTCTGTAACAAACCTTTTCAATATTTCAATCATATTCTTTTCTTGGGTTTAAATCTTTTTGGAAAAAAATGTGGGACATAAATCAATCAATAAATAAACAAACAAAAACTCTTGATACTTTCTACCGTCACCACTTCCCATGAGAAGTTTTACTTAAAAATTTTTTTAAAGGTGGGTGTTGTGTTTGCCTTATACAGGTAGTAAACAAGGCTTCTCTACCTAGAAGACCAAATAAGAAATGTAGTTATTTCTATTCATTTTTGTCCCTTAAGCTCTGAGCCTTGATTCCTTCCAGAATTAAGCAGATATCATTGCCAGTAAATTTTTAAAGATATTTTCTGATGACTTCTTATTTCCTTCAAATGTCATAATTATATTACAAGGAAATTGTAAGGAAAGCATCCAAACTTTGTTCAGGAGAAACATTGATAATCTGGCACTGTTAATGGTACAATTCAAGAAACATACTTTGTTTACATAGAACATGGGGGAAGGGAAGAGATGTTAAAAGTGCACAAGAGGTCTTTAGTGACTTTACATTTGAAATCATTGCAAAATTCAAAAAGCAAGTCCTATATTGAGCCCTGGTTAGTTGAATTCATTATAAACATATAAGGCAAAAATAAAGCTCTGTAACTGTTCTTAGTCAGTATCTACTCTTGAATTTATTGCTGAAGTGACCCATCAATTATTCCTGAGAAATAGGGTCAGTACCATCATTTCATCTTTCTTGAGGCAATTAAGGAGCAGCCTTTTCAAGAGCCAAGAGAGATAGCTGTCTCATGAGTTTCATTTTTTTTCAAGTCCCTTGTTGCTATAATTTTAGGAAAAAAAATGTGTTTAAGGTCACTTACGTTCATGGCAAAACAAGAGCATGTGTCAAGGCAATGAGTGAGCTGCCCCACTGTGAGCAACTGTTCCACCCAACTCAGCTTCTGCACTTGGTGATGCTCATCATCCGGGATTCCACAGAAATGAAATTTAACTGAATCTGAGTCAAATGAGAAATAGAACTCTTGGATCCCTTTAAGCATTTTTGCTTGGAGCACCCACCAACTAAAGCATTTTGCTCACTTGGATCAGCAAGGTTGCTGGCTTACTGATTTCACAATGTTCCTCCTCAGAAACTAAATTTGTTTTTGGATATAGTCCAGAACCATGTCTCAGGAGACCAGCTAGCTGCCAGTGCAGAATCAAAAAGCTTATACGTATTGTAAAAACAAGAAATCAGTATATTTGCGTATTATCTGTTTGTTTGTGTGGGTTTTTTTGTACAAGAATTAGAGAAACTGAAGAATGACCTGCAGACTAGAGAGAGCTTTGGAGACTCCTGAAGTTTGGCAGTAAGGCTTCTTATTATCAAACGATGACCATGTTAGTGGCACGCCCAAGTTTAACCCCACTCCTTGCCTGTACAAACTGACTGAATAAATCAGCCTTAGCTAATAAGGCTTCTGACTGCCATTAGCTCCAATATAGAAAGAGAATATAAATTTTAGGGACCCATGGCCCTTTGGAGAAAGGACTGCCTAACAAAAGAAAATACGTTAAAATATACTAAAGTCAGAATGTGAGAATTTGAAAATAATAGCATATTCTTCATCTGAACTTTTCCCTGAATATTTTATTATCTCTATTATGGATCTACTTGATATTTTGTAAATATAGGAATGTTGCTGTTTGAGGTTTTCTATGAAAAGTCTTTTAAAAGTGTTACCATTTATCCATTTCACAGCACTCCTTAGTTATGTCTCATCCTTACCGATGGTACTATTAATGATAAATATTACCGATCAAAACCAAACATCTCTTTGTGAACATACCATATTTCATGTTTCAATGCCAAACTCTGGTGATATACCTGCTTAGAACTGAGGCTCGTGTTGGTGTCACATCCTAGTCAATGCCAAGCATCAACTCCCAACAGTCCTCTATTTCTGTTCCCCAGATGCTTTCCTCGTGTCGATTCTTACTGTGCACACTTGTCTTTGGTGACTTCATCTGTACTCACTTCACCTTAGTATGTGTGATGATTTATAATTCTATTCTCTGCCCAGACCATAATACCAATTGCCCACTACTAGGCTCTCTCTGCTGAATAAGCTACAAGCTCCCAAATCCTCCACCCCCTATATTTCCAAACCTTGTTATATGGCTATGCCTCTCTAACTTAGATGTCATTCTCTCACTTCTCACTATAACCACCTTACCAGCCTCACCACCATCTGCATCCCATCAGAACCAAGGTCTCATAAACTCCTTACCTTAAATACCTTTCAAATTTTATCTCTGTCCTTTTGCCTTTGCTGCCACTATTCTCTTCTAGACATTCCTCACTCTTGCCCAGATGACTGCAATATCCTCCTATTATTCCTTATCTCTACTTTGGTCTTAATCAGTTCTCCCATCCCCACCACATTGCTGCCAGTTTTCCTCCTGAAAGGAAAATCTGATCATGTTACTCTCTTCATTAAAACCCATGATTCAATCTCCTACAGCCTTTTCAGACTTGTCTCCTACTACTCACTGCCCTAAATCATATGTTCCAGTCATACGAAACTGCTTGTTATCTCAGCATGTACAACGCTGTTTCATGTCCATCTCAGCATATACAGTGCTGTTTCATGTCTTTGCCTTCAAACAAGCTTAAATGCCCTTTCTTCTTGATTGTGAACTCCTCTTCTATGTCAGATCAGACTCCTCCTCTGAGGTTAAAGACATAGAATCACATCCTCTCTCTGAACACTTCCCTCTGGTCAGATAACATTGAACATTCCTTCCTTAGTATTCCACTATACTAATCACATTCAGAATAGATTCCCACATTATTCAATAAATTCAGTCAATAAAACTTTGTTTACTATCTGCCAGGCACAGACTGAGTGCTGGAGAAAAAATGGCAAGCAAAATACACAGTATATGTGCCCTTGAGAAGCTTAGATTCCAGTGGGGAAGATAGATAATTAAACATGTTACAGTGTGATGGTGCTGCCTTGCTTGTTTGCCTTTCTGTCTGAATTATCATGTACTTTTCTCACTAGATTGAAAGTATTTTGAAGGCAGGGCTGTGACTCATGCACTTTTGTATTCCTAGAAGCTCACACTAGGCCAGCGGTATAGTAAGCACTCAAAGATTTAATAAGTAAATGAGAAAATGAAGCCTACATCTATGTCAAATTTTTATGGAGTAATCACATGCTCTTGAAAAAAAAGACACATTCCCCAACTCCTTTCACATTCCTATGCTTGAATACAGCCTTTACTATAATTTCAGTGATGGAGAGCTCTCAAATTTCTTTGCTTAATCTTTGGACAATTCTATTTATCAGACATTTCTTGCTCATACTGAACCAAAATCTTTTACCTTACGTCTTCAATGTTGGTTCTAATTCTGTCCATTGAAAACATACAGGATGAGTCTAATCTCTCATTCAGATGACAACTTTCAAATATATGAAGACAATTATATTCATTCTCTTTTCTTCGGTAGTCATAATATTCCTAGCGTGTTCAATCATTTCTTGCTCTAGGATTTGAAGTTTCTTTTCAGATACGGACACTTAACTTCCCTGCCATGTACTTCCTTTTGGTTGTGGTCTTTTGCCTCTTCTTTAAAGAACACAACATGGTTTGAAGGGTCTGTTAATGTTTTTCTAATGAGTGTTAGGCATTCAGGGATCACCCAACAACTGGGCTTGGCAACTGGGAGTAGGGTGCACTATTATTGCAAGAAAAAGTATTGTTTGAAGACCAGGCATGGAATAAATTGCTGTAGATTTGCCCTGAGACACTCCAATAGCTTGGGAAGTAGGCTTCAAGTATTGGGAGACATTTTTTGCTAAAGGAATATCTACCAAATATGACTGTAATGTTCTTGAAGGTAGTATCTGCATGTGAGTTTAGTTCTGTCCAAGGTAATTCCATGTGACCAGAAAATTTGGCAATGATTTACAATTAAAGGATAGAAATGAAGCAACACATGTAAACCTGAAGTTCTTTCAAAATGACCTTCTTGATGTAAGGTGAAAATTGAAGTCATTGCTTTTAGAAGATGTGGTAAAGGTGGCAGGTGAACCATAAAACACCTCAAATGATTATAGGTGATCTAGAGTAGATTTTGAGGATTTTTAAGAGAGCAATCTTGTTCAAAGTGCCAATGGTGACAAAGATGAACTTGTCCTAAAATAGTAGGTCTAATGCTCAGCCTATAGATACCTAGGCAGTAGAGCAACTGTAGCATCCCTGTTTATGGGTTCTGCCAAGATCCAACCCAACGAATTGTAAATGGAACAACAGAGGTCCGTCTGAAGATTGTTTAACATCTGAATATATTATCACAATATAATAAATATGCCAATTTCTTTCATGGTTTCATACAGTTTGAATACACTATTGCCTTGGTTTGGAATGCTCTTCTATTTTATCTCATGTGGGTTGAGTTAATCGTTCAAGATAGAGTCCAAGTACTGCCACCGAGTGCTGACACTGGGGAAGACTATATGGCAACACAGAGAGTTCAGTGTCCAGAAAGCCAAAAGCCAATACCAGATGTACCCTTGAGGCTGCCCAGGGTTAACACTTAGAAAGCCAAGGTTGCCACTAGCTTCTCCTATTTCTGGCCATGAGCAAGAACATGGCCAGAAATAGGAGAAAAGGACAAGAACATTAGAGCAAGAGGAATGTAGTGAGCAGTGAGAAAACAGAATGAAAGCAAAGGGAAAAGAAACAAGGAGTGTCCAAGATGGCTACCACCAAAGAGGTTGAAAGCCTAATGGCTATTTTTCTGGTTATGAGCTTCATTGTTTGTCCGTGTGTACAGGCACAGCATTAAGGCAAATTCTGTACTGTTTATATCTTTACCTGTCTATTTCCCCCATAGGATCCAGTAAATAATACACAATATAAAGGAGCCCTTTCTTTTTTTCTTATTTTTCTGTATTATCAAGGAAAGAAACACAACTTCCTTGAGTCCAGTCTTGCCAAGTCACACCGATTGTGAATGAGTGAGTATCATGGAGTCATAACCTAAAGGAGCTCTTGAAAATCATCTATTCTTGCTCTTACATAATAGAGACAACATGATTGATCTTCTGCCACCTTTGACCTTAGGCAACTGCCTTTCCTGCCCATCTGGAAATCTGCAATAGTTTTGTGTAAACTTTCAGTTTGCTATTTAATTCTTTATATATCTATGCCTTAATTCCCAAATCCAGCTGTAATCTTCTTGTGGGTAGTGTCTGCATGCGAGTTTAGCTTGATCTAAAGTGACCAGAAAATCTGGCACTGGTTTGCATGAAACTTTTGTTCAAGATATATTTTGAAGAGAGAAATAGAATTTAAACATGAAAGATTTTTTAATGGTATGAATTCAACTTAGGAAAGCCTCAAAAAAAAAACCCTATCAATTTCATTTATTTCTTCTGGAATTAGTTGTTTTTATGAATGGGAAAAATGTAAAAGGTGATTGTTATTATAGTTGAATGTAGAGCAAAATGCTCAAGGAAGTTTCCATGCACATTTTCCAAAAGCTGAAACCTTAATTTTTGGGAAACTGATTTTTGAAAATATGTCTGTAATTAGATGCTATTGCTGATAGACAAATATGTGTGTATACTTACAAGTTCCCTACCTTGTTATTATCCTATTAGATCATTTGTACTATTTAATTTCATCAGTGTCACAAATTAATTTTATGTGAAACCTAATCACTCAGTATCCATTATCTTGTTTTTGCTCTACAACAAACAGTGAGATAAAGTCATTGAGACTTTATCCAAAGTAAATATAACTTAGTAATTACTAGAAAAAGAAGATGTTTTCTTGTTTGAAGAAACAGCATTTTAACAAGAAGCAAAGCCACCAGTGGTACATTTATGTTTCTGCCTTGGGCAGATAAATGAACTAAATGACCTCTTTCTATCATTTTCAGCCCTGTGATTCTATCAGCAAAAGGCTTTCAGAGTCATGTGATAGCATAAGCCAAGACTTCTGGTAATTTCAAAGTCTTTCAACTATTTTCCCAGGAGTTTTATCCTCTCTGGGTTGTAAGCTTCATTTCAGAAATATGGGAGGTGACTATGACAAAGCAAAGAGGCATCCCCTTTGGATCAACTTGGAAGGCTGTGTGGGCATGTGCAGGCAGACAGCAGAAGTCACATCCTATAGGTTCTATTTAGCATTCACCTCGTGACTCAGTCCAGATACTCACTTAATAACCAAGTTCAGGTTCAGGAAACAGCCAAATTTCAACCACTGTAGATTTTCTACCTTCAACAGTACCTGACAAATTTGGCCTACTGTGTCTTTGTTTGTTTGTTTGCTTCTTTGTTTACAAAACCCCAAACAGGTAACTTTTTCACTGGATTCTAGTTTCATCAAGTAATTTCCTTTTGTTTACACAAATATGGGATGCAAACAAATGAAAAAGACAAACTTTTGGCTAAAAAGAACTTTGACCTCATCTATGTAAGCCAAACACTTTCAAACATAATGTATTTATAACCTTTCCACCCCTATTCTTGGTTTTATTCTTTTTTGGTTCTATAGACAACTACAAAAAAAATGAAAGAAAAAGTTCTGGGAGCAAATAATATCATGGAGTTAGAGTTATACTTTTAGTAGTCCAAAGAAATGGTTCACAGATGTGCTGCACAGCCTCTTCTGACAGAAGCTCCATGCTAATGTTGATGAAAGAATATATTCCTTCTTTTCCAAGATGGCCCAGGGAATGCACAGCACCATGATATTCTGAGAGGGCTTTCAACAACTTTTAGCCATTTTGTTTGGCTCTATGACAGTCAAAAAATTTTTGTCCCCAGAGAATTTCCTTCAATATAATCGTGCAAGAAGTTCAAAGCGAAATAGTTGCGCTTTCTCTGACCTATCTAGTCTTTCCAACGATTTGCTAACAAAATGATGCACAATTCATTTGTTCTGAAAATGTTTCCACTTCTGCCATAGCAAGCAGTCTAAAGAGTCATACAATTTACAACTCTTTCTGTTTACTAAAAAAGGTGAGGAATGATACAGTTCATCTATTGATGAATCTTTTTTTAAAGCCACCAACCAACACGTATGGTACAATTTCATTTTGGCAAAATATAATCTACCTGTGTGCATACATAGAAAAATAGACTGTTAGGCTATAAACCAATGTAGCCTATAATCAGTGCTGATTATCACTTAAAGCTGATTATCACTGGTTGGTAAAATTATAAATAATTTATGTTTCCTTCCTTATGTGTCACTGTCTTTTCTGAAATATTTGCAATAGCATGTATAACTGGGTTCTTTTCCTGCTTATAATAATTTTTTAAAGTCAAACATTTACTTACTAACTATAAGGAAGCAATAAAGCTATTTTCATTTTTCAAACAATAAATAAAAATACGTTTGTCAAAATAAGTCTGCACTAATGGGGCACTTTGTTCCTTTCTCTCAATATAAATTTCAGCTGGAATTCAGAGGTCAATCTTAAATTATAGAGTTATACTAAAAACCCATAAGATTTATTCATTAAAATGTTCCTGCAGAGTTCTGTAGCATCCTGTAGGTGTGGCAAATGAACAAATAAAACTCATATCCAAATTCAGTATCTCTCACCTCCGAACATTTGCTTTACTTATCACCACAGGGAAGTACACCACCGGCACAACCTTAAGCTATAACTCTATCCCAAAAAAGGAGATGAGTCACAAGTCACTTTTAAGAAATACAATAGAATTTTTTTTCTTGTAATGAACGCTGAAAGGGAAATGTTTTACTTGTCCTGACAACTCTAGCAAGTCATAGCCCAAAAATATGAGTAGGATGTTGAGCCAAAAGCTTTTTAAAGGCTAGACAAATACCAGCAGCATTAATAAAGGACCAGAAAGACTTCTATTGCAGCACTCTTGGGTTTACAATGTGATTATTGTTTTATGAGCAGAGAAAGTATCTTGAATACCATGACAATTTTATGTTTCCTAGGTGCTGGAAAAACTAGAAAGTGAGAGGGGATGGTATCTGATGAGGTAAAAGCACAGTGGCTGAATGCCTTGTCAATGAGGCTTTTACAAAAATTTTTAATCTCTTGAGTCAGGATTTTGTTTCTGTGGCAATGAAGATGTAGGCATTGGGAAGCTGGGGGTGAATTTCTGTGGTGCTGTCTTGCTGGGGATGGCCTGGTGACAATCTGCTCTGCTCACGATGAGAAGACTTTAGTCCAAGTTTAGTCTTTTAAAACGCCAACAGTAATGTACCCACATCTCTCCCTGCCTTGTGAAACATGTTTCCTCCATTCTGAGTTTATTTAATGCCAATTCATGCTGTGCTTAACTATATGAAACCAGCCAGCCTGAGGTCCAAAACGAGTGATATTCTGTTCCTTTAACAAGATTATAACTAGTGGTTAAATAACATTCTCCAGCAGCTCCCTCCCCAACCCTATCCCAAGCTGGAGTAGGAGTAGTAAGGTAAAGAGAGACCTGAGTAGTCCAGCCTCTCTCTTGTATTTGAGGCTGGGGCTTTGAGTTTTCTTCAATGTCCTTGTAAGTTTGAACTCTTCATCTGACTCTACTATCCTAGGCAATATGGACAGAGATAGAGCCTTCCTCTCACCATAATCTTGGGTACTCTGTCCAAAGACCAAACCATCTGATACTTTCTTTCAAACCAAAAATATAGAGTCCTTGATTGGGTGGAGATGGGTGGAGAGAAAAACCTGATTTCTTGCCGATTTCTCCCTTCAACCAGGATTATACCAATGAGAAAGAACAATTAGCAGGCTACTCCCAGAACAGTGCCCTGGCAATGCATGGTACACATGCTTTGTGTGTTTAAAAGGAGCTGCTGATAATGGTGAAGAAATCCAGAAAGCATCTGGGAAAATCCCTGACAAGGCACACCTTTCTTTCAGCCTATATGCCAGGTGTCACACATAGGACCAAGCATCGTCTTTCATGGCCCAGTACAAACTTGTACCATGGGACCTAAGCCAAGCATGATTCCTTTGAGCTTGCCCAGTTTAAACTTGCAAGGTGCGCCGCCACCACCCCCCAACCTCAACCCAACTCTACCCCCAACTAACATACCCACACACATGCACAAGTTCACATGCTATCTCAGCCCATCCCATTTGTAACTCATCAATCATAAGGGAAGCATTTTTAAGTTTTTCACTCTAAAACTGCATTATGTCCTGCAGGCTGTTTTGTAACTTTTGGATTACGGCACCTAACTGTAGTATCATGAAGTTGATAGGTTTGACTCATTTCCTCTTGTAATAAAGCCACAAGGTTAACATTTTTTAGAAAGAAGTATGCTAGCTTCCACATTTCTTCAGATGTGAAGACTGTACATGGAACAGGCTTTGAGACTGATCCCCTGGAACAAAAAAAAGAGGGTGAATTTTTTAAAGGAAAAGAGTAGTAGTTGTGTTGTACTAAATAAAATTGATTTTGCCTGACTCTAATGTAATAACAGCAGTTAAACCACTGAAGTTTTTGTGTGGTGTATGTAATGGCAGCATTTTTCTTTTCTGCTCTACTTTGTCTGAATTTTTAAAAAACTGTAAGATTGAAAGGAAATCTTTTGGTTCTTGTGGAGTCTGTTGATGCCTACCTGTTTCTGGCTGTTGTGTGGACCTTGTTCAGTGGATGCTGTACTGCCTTGACCCCTGCAGGACAGAGGCCCTCATTCCCCAGTTCCTGCAAGTATTAGTTGTCACTGCTGCCAACTAAGTCTTTCTCCAGGAATTGTCCTCAGCTGAAGGAGAATACCTTACCAAAGGTTATGATCTGCTCTCTGGGAACAGCCTGCGAGCCATGACTAATCAAAGTGAGGGTAGGCTTGTTCCCTTGACTCAACTGGCACAATTCTGAAGACCATCCCAGCTCTAGAGCTCCACATACGATCATTCAAAAGTCCTGTCCCACATTACAGTGCAACTTCTCCTTCTGACCTCATGCTTCCCTTGGCTTTCATAGACAACTGCAAGATCGTACCCAGGTGCACCTATGAGCACATTTCCTTCTTAGAGCTTTCCCCCTGGGTAACCAAATCTAAGATAGTTTCCATTTGTTTTCCTGGGACCTAGAGGCTAAAATGAGATTACAAAGCTGGATCTCTCACCAATTGGCCAGTAACGAAGACCAGTGGTAAGTAGTATACTGATTGCCATTTATGCAAAACTTCACAGTAGTGAAAGATGCCCAAGAAAAACCCCTTGTACCTTCTACTATATAAAGACACAGGGAGAAGGCACCATCTATGGACCAGAAAGTGGGCCCTCCCCAAACACTGAATCTGATAGCATCTTGACCTTAGACTTCCCAGACTCCAGAACTGTGAGAAATAAAGTTCTGTTATTTACAAAACACACAGTCTATGGTATTTTGCCACAGCAGCCCAAATGGACTAGAACACACTGAAATTACACAACTCGTATTTCCTTTTTTTCTTTCAATTTCCATTTTTATTTTAGATTTGGGGGTACTTGTGCAGGCGGTTACAAGGGCTTATTGCATGGTATTGAGGTTTGGGCTTCTATTCATCCTGTGTAGTGACTCAGATAGTGAACATAGTACCAATAGGAAATTTTTCAGCCCCTGCACCCTCCCTCCTTTTGGAATCCCCTGTCTATTGTTCCCATCTTTATGTCCATGGAAATTCAAGACTTAGCTCCCACTGGTAAGAGAGAATATTCAATATTTGGTGTTCTGAGTTAGTTTACTTAGGATAAGGGCTTCCAGCTGCATCTATATTGCTGCAAAGGACATGTTTTTGTTCTTTTTTATGGCTGCATCATATTTCCTAGCTTATGCATGCACATGCATTTCGTTCTTAGCAGAACAATGGAAACACTGTACACAGCTAACTCAACTGTTTTCATTTGACTTCTTAATGCACACACTTCTACAACACCATCTTTCTTTGGCTTAGTGATGAGTAAGGAAGGACTAGAAAGAAAATCTGTGTCCTATCTTTCTCTTTTCTTCTGTTATCATTTGCAGTAAGTGGTTGGCTAATACAAGGAAATAACACAAGTACAAAATTATATATAGTAGCATTCATTGGTCTTTCAGGTTTTTGTCATTGCCTCTTTCTGCATTTGAAGCAATTTGGGTTCAAATGGCAATTATGGCCTATCAGTTGCAAACTTAAATGCTTATATTTTACTTGCTTTGCAACTCCTTGAACTCCTATGTATGCTGGGAGAATTCTCATTTATGAACATCACAAACTCTTTATGCTTATGGAATGGCAAAGAATGATGGGCATGCATATTCAAGTATCTCTTCACACCATTCATGCATATCTCCATTGTCCCATCAGACTTTACTTACAAGACACAGTTCAAAGATAAAAGTATTAAAAATTTCAAGATGGTAACTGCACAACATTAAACTAAGCATGGGCTCTCTGCAGCTCCAGGTAAATCCTGGAAACCAGCCTTGAGTGGTGAACTGGATTGGGATATTGAGAGAAGGAAATGCAATGGCAGCTAAAATGTCTCAAATATTTGAGATGTTCATGAAAAAGAATAATTATAAAGACTATGAAATTGGATGGCTGTTCCTGAGGGCCATCAATGCATCAATATGTCAATGCATCTGTGCATTGGAGAAAGACAATGAAAGGCTGAAGGTGATTAGTTACCAATGTAAAAATGTAAAAGACAGAATTTTTTTGTCATTTAATAAAGAGATTCTCATCTCCTGTAGCCATAGGGTAGAAAAAGCTAGGATTAAGCCAAGTACCTAATGACTGAGAAAGCTTTCCAGAGAAAGCTGAATTCCCAGCCTCAGAGGTCTACTGGGCCAAGGTCAAGGTTCTGATCAGGAAAGAGTGGAACTCTGAAAATTGGGAAGGGGATATATGAGTTAATTCAGCCCAAAATCTTGAAATCCCAGGTTTCCCTCAGCCAGGGCCAGCCAACTTACTTTGTAAAAGGCCAGATGGTAAATATTTTAGGCTTTGGGAGCCCTAGGATTGCTATCACAACTGCTCACCTCTGCTGTTGGAGTGTCAAAGCTGCAGTAGACAATAATTACTTGAATTATTATTACAAAGGATGTGGCTACCTTACAATAAAACTTTATTCACAAAAATAATCCATATTTGGCCTGCAAGCCATTGTTCTTTCAGACGAACCAAATGAAAAGCATACGACAGAAGTGGAACACTAGAGATCAGGCACAATCAGGGCCAGAAAGTACAAACAAGCTGCTTGAGCAAACAGCCAGACTCCATGTGTCCACAGCTGCTGCCCCCATGCCTCTTCCTCAGCTCACACCTTGGCCCCATTGCAGGTGGGAACCTCTTTTACCAGATTTTGGAGGAGCAAAAAACAAAAAAAAAAAACAAAAAAAAAAACCAGAACTTTATTTACCGATGAGTCATCTTGATATGTGGTACAAGCCAAAACTGGCTTATTACTATGTTATAACCCAACTCAAGGTGAGGGGTTATCCTTCCAAAGGACAGAATTTCAGGCAGTGATGATCATCCACTTGTGTAGGAAAAAAACTGACCCAAGGTAAGTGTATGTGCAGAATCTTGGGGTGAGATGTTCAGGTGAGAGAAGGGGGTTCAGAATGGTCAAGGGTTTAGGAGGAAAAAGAATGAAAGACTGGATTCAAGGAAGTCTGGGGAAGAGGCAAGTAGATGGACCCCAGATTCTCAGAGCCCATTCATTTCCTAGGGATCATGAGCTACCCATACCTTACTTTGTCCTTATTTATTCAATTGGCTTTTTTGTTCTCACAAGATTGCCAGACATGGGGGTAAGTGATGAGATTACAGAAGCAAATTAAACTAGGTCTCTATCCTCAAGGAGTTGACTCTCTAAGGAAAACAGGCATGTAAACAACTAACTGGAGTACAGTGTGATCCATGATACTATTTAAAGTAAAGGACAACGTGCTGCAAGAATACAGACTAAACAGTGAGGATAAAGAAAAACTTCATGGAAGATGGAACACTTTAACTTATATAACACATCAAGTATAACATTTTTAAGGGGAAAAAAAAGGTATGTTCCTTCCTTCTTTTTGGCATTAATCATATCTGTTTTTGGCTTTCCATCCAATCACTATTCTCTACTTTTTCATTACTAACAAAAATCAAAATTTAGAGTGACTATAACACTACTTTAAAATACCTACCCCAGCTTCCTTGCAGGTAGGTGTGTATGGTCATGTGACCAAGTTATGGCCAAAGAAGTATAAAAGCAACCCTCTCAGGTAAGATTCTAGAAAGCTTTTAAATTATTATTATCATTACTAAAAAGAGACAGAGTAATCTAATATGTGCCTTTTGTTTATTGCTTTTTGTCCTTCGCCTGAAATTTGGACATGATGCCTAGAAGTAGAGCTTAAACCCATGAGAATGAAAGCCATATATTAAAGATGACAGAACAAGATAAAAGAAGGGTCCTGGTTCTTTGATGATGTTATTGAATAGTGACACTGGATCCTTACCTCCATACTCCCGGCTAAGGCTGAAAATTCAACCTGTTTGGTTAGCCACTGTAGTTCAAGTGTAGATGACATGCAGCCAAACAAAATCTTGACCAATAAGCTATGCAAAGAGTAAACCAAGAGATCTTCCAAGCTGATTCTTTTTAGTTTGTTTATCTTCCAAGAACAACACCATAAATGTCACTGGCCATTCTTAAAGTGACATCAGGTGTGTATATTTTTATGCCACTTCTTTCTATGCATGAGGAATCCTGAGATTTCAAGTTCAGAAAACATTTCACAACAGACGACTGAATACTCTGAATTACAAGCAAGGAGATGAGAAACACGATCTCTCTCTTTCAGGTTCACAGATACTTTACAGGTAATTCATGACTTTTCATAAACATCCTTAAACTAGATAGACAATTTTGTTCCTTGTGGTAAAAAACTTGTAGCGTGAGCCAGAACCCTCACTCTCTAACACTCTCTCCCCTCTCAACAAACCTCTGACCCAGAAAAGAGTATTGTTTTCATCTCTGAGTCTAGATGATTATATTGGAACTAAATTTGTGGTATCAGAAATCAGCTCTTTAATATCACCCACACAAAGAAATATTCTATTGTAGGATCTACTTTCATCTCTTTTCTTACTATGATTAACCCAAAAAATAACCACAAAAATGAGGAAAGGCAAGAAACAGTTGCTATTGAAAGTAGCACTATGGAGAAAAAAGGAACATTAGGAGCCCAGGAAGAGGTATCCAATTTGATAGCTGAAAGCCCCACTAAAGTTTCTAATTTCTTTGTGAGAGCTTCTTCCTTGTCCAAAGCTGTGTAAAATTGAGATTATATCATGCCTTAGAGATCCACACTTGGAGTTTTAAGGATCAAAACCTTAATCAACATTAAAGTACATTAAATTTCAAAAGACTCAAGAGCAAGTGTACATACACACGTGGACACACTTAATAGTGTCACTAGTCTTTACATAGTAAGACAAAGGTTAAAGGCAGAGTACATTGGTTTTATTTCTTTGTAAAGTATTGAGAGAAGTTGTATAAAATGGCTATGAGAAGACACAGATTTCTTAATGTGCTTTGGTTCAGCTGCAAAGCATTCCATGAATTTCAAGGGAAGCTACAGGGCATTGGTGGAAAGTACACTAAAGAAATCCTTCCTCAGCCTCGGAGTTTGAAAAAAAATCTTGACTTTCAGATACACCTGGGTCTTCTGGGGCAACAAATGGGAAATCACAGCTCTATCAACAAGCACCAACTTGATAATTTGAGGCTTGTTTTCTTTTTTTTCTTCCTACAACTCAGACAGGTTTTTTTAAGCCTTAGCAGAATGGCTAGACTAGGTAATCCACATAAGCAGCTGCTGCAATGTGATCTTTTTCTAACATTTTAATGTAGAGCTGTGAACTTTTCTGGCTTTGGGTTGTGTTAGGAACTTTTAGAGTAAACATTCTCAATTTAAAGGTTATTACTTTTAGGGCTCTGTCTGATCTGTCTCAGATGGAGTGTCAGCATTGAAAACAGTTACCCATGATAGCAAATTCTGCTGGAAATGCAGTGGCTGATGTCTAAATGATCTTTGAATACTAATGCTACACACTTTAACAAAAAACTTTAGTTTATTTCCTTATTTTTAAGTTTAATAACATTCTATTTTCTAGATCTCAGGATATTTACTCATGTACTGCTTTTTAGCACCACGCAAAATAGGGATTGGTTGGTGGTCATCAGGGTACTGTAGAAGGTAAGTTCTACCTGGTTTCCAGCCACAGCTCTGCCACTTACCAGCTGCATGCATTTGGGCAAACCACCTCATCTCTACATCTCAGTATCATCATGTGTGAAATTGGGGTATCATTGTGTCAACTGATAGAGATGATGCCTGGATTAAAAGAAAAAGAATACATGGAAAGTAGTTAATATAGTAGTCATTCATTATGTGTTTATATCTCAGGTCCTAAAATCAAAATCACCATTAACACCAGCCTTAGAAGCCTATTGTCTTACATGTTTTCATTGACTGATTATTATTGTGACAGTTGGAAGAGAGGGAAATAATTTGAGCTGAGGCTTTTCATATACAACTTATAAGATGATGCAATAAAATTTTGATCATCTTGCAAATGTGGTTTAAGATTACATAAAGGGTCAAAGATTTTCACTTTAATAAGACATGGGATCCACCAAGAAGTAGTGATACATTTTCTCTAATTATAGGGAGGGCAGTGTTGAATATCTCCACTCTTTTTGACTAAGATCTATGGACATGTGCCTCTACGTGAAAGCTATGGGTGTGGAAACAACTCTTGGTGCGGCACACCTATTGTAGAGTTCTTGCTTTTCCTTTTGATCGGAGAGGGGTAGGGTGCCTGGGAACTAGGGCTGGAGCAGAATCTCTACCTGAAACAGTAAGAGACTCTAGTTACTGACAGACAGGTCAAGTACTCAAAAACTTGCACACAAAAAATATTGTGAGCATTTTTTGTCAACAGTTGCACAATAATTTTCATGCCTTAAGACAGGCTGGGCTAAGAGTAGTTATGCAGCCCTCATATTGGGACATACTGGTTAACAGGGGGCAAGAGTTAGGTTTTGTAGTGGATGCTGTGATGGACCAACCAGATCTCCACCTCAAGAACAACTTATTCTTCTAACTATAGGGAATGCTGGCTGTGAATGGCTGAGAGCTGTGCCCTTCTTTCAGAATTGAACTCAGCCAAAGAAAGCTGCCTCACTCAAGTTTATACCCCCTTCTCAGACAGCTTGTGTCCAATGGCTGCTCAAAGCAGGGTCTCCTTTCTTGAAGGGCACTTCCAGCTGCACAGCACTAGTTGGATTGACTGAGGCCTTTGTTGCTACTGTACTGCAATTCATCTCCTTCCTCTTCCCAATCCTGCTTCCTCTATTCCTTTACAGATAATGTTCCTGAGAACACTCCTAATAAATCTCCTGTCTACACATTATCTCTATCTCACAATCCATTTGCAGGTATCTCAATCTTACATAGATTCCTATTAATCTTTGACACCCAAGCCTCCACCCAAAGCCCCTGGGTCAAGTTCTTTGCAGGTTGGCATACTTCCCTACTATCCAAGGACCAACTCTGCTCCACCTGAAGATAAAGCCTATTTAACCTCCTTGACTCTCAGAACATACTCCTACCTTCCAGTAATGTGCCCTTCTGCAAGATATATAGCTTCTTCCCTACCCCAACAACAGAGAGAAAAAGGATTTTCCAACATTTGATATCAGGTCCAAAAGAAAGTTTGTTGATTTTCTGCTTAGAGCATCCTGTACACACTTGGCAAATCTACATCTGCCTTGCCTCTAGCTTTCTACACCAGGCAGACACACCCACACATCCAGGACCCAGTGACAGACAGAGGCAGGCTGTAGATGCCCTGAGGTTGTTTGCAGCCATCTTTCTGGAACCTCATCCACACTAGTTCCCAAACACCCCTCTCTGGCCCCTGGGTTTGCATAGGGATAAAGATTTTCCCTAATGGGCTGGGCTTGGCTTGGCTTCTTGCTCCAAAAATTACAAATTTCCTTTCAGGGGAATTCTGTCCTCCACCAGCCTTTGGGGAACCAATCTCAACCACTTGACTGACATGTTAGAAAGGCCAGTATGGACACATCTTAGGGCAGGATTCATAGACATTATCTTGTTTAATTTTGCATATAATCCTTGTTACAATCTTGCCCAGTGATATGGTTTGGCTCTATGTCCCCACCCAAATCTCATTTTGAATTGTACTCCCATAATTCTCACGTATTGTGGGAGGGACCTGGTGGGAGATAATTTGAATCATGGGGGCAGTTCCCCCATACTGTTCTCCTGATAGTGAATAAGTCTCATGAGATCTGATGGTTTTATCAGGGATTTCTGCTTTTTCATCTTCCTCATTTTCTCTTGTCACCACCAGGTAATAAGTGCCTTTCACTTCCCACCATGATACTGAGGCTTCCCCAGCCATGTGAAACTGTAGGTCCAATTAAACCTCTTTTTCTTCCCAGTCTTGAGTATGTCTTTATAAGCAGCATGAAAATGGACTAATACAGTAGGTCAGCATAACTTTACTTGACAGCCATGGGAAGTTGGCCCAGCAGAGGAAAGAGACTTGTCTCAAATCATACAGTAATTGGCAGAAGGACCTGTCTGTGGATGCAATGCCTATGTTATTTTCACTAGGCCACCTTGTTTTCCCACATATCAGGCTGCCTCCCGATATTGTAGTCCAGAGATGAGGAAAGTATGAAAGCCCAGTCACTGGCTATTGTCCAAGAAACTGCCTGACGGAGTAACTCATCAAGAGGCTTCTGGCATTGGAATACATACCATAAGGTTTGCACCTCAACTGAGAATCATGCCAGAAGAGTAGAGACAAGCCAGCAACCAGCTAATAGAGTGAACATCTGGGGCTGACTCACTGGGACACTAAGCTGAAGGACCCAGCAGGGAGTAGGTTTATGAGATAAAACAGAGGAGAAGGATCCAGTGGCCATTTAACTACTGTCTGTAGTCTGGCCACCTCAACCAAACATCAGATTCTGACAGGAATACTTTCAAATTTCTAGAGATGCTATATTTTTACAGCCCTGTCTCTTGGACCACAAAAGAAACTCTCCCTCCCTGTACCCACTAAATTCATCTCATTGTAGCTCCTTAAGATTTTCAGGAGTGTCAGACAGCTTTCCTCCTGTCTCCTGTCCCCAGCTTCACCAAGTCACTCGAGTATGCTGTCAGTGTTCTTGATTCTACATGTCTCTGAGGATCCGTTCTGAGACCTGTCTTCCCGTGGCCATCTGTCTGGGACTTTCCGAGGCTTCCATTGTCTGTCTCAGCAGATAATACAGTCTTGGATGGAGCCTCCAGATAATTTCAGATAGACTAGGCCCCAGTTTGCCCAGTGCTGCGGGCCTCGGGAACAAGCTTCATATCTATAGCTTACTATAGAAAATGCCAAATGAGCCCATTTCAGGACAGATTGGTCAGCAATTCTTCCCTGGCATTTGGGCATTGGCCTTTTTCACAGGTTATTACTTAGGCAGCTTGCTCTAGTGTCTCTTACTGCTTCAGGGAGGGATTCTGCCCAGTCCTGGTCTTAAGGTACCTACTCATCCCCCAGCCAGGCTTCTGCCAAAGGAAAAAGTGAAAAGAATATTTACTAAATGTGATGGTTAATATTGAGGGGACTGAAGGATGCAAATTATTGTTCCTGGGTGTGTCTGTGAGGGTGTTGCCAAAGGAGATTAACATTTGAGTCAGTGGGCTGGGAGAGGCAGACACACTCTCAGTCTGGGTGGGCACAATGTAATCAGCTGCCAGTGTGGCCAGAATAAAACAAGCAGAAGAATGTGAAAAGACTAGACTGGCTTAGCCTTCCAGCCTACATCTTTCTCCCGTGCTGGATGCTTCCTGCCCTTGAACTTCGGACTCCAAGTTCTTTAGCTTTGGGACCTAGACTGGCTTCTTTGCTCCTCACCTTGCAGACTGCCTATTGTGGGACCTCACCTTGTGATCATGTGAATCAACACTCCTTAATAAACTGCCCTTTATATATACATCGATCCTATTAGTTCTGTCCCTCTAGAGAATCCTGACTAATACGCTAAATGTGCTACACCAAGGTATCTTTCCATACCTATGACTCTCGCTTGAGAGCACATGTCCATAAGATGCCAGTCAAACTTAGGGTGGATATGCCATACCTATAACTAGGTAGAATTTATCACTACTCCTTGGGAGAGGCCAACTCATGTTAAAATGAAGAGTCTTGGATATCAGCAACTTCTCTAGTTCATCCACCAGAAATTTGGCTCCCATATTTAAATATACCCTGGAAAACGAGTAGACAAATTCAGTTTCTATATGGCTCTGTCCCATACTGCAGGAAAAGTAGGTAACATTTAGATTATTATTTTCCAAACAATATTCTTTCTATCTCTAAACATCATAAGTTTCTCTTTCTAGGATAGACAATAAAAAATAATATCTTGTAAAATCTTTCCAAATAAGGAAAGAGGACAAATAATTTTTAAAGATTAATTCCAACATAAAAATAACAGCTAAAAAAATCACAGTGAAATCGAAAGAATTAAGTTTTCCTTGGCTGAACTGAACCTGAATGGCCTGTTTCATTTCTCCCATAATAATGTTTGCTGAAGTTCACTGAGAAGTTGCCATGTATCAGCCACTGTTCTAAATGCCCATACCTTATTTGATCCTCATAACAAGAAATAAAGTAGGTGCTATTATTATCCCTATTTTATAATTATCTGAGAAAACTGAGGCACAGATAATTTAAGCAACTTTTCCAAGATCACTTTCTCAGAACATATATCTCAATTTTTGGTTAAGTAAAAAATATTTGGCTAGGCACAGTGACTCATGCCTGTAATCCCAACACTTTGTGAGGCCGAGGTAGGAGCATCATTTGAGGCCAGAATTTCAAGACTAGCACTAGCAACACAGCAAGATAGCAAGACCCCATCTCTACAAATAATAATAATAATAATAATTAAGTGTCATGGCATGCCCCTGTAGTCACACTACTTGGGAAGCTGAGGTGGGAGGATTGCTTGGGCCCAGGAGTTCAAGGTTACAGTGAGCTATGATCACGCACTGCACTCAGCCTGGGGAAAAAAAAACCACACATATATTTACATATTACAAATATTTATTTCCAGGCTACAAAATCTTATACAGACAACTTGCTAGAAAAAAAGTAAAAATAGAAAGGGACAGACATCAAGAACATAGGGCATGGAAGAAGGTGCTTTCTAGGGACTTCATTAGTAGGTGCTCATTTTTAAAAGCTGATTAGAAATGTTTTTTGGAGTTAGAGGTCAGGCATCTATCTTCTACTAATTAATAGCAAGCCTCATTTAACATATTTAACTCTCACAGTCTCATTTTACTTATTTTTTTAATTCATCTGAAAAAGTTGAGTACTAATTTATTCCCTACCATAACAGTAGCCACTATATCAATGAAGATGCTTTAAGTTGCAGGTAAAATACTCCACCATCAGTAACAAAATAATAAAAACATTTTTCTCTCTCACATAATAAGAATCCTAGGAGTGGCATTTCCAGATTAGTTCAGTGGCTCAGCCAGGATCTTCTTCCAATCCCACATTTCCACTCTTCTCCATGAATTGGCCTTTGGCCCTTAGACTTGTCACCTCTTAGTCAAGAGATGACTGTCTGAGCTCTAGATATCATGTCCTTACGTAGTAGCATCTAAACTAGGAAAACAAAGAAAGAGGGTCAAAGGAAAGAGCCATCTTCTTTCAAGCCTTTTGTGGAAACCCCAAACAAACTTCATCTTACATGTAATTAGCAAGAAGTGGGTCATGTAGGCACAGTAGATAATTCACAGGAAAAGAGAAATGAGGCTGGGCACGGTGGTTCATGCCTGTAATCCCAGCATTTTGGGAGGCCAAGGTGGGTGGATCATGAGGTCAGGAGTTCAAGACCAGCCTGGCCAACATGGAGAAAACCCATCTCTACTAAAAATACAAAAATTAGCAGGAAATGGTGGCACGTGCCTGTAGTCCCAGCTACTCAGGAGGCTGAGGCAGGACAATTGCTTGAAACCGGGAGGCAGAGGTTGCAGTGAGCCAAGATCACGCCACTGCACTCCAGCCTGGGCAATAGAGGGAGAGAGTGAGACTCTGTCAAAAAAAAAAAAAAAAAAGAAAGAAATGGGATTGTCAAAACAGCCTTATATGATGTATGTTTCATTAGTCCCATTGCAGACATGATCATTTAAGGCTCAGTGGGAAGAAGTAATCAGCAAATATGAGAGTCAGACTTTGACCCATATGACAACAAAGCTGCACTAGTAGTTATTGTTTGCTCAGAAGTTAGAGATGTTCCCACTGGAAATCCTTTTCAAGTATAAGAAAATGCTAAAATAAATTTATGGCTAAGACACCGAAGACAATAAATATTGCATTTTAAAGGAGGTAAAGAGCTTACAAAAGAGTCATCTGCAATCGTGTTACTTAACTCTTAAACACCTCACCCACAATGATGGTGTGAAAGGATGGGGACATTAGAAATTAGAAGGATGTTTGCAGAGTATTTCTTTTGAATGAGCAGCTCTGTGTGCCCTTCTACCCTTCATCTTGCCTGCCCTCAAGCCCAGCGTAAGGGAGTTTATTCCACAGAATCACTCAGAGAGCTCCACACATGTCTTCTGCAGTTACAGGGACCCATTGAACTAGTGTTTGGCATATATCTGGAAAACTAAAAAGCTGGTGTAGTGGATTACAAAATATGACCACAAATTCCTTTCATCATATATTCAAGCTCTTTTGCATTGTGATTTTGTTACTTCTTCCATCAAGACATGAAGTCTACTTCCTCAGCCCTTGAATCTGGGCTGGTCTTTAGACTTGTCCTGACCAAAAAATTTGCTAACAGTGATGTAATGTGACTTAAAAGTGTGGGCCTTAAGAAGCCTTGCAATTTCCACTGCTGGTTCTTGGGCAGTGCATCAAGACCACCATTTAGGAAATCAATCTCACCTGCCAGAGGATGAAAAACACAGGGTGGGGTGGGGATAGAGGGCAAGGAGAGGCACCCCAGTCAATGGCCAGCATTAACTTTAGATGTATAAACTGAGAGGGTTCAGCCCAGTCAACCCTCCAGCTGAATCCAGCTCATGAGTAAGCCCAGGAAAAACTGGTAGAAAACCCAACCAGCCTACCCAAAGAACTCTAAGACATGATAAGTCACTATTACTTGAAGCCACTGTGTGAGTTGTTGGTTACACAGCAATAGGTAACTGAAACAGCTAGCTGGCTAGTCCAAGGCAAAGGAGAGGCTGCAGCTGTACTGGAATCTGCCTACATCCCCAGAACTTGTTGAGGTAAAAGAGGCATGCACATTGACACAAATAAGAGAGAAAACTGATTTTTAAGCCATATAAAATACTTCTCAAGAGGACTGTCTCATGGTAAGCCAGTCTGGGTGGAGTGATCCAACAAGGAAAAAAGATTCTAAAAAGAAAGAGAAGAAGAAAGGAGGGAAAAGAGAGTTAGCAAAAGAAGGAGAGAGGGGAGAAAATCATGGACTAAGGAGGGAACAGACAACTTGAGAAAAATGCATCACCCATATCACAAGGCATGCAGTCAAAGGTACCCAGTGGCAGTTTCAGAAGAACTAGGTGAAGCATTCCAGGTTCAGAATGCCCAACCATCTCAGAACCCTACCAGTCAAGTAAGAACCTTCCTATCCCTCTGAATTCTCCAATATCCCCTTGGCCCAAGCCTGGCAGGATAAGAAATAACAGTTATCATGCTAGGAAAGAAAGAGAAATGCCAGATGGGAAAAAAGAAGAGAAAGGCCACTCCAAGGAGACAGCCCAAAGCAAGGCCTAGCTGGGTAGAAAGGAAGATTTAGTTTTAAATCAACTTCTAAGTTTTGATTATTACCTGAAACTAGACACAGTAAATGTCTCCATTGAGACTGTATTTTTTTTTTTTTTTCACTTTAAGGACCAAATAAGTCATGGAACTGTGCAAGTTTTCCTCTGGTGGAGGGAAAGAATTTTCCCTAATTCAAAACTTTTAAAGAGACAGTGGGAGTTAAAAGATTGCTGTTGTAGTGTTCCCTCACCCTTATCCAGGTGCCTGCTTCCGGGGACTTTACACAAAGTGGCTTAAGAAAAGCCACTTGGAGAGTAGGTAAATTCATTTGTGAGTTCCGCTAGTGATGTGATGGTTGCTGGGAAGTTTCTCTGGCCCCAAAAAACTCCGTTGTCACAGTGGCTAAAAGTCCACCATTACAGAGGCAGTCATTACAGAGGCAGTCATTTAGGCTGTCCTCAGAAGTCCTGTTTTTTAAAATACACAAATCAGGATGGGCAGCAAATCAAGTCATTGATGCATTACAGAATTGCATGTTGAAGGATGGAAATAACAAGCAGAGGGGCAGAAGGCAATGCAGGAACACACAAAAGCAGTCAAACCTCACTGAAGACTACTGCACAATTTTGCCTGGGGTTCACTCTGCACTCAGGCCAGTAGCTCCCAACTTTTCACATTCAGAAGAATTACCACGGGAGCTGGGGAAAATGCAGATTTCAAGGCTCAAGCCCTCTAATTCTATTTGATTGGTTTGTTTTGGAGTCCAGGAATCTGAATTTTAAGAAGTCCAAGGAACTGAATTTTAAGAAGCATTCAAGGTGATTCCAAGGCAGTGGGTTCATAAACCTTATTTTAGAAATACTACTTCAATATAAATAGCTAAGGATTGAAAACCAAAGCTGGTCACAAAATTCGGATACATATTTCTCTACAAAATATATTCTTGCAATAAACGAGATAAGGTTGGAACAATTTCTGAGTTCTTAGAAACATGTTATCTCTCATGCTTCCTCAGGGCTAAGTTGATTGTTATAAATACCATCAATTTAGGGGAAAATTGGGGAAAAAAACTGGAAAGTTAACTCATTAGAAGTACACATCTATTATAAGATGGATTCAGGGCTAGAATTATGAAAATGTAGAAACTTACAAGTAAGAAAAAATATTTGTTAGAATGAATTTTTAGTTCAAAATAAAAGGTTTCTTATGGTCCCCAAATTCTAAGGTGAAAATGTCATTTTCTGGGGCCTAACCCCTGAACCTCATTTTCATACTGTTTTATCCCTTCATATATTCCAACAGCAGTGAGTAAGTATTTGTTATGGACAACACACTCTTTTCCTAGAAATGGGAAGGGTTACTAGAAGTTGTCTAGGCCTCTTCCATCAAGGCAAGCATCAGTTAAACCATTCCAGGAAGACAGCTAGCCAAGCTGTTCTTCAAAGCTTTCAAGTTTTTAAAAGCTTTCCATAACTTCCCACGGAATAAGCACTCACCAGGAAGACTCTGGATGTTATTGTTAGAGGATCGAATACACAGGGAAGTGGATAATATAATTAAATGCCAGGAAGAAGTAAAAAGGCATCAGAGAGGGCCACATGCTATTTTCCAGAATTCCATCAACCTGCCACAAAGAGCCAACTCAGTCAACTCCTAAAAAGCACCTCTAATATCCATATGCAGAGAGAGCCACAGTTTAGCAGGAGTTACGGGAATTTTCTAAAACTTAAACACATTTTGCCATACATCTTGGGGAATGTTTTCAGAAAACTGAAAACTGAGGCTTTTCTAACAGATTGCCTCACATCTCAGAAAGTGGAATAGAAAGGAAGTCATTTTGTAAACTAGTATGAGAAGAAAAAACAGCATGTAAATCTCTCTAGGCAGAGAAATTGTTGGTCCTATGAATTTAAATTCATAGACTAAAAATCTGTCAGCCTTTTCCAGATTCTCTCACAACATCATGCCTCCTCCAACGCTTAAGCACTAATTGATTCATTTTCTGTTTTATCGGATTTAAAGTCATTTTAGTCACTATTTTTAACTGTTTTCTCATTTACGGTCCTCCTCCCTCCCTTTGCTTCGAGGCCCCACATTAAATTATACATTCTCTCACATGGCTCATTATCTTACATTTTTTTCTGTCATTCTGCAGCTGCTGTCCTGCGTTCCTGCCTCAGCTTTGTTTAGTGCCAAAGAGCTGTTTTTTCTAACACTTCAAAAACACATGGCATTTTTTATGGGCACAAGTATCTTCACTTCTGTCAAATAAAAAATTGATTCATAAGGGAAACATTTTAAGTATGTAGGTGTCTTGCAAGAAAATTAAGTAGCTCATTAAAAAAATAAGTATGCCTGAGGAGGGATAAAACCATAACCTGAAAATTGAACATAAATGTCTTTGCTTTTAAGAATATTTGGATATTTGTAGATTCCCTTCGTGATCTTTTTGTTAGTTTGTTTTTACCCTTCGTGCAATTTACCTTTTACCATATTCTCATTTATAAGATTCTGGACTCCATACAGAAAGAGCAGGTAACTTTTACCCTAATGTTATCTCTGCTTTATAAGTAATGTGAAAAATGTTAAACATACAGAACTAAGAGGGAATCTGAGTTCCACATAGTAGCAGATACTGTTGGTGCCCTTTGTTATGTCCTGTAGCTCTGCAAGCAATCAGACCTGAGGATAAGAAGTGATTTGGTCTGACAATGGTATTTAGCCTCAAGTGGTTTCTTTCTAAGCCTTGTTTACCATCTTTCTCTCCCTGTATATTTAATGTTGACAGTCAGTTAGTCATGTCATGAGTCTTCTCACAGTGTACAGTAGCATAGAGTAAAATAGTGTTCCGCCCAGATCTCCTCAAATCATTCTCCATTTTTGTGTGCCATTCTCCGTTGGTAATACTTCACTTCCAATAACCAGCACCTACTCTTTTTAGAAGAACTGCTCAGGCTACTAGAGTCTCTTCGCATGCATGCTTGGGAGAAACCCAAAATTCAAGTGATTGAGAGAGAGAGAGCAGAGGAGACAAAATGGCCTTCAAGGAGTGCAGGGGTAGGAAACCCAGCTCCCCTGGATGTGTCATGACAACTCTGTGGCACAACTTGCACTCCAGAGCCCCCCTGTGGATAAGGCTGATGAAATGTTCAGCAGAACCTTGAGATGGATCTTTGTTTGGCTTCCTACTTCCTGTCCTGCTTCCCATTCATTCCCTGAACTTCCCTGTGACACTTCCTTTAAAAATCACTTGCCTTTAAAAAATTAGTTCCTTTTAAAATCTTTGTCTTGTAATCTGCAACTGTGGAATCTAACCTAAGACCACTGGCGAGATCCTTGAAGTACAGGATTATGAATGGCAAAGATTTACATCATTAATTATAGAATTAAAGGATGTCTAAACTTAGAGGGTTTCAGATATCAGGTATCAGAGAGATGAGTTAGCTCACCTGTATTAGTCCACTTACATACTACTATAAAGATACTACCAGAGACTGGACAATTTATAAATGAAAGAAGTTTAATTGACTCAGTTCTGCTTGGCTGGGGAGGCCTTAGGAAATTTACAATCATGGAGGAAGGAGAAACCGTCACTTCTTACATGGTGGCAGGCAAGGAAAGAATAAGCAAGAAAGGAACTACCAAACACTTATAAAACCATCAGGTCTCATGAGAACTCACTCACTATCATAAGAACAGCATGCAGGGAACTGCCCCCATGATCCAATCACTTCCCACCAGGTCTCTCCCTCAACACCTGCGGGTTACAATTCAAGATGAGATTTGGATGGAGACACAGAGGCAAACCATATTAATGCCCAAGTGCTCAAAGCTAGGATACAGCAGGATGAATCCAAAAACCCAGACCTCTGACTCAAAGATCACTGTTCTTTCTACCATTTGTGCTTTATTCTGAGTTTTCCAACATGACTATTGGACTATATATAGAGTTAGAGTCAAAATCAATTAATTCAAGATTGAAATTTTTATTTATGGTATGCCTTAAAGAAAAGCACGGATGTAAACTCAGTTGCAAATTAAATAAATTCAGGGTTTTAAAAAAATCCTTTTTCTTTTTTTTTCTTTTCCTATCTCTCTTCCTCCATCCACACACGTATACTACAACAGGCAATACTATAAGGAAGAATTTTGACATTGATTCGGAACACACTCACCCACTGAGAAGCTTGTTTGCTTGCTGCATCAGCACAAATGTCAATCAAAATGAGCAAGCAGTCTTTTTTCCTTCAAACTACCCATTTTCCTGAGAAACCCCAGGGGATACAAGCCAAAACTTTCCTAGGTGCTCTCCCTCATAACCAAAAGGTGAAATGAGTACATACATACGAACGAGCATGACTAGAATTACTTGTAAATAATGAAGGAACATGCAACATTCTCTCCCTTGTCACATCTTCCCAGAGCATAAGCCAAAAAGGCATCTGCTTTTTTACCATGAAGTCAAGGGCACCAAAAAGACAGCCTGACCAAATTGGTGCCCTTCTTCAGAGATATGCCAACTGTCAGAACTTCTCAATAGTGTAGTCCTTCCTTTGGGCAAAGCACACTCTTCAGGGAGCCTCTGTTAAATACATAAATGAATTTCCTTGGAATAATTACAGATTAACTCATTCTCAGCTTTTAACCCATTAGCAATAATTTATTCCTCACAGTAGGCTCCAAATTACATAAAACAGACAAGTTTCAAAGGGCAGGAGATTAGAAAATTCCTTAATCTTTGTTCTTTTGGGCTGCTATAACAGAATACCATAGCTTAAATGTTATAAACAACAGAAGTTTATTTCTCACAGTTCTGGGGGCTGGGACCCCCAAGATCAAAGTACCACCAGATTCAGCATCTGTTGAGGGCCCATTTCCTGGTTCAGAAATGGCAGTCTTCCCTCTGTGTATTGACATAGAAGGGATAAGTAGAGCTCTCTAGAGTTTCCTTTATAAGGTCACTAATCCTATGCATGAGGGCTTCATCCTTATGACCTAATCACCTCCCAAAGGCCGCACCTTCAAATATCATCACATTGGAAATCAGCATTTCAACATATGAACTCAGGGGAAGGGGACACAAATATTCAGTAGGTAGAACCCATCCAGGTATGCTAGAGGACTCCTGAAGCTTCAGAGCCAGAGGAAGCACTATAGTGGGGGTTGGGCTGTAGGCACCAAGAGGATGCTTTAAGGACACTGGGCACCCAGCAGAGGGTATGAGTGAAGACCACCTGGGTCCAAATCTGCCACATGCATGCTGTGTGATCTTGGGCAAAGAAACTTGACTTCTTTAAGCCTCCTCATCTCATCTGTCGAATGGGAGGAATAATGGCACCTACTTCATAGGGTTGTCATGAGAATTCAGGGCAGTTATATAAACAGCATCCTTAGGCTCATAGTATGGCTTCAGAGTAAGGCTTCAAAATTGTGAGTTATATTTATTGCTGTTGATATTATTATTATTTTCAGGAAATGAAACAATGAAAGGGAAGTTTCTAAAGGTGATTTTGGGACAAATTTCAATGACCATAATTTTGCTTATGTCTGCCCAGTTCTACTGATCATAAAATGTCAAAACGAAACTATTTACAAGAACACTAAGCACATTGGCATACCATAACATTCAGTCACATTATCAGAATAAAGTGTTGTAATCTTGTTTCTTCTCTCTGTTCACCGTATGCCTCTCCTGCATTTTTCCTGTTTCTTTGTACTTTCTTTTTTTTTTTTTTTTTTGAGATGGAGTTTCACTCTTGTCACCTGGGGTGGAGTGCAATGACACAATCTCAGCTCACAGCAACCTCCGCCTTCAGGATTCAAGTGATTCTCCTGCCTCAGTCTCCCAAGTAGCTGGGATTATAGGTTCATGCCACTACGCCAGGCTAATTTTTGTATTTTTTAGTAGAGACAAGGTTTCACCATGTTGGCCAGGCTAGTCTCGAACTCCTGACCTCTGGTGATCCACCCACCTCGGCCTCCCAAAGTGCTGGGATTACAGGCGTGAGCCACTGCGTCAGGCCTTTATTTTTCTTTGTTCAACAAATGTTCCTTTGTTTTGCTTTGAAATATAGGTAATATGTGTATAAGTTAGAAATTTAATACTACCTACTAAATTATTGGTTTTTCTACCTGCTTTCAACATTTGCATTTATTCATTCATGAATTTGACAAATAATGTGTGAGTTCTCCCATGTGCCAGGCACTATGTCAGGAGCTGAGAGAGTGCTAAACAGGGCAGATGAATATCCACAGATGCAAAGGGTATGTTCCACATTACAACTCCTAAGCAGTGCCCCTCTAAACCTCCCTCTTCTCTTCCCGAAGAACACTTGGTAGATTTTACAAGAGGTAAAATCGTCTCTTGAACTACAGGTTCTAAAGTTTAACCTGGAGCATGTAGAGTGATAGGCATACTTACTCCTGGGTAGAGTTTCTAACCTGGCTCCTGGGAGGGTCGTTAAAGATTTGGGAACTCCAAGTTTCATTCTTCTTCAATTATGCCTCTAAATTTAAGAGGTATTAACAGAGTAGCTTTTGGAAATCAAACAAGAGAATTCTGAAATATAGAAAGAAGTCAGGCCACAGAGGAGGACATGAGAACACTAAACTCTGAAGTCTGTAAAAGAAGCCTGTTAAATTTTCATCATTTTCACTAGAGTGTTTGTCATTGTTGATCTTGTATGGAATCTAATAGTTCTAATGAAAAATGTGTTAGGCCTTGGGTCCAAGGATATCATCATTATAAGTGCATAAGTGCCTAGGACAATATAAATCTCTCTACAGTGCTGCTATTGTGGACTTTGATCCATGATGTATTAGTTACTTATTTATTGATTTATAAAAATGAGCTGTTAAGCTTTTCCTGAGAAGTCCAAGGGCACATGAACAAAATGTAAGAAATATATAGCCACAAAAAATAAACCATGAAGTATAAACCAGAACCCCTAATGTCCAGGGCACGCTGCCTAGGTGAGTAGGATGAATCAAAAATACACTTTCTAGACACACCCTGAATGTCAACAAACAAGAACTCTGTAAAACCCAAAGAAGGAAGTTATATAATAAGGGCTTATATGAGACATAATATACATTGGCAAAACCCTGATCTAAACATGATGAATTTATTTACATTTGGCCCTTCTTCAGAGACGGGCCTGAGACTCTCACCAGAAAGTATGATGAGTATGATATCTTAAACGCCAGCAGGGCCAGAGGTCGCGTACTTGGCTTTCAGTATTTATTATTATTTTAAGCCAATTAAAATAATTTGGTTTCACAGTGGAAAGATTCCATTAAATAATAGCTTTGTTCACCATGAGTGCAGGTTGTGTGGTTCTTTACTAAGTAGGATAGAACTGGAGAAACAGAGAGGGCAGAGATTGGAGGCTTGTCTGAAATCACCTCTGCCCAAAAAACAGAGCAGAAATCTGCTGAATTGGGTCTATATATCAACTATTTCAATAGGCATAGCTCAAAAGATAAATATTTATTGTTAATAATTTTTCTCTATGACCTAAAATTTTAAAACATGTAACTCCTATTTTTAACATCATCTGATTTTCTCTCAGTATTTAACTTCTTAGTGCCAAAAATAAGTTACAGATATATTGTCCTTCACTTTTCCTTTTTAATCCCAGCTAAAACACAAAGGATTTTGTGATTTCCCAGGATATGACTCAATTTCATTCTGCTAATGATCGTCCCTTGTCTGGAAGCCCACAGTCTTCTGTTAACTTTGGTCTGCCATAGACAGCCAATTAAAATTGGCCAAATAAGCCAAAAAAAAAATCAACCAGAGACCAAAATAATCCCTTTTGGCTGTTGCCACAAAAGAATTTACTGGATAATCTCTAAACTTTCCACTTAATTCTGGCTGTATAGTTCAGTGTTTTTGACCAAAAACATACCAGAGGCTACACACTGTGATTGAATATCCCAAATTTCCTACAATTTGATGGGCTTTAAAAATACGGATATATGTTAGAGTTGTAACTCAGTGATTTAAGGCAATACTTTGGTCACTTGTGTATTGGTTGAATTAAACTTTGAATTTGGCACCATTGCCATATCACTAAGGAAGCTTCATTAGAAAATGAGTATGCATTAGGATTATCTAGCTTCTTACTGGTCCCGCTCCTAAGGACTCACAGCTCTGCAGGAAATCTCAGAATCCTTTGTCATTACTCTTCAACAGGTGCATGCCCATGGCCACTTCTTCCTGCTCAGCATAATAAGCATGGAACCACTCAAGTCTACAGGACTGCCAGAAATGGCTCTGTTCTTCTCTCAACACACTATCCAGCTAAAACACTCTTACCTATTCACTATTCCAGGTGTTAGAGCTTTGTCCATTGCTCTTTTTTCTGCCTCAGCAAAGAGGAGAGCCAATCCCCAAAGTTATATAGTTTTAAATTTAATTATTAAGTTGGCTTCAGTATGGTAGATACTCATTACCCCCAAAGGACGAGAACAGTTCAAGTCCTTCTGGGTGGACTGTCTGATGGAAATCCATTCATGATGCTCCAACTTCTGCTCTAACTTTTCCTATGCCTACTCTATTGCCTGTTACTGTGCTTGTTCTATAAAGAACTAACTTAGCAGAAGAGTAAAAGACTATCTAAATGTATCCATCATAATGTTCATATCATAATATCCCCTCAAAGAGAAATCCTAGGTCTCCATATTCCTTGAGCAATCTTCTCCTCACAGTGCCTGTTTTTCCATCTGTCTGAGGTGTAGGTACACATAATTCTGAGACATATACTATGACCTTCACATCACTGTCTCCTAAAGGGCAGTCACATTCATAAAGACCTATTACTTCCAATTACCTGTGCTTTTTGTCTTTTTCTCAATGCCCACATCTTAATCAGAAATCCAGCAAGAAATGTATGGTACAATCAAAGGGCTAGTGGAAAAAAGTTTTAAGATAAAACATTTTATAACGGTGTGGACCTGATTAAGACTACCAATGAGGGATGGTGAAACATGCAAGGACTAGGTATAGTAGAAAGCCTTTACCTCCCCTAGACTCAAGACAAAAAGAGGATCGTGTTACCCAATGAGAGCCAGAATCATAAGAGAAGGACCACCTAACTAAAATAGCTGTGAATATAGGTAAAGTAAGATGGCCACTGCCCAAACTGAGAAGAAACAGGGAGAATAAAAATACCCCACCTACTCTCACTTCCTGTCTGCTAATCTCTAGCTTTGCTGAACTCAAATAGAAACCAGAAGCCAAGGGAGCTTGAGTGGTACCGTCCATAAAGAGGCCAGGCTTTGGCCAATATGGCGAAACCCCATCTCTACTAAAAATACAAAAATTAACCAGGCATTGTGGCACATGCCTGTAGTCTCAGCTACTCAGGAGGCTGTGGCAGAAGATTCACTTGAACCCAGGAGGCGGAGGCTGCAGTGAGCCGAGATCGTGCCATGCATTCCAGCCTGGGTGACAGAGCAAGACTCCATCTAAGAAAAAAAAGAAAAACAAAAAAGGCCAGGCTTTTGGAGAACGGAGCTGGTAAGAGAAGGGTAAAGAATGAATTTCGAGAGGGAAATGAAGAATAATCCGCATTGTATTTCAGAAGGCCCTTACTGGAGGATCAAGATGCTCTGTGCCGCAAAAGTTGACCATATCATCAAGTTGTAGAGTCTTTGGAGCTAAAGACAGGGCAAGAGGAAATCCCACCCATGTGATTGAGATTAAAAAGAGTCAGACAAATGAGTTTCAGCCATTAAGGATGCCAGAGCTGGAGAAAGCCAGATTAGCAGCTAAGTCCAAGAATAGCAGATGGGTCAAAACTGGGAGGTAAGTCAAGACTCAAAGGCCAGACTGAAATGGGATAAAGTCAAAAGCAAAATGACTTTGGCAACTTCTGCCTAAAGGGCTGACATGTCTATGGCACACGTGATATCAAAAGACACCAGTGGAAAAAAAGCAGCGGAATACCCAGCACAGAGAAGGAAAGTGCTATTAATAGTTGAAGACTCAAAGATTAAGATGCCACAAATCGTATAATATGCTTCATTCAGCTATGTCAGGTGACACAAAAATAAAGAAGGCAAGGTTATGGAATGGATGCCAATATAGCGTTGATGTAGTAAGAGCTGACTTTATCTCTTTACAGTGGATGATACCAGAACTTTAAAAGTCAGCGCACTAAAAAAATATCATGCAACCTGGAAGAGTCTTCTAATCCATCAAAAAACCATTCTGAGAATTCATGGAATACAAAAGTATTCTTTAATGCTATTCACCTTCCCTTCCAATAGAGACCAGTTTGCATTTATAAATACATTACTGGTGAAGGTCTCTGAAAAGAGAACAGATATTGTACACAGAAGACAAAGCCATAGAATAATTCCCTTGGTGGCAGATAACCTGGGCATCAAGATGAGCTATATTCTTCCATAATTTTTACTATTAATTGTCGTGGAAGCTGAAGTCTGTTGTTGCAAAGTGCTAGTTGTTTTGAGTGGATGCAGAGTAGAAGGAAGCCAGGAAGCATAAGCAGAAAGCAAATACCAGAGTTAGAGGTCAGGGTCGAAGATAAAAGAACAGTCATTCCTACATGCCTAATAGGAATAAAACCAGGAGCTTTCAGTTTAGTAGCAGAATCATTGAAGGAACATGGTGTGAGGCAATGGTTTAGGTAGTGAAAAAGAATGGGTATATGGCAACTCAGCAAGAATAATCCAAGATGGAAGTCAAATGGCAATAAGTTGACCACAAAGGGGGTTTTAGCAGCTAAGCCCAGCCTCTCTGAGTTTTACCAGCTTCATTCTACTGTTATGAATAGTCACCTGAGTTTGCTACTATTTTGCCATATTGCTAGTTAGGAGGCTATGGCTAAGTTCTGAAATGTAGCTAAAAGTGGACATAGGGTGGTGGCTATGGGAATGCAAAAAATAAATAAATAAATAGAGTAATATGTCGAAACATAACCGACAAAAATCCCAGCAAGAAAGAAAGAAAGAATAACATCTGTTCAATGCATTCTCGTCCAAAACAAATCAGGGCAGCAGAAAACCAGGTGTAATCCCTTAACCAAATTTAATAACTTCTGTTTCCCTTTTCAGTTTTTTCTTTGTCTTATTTAACAAAATTGTGTATGCAAAGCTGATATTAGAATATTGGCTGCTAGCAAATGCTTTTATTCCTTCATTTGAGCATAAGAATGAAGTAAGTTTACAAGAAAAGAAAACAGCATTTGTGATTGTGATAAGTGGAACCTGAGTACTCATAAATTTTGTCATGAATTCACAAAATTGATACATTCTCTTGTGTTACAGACAATATGTATAAGATAATGAGCTGAATGATACCATGAAAAGATTAATCATGAAAAGCAACTAAAT
Source organism: Homo sapiens (assembly GCF_000001405.40). Classification (NCBI taxonomy): domain Eukaryota; kingdom Metazoa; phylum Chordata; class Mammalia; order Primates; family Hominidae; genus Homo; species Homo sapiens. Next base: position 53,359,789 of record NC_000005.10, read on the forward strand.
TTACAATATTAAAAAGTCATGCTTTGGTGTTTGTCTTCATTGCCTGGAATTGAGTACTTAAATCCGAAGAGGAAGACTGACTGAAATTTTTACAGAAGCCATGTGTCAAAGCAAAACAAAATAAACACTATGCTAACAAAAATACAATATCACCCTTCAGGGAGAAAAAGTGATTAAATCCCTCTTACATATTTCTTTACCCAACATGTGGCTCAAAACACAGATGATAAGTGCTCTGAGAATAAACTAATGTGAAACTATAGAAGAAAAATTCCAAATATTTTCCAGTTCTTCCTTTGGGAATGATTAGGAGCCATTGTGGTAAAGAGAGGTTGGATTCATCCCAGCACTGTATTGTGAAGAGCAGTGCAAAATCAGAGCCAAAATGGGGCAACAGGTGACCCCAAAGAGGTCAACAGCTTTTGTTTATCCAGGTATCTACGTAGCATAGATGATAAAACCAACAATGAATCTCTTTGTCCTGGAAACTAAACCGGAAATCTCAAAACTATGTTTTCAGTGTTTCTTGGCTTTCATTCTGTTAGAAATCCTGCCACATTTCAGTATTTTTATTCTTGACTTGAATGAAATCAGAAAGCAGAGAGGCACTTGAGAATTCTGTTTTTAAATAAAAGTAAATATTTCCATGTGAGTTTAGGTCTCTATTTCGTATTTTTGCGACCCAATTACAGAGATTAAATGTTCCACAGATGTCATATTTCTTCATGGCATGAGTTTATTGAACCAAGATCAGGTTAATTTTAATAGGAATGTTAATATGTGTCTGCAAGGTGTTTAATAAGCATTTCATAGTACACTTTTAAATGCTTGGTCAAGAATTGTGCAAACAGTAGTCTTTGGGTTTTACTTTTTATTTTTCATGGTGACTGCTGAGAACTTGGGTGTATTAACTTACCTATTTAGGCACCTGGGTCAAAGCTTACTCTAGCTTATTTCTCTTTATTTGGGTGCAAGCTATGTAGATGGCAACCCCAGATACTTCCGAACTGACTTTATCATTCAGCAAATGAATTATTCCATAGGAAGTTAAACCTTTTCTAAAACATAGTTCAAATCAAAAAGGCCTGACTAATTCTAAGAGACTAACTTTGGAATAGAGGATAGTCTGTCTTGAATTTATTTTCCTATGGATATCTTACTGGGTTACATATTTGTGGCTGGATCTGACTTCTAATAGTAACATCACCACTGAAGGATTATGAGTCACTCTGTCCCCTGGATCTACATTGCAGAAGAGTTGCTTGGCTGTTCCAACTGATGACTGAGGGAGGGTCTCTATCTGTCAAAGGGTAAAGGCAGGATGATTAAACACTGACACAGTCATCTACATGACCTTAAGCATATTTTAAAATTTTATCTGTTCTTGACTTTTTCTCTTCTGTGTTTCCTTATTGGTTAAAGCTTGCAGACTAATTTACTTACCAGAGTAGAATTTGCCATTTAAAACAGTGATCGCCATTGTGTCTTTGTTTCATGGTGGGATAAGTAAGGATTAATACTTCTATTATTATAATGTGACCTGTAGTGGCTAGAGAGGAACTAGCTGGCCATGGTGTCATTATTATTATACCACTTTTTATTTTTCCTTAATCTCTTTCACTGAAAATGGCAGAAACTCCTTAATTTTAAAATCAATCATCTGGACTCAGGAAAAGGCACAGAAGTGGTATTTGCCTGTGACTTTGGTAATGCTGCCACCAGTAAACTGTCTCTCAGAGAGAGCCATTGTATGGATTAACCACTGTATGGAATCTAGTTTAACATTTTAAGATTACCCAAAAGTTACCAACAAGCAAAAATAATCTTTGGATACTGTCTATTCCCTGCCCACAATTCTACCTGCTGGTATGCTGGTGTCAAAATAAGAATATCTCCGTGTAATATTTTATCAACTTGGTGCTGAAAGGGTGAATTAAGCAGAAACAGAAAGAAATAAACAAATCCAAACTTGGAAAGAGAATGGCTTTGATTCTCACACTCATTCTAATCTATGGAGGTCTCAAGTGTAGTACACACATGTCCCATCTGTTTTAGGCAAAGCACTAACTCTTCCCTAACAAAAACTGTGAACTCCCTCCAGGTCCACACACATAGCTACACAATGTGTTCTGTTTAATCATGTCTAAGGAACTGGGGAAGTAAACCACAGTTACCCTAGCTGAAATCTAAAAAATGTTGTGTAGGCCGGGCATGGTGGCTCACACCTGTAATCCCAGCACTTTGGAAGGCGGAGGCAGGAGGATCACCTGAGGTCAGGAGTTCGAGACCAGCCTGACCAACACAGTGAAACCTCGTGTCTACTAAAAATACAAAAAATTAGCCAGGGACAGTGGCGGGCACCTGTAAACACAGCTAGTGAGGCAGGAGAATCACTTGAACCCAGGAGACAGATGTTGCAGTGAGCTGAGATCGCACCACTGCACTCTAGCCTGGGTGACAGAGCAAGACTCCATCTCAGAAAATAAAAAAATAAAAAATAAATAAAGATAAAATAAAGACTGTTGTGCTTGGTGGTTCAAGTGGACTTGGTGGCGCGTGGCCCAAGAGGGAGTTCACAATTTCTGTTAGGGAAGAGAAATACCACATGACAGGGAGATTACCTTAAAATGGAGTTTCCTTTTACTAAAAGTTAGTGATATCAGACAGACAAAGAGAATTTGGTTCAATTTTGACTTTGAAAACTTTGTTACAAAAAGAAATACAGCACTGTCTCCAAAATGCCTAATACTGTATTAGTTGGTCACAAGGCTGGGCAGGCTTCCTGGCCAAACTCAACAAAGGAACACTAAAGGAAAGTAATTCAATGACAGGCCATGTATAATAGTTTCAGAATGCAAAAAGAACAAACATGAGTTATGACTAAACATTGTAGACTTAGGCAAAAATGTTTAGTTTCGTTGTAGTAAAAGATTTCCGGATGTTAATTCAACCCAATGTATCTGCTGAAACTGATTAGAGAGGATGGTAGTTGTAGTTGCAGAATCCGGAATTCCACAGCACTGACTGTACAATGTCAATTCCATTTCTGCGAAACCAAACTGCTATTATCTAATTTCTCTCCTATTACTTTTGACTCTTGATGACAAATATGCAAGGAACGGTGCCAAAATCCAGTTGGCACTTCATTATCTAAACTTGTTCCATGATGCCTAAGTTTTAAAATATTTGATTTTATTATAGTAAAAAATAAAAATTGTGACTAAAACTCATGGGAATGTTAGGATAACATGGAAATTGGTAAACCGAGAGCTAAAAATATTACTAATGGTCTTATTTTCTGCCTATGCTACTAATGCAATGAATGTTAGGAAAGTTGTTCAATCTTTCTTACATTTTTTTCTGTGGTTAAGCAAAAGTAATGTTTACCTGAAAGTTTGCTTACAGCTAAAAAATTTGAGAACTAAAGATATTTCCAAGTCTATCATACAGTTGCACATAACTAATAAAAGGGACTTTAAAAAATGAGTAATTTAATGTATAGATATAAAAACAGTGAATACATTATTAAGCTTTTACATATATTTCCAATTTTTCACTTAATCAATGACCAATCTACACATATGAGCAAATGCACAGTTACACAAAAAAACACTGAAATAGACACAATCACACACTCCAATCACCAACTCTATGTCTAGTCTTGTTCCTCTCTCTACTCACTCCTGTGGTTTCTAGAACCAAGACCGGACTGGAACAGCACACGGAAAGAAACCATAAATTGTCAATAGAACATTTTAAGACTTTTTTTTTCAGCTTTTTACTACAGAACATTTTAAATGCATAAAATGGTAGACAGAACTGATAACAAACTATTCCCAGAACCTAGCTTCAACAATTATCAACTAAGGGTTAAACTTATTTGATCCATATTCCCATCTACTTCTCCTTTCCATATTCTTTCAAAGCATATCTCAGATATCATAGTATTGTATCCACAAATGTTTCACAATATATCTCCGTAAAATAATTACTCTTTTAAAAAATAGCCAAAAACTCATTATATCAACTTAAGCAATTAAAAATGATTCTATGATAACAAATAGCCCACCCATGTTCAAAATGTCTAACTGTCTCTTTTTTTAACAGTTGGTGTCAGTCTTTTTGAAAAACCTTTAGGGAATATTTAGCCATCTTCCTTTCCGTAGCTTGTGTACTCATATGAAAATTAGCATGGACACAATATGACTTGGATCACAGAAGAAAGCTCAGTGTGAATATGTGGTCTCTCTCCATTTTAAATGATGTAATTCTTGGTCGAAGGCTCACAACTATTAGTTGTTTAGGGAAAAAAGAAATCAAATAGTGCACATTAGTTTCTAAAAGAAGTCAGGGAAAATCCAACAAGTTTTGTAGAAAAGAGAATCTTCAAGCCAAAGAGTAATAGATGTTTGAGAATGCAGAGCTTCACTGAAGCTGTCTTTCCCCAAAGGAGTGCAGAGAACACAAAGGAACCTTGCAGTTAAGAAGGAAGCACTGCTAGTTAAGGGCACATGCTCCTCCCACAGCTCACGCATCAGCCAACTTTCTTCTGCAAATGTCATATCTCTCTCCAACAGCAAACCAAAGTTTCCAAAGTGAATTTCAAAGTATTAGAATTTACAACTGATTTTAAGCACTTCAATTTGGAAGCAGATTTTAAATCCCAAATCGGAGATGTGTCTTGGATCTTGGCTTGCCTCCCTCTGTAGGTAGGGATATATAAACTACTTTCTTGAGCTATTAGTTATTAAGCATAAAAATATATATTATTAATAAGTGTTTATAAGCATTAATATCCTGCATATAATAAAAACCAGTCACTTCCTTTTTATTGCCCAGAATTTGAGACTGTGTACTGCTTGAAAAATTTTGTATAGAAGGAACAATGAAGGTCTGCTGCCCTGGGAACAGCGAGTGTAGCATCCCATTCCAACATGTGGGGACTTTCCTGTCTGCTTTGGATGGTGGGGAGTTTCTTTCAGACTGGAAGGAATAAAAACTGTGAAAGGTTCATCAATATAGCTGCAAGAGAAGGAAATATCCTCTATTTATTCATGTTCAACAGGAGTGGGGATAACTTAAAATAAATGACATATCAATAATAAAACCATTAACAGAAGAACAAAGTAACATAATTGTAAAGGAGATAGATGTACTATCATAGAACATAAGAGATGGAAAGTGTCTGCAACTAAACATAGCATATAGGTCTGTTTCCCTAAAATCAGGAAAAGGAGATTTATTTTTCTTATCAATACTTATAAAAATGTAGAAGTCTTTGGAATATCTCCAAATAGTTTTTAGCTTTGAATAATTAGAAAAGCTTGGCATAATTGATGAATGTATGTTTATCTGTTCTAAACCTGAATTCCAAGTTAATTAGTCAAATCTTACTCCTTTTCTTCAAGAACACTAGGAATTTCTTGGTTTTATTAATATCCCTATACATCTGACCTTTGTTATTATAATAGGATATATATTCTTATGGCTTGCATGCAAAGTGTTCTCAATTGCTCTTAGGTCATATTGCCAGTTACAAGAATTACTAATTATACAGATTTGGATGTGGACTTAGGACGGCTTATGATCCTTGGGAGATGCTTCAGAACACTCTTTTGGGTCATTTAAACCAAAACAAATCAATAATGATGACCAGCCAAATGAAGCAAATAATTGATCCATTTCATTCCTTCTCTTGGCTATAGTAGTCCAGGTCATTTTCATTTTCAGGTAATAAGACTAACAAACTCATCATCATTTTTTAATCTATTCAGAAATATTTTTTAAATGTAAACATATGACAGTGGATCAAAATATAGTCAGTAGGGGGAAGTGTCCTCATGAATTCGTGAATTATGTGCTAATTTCTTTCCCTCGTGTTGTTCTAAAAACGTGAGTACATTAATAACAATATGTAAGTAAAATTTCTTAGGGTTGCATAAAAAAAAACCTAATTAAGCTCATTAAAAATAAATAAATAAGTAAATACTAAATAAATAAATAAGGAGGGTGCAAGGGGGGAAATCAGAACATTTTGTTAGGAAACGTCCTAGAAATGTTCAGCTGAGTTAGATGGGACTGGCTCTCCTGACTTCAGAGGATGAACCAGTACCTCTCTCCCTTCCCTTCTTTATTGGTCTTCAGGTTTCTTGTTTCTACTTCTTTTCAGCACCTGTTCCATTCTTTTCTCGGCTGAGTGGCTTAATCTATAAGATTCTTGAATGCTTCTCCTCCATTATCTGAGCTTATGGGTAGATTTGTCCTGCTATGTCACATATTCAGGGCCCAATTCTCTTTGACTCCCAGCTCCCTGCCATTGACTGGATTACACAGGATTCTAGGACTTCTTGGGTGTCATCATTCCTACATTTATTTACTAAGGGAGTAAACGTTTTGGGAGAACTCTCATAGGCCAATATGCAATAGAGGCTAGAGATTTAGAAATTATCAAGATGGTTCTCCTGGAAGAGAAAATGGGCCAGTGATTAAGATCCAAATGATTTGAGTGTGTGGTAGTTTTAGTAAGTGTGGGAGCACTGAGTCAGGGGCTTTGAAAGCCTGGAGATATCAAAAAATATTTTCCGTTTCTCTCGTATGCCCTACTGTTGCCTGTACAGAGATGTGGAAATTGCTCATCATTCGTTTACGTATCTATTGCTCATTGACTAAAAGCTCCTCCAGAGTAGGGTGCATGTTTTACTCATCTTTGTCCCCGGTAACAATAATCTTTGATGACTAAATAACATATGAAATGATGCTTGAACTGAGATATCAAATGCAAACAGGAAATGGGTTAAAAAATAAAAAGAAGGAGGTGGCATCTTGCAACTGCAGGTAACCAGGTTTCAGAGACATGACAGGCTGCTGTACATTCAAGGAATTGCAAGCAATTCAGAGAGGCTGGGACTTCCAGGTTCATGGGGAATGGAGGAAAATGGGGCTGGGATGTTGACCAGGTTTGCAAGCTTCATGAACAAGTTTTGACTTCATGAACAAGTTTTGACCAAAGGCAATGGGAAGCTGTTAAAAATTTTAAGCAATACTCATCAGATCGGAAGTACGTCTTCTAAAGTACATTCTAATAGTCACGTGCTGATGGATTGTAGTGATACAGCTCCATCTCAGGGAAAGACTTCAGGGACTCTTGGGAATACAAGTAAAAATGGACCAATCAAGTCACTTCTGACCCAGACCACAGCCCCATCCTTGGGCACAACTTAGTACAGCTCCAATGGTGAAAACCCCTTCAGAGTGACATAGGCCACTTGCTGCGAATTCCTATTTCTTAAGAACCAGCATCTGCATCAGAATACCACAATTTTATTTTCTCACAAGCTTCTTGATCTGTCCTCACAAAAACATTTAGATTTCTTTTTTTTTTTTTTGAGATGTAGTTTCACTCTTGTTGTCCAGGCTGGAGTCAATGGTGCGATCTCACCTCACTGCAATCTCTGCCTCCCAGGTTCAAGCAATTCTCCTGCCTCAGCCTCCTGAGTAGCTGGAATTACAGGCATGCACCACCACACCCAGTTAATTTTGTATTTTTGGTAGAGACGAGGTTTCTCCATGTTGGTCAGATTGGTCTCAAACTCCCGAATTCAGGTGATCCGCCCACCTTGGCCTCCCAAAGTACTGGGATTACAGGTGTGAGGCACTGCGCCCAGCCAACATTTAGATTTTAATTAATTAAATTTTCCTTCCAACGTAGTATTTTTCTAAGAGCCTACTCCATTGAGGTCTTGGAAGACCAGGCCATTTAGCCTCCACTCCTGGAAAGGCCTTGCTCTTTCTATTCCCACTTTCCTTGAGGCACAAAAGCAAACACATATGGACAAGGAGAGCAAAACTAGTAATGTTCACTGGAGTGTGTGAAACTGTTAGGGTAGTCATCACTGCATGAAATATGGCCTTTCCCATCCAAGTTTCCACTCCAATAGAGAAATGAGGTTGGATTGTAGTTTACATTGTCCTTCACTTGGTGCAGTTTTCTCCATTCTGACATTTTTATAAATTTAAAACAAAGAATCTTTGGGCTTTCCTGATACTGACACCAAATTCTGCCTGTAATTATGTCCACATTCACCAACTAAGTCACTGTTCTCTATATGAGTAAGTCACCAGCTATAACTATATTGAGGAAAGAACCCCCAATCTAGCATCATACCCAGCCCTACCAGGCCTGTGTAAGCTTGAATACTTCTTGATGTAGCCCTCAGCCTCAGCTTTCTCATTTGTAAAAAGAAAAAGGAGGATAGATGTTAATTCTAAATGATGGCCTTTAGCAACCCTTCTGACTCTTCGATGCTTTGATAAATGCCCAAATGAAACCTGAGATACAAAATAGCACATGCCATTGCATGTGAGCAAAAGAGATTTCCACGTTCATCAAAGTATCCTCCTCACCATCCTCAAGGTTGATCTTAGGTTCAGAAAGGCTACAGACTCATCAGAAGGCAAACCACAATAACAAAAGAAAGTTCTCCTAAAAACCGGTATGCCATTGTTTCCTTTTTAGTTAAAGTAATGGGGCAGAAATATTTTTCTCTTTTCATTGTCTTTATTTACATTTGCTTTGTTCTACATTTTCTATTTTTAAATAGATAATACAAACTCCAAAAGGTTGTTCAGTGAAATTAATGTAAATCACCCTTCCTTCTTTCTCCCTCCCTTTACCCTAGCCACCCAGTTTATCTCCCCTGAGGCCACCACTGTTCCTTGTCAGAATTACTTTTGCTACTAGATATCATCAGAACTATTTTTTATTAATGCAAAAATAATTCCTAGTTGCATTAACATTGCCTTCATTTAAGCAGGTGATTATAGTAAACATATAAGGCATGTGGGCCTATTTGTTTGCTCTAGCTCCTGCTTAACTATTTCCTTTGGCTTGAGTGCCTTGAGGTAAATCTAAGGTCAACGTCTAGCTGAGTCAATGTACAATGGTGACACAGCAACACATTTAAGACATCTGGTAAGCAGGGAAGCCAGGCAGAAAGAGTTAAGAATGGAAATTTCAAAATCATTCTTCACTCTACCCACAGTTCTTTAGAATGAGAGGCACCTGCTTGAAATACATGAACTTTAATAAGAGCCTCTGACTCAGAAAGTTCTACCTCCCTAAAGAACTTGGGGGACCCAAGTGTAAGTCTGTAGAAATCACTCGGAACCTTCCAATGAAGAAATTGACTTTAAGGGAAGCTCAGTTAGTTTTTACCGGTTTGCAAGAACTCTGTGGACCACAATTTAATGTTAAACACAGCACAAAAAAAGACTGTTCTGTCTTAGCAGAGACCAATCAAGAGCCAAAGCCTATGGAGGACCAATCAACAGCAAGGGAGGTGCAGGAATTCCAGCAGAAAGGACAATAAAACTGGCTTACATAATTTAAAGAGAGTGTGTTGCATCCCTTAGCACCTACTCACTAACAGTGTTAATGACATCCCTTCAGGGAAAGAATTTTCTACCTAAGAAGAAACATAAAAATTGAACTTTACAGATGAAGCCAAAGATGACACAATGTAATGCAAGGAAACAAGCCTTCAAAAGCTTGCATTGTTAATATTTTGGCATTGTTTTTCTGATGGGCTGAAACACATTATGAATAAAACAAGTCTAGATGATGCAAGAGAATGCAACTGATCAAACGCAAATTTCAAGTCTTGTTTGTTTCCATTACATCCACAGTGCCAGTTTTAGAGGTTACTTTTCAGTCTTTATTAGGGCAACCTGAAGACATTAGACTTCCTATTGCAGTGGTTTATAACAAAACCTCTTCTAATGGATATTAGCATTAGATATTAAAGAGAAGATAATAAGAAAACATGAGATTTAATTATGAGATCCAAAGATGTTTGCATAATTTAAGTTTTATTGACTCCAAGTGTTGAACTGAATAACATTTGATATGATCCAAACACAAACAACCTAACCAGTGCATTGCAGATCATCAACATCAAGTTATCTTGTTCTTTAACGAGTTCTCCAAGTTCTCTAAGGAGCTGATATATTTTTCCTATTCTCTTTTCCCTAATTATGTTTCCCCAGGGTTGTTCTCATGCACAAGAATCATGCGGAAAGAATCTTCCTAGCTTTCCCTCCCACGAGAATTATGTACACTTGACTTGGCACAGAACAGACCTGAAGTAAAACCCTGACATGGCCCTAACACCTTTGAAATTTAGAAGCTTTAAGATATACTAACCTGAGTTACTAAAGATCCTAAAGAAATTTAGCTCAATTGAGCCCTATTGATAGATGTAATAATTGTTGGCTCTTCTAAACATTGAGCCATTATTTCTAGAAAGTTATTTTGAACTTTGCAATTTTTTTTGTTAAATGATTTATAGAGGTCAACTTAATTAACCTCTAGACTGGCTTCATTGATGTACACAATCTTTAGTCCAGGAGAACTTAAATGTGAATACCATTATAGATAAGTGGCTTAAAAATTTTTCTACCATGTTACTGGTACAAAAACAGACACATAGACCAATAGAACAGAATAGAGATATCAGAAATAAGACCTCACATCTACAACCATCTGATCTTCAACAAACTTGACAAAAACAAGCAATGGGGAAAGGATTCCCTATTTACTAAATGGTGACGGGAAAACTGGCTAGCTATATGCGGAAGATCAAAACTGGACCCCTTCCTTACACCTTTTACAAAAATTAACTCAAGATGAATTAAAGACTTAAATATAAAATCCAAAACTATAAAAATCCTAGAAGAAAATTTAGACAATACCATTCAGGACATAGGCACGGGCAAAGATTTCAACAGAAAAACAAAAACAAAAACAAAAGCCAAAATTGGCAAATGGGATCTAATTAAACTAAAGAGCTTCTGCACAGCAAAAGAAACTATCATCAGAGTGAACAGACAACCTAAGAATGGAGAAAAATGTTGCAATCTATTCATCTGACATAGATTTAATATCCAGAAGGAACTTAAACAAGTTTACAAGAAAAAAACAAACAACCCCATTAAAAAGCGGGCAAAGTACATGAACAGACACTTCTCAAAAGAAGACATTATGCAGCCAACAAACATATGAATAAAAGCTCAACATCACTGATCATTAGAAAAATGCATATCAAAACCACAATGAGATACAGTCTCACGCCAGTCAGAATGGCAATTGTTAAAACGTCAACAAACAACAGATGCTGGCAAGGCTGTGGAGAAATAGGAACACTTTTACACTGTTGGTGGGCATGTAATTTAGTTCAATCATTATGTAAGACAGTGTGGTGATTCCTCAAAGACCTAGAATCAGAAATACCATTTGACTCAGCAATCCCATTGCTGGGTATATACCCAAAGGAATACAAATCTTTCTATTATAAAAATACATGCATGCACCGTTCACAATAGCAAAGACATGGAATCAACCCAAACGCCCATCAATGATAGACTGGATAAAGAAAATGTGGTACATATACACCATGGAATACTATGAAGTAATAAAAAGGAATAAGAGCTTGTCCTTTGCAGAAACATGGATGCAGCTGAAAGCCATTATCCTCAGCAACGTTACACAGGAACAGAAAACCAAACACCACATGTTCTCACTTCTAAGTGGGAGCTGAACATGGACACAGTGAGGGGAACAATGCACACTGAGGCCTCTCAGGGGAGAGGTGGGAGGGAGAGCATCAGGATAAATAGCTAACGCATGTGGGGCTTAATATCTAGGTGATGGGTTGTAACAAACCTGCACATCCTGTATGTACATACCAGGACTTAAAATTAAATTAAATTAAAATTTAAAAAAAATTCTACCATGACCAAGAGTAAGAAATATAATTTATACAATCACCAAGATACATAGACATATATGTATACATATATTTATATATTTATATGCTCACATACTTATATATCTAAAACAAAATTGCACAAAATTGGACTTTTATTTGAAAAGAGAAATGTATATTTTCTCATATACATATATATATATATAATATATATATATATATGCAGTCAACTCTCATTATTCATGGTAGTTATTTTCTATAAAGTCACCATGAACACTGAATTAGCTAAACCATTGCTCAAACAGGAAATACAGGGTTAGATTCCTCTGAATTTCAGGTACAATGTTTTCCTCAACTGATCAATACATATTCTTGTTTTGTGTGTGTTTCTGTTTCAAGACATCTAATTTAATATATGTTGTTGATTCATTAACATTGAACTCACAGCTAACAGCATTATGGCTCATGCCTGAACAAAGTTTATCAAATACATTTTCTCCATAAGGTACATGACAGCCTTCTTGCACTTAGGAATGTTAGAAACACTTCAACACTACATTTTAAACAGTGAAATTACCAACAAAATGTGCAAAAATGCACAAAAACATGACACTAAATGGATTGTAAAAAGGACATTTATTTACAGTATGAGAGCTGAAACAAGAAGGTAGAGCATCACCTTGCTTGTCCTCAGCTGGAAAAATGTGAGTTGAGCAACTCAAATTTTTCTGTGCTCTGTGTATACCTGCAAATGACTGTAAAAGCAGCATTAATATTGACTTTGGAGTTACAAATACATTTTTGTAAGTAGACAAATTTGCAAGTATTGAATCCACAAATGAGGACCAACTATAAACATATGTGTGTGTGTGTATAAGTGTGTGTATACCATTGTTTAAGCTTGCATGCAAAATTAGCAAAATATAAAAACATGCAAACATTGAACCAAAGAGGTAAAAGTTTCCTATGAGGGAAACTAAAAAACACTGATTAAAGAAATTGTAGATAACACAAACAAATGGAAAAACACCTCATGCACATGGATTGGAAGGAACATTCATTAAAATGAACATACTGCCCAAGGAAATCTACAGATTCAATGCAATTCCTATCAAAATATCAATGTCATTTTTCATAGAATTAGAAAAAGCAATCCTAAAATTCATATAGAACCAAAAAAGAGACCAAATAGCCCAAGCAGTCCTAAGCAAAAAGAACAAAGCTGGAATCATCACATTACCTGACTTTAAATTATGCTACAAGACTATAGTAATCAAAACAGCATAGTACTAGTATAAAAATAGACACATAGATCAATGGATCAGAATGAAGAACTCAGAAATAAAGCCACATACCTATAGCCAGCTGATCTTCAACAAAGTCAACAAAAACATACACTGGAGAAAGGCCATCCTGTTCAATAAATGGGGCTGGAAAAATTGGATAGCCACATGCAGAAAAATAAAACTGGACCTTTCCTGCTAGTGAAGTTTCTTAAAAAATAAAAATAAAAAAAGAGAAAAAAAGAAACTAGATCTATATCTCTCACCATATTAAAAAAATTAACTCCAGATGGATTAAAGACTTAAATGTATAACCTGAAACTTATAAAGTACAAATTCTAAATAAAATAAATAAATAAATAAATAAAGATTCTAGAAGAAAACGTAGAAAAAACTCTTCTAGACATTGGCCTAGACAAAGAATTCATGACTAAAACCTCAGAAGCAAATGCATCAAAAATACAAAGTAGACAAATGGGACTTAATTAAACTAAAAAATTTCTACATGGCAAGAGAAATAATCAACAGGATGAACAGACAACCTACAGGATTGAGAAATTATTTGCAAACTGCGCATCTGACAAAGGCCTAATATCCACCAGAATCTACAAGGAACTCAAACAACTCAATAAGAAAAAAGCAAATAACCTCATTAAAAAGTGGGCAAATTATATGAAGATATATTTCATAAGAAGACACACAAATAGCCAACAAGCACTTGACAGAACATTCAACATCAGTAATCATCACAGAAGTGCAAATTGAAACCACAAAGAGATACCATCTTACACCAGTCAGAATGGCTATCATTAGAAAGTCTAAAAATAACAGATGTTGGCAAGAATGCGGAGAAACAGGAACACCTATACGCTGTTGTTGGGAATAAATTAGTACAACCTCTATGGAATACAGTATGGAGATTTCTTGAAGAACTAAACATAGAACTATCATTCCACCCAGCAATCCCACTACTGTGTATCCACCCAAAGGAAATCAAATCATTAAATGAAAAAGACATCTGTACTCGGATATTTATCACAGCACTATTCACAATAGCAGAGTCATGGAGACAATCTAGATGCCCATCAGTGGATGATTAAACAAAGGAAATGTGGTATGGAAATACTGTAGCACACTACTTAGTCATAAAAAAAAGAATGAAATCATGTTTTTTGCAGCAACATGAATGAAACAGGAGGCCATTATCTTAAGTGAAATAACTCAGAAACAGAAACTCAAGTACCTCATGTTCTCCCTTATAAGTGGGGGCTAAATAATGTGTACACATGGATACAGAAAGTGGAATAACAGACAATGGAGACTCAGAAAGGCCGGAGGGTGGGAGGAGTGTGAGGGATGACAAATTACTTAATGGCTACAATGCACACTATTCAGGTGATGGTTACACTAAAAGCCCAGACTTCACTGCTACACAATATAACTGTGTAACCAAACTGCACTTGCACCCCTTAAATCTACAAAAATAAATAAATACATAAATAAAAACATGCACGAAAACTCAAGACTATGTTTATCTTTGTCAATGGAAGAAGGAAATAGTAACTGTAAAGTCTTATTTCTTAAGCTAGATTTACATAGACATTTGTCTATTTCATGACTTTGTGCTAATTTTTTCAACCTAAAATGTTTTATTAAAATATTTTAAAGTACTTATTTGCATATATGCAAAATCACACCGGTCCTCATCACAGAAAAGACAACAGTTCCTTGGTGATTTTAGTTTAATTTAGTATAGATGTAAACTAATGAGAGGGAACTTATCAAGGTAAATATGTTGCATCAATCAAAACAGCATGCATTGCTGTCAAAGACATGTGGCATATACCTGCTTTCCTCCATAGATGCTGAAGGTTTTTTGGTTTTTTTTTCTTCTAAAAGATTCCAAATAAGTATTGAAATCAAATCATTCAAGAATAAATATCACATTAACTAGGATATCTCAATACCACCTCACCAGAGTCCTCCTGGGTCAGCTTCTAAAATAAAATGTCAAATGAGTCCTCCAACACTCAGCATCCAGATCTTGGAATGAAGTACTTATTTCTGAAATTTCACTGTGTTCTCCATCTATCCCCTCCCCACAAAAAAAGTTTGAACTTCTTGACCTCTGAGTAAAACTGATTATCTAAAATCTGAAGTCGCAAATAAACCTACTTGTAAAGATCCTCTGAGAGAAAAGTATCATGGGCATGACCAGATGCAAATTTCTTCTTTCTTTTTTCTATTTCAGTAAGGTATAATGTGTGGCCCAGTTTATGCAGAGAAATAACTCTAAGAGTTGGAGTTAGATATGCGAATTAGAACCTAGTCTTAAGAACGAAAGATCAGAAATCACTGGTTCAAAAAGAAGGAAGATATAGATCAACAGGAAAATAGTAAACCTCATCAAGATTACAAGCCTCAGACAAAGATATCACTAGACCTAAATCCATTGCGTCTTGAAATAAGGAAGTAAGATCATTTCATCATCAAGACATTAGTCTCTGTACATTTAGAATTAGAGCATAATCAAAAGGCTTAATTCGTCCATATTGGACATGAAGGTCATGGCACAAGGAACAGCCTTATAATGAGGCATCAAATATAGCCTAAAAGAACATTAGCATAAACAAAATATAAACTTTCTTGGAAGTAAACTACTCATTCCTTTGAAAATAAACCAAAGGAAATCAGATTAACCCTGAGCTGTTCACTTAAAATTCAGGTACAATTTATTTCTAAGAATATATCCATCACAAAACTGAGCCTATTAGCAGCAATTATTTAAGGATATTTTCTAGGTCATTGTCATCACAAGGCATTAATTACCCAGTCTCCTGAAGTAATCTGCATGAGAAATATTTCAAGTAGAATATCAGTTGTCAAGGAAGGGGGAGACCAGATACCCTACCGGGATCTTTGGCTCTTCCCCAAAGGAGGTAGAATGGGGACAGAGAGGAATAAGGATTAAGGAACATGTAAGCAAAAGAGAAAAAAAAAAGTCAGATGTGAAATTATAACTGACTTCTAAGAAGATGTATTTATTTTGGTTCCCTTTTTGCAGAATTGCTGGCTGGTTATTTCAGGGAATCATGTTTAAGTCTTCAGATCTCTCTTTAGGTGAAAAAATAGTTCCTTGGGTGAAAAAGAGAAAAAATGGGATAAGTCTTTATCCCTTTATTTTAGTCATTTGTATACAGGTTTGTTTTACTTATAAAGCCATTTTATTTCATAATGAAGCCACACAGAAAAAGAAGAACAAAAGAAAGAAAAGAAAAACCCAGGGGATTGATTTTATTTTACTTTTTAGTCTGAAAATAAGGTCTTAGTTCATCTTTAAGTCAACAGATTTTGTTCCTTTTTTTTAAAAAAAAATAAATTACAAAGGTTCTAGTTCTGGTTCACTGCTATAATATGTTATTGTATGTGTTATACTAAAAGGACGATTATAGTTTGGATTCTGCTAACTCTGGCAGTGAGGATTTGTTCCATCAGGATTCGGACAGGGACGAGAAAAGAAAAAAGGAAGGGAGAGGAGGAGAGAAGAGAGGAGGGGAAGGGAAGGCCAGGGAAGGGAAAATTTCCAAGGAAGACAGCATGCACTGCAGATCCATTTTGTGATAAATATCTTCAAGAAAAGAGACTGCAAAGAGCATGATTGTCATGGATTAGTGTAATTTTTAAGGCCATTCAAAGAAGTGAAGTGGGATTAAAAGAACATTTACAAAGAAACTACAATGTTGGTTTGTTTCTTCCATTTTTGGCCATTTGTGTAGCTCAGGCACATGGGTAGGGCAGAGATGTCAAAAAGAGACCATTGGCGGTGAGTCTATTTACAACACCTCTGCCCATTAGATCTCGCAGCTGAAATGTTCATGTCCTTAAAAATATGGGAGAATTAAGCTAAATATTGACTCTGGAAGATCTAGAATTTCATGTCCATATTATATCATCTGAAGTTTTTCACAGGAAAGCATTCCAAACATTCAGTAAAATTGTTTTTAACCAGTGGATTCATGCAGATTATCAACTGATTAAGAATAACGAAATATTATGAACTTTAATACATAAGTAAAAGGCAGCACTCTCTCTTCAATTCAAGGTCCATTAATCTGGAATTTGTGATATTTGACTTGGGCTTCTTTTGCAGTATTTCTAGAGAGCAATTTATGTTTGTGAAATCTCTGATGTAAACAAGGTTTCAGGGGGGAATGCTTGACCTACTTAAGAGAACAAACTGTTTTCTAGTACTATCTAATAGCATCATTTGTATATAAACAATTAATGTGTTATTTCAAATGCCATCTTATCTATTCACCAAAACACAGCAGGCCTTCTCTCGCCTTGGTAAGGATTTGTTTGCAGGTAATTCAAAGTATTCTGTGCCTTATGAAAATAATAATGCCTTTCTTTCAATATAACGTGAACTTTTCAACAATTCTGTCTTGCTGCCTCCCAGAGTCATTCCATGTTTATACAATATAATTTTTTCATGTAAATGATGGCATAATTACAGGAAGTCGATGTAGGACTTTGATATTTTTTCAGTCCAAGATTTTTGGATAGGGAACAATATGTGTGGGGAGCTGAAAGACACTAAGTAATGGAGGTTGAGATTCAAATCTCAGAGAGGTAGTTGAGTTGTACATGACTTTTTCCTAAACACAGTTCAAAATTGTCTTCCAAAGGTTAACAGTTTCCATGACTTCACTAACTTTTACTTTCAAACTTTCAAATGGTTTCCATGTTCTCTATTTTGTTAGAGCCTCCTCTGGAACTTTTTTGTCATTTACAGCCTTACCTTTTAGTAAGTATCACTCTCCCAAGAATGTCAAACTTAATCAAACAGTTGCATAAGATTCAACCCCACTCACTTTCTAAATAAATTCACTTAAATCAAGATACCTTGAGCATTTGCTTCAGAACAAAATGTTCCTGAAGCCAGTGGTTTATGCTGCTGAGAAATTAGCTCTCAAGTGTGACAGTCTCACAATTTCTATCAGAAGAATTGAAGCCACTTACAATTTAATCCATTGTTAGCTCTATTCTGGGTTCACTCTTACAAATCGTCAAAGGTTTAATAGGTACATTATAGACTCTGTAAATGACAAACACTATTCAAATAAAAGAATGAAAAAATTAAAATATTCATTATACAACTAGGAAAATTGACACTTTGCAATGTTAAAGTGAGGCATCAAAAAATATATCCATGTAAAACTATCTTTATAGCATACCTGTGCCACATTAACTTATAAAGGAATTGTTATCTAGCATTCTATTTTCCATATTGCCTTCCCTGTATTTCCATGTTGCTGCAGATGAAAGTTCTCTCTATGTCTTCTAATGCGTACAACACTTTTATTTTCTCTTCTTGTACTAGTCACGTTCTACTTTAAATCATTGTTACTTACAGTATTATAGCTGAAAGACATTTTTATAACAACCGCATTATATACATCTTAATTTCTCCATTAGATTATATTTCTTTTGTCTTTGAGTCATGGGAGCTTAGTACAGTGCTTATGCAAACTGGTGTGCTCAATACATGTTTGATTAATGATGAATCCTGAGAAAATTGCTCTCTCAATATCCTAGGCTATATTTCAGATTCATGGCTTTTCAAAAGGTGAGTAGATTTCAAATATTGATCTAGCATTCATAAGATGACATTTCAACAAATTTAGTAAATCCTGTAGGCAAGATAGCTTATTTTACTTCCTCTTGATTAATTTTCACACACACACACACACACACACACACACACACAGACTTTGAGTCATATATTATATTTGCACATCATGGATACGAAAACATATTCAAAGAAGTTAGATTATTTCCTTAGATTGTATATCTTAAGGGCTAGAGGCCACATTTAGTGTTCTTCTCAGTATATCTACAAGCCTTATTCAAATCTCTTCCTTCATACCAATTCAATCTCCCCATGCATCATATAGTTTAGTGAGCAAAAGCAATGAGTCATGAACATGTGTAGTCATTTTCTTGGGCAACATTACTCTGTTTCTGTCCTCAGTTTTACTTCATTGTTTACCCAATATACTACGATTTTTATTTTTGGAAGCTCAAATTTACCTTTTAAACTAAAAAATACTCTACTTTTTAATTTTGGTACGCCTTGTCCTACCCTGCAGGACATCAGCCCAGCCCTGGCTTGACTGATCAGGAACACAGTTCAACTTTATCCAGCCTCCTGTGCTGAGGAATCAGACAGTGAAGGGAAGGAATTAAGGGAAGGAATAAAAGACCTTTCCAGCCTTGAGTATCACTAAGCTTTATGTCTCTGAATGCTATGCTAATGCATTGGCTGCCATTTTTCAGTGTGTCCCATTAGAGATAAGTATTTTAAAGAATCACAGCAATTTTTGAGATATATTGGAGGACAGTACTTTTTTTATTCACTCCCAGTTTCAAAGTCTTTAAGCCAAAATCTAAACACTCCATAGTATTAATATTGTACTGGGCATTTAAGATATCCAAGAAATAATTAAGTGATAGTGGATCTCGCATTTTCACCCATTGCAAATACTTGCAATTTTCCTTCACTTTAACTCTTCATCTGTTCATTCACATGTTAAGTCATTTATTCAACAAATATTTATTAAGTACCTGTTCTGTGTTACCTATTGTTCTTAGACTACCAGTTTAGTAGGAAACAATACAAGGTTGCTGCTGTCCTAAAACCAACATGGGCATGGTATGAAGAGAGACTAGAAATAAACATTCACTTTGGGAGGCCGAGGCAGGCAGATCACTTGAGGCCAGGAGTTTGAGACCAGCCTGGCCAACATTGCAAAATCCTGTCTCTACTGAAAATACAAAAAATTAGCCGGGTGTGGTGGCACATGCCTGTAATCCCAACTACTCAGGAGGCTGAGGCAGGAGGATTGCTTCCACCCGGGAGGCGGAGGTTGCAATGAGCCAAGATGGCACCACTGCACTCCAACATGGGAGACAGAGCGAGACTGTCTCAAAAAAAAAAGGAGGGGGTGGGGGAGAAATTAAAAAGAAAGAAACATTTAACATAATTTTAAGTGTTACGAAGAAAAGTGTTATGATGAAAATAAAGCAAGGACAGAATCAGGGTAAGGGAAGTGATAATGATATTTAAAATAAGGCAAGAATTTAAAAAGAGCCAGCCATAATAAATAATCTAAGGAAAGAAAATCTACAGATTAGAAGGGAAAATAATGAAAGACTTTACAGAGCCCTGTAAATCAAGAAAACAAAAAAGAAAACCAACAAAAATGAAAATACACACATCTAATCAAGAGATATAGTGATTTCGATCGGGACCTCAAAGATGCACTCACAGGGTCAATATAATTTCGGTCTTGGAGGTTTAAATGGCAACAGTACAATTTCACTAAAAATTTTATTTGGATTAAAATCCTCTCCTCCCTAATCATCAAAACGAAAAACTCATGAGGCCTGTTTGACAGTAAAAAGTTACAAAGTTCTAACCATAGGTCCATTTACCTAAAACAACTTAAGGGCTTCGACCTGTCCTTGTTGTTATAATGTAACTTCCTTGCATCATTTTAAAACATCCGCACTTGTGACAAAATGTAGGAAAATGAAATGGTTTTGTGGATCTTGTGAACTGCATCAAAGAACAATTATACAGAGTATTTTCCTTATATTTGTTAATGTTAATTCTATGAGTACCCACAAAGTGGATATCTCATTGTTCACTCCTGCTCTTATGTCTTCGATGTCTGTACTATGTTGGAAAAACAGTCTTACCGTCTGTCTTCAGCCCTACCACCAAACACCATCACCCATTCAACACAATAACCATAATTTTAGATCAATGACCTTTATAGTATGGTTTCTGGCCTACTGGGTAATCTTAATGAGTCAAGAATTAACCATAAAAATGAAGACCCTGTATTTGTTTGTTTGGGGGCTTTTGTTTGCTTTTTTAGACAAGGTCTCACTCTGTTGCTCAGGCTTTAGTGCACTGGCACCATCGTGGCTCACGGCAGACTCAAACTCCTGGGCTCAAGCGATCTTCCAACTTCAGCATCCTAAGTAGCTGTGACAACAGGCGCACACCACTACACCTGACTAATTTGTACATTTTTTTGTATATATGGGGGTCTCACTACATTGCTCAAGCTGGTCTCAAATTCCTGGACTCAAGCGATCCTCCTGCCTTCGCCTCCCAAAGTGCTGGGATAACAGATGTGAGCCACTGTGCCCAACCTGAAAAGATAAATTCTTTTGGCTTTCATTTTTACATACCTTATTACCTTATAACTGTAAAATGACTAATTAAAGGCTACTGACATTTTATATTCATAAGTTAACAATAGCTCATTCTTAAGGCTTTCTGAGAATTTGCTTTGCTTTCAAGTCTGGCTATCATACAACTTTTTGAAATTTTGCAAGGTTTGGACTGGACTGTGCATGCAAATGTGCAGAAAGTTAGAATTTTTGTAGTTCGGGCAATCAGCATATGTTGTTGACTAGAGTAGATTGTGGTTTTCCAATTGCTGCTTTTCTTAACATCTAAATGCAAATTAATGTTAGTTAATTATATCATGTCGAATTTAATTTGCTGGTGGTTGTTTAACACAATAGTATATTATCTCTAAATAATTGCTTTTATGGAATATAATTTTTAATATAAAATATAAGACATGAATATGCCCATACTTCTATACTTCATATATGTATACATAAAATAGAAGTTTTCCATTCCATCTGTTTATTAGAAATTACTTAGAGGAGATACTCTGCCCATGAATTTGTACTGTTTTAATAATTTCTAACAATTTATTAAGGTGAGTGTGATAAAAATTTATGAAGCATTTTTAAGTTTGTAAAACATTGTCTTTATAAATGTAGATCTGAAATCCCTTATCCAAAACCCTAAGAACAAGATGTGTTGTTTTAAAATTAAGAAATTTTCGGGCCAGTTGCCATGGCTCATGCCTGTAATTTCAGCCTTTTGGGAGGATGAGGCAGGAGGATCATTTGAGCCCAGGAGTTCAAGACCAGCCTGGGCAATATGGTGAAACCCTGTCTCTACAAAATATATAAAAATTAGCCAGGCATGGTGGTGCACGCCTGCAGTCCCAGATACTCGGGAGGCTGAAGTGGGAGGATCAAATGAGTCCAGAAGGTTGAGGCTGCAGTGAGCTATGTGATTGCACCACTGCACTCCAGCCTGGGTGGCAGAGTGAGACCCTGCCTCAAAAAAATTAATTAATTAATTAATTAATTAATTAAAATGAAATTAAGAACTTTTCAAATTCTAGACAGGTAATGTATAATGCTATATATTACAAAACACCAAATCTGGAATGTTGAGCAGCAGCCCATAATCAACCACATCAATATTTTTGCAGTGACATATATGAATGCTTACACTAAATTGATAATGAAAGGCTAAGAAAAACCTCATACAAGTTGCAGTCAGGCTTTTCAGCCAAATGAATCTGTACCAAACTTGCAGAAGAACTTAAATTTTCAGAGCTTTTTGGATTTCAGAATTGCAAATAAGATCTTGCGAGCCGATATACATCATTTTTCTTTCCCTTGTAAAGTGAATGGAATGGCAACTTTTAAAAAACAAACAACACAGGCAGTGGCTCACACCTGTAATCCCAGCACTGTGGGAGGCCAAGGCAAGCAGATAACTTGAGGTCAGGAGTTCAAGACCAGCCTGGCCAAAATGGTGAAACCCCATCTCTACTAAAAATACAAGCCATTGCACTCCAGCTTGGGTGACAGGGTGAAACTCCACCTCAAAACAAGCAAACAAAACCAAGAATCCTTGCTTAAAAGTTGGTCATTGGTCATAGTACTCCTCTCTGGGCATATAAATGAGTTCAATTAGTCTAATACTTCATGGCCATTTTATTTGTGAAAAAAAAGAGCTTTTAGATAATTACAGGAAATAAGATAAGACAAGATTATAACTAAACCTTTCTGCATATAAAATGAATTAATACTTTTAGAAGGTCAGTAAACTTCCTATGAAAAACTGGGAGAAAAAACTGAAGGAACTAGCAACATGGAGAAGGCCTAGTAGAAGAGATGACTTATAAAAACTGCCTGGCATTGGGGGAGTTTGGGGAAAAAGCCAAAGGACTTGTAAGAACAAATATGTTTATTTTAGTTCAGCTTTAAGCTATTGGTTTTACTAAGATTAGATAACTTCCTCCTGTCCTATTCCCACTACCTGACAGGTAGGGGAAGTTCTCACTTAAATGGAGCAAGGCCAGAAAATTAGAGCCTATACTTTATAAAATTGCTGCCAGAAATGATGGTTTCAGGCTGGCTTTTGAACATGGAAAATCCAGGATTACAGATTGAATCTGTCTGTGAAAGAAGAGAAGATATGGAGAAAGAAAATTAACATTTCATTGTTGCCTCTGATAGTTAATTTTATGTGTCAACTTGATTGGACTAAGGGATGCCCAGATACTTGAAAAATCATTATTTCTGGGTGTGTCTCTGAGGGTATTTCTAGGAGAGATTAGCATTTGAATCAGTAGATGAGTAAAGAAGATCTACCCTCACCAACATGGGCAGGCATCATTCCATCCCTTGAGGACATGAATGGAACAAAAATGTAGAGACAGGCCTGTAACCCCAGCACTTTGGGAGGCCAAGGCGGGTGGATCACGAGGTCAGGAGATCCAGACCATCCTGGCTAAGACGGTGAAACCCCGTCTCTACTAAAAATACAAAAAAAATTAGCCGGGCGTGGTGGTGGGTGCCTGTAGTCCCAGCTACTCGGGAGGCTGAGGCGGGAGAATGGTGTGAACCCGGGAGGCGGAGCTTGCAGTGAGCCGAGATCGCGCTACTGCACTCCAGCCTGGGCGACAGAGGGAGACTCCGTCACAAAAAAAAAAATGTAGAGACAGGATGAATTCCGTTTCTGTCTTCATGAGCTAGGACATCCATCTTCTCCTGCCTTTGGACATTAGAGCTCTTGCTTCTGAGGACTTCAGACTCTAGGACTTAAGAGTCTGACACCAGCAAACTCCACCACCTACCTGCCATCACCTCCCACCCTGATTCTCAAGCCTCCAGCCTATAGGACTGGGAGTTAGATCATCAGCTTCCCTGGTTTTCAAGCCTTTAGGCTCATACTGAATCACACCTCCGCCTTTCATGGTTCTCCAGCTTGCAGATAGCATACTGTGGAACTTCACAGCCTCCATAATCAAGTGAGCCAATTATTATAATAAATCTCTTCTCATATATCTCTATATATCTTATTGGTTCTGCTTCTCTGGAGAACAGTAATACATTGTTTACATGTTTTGATTCATTTGAAACTCCATTTTACTGGTGAGGCAATGGAATTTCAGAAAACTAAACATTCTCTTTGATGGTCATTCGGCTGTGGTACAGACTAGAGAATCTTGCAGTGAAACCAGAGTCTGAAAGTGTTCTCTTTCCAGTATGGTAGAATAAATCCTTAACAGACAAAACAACCTGCAAATAACAAATATAAATTCTGGACAAAATACAGTGGGCAACTACTTCAGGGCTCTAGAGAATAAAAAGACCAGGGAGATGTTAAGGGGATATTGACATTTGGAAGAAGGCAACAGTGCAGGATGAGTTTTCTATTTTTGTGATTTTATTCTGAAAGCAGTCTGTCTGTAGTCATGGCATGTTGCAAGGTGGCTTATACTTTGCTTTGTTTTGTTTTGTTTTGTTTGAAAAAACAGAAACGTTCTAAATTGGGCGCAGTGGCTCACACCTGTAATCCCAGCACTTTGGGAGGCCAAAGAGGATCATTTGAGTCTAGGAGTTTGAGAACAGCCTGGGCAACAATAGTGAGATCTCATCTCTACAAAAAATCAAAAAGATGTGCCGGGCATTGTGGCAACTCGGGAGCCTGAGGTAGAAGGCTCACTTGAGACGGGGAGGTCAAGGCTGAAGTGAGCTGTGATTGTGCCACTGCACTCCACCAGCCTAGACAACAGAGTAAGATGCTGTCAAAAAAACAAACAAACAAGCAAACAACAACAAAAAACCTTTATCTTTCTTGTATGAAGAACCAGATGATGGAGCCAAAACAACTTCCAGTTGAAACTAAAAGAACAAAACTGATATCTAAGCTGCTACCTACCATAGGCAAAACAGAGTTTGCAATTTGCATCTCACTGGGTAAATTGCCTGTTAGCACAGAAACATAAATCCTTTTTGGAAAAATATAACAGAATTCAGGACCATACAACATAAAACTCACAGTATCCTGGATATAATTTAAAACTTCTTGATATGTGAAGAAGTGGGAAAATGTGATTCATTCTCAAGGGAGAAGATAGAAAAGCAAAAGCCAACCATAAGATGAATTTGCCATTGAAATTACCAAACAAATACTATAAAGCTGCTATTTCAACAAAGTTCAGTAAGGTAAAGGAAAATACACTCCTAATGAATGAAAGGATAAAAATCTCAGAAGAAAAATAGAAACTATAAAAAAGAACAAAATACAAATTCTAAAATTGAAATATAAAATTTCTAAAATGAAGGTACGCAGGATTGGTTTAACAACAAAATAAAGATGGCAGACAGAAGTGTCAGTGAACATCAAGGTAGATCAGGAGAAATTGTTTAATGTGAAGAAGAGCATTTGTGTGTGTGTGAGAGAGACAAGGTCTCACTCTGTGGGTAATACCCGGGCTGGAGTGCAGTGGCAGGATCATAGCTCACTACAGCCTTGACCTCCTGGGCTCAGGCAGATCCTCTTACCTCAGCTTCCCAAGTAGCTGGGACCACAAGTGTGAGCCATCATGCCAGGCTAATGTTTTTATATTTTGTAGTGTTGGTGTCACCCTGTGTTGCCCAGGCTGGTCTCAAACTCCTAGGCACATGCTATCTTCCCACCTCAGCTTCCCAAAGTGCTGGGATTACTCATGCCACCACACCTGGCTGAGAAAAAATATTTAATGAGGAAACTAAAGGAACAAGTAGAACAATATCAAAAGTCCAATACATGTGTAAATGGAATTCAAGAAAGAAAGAAAGAAAAGAACTCCCAGTTTCCAGTCTGGCATGTAAGAAGCTTGCAAGTCACCACTCTGTTTGTCATAACAAGAAGTAAAAAACTGAACAAATTGAAAAATCAACAGCTTACACCATCAGAGAAGTGAGATCACAAGGCAAACCACTGCCCCCAAAATTGGAGAGACAGACAGATACAGAGAATCCCAACTTCCCAAAGCAAAAACTCATAAGCAGAAACTGCAGGAATCAGCAGTGGGCTAGGAAAACCTGAACTGTAATAGACGAATTGCTGGAGGCTCAGAATGGACAAGTCTAAGAGTTGAACACACTAGGGGGACCTAGTCATTAGGCAGCCTCCACAGTTTAGTTTTACCTCCAGGAGCTCTATCAGGTTATCACAGTGAAGATCAGAGAAATATCTCCTCATGCTTCCACCAAGGAATGGGGAAAAATAATCATTTTGAAATATGCCAGAGCATTCTGTCCCTCCTAATAAGGCCTCCTCTCAAGAAAAGCAATTTTACCAGACCCTAACCTGCCAAGGTTTTATCAGACTAATTTACCTGGGGAAAGGGAAATATCCAACCCCCAGCCCCTTCTAACCATCCTGTCCCACCCAAGGGGAAGAAGGTATGAACTGAGGAGCAATGATGAGGTTTGCAGCCCAGGGCACAGGCTCACCAAAGGACACAGACTTACTCATCGGACTATAGAATGCTTCCTTTTCCCCCACACTTTACTACGACATCACATTACTAAAGGCCTATTTACCCCAGTTCCTTTTACCTAGCACATTATGTCCAGCTTTAAACAAAAAAAAATTGCATACTAAGGGGCAAAAAACACGGTTTGAAGAAACACAGCAAGCATCAGAATCAGACCCAGGTATGGAAAATATGTTATATTTATCAGACCATGAATTTAAAACAACTATGATTTAATATGTGAAGGTCTGTAATGAAAAAACTAGGCAGCATGCAATAATGAATGGGTAATGCACATTCTAAGAAAGAATAACTGGACATTCTGAAAAGGAATAAATAATGAAATGTTAGAGAAGAACAGAATATTCAAGAACTGTGGACAATGACAAAAAATTGTAACATGCAGGTAATGTGACTATCAGGAGAAGAAAAAGTGAAAGAAACTGAAGGAATATTCAAGACAATAATGACTGGTAATTTCCTCCAATTAATTAAATCAGACATTAAACTCCAGATCCAGTAAGCTCAGAGAACACCAAGAAGGATAAATGGAAAAAAATCTACACCTAGGCATATAGTTATATCAATATAGATATTACAAACATGGTAGATATTAATCTGTTCTCACACTGCTGACAAAGACATACCTGAGACTGAGTAATTTATAAAGGAAAGAGATTTAATTGACTCACAGTTACACATGGCTGGGAGGCCTCACAATCATGGCAGAAGCCAAATGAGGAGCAAAGTCACACATGATGGCAGGCAAGAGAGAAGTGTGCTGGGAAACTTCCCTTTATACAACCATCAGATCTCGTGAGACTTATGCACTATCACGAGAACAGCATGGGTAAAACCCACCACCATGATTCAATTACCTCCCACCGGGTCCCTCCCATGACACGTGGGCATTATGGGAGCTACAATTCAAGCTACACATGGACATTATGGGAGCTACAATTCAAGAAAGTTACCAGGTATAAAGACAGGAATTACATAATAACAAAGGGCCCAATTCTCCAAGAAGACATACCAATCTTTAATGTGTATGTGCCTAAAAACAGAGCATCAAAATGTAGGAGGCAAAACTGATAGAATTGCAAGAAAAATGGAGAAATCCACTATAATAGTTGAAGATTTTTGATACTCCTCCATCAGAAATGAACAGATCCAGCAGGCAGCTCATCAGAAAAAAACATAGTCAAGCTCAGCAATCAAATGAATAAAATTGATGTGTATCAACCACTTCATTCAACAGCAGCAGAATACATATTCTTCTTAAACTCGGGTGGGACTTTCACCAAGATAGACCATATTTGGTATCATAAAATGCATCTTAACAAATTTTTAAAAATAGAAATCACACAGCATCTGCTCTCAAGCCACAATGGAATTAACTAGAAATTAATAACAGACAGATAGTCAGAAAATCCCAAAATACTTTGAGATTAAACAACACATTTCTAAATAACACATGGGTCAAAGAATGAATCTTGAAGAATACTTGAAAATATTTTGAACTAAATGAAAATACAAGTTATCAAAATTTGTGGGATGCAATGAAAGCAATGCTTAGAGGGAAACTTACAGCATTGAATGAGTATATTAGAAAAGAAAACATCTAAAATCAATTATCTAAGTGTCCACCCTAGGAAACTAGAAAAAGGAGAGTAAATTAAATCCAAAGTAAGCTTTAAAAAAGAAATAATGAAAGTCAAAGCAGAAATCAATATAATTGAAAACAGGAAATCAAAAATTAACAAAATCAAAAGATAGCAATTTGAAAAGTCTAAAAAATTAATAAACCTCTTCCCAGACTAAGAAGAAACAGAAAAAAGACACAAATTATCAATATCAGAACCAAAAGAGAGGCCATCACTATAGATCCCAGGAACATCAGAAAGATAATAAAGAAAACGTATGAACAAATAGATAAAGAGTTCCATGATAAGCAAAGAAAACCATGAACACACCTTTGAACTACAAGCCCACAAATTTGATAACTTAATGAAATTGACCAATACCTTGAAATACACAATCTGCCAAAGCTCATATAAGAAGAAATGGACAATCTGAATAGGCCTATAGCTACTAAAGAAATTTAATCAATAACTAATAATCTTACAAAACAGAACACATCAGGTCCAGATGGTTTCCCTGGTGAATTCTACCAAGCATTTAAGGAGGAAATGATACCAATTCTCTACTATCTCTTTCAAAAGATAGAAGCAGAAGGAATACTTCCTAACTTATTCTGAAGCCAGCATTACCCTAATACTAAAACCAGACAAATACGAGGAAAAAAGCTACAGACCGATGTATTTTATGAACATAGATGCAAAAATCTTCAGCAAAATATTAGCAAACCAAATCCAACAACGTATAAAAATAATTATATATGATCAAGTGGAGTTCATACGGGCATGCAAGGCTAGTTCAACATTCAAAAATCAAGTAATGTAATCCATCACATTAACAAGGTAAGAAAAAGAAAAATCACTTTATCATATCAATAGACACAGAAGAAAGAATGGGGGAGAAAAAATATTTGAAGAAATAATAGCCAAAATGCCTCAAATTTGGAGGTGTAAGTTTACAGCCTTAAGAAAACCAGTGAATTTTAACAGAATAAATGCAAAGAAAACCAAGAGTAGACATATCAGCATCAAAGGGCTAAAAATCAAATATAAAGGGCAAATATTGAAAGCAGCCATATAAAACCCATCCATTAAACACAAAGAAACAAGAATTCTGACTTCTCATTTAAAACTATGGAAGACAAAAGACAGTGGAACAAAATCTTTGAAATAATGAAGAACAAAAAGCCCTCTCAGCCAAGAATTCTACAGCTAGCAAAACTAGCCTTCAAGAATGACAGTGAAATAAAGGCATTTTCAGAAGAGAGAAAACTAAGGGGATGAATTGCCAATAGATCTGAAGGGACAATAAATAGAATTATATCATTGCAGGATTCTTACACTTTGTCTGAAATTTCACAATGTTATATCTAAGAAGATAGTTTTATAAATTAAGAATGCATATTGTAGTCCCCTACAACCACCACTAAAAATAATGTAGGGTATAGCTAACAAGCCAACAGATGAAATTAAAATGAAATTTTAAAAATATTCAAGTAATCTACTTGAAGGTAAAAAGGGGAAAATGAAAAAATACAAGAGATGAAGCATAGAGAATTTTGGGGGCTATGAAGTTATTCTGTATGGTACTATAATGGCAGATGATGATTATGATGTGTCAGTGTGGTTCAATTGTAACAAATTGTAATACTCTGGTGGGGAATGTTGATAATGGAGGAGACTATGCATTTGTAGAGGATTGGGGTATATGAAAAGTTTCTCTATACATTCCACTCAATTTTGCTGTGAGACTAAACCTACTCTAAAAAAATAAAATCTATTTAAACAAAAAAAGAGG
Organism: Homo sapiens; assembly: GCF_000001405.40. Lineage (NCBI taxonomy): Eukaryota > Metazoa > Chordata > Mammalia > Primates > Hominidae > Homo > Homo sapiens. The sequence continues at coordinate 53,389,972 of NC_000005.10, forward strand.
GAAAACATAAAACAATTAATTAAGTGGTAGGCCTAAGTTTAATCATATTCATAATTATATTAAACGTCACTGGGCAACTTAAAGTTTCAATTCCAACATGTAAGGAGCATGAAAATCATCACTTCTCCTATTATAACAAGATAATCTGGGTAATCTGAAAATCAATGGCTTTTCTTGGACTCATCAGAAAACTTAAGTTTCAGGGAAAACCATCACCCTAAAATCTGGAGAAACAAGTGAATCCTAAGTCACAGTTGAAATCTTACTACCTAAAGAAAAAGTCTCAAGAGCTGTTAACTGATAGGAACACTTAAATGGAAATTTTGATGAATTTCTGGAGACTGGGTATGGATTACTATGAGGGTAAAAATTTCCTAAAGGCCTTTTTCTTAGGTATTTCCCCAGATTTCCATGGGCTTTACCTCCAGGAGCACTACCAAGTGATCACAGTGAAGATCCCAAAGAAATCCCCTCATGGCTCTGGCAGTTGGGGGTGGGAAAAGGTTAATCATTGTGAAATATGTTCAGAGCCCTCTCCTTAACAAAGTTCTACTTACAGGGGAAAAGACTTTGCCAGAGCTTTATCCTGTCTGGGGAAAGGGCATTCCTTCTAACCCACCTCCCCTAAGGTGGGAAAAAAAAGTCAGTAAAGGTTATAGCTTCAAAGTAATAGAGCTGCAGCCATGGAAAGGAATTAGGGAATGAGCTATACTACTGGAAAACACTTTTAAGATCACATTCCAGAGACACGGGTGCACTAAAAGATTGAAATTTAATTATAAGATTACAAAATGCCATTTCTTCCTCACACCTCACCACCACACCAACAGGCCCTAGTAAAACAACTGTGACAGAGACACAAGCTGTAGACTATATGTAAAGAGTCAAGGGAAGTTCTTAAGGAAGTCTAAAGACAATGGAGGAAACAAAATCAAGGACATTAGGGGAATTTGAAGCTTCTAGCATTTACAGCTACAACAAACATTAAACAGCTGAAATCCTAGTTAGATAAATATAAAACCTCATGCTAAAGGCCTATTACCTCAGTTCCTATTACTCAATGCATCATGTCTGGCTTTCAGACACACACACACACACACACACACACACACACACACATAATGCTAAAAGATAAAAAAAAAAACTTAGTCTGAAAAGGCAAATCAAGAATCAGAACAAGATATGACACAGATTTTGGAATTTTCAGACAAGGAATTTGAAATAACTATGATTAATATGTTAAGTACGCTAAGAGGAAAAGGAGACACCATGTAAACAGAAATGGATAATGTAAGCAGAAAGATGGAAACTCTAAGAAAGAATAAAAAGGAAATGCTAGAAATCAAAAACATTGTAACAGAAATAAAGAATGCCTTTGATGGGGTCACCAGTAGACTAGACATGATCAAGGAAAGAATTAGTGAGCTTGAAGATATATTGACAAAATTTCTCAGACTAAAACAAAGATAGAAAAGAGAATGAAAAAAAAAACTCATTAACAGAAAATCCAACAACTATGAGACAACTGCAAAATGTGTCACATGTGCATAGTTGAAACGCCAGAGAATATATATATATATATATATAGAGAGAGAGAGAGAGAGAGAAGGAGGTAGGAAAGAAGGAAGGAGCTGAAGGAACAAAGGCTAATAAAAACTGAGCATTTTCCAAAATTTATGACAGACAGCAAATCATAAGTCCAGGAAGTGCAGAGAACACCAGGCAGGATAAATATCAACACACACATACCTACACTGTCATATTCAAACTGCAAAAACTAACAAAAACTAAAGGGAAATCTGAGAAGAATCCAAAGGATAAAAACTTTTTTTCCTGTACTGGAAGAAGGATAAGAATTACAATGGGCTTCTCATCGTAAACTATACAACAAAAAAGGGATGAAGTAAAATCTTTAAAGTCTTAAAAAACTACCAGTGTAGAATTCTATGTCCAACAAAGTTATCCTTTAAAAGTGAAAGAGGAATAAAGACTTTCTCAGACAAACAAAAACTGAGGGAATTCATTGCCAGCAGACCTCCCTAAAAGAAGTGTTAAAAGTAGTCTTTCAGGCAGAGGAAATTTTTTAGTTCGGAAACTTGGAACTACAGAAAGAAAAGAAGAGCATCGGTGAAGAAACAAATAAAGATAACATAGAATCTGTTACTTTTCTTTTTCTTAAAAGATAACTGTTTAAAGTAATAATAGTAACAATTTGTTAAAGTAATAATAGTAACAATGTCTATAGCATATGGATAAGTGAAATGAATGACTGCAATGTTACAAAGACTGAAAAGAGGAACTGAGCACACAGTTATAAGGCATCTGCATTACACGTGTTCTTTGAAAGTGAACTGATATTTGTTAAAAATATATATTACAACCTCTGGGAAACTTTTTTTTAATTTCAAAAAAGTATAATTGTTATGCTAAAACAGATTTTTTTAAAATCATATAAAATGATCAATTAAAACTGGGAGTGGGAGACCAAAAAAATGTAATAAATAAAAAATAGTTACATAGTACATATTAACTTATTTATATAAATAGCCATTTTTTTTTTTTGAGACAGAGTCTTGCTCTGTTGCTCAAGCTGGAGTGCAATGGCACAATCTCAGCTCACTGTAAACTTCCCTCCTGGGTTCAAGTGATTCTCCTGTCTCAGCCTCCAGGAGAGCTGGGATTATATGAGCACACGACCATGCCCAGAATAGCCACTTTAAATGGTAACAGTATAAAACACTGAGTAAAAGACTACAATTGTTAAGGCAGATTTTTAAAAAAGGCCTAACTAGATATGTCTCTATGAAACCCACTACAAATATAAAGACTCAAGAGAAAAGTAAAGGGATGGAGAAAGAACATCACAATAATACCAATCAAAGTAAGCTGAAGTAGTTGTATAACTTCAGACAAATGTGACTGACTTTAGAAGAGGGAAAATTATCAGAGCTAAAGAGGATATTACACAATGAAAAAGGACTCAATTCTCCAAGAAGGCATAACAATCCTAAACATGTATGCACCTAACAATAATGTCAAAATATATGAAGCAAAAATGGATAGAGCAGCAAGAAGAAATGAAAAAAATCATTATTATAGTTGAAGACTTTAATATGTTTCTGTCAGTAACTGATAGGTCAAGCTGGCACAAATTTAATAAAGATACAGTTGGCCTGAAAAGCACTATCAATTAACTGGATCTAATTGATGTTTATAGAATACTCCATCCAACTACAGCAAAATACACATTCTTCTCAAGCTCACATGAACATTCGCCAGGATAGGTCACATTATTAGCCACCGAGTACACCTTAACATGTTAAGAGAATATAAATCATATGAAGCATGTTCTCAGACAACCATGGAATTAAAGGAGAAATCAGCAACAGAATGATAGCTGGAAAACACTGAAATATTTGGAAATTGAACAACATATTTCTAAATAACACATGACTTAAAGAAGAAATATCAAGAGAAATTTAGAATATTGAACTAAACGAAAGTAAAATACAATTTTTCAAACTTTGTGAGATAGAGTTACAGCAGTGCTAAGAAAGAAATCTGTAGCATTAAATGCCATTAAAAAGGAGAAAGATCTAAAATCAAAAACCTGTGTCCACCTTAAGAAACCAGAGAAAGAAGAACAATTAAAGTCTAAATGAAACAAAAGAAAATAAGTATAAAAATTTGAACATAAGTCAATGAAACTGAACATGAGAAAATAATAAGAGAAAATGAGTGAAATCAAAAGCTGATTCTTTAAAAAGATTACTAAAGTTGACAAAACTATTGCCAGGCTAACAAAGAAAAACAGAGAGAAGACACAAATAACCAATATAAGAATAAAATAAGAATCACCATTACTAACCCCATGAATATTAAAAGTGTAATACATGAATATTATAAACAACTCTATGCTCACAAATTTGATAGCTTAGATGAAACTGACAAATTCCTTGAAAGACTCAAACTATCAAAACTCACATAAGAAACAGAGATTGCATATCTCTTATTCAAAATGCTTAAGACTAGAACTGCTTTAGATTTTGAATTTTTTCAGATTTCGGAATATTTGCACATACATAAGGAGATATCTTGGGGATGGTACCCAAGTCTAAACACAAAATTAGTGTATGTTTCATGTACACATTGCCAGAAGGAAATTTTATACAATATTTTTAATAATGTTATGGATGAAACAAAGTTTTAACAGCACTTTTTAAATTTTTTAAAACTGCTTGTGAGTACAAGGGAAGCGTACATATTTATGATATGTACATATTTATGATATGATATTTTGATACAGACATGCCATATGTAATAATCACATCAGGATAAATGGGGCACCCATCACCTGAAGAATTTATCTTTTCTTTGTGTTACAAACAATCCAATTATACTCTTTTAGTTATTTTAAAATGTACAATAAATTATTGCTGACTGTAGTCACTCTGTTGTGCTATCAAATACTTGATCTTATTTATTCTAATTATAATCTTATATCAATTAACCATCTCCACTTCTCCCCCACCCCACTACCCTTCTCAGCTTCTAGTTACCATCATTCTACTTTCTATCTTATAGAGTTCATTTCTTATAAACTTTAGTTCCCACAAATTAGTGAGAACATGTGAAGTTTATCTTTATCTTATTTCACTTAACGTAATAAACTGTAATTCCATTCATATTGTTGCAAATTACAGAATTTTATTCTTTTTATGGCTGAATAGTACTTCATTGTGTACCACCACATTTTCTCTATCCATTCATCTGTTGATGAACACACATTACTTCCAAATCTTCACTATTGTGAATAGTGTTACAGTAAACTGAGAGTGCAGGTATTTTTTCAATATACTGATTTCCTTTCTTTTGGGTATATACCTAGCAGTGAGATTTCTGGATCATATGGTAATTCTATTTTTAGTTTTTTGAGAAAGCTCCAAACTATTCCCCATGGTGGTTGTACTCATTTATATTCCTGCCAACAGTGTACAAATGTTCCATTTTCTCCATATTCTTGCCAGCATTGGTTATTGCCTATCTTTTGGATAAGAGCCATTTTAACTGGGGTAAGATGATATCTCATTTTTGTTTCAATTTGCATTTCTCTGATGCATAATGATGTTGGCACCTCTTCATATGCCTGTTGCCATTTGTATGTTTTCTTTAGAGAAATGTCTATTCAGATCTTTTGCCCATTTTTAAATTAGATTATTAGATTTTTTTTTCCTATAGAGTTGTTTGAGCTCCTTATATATTCTGGTTATTAATCCTTTGTCAGATGGGTAGTTTGCAAATATTTTCTCCCATTCTGTAGGTCGTCTCATCTCATGAATGTTTTATTTTAGTAGTTGCATAGTTTGAGGTCTCAGATTTAGGTCTTTAATACATTTTTATTTGTTTTTTGTATATGACAAGAGATAGGGATCTAGTTTCATTCTTCTGCATATGGTTATCCAGTTTTCCCAGCATATCCAGTTTTCCCAGCACCATTTAGGGAAGAGACTATCCTTTCCCCAATGTATCTTCATGGCATCTTTGTTGAAAATGAGTTCATTGTAAAAACATAGATTTAGTTCTGAGATCTCTATTCTGTTCCATTTGTCTATGTGTCTGTTTTTATACCAGTACCATGCTCTTTGGTTACTAGAGTTCTGCAGTATAATTTGAAGTCAGGTAATGGGATTCCTAGTTTTGTTCTTTCTGCTTAGGACATCTTGAGCTATTCTTGGTCTTTTGTGGCTCCATATAAATTTTAGGGTTATTTTTCTATTTCTGTGAAGCATGTTATTGGTATTTGGATGGGGATTGCATTTAATGTGTAGATCGCTTTGGGTAGTATGGATGTTTTAACAATATTCATTCTTCCAATCCATGAACATGGAATATATTTTCATTTTCTTGTGTCCTCTCCAATTTCTTCAATTACTTACATCAATGTTTTATGGTTTTAGTTTTTGTTTTTGTTTTTTTGAGATGGAATCTCACTCTGTCACCCGGGCTGGAGTGCAGTGGCATAATCTCAGCTCACTGCAACCTCTGCCTCCCAGGTTCAAGTGATTCTCCTGCCTCAGCCTCCCGAGTAGCTGGGACTACAGGTGCCCGCCACCATGCCCGGCTAATTTTTTGTGTTTTAGTAGAGACAGGGTTTCACTATGTTGGCCAGGCTGGTCTCAAACTCCTGACCTCATGATCCACCCGCCTTGGCCTCCCAAAGTTCTGGGATTACAGGCGTGAGCCACTGCACCCGGCCTGTTTTATAGTTTTCATTGTAGAGATTTCCTTTTTTTTTTTTTTTGTTAATTCATGAGTATTTAATTTTATTTGTGGTGATTATAAATGGGACTCATTTCTTTATTTCTTTTTCACATTGTCCTCTGTTAGCATATAGAAATGCTACTGATTTAGGTATGTTGATTATGTGTCCTGCAACTTTACTAAATCTGTTTATCACTTCTAATAATTTTTTAGTGGTCTTCAGATTTTTCCAAATATAAGATCACATCATCTGCAAACAAGGATAATGTAACTTTTTCCTTTCCAATTTGGATGCCTTTTATTTCCTTCTCTTGTCTGATTGTGCTAGCAAGAACTTGCTGCACTATGTTGAATAACAGTGGTGAAAGTGAGCATCCTTTTCATGTTCCAGATCTTAGAGGAAAGGCTTTCAGTTTTTCCCCATTCAGTATGATACTAGCTGTGGGCCTGTCACATATGGCTTTTATTGTGTTAAGGTATGTTCCTTCTAAACCCAGCTTTTTAAGGGCTTTTTGCATGAAGTGATGTTAAATTTTATCAAATCTCTTCTCAATCAATTGAAATGATCATATGATTTTTGTCCTTCATTCAGTTGACATGATGTATTAACTTGATTGATTTGCATGTGTTGAACCATCCTCGCAGCACTCTTCCCTCCCCTTTTCACATGTAGAAGAGTCTCTCCTCATGGCTACCACTGCCCCATTTTCATGATGAGTACTACCTGACTACTGCTGATGTTCATTCAAGGCCCAGGGGCTTTTCAATCAGCTTATGGAGAAGGCTGCCAGGCCTGAGACTCTCCCTTCAGGGCAGTGGGCTCCCTTCTGGCTCAGGGCAGGTCCAGAAATGCTGTCCAAGAGCCAAAGCCTGGAATCAGGGACTTCAAGGGCCCACTTGTTGCTTTACCTCACTGTGGCTGAGCTGGTACCTAAGCTGCAAGACAAAGTTCCCTTTAGTCTTCCCTCTCCTTTTCTCAAGCAGAAATCCCTTCCCATAGCCACCACAGCTGGGAATATGCCCGGTCACATCTGAAGCACATCTCTGAATCTCACCAAAGGTCCACAGGGACTACTGCCTGGTACCACTACTGATTATTCAGGGCCCAAGGGCTGTTTCGTCAGCAGTGATGAATCCTGCCAGGATTGGGTCATTTCCTTCAAAGCAGTGGGTTCCCTTCTGGCCCAGGGTGTGTCTGGAAATGTCTACAAGCTAGGGCCTGGAATTGGGGATCTGATATGGTTAGGCTTTGTGTCCCCACCCAAATGTCATTTTGAATTTTAATCCCCCAGTGTCAAGGAAGAGATCTGGTGGGAGGTGATTAAATCACAAGGGTGGTGTCCCCCATGCTGTTCTCGTGATAATGAGTGAGTTCTCACGAGGTCTGGTGGTTTTATAAGTGTCTGACAGCTCCTCCTTTATGCATTCACTGTCTTTCACCTGCCACCACGTAAGATGTGCTTCTTCCCCTTCTGCTATGATTTTAAATATCCTGTGACCTCCCCAGCCATGTGGAACTGTGAATCAATTAAACCTCTTTTCTTTATAAATTACCCAGGCTTGGGAAGCTCTTTATAGTGGTGTGAGAATGGACTATTATAGGGTCTCAGCTCTCTCCCTGGTGCTCTATCTTAACGTGGCTGAGCTGGTATCCAAGTTGCAAGACAGTCCTCTTTACTCTTCCCTCTCCTTTCCTCTAGCAAAGGAAGGAGTCTCCCCCGGAGCTGCAAGCTGTATTGCCTGGGGTTGGGTGAGGAGTGACAAAAGCACTCCCTTGGTCACTCCAACTGGTGTCTCACTGAGTCATGTGCCCCCAGAGTCCACTGGCTCCATGCCCAGCATAGCACTGGGACTTGCCCAGGAATTGTAGTGCTTTTGGCCTGGACTGCCTTTCAAGTTTATTTGGAGTCACAGAGCACTTTAGCCCCTTTTAGTCAGAATTCAGTTTCCAGCTGCTGGGATGAGCAAGTCTCTTCTAGATAGGGCTGGTCTAAATGCTCACTCTGTGGGTGCTAGCTGAATTCTGCCTAAAATTGCTTTTCACAGTGTCAAGACAGCATGGAGTTCTAAAGCAAAATCCCACAATCACTATGGTCTTCCTTCCCCAAGCGCACAGATTCTCCATGCCATGTGGCAACTGTTGAGGGAATGGGGAAGGGGTGGTGGCAGCAATTCAAGACTATCTTTTCTACCCTCTTATGCCTTTTTAATGATATGAAGTTAAAACCAGGCACTGTTCCCTTTAGTCTTGAGTTTCCTGAGGTTCAAATTGCAATATTTTATTGAGGATTTTTGCATCTGTGTTCACAAGAGGTGTCAGTGTATATTTTTCTTGTAATGTCTTTATCTGGTTTTGGTATCAGGATAATACTAGCCTCATAAATGAGTTAGGAAGTTTTGCTCTCCTCAGATTTTCTGGAAGATATTGTAAAGCATTGGCATTATTTCTTCCTTCATGTTTGGTAGAATTCACAAGTGAAAACATCTGGGCCTGGTGCTTTCTATTTTGTACAGTATTAATTGTTGATTCCATTTCTTTAATGATATACACCTATGTGAATTAGCTATTTCTTATTGTACAAATTTTACTAGATTGTGTATTTTATGTAATTATTTTTTAGATTGTGTCTTTTAAGAAATTAGTCAATTCAATCCAAGTTAGCAACCTCATGGGTATAGAATCTCCAAACTTTTTTATTCCTTTCTTTACAATCTGCCATAGCAGTTTTTGCTTCTCTATCTCATTTAATGTGGACCATGACTTTCCATAAAGGTCCAAGAGCAATCCAGCAGTGTACTAGAATTATCTCCAAGGGTGCTTGCCATATGTTAAATTCTGTATCATGGACAGTACCTTCTTATTAAAAAAGATATAATCACTCCCCCTTATTAGTTTTCCCCAGCACATGCCTGGATGATTTAGGCTTAAATGTAATCCTAGTATTGGTCTAGTGGTCAGAAGGAGAATTGAGGGCAAATTCTGAAGAGAATCAATACTTTATTGCTACCTGTCTAATAGTCTTCAAGAAAAGGAGACTCTATATTTTTGCAATGGAGAGTTGGTGCCACTTCTACAAGCCCAGAGAGCACAAGAGGATTATTAATGCTCAATATATCTACCCAGATAACCTTCTATCAAGTCTTACAGTCTCACTCCTTCTCTATCAGGGGATTATCTTTAGCATAGGAAATTTGGCTAGACTGAGAATTCACCTGTCTTTGAAGTACTGCCACTCCTAGAAATTAGGTCCTGGGCCTGATCGTCAGCTGTATCTGTCCTCCACTAGCGAGAAACGAGGTCACTTTGAAGGCGACCTAAGCAGCCCCCTAACTCTCACATTTTGCTTTAAATTGGTGTCAGAGGGTCAGGTGCAGTGGCTCATGCCTGTAATCCCAGCACTTTGGGAGGCTGAGGTGGGCAGATCACCTGAAGTCGGCAGTTCGAGACCAGCCTGACCAACATGGAGAAACCCCGTCTCTACTGAAAATACAAAATTAATTGGGCATGGTGGCACATGCCTGTAATCCCAGCTACTCGGGAGGCTGAGGCAGGAGAATCGCTTGAACCCAGGAGGCAGAGGTTGTGGTGAGCCAAGATGGCACCATTGCACTCCAGCCTGGCCAACAAGAGCGAAACTCCATCTCAAAAATAAAATAAAATAAAATAAAATGGTGGCAGATTTCCTGAGCCTATAATTTTCTCTTTTCAAAATATTCTGCAACAACCACCAAATTTTCCAGTTCTTGTAATTATTCTCTTCTATGTTCCAAATGCCATAGATATTTTACAAACCTATGCAACCTCTTTCATAATATCCTATCCTAGTTCACTACAAGTGAATGTCTCAGCAGTTGTCCTCTACTGCATACCACAACAGGCTATCAGAACTGGTAATGAGGTACTCTGTCATGCATCCAGAAAGTGATCCAAATTGGGGATCCCATTCCTAGAGTCTGCTTCCTGGAAGCACTTCTGGAAATGACTGCATTAGATTGAGTTCCCCAGACACAAGGCCTGAGACAGGGTTTGTAATGCATGTGATTTGAGAGAGTGCTTTTCAGGAAATTATTCCTATATAGGGAGAGAAGGAAATATAACAGGAAAGGATAAAGAGCCAAGTAAGGCTGTGTTTTCTGGTAAAGGCTAGCTACGGCTTAATCCAGAGGGGAGGCTCAGAAGCATAAACCACACCGTGGTGTTGACCCTTCTTGAGGCAAGGAATCCAGCAGTAGTCCCATATTAGTCATTCACTGTCTGAGGACCATTCCCAGAGGAGATATAACTTCCCAGGGGTGGTGGTTCTCATTAGAAGATGGCAATTCTCTGAAACATTTGACATTGTTAGCAGTTGACACACAGCATCTAGAGGTGTGGGTGCACTGCCTTGCTAAATGGGGATCTGGGTAAGACATTATTACATTACAAGTGGTGAAAGGAGAGTCTTTTCTATACTCAGTGCTATGAAAACTGGATATCCAGTTGATGCAAAAAATATTGAATTACCTTCATGCCATATTAAAACTTTATTTAATTCCAAGCATTGTAAATATATATATTAAAGGTTGTTACACAATAACATCCCCAGAAAAAAGTATGCTATCTTCATATTCTTAGAATAGTATAAAATTTCTTGACCATCACATGAAAAAAGCATTATCCTTAAAGAACATGATTGTTTAAATTAATTACTTTTGCACATTTAAGGACATCATTAAGAGAATGAAAAGGCAAACCACAGAAGGGAAGAAGATACAGGCATTATAGATATCTGACAAAAGATTGATCAGAGTATATGACAGTCCTACAAAGTAATGAGAAAAAGACTAACAACTTTATTTTTACAATTATTTTTGCAAAAGATATGGACATGCTCTTCATAAGAGGATATGGCTGTCAAACATATGAAAGAGCGCTCAGGATCATTAATCAAGAAAATCTGAAACCACTATGTATCCATCTGAGTGACTAAAATTAAAAAGACTAATGATAATAAGTGCTGACTGGGATGTGGAGAAACTGGAACTCTCCTCCACTGCTACTGGGAGGATAAATCGTGACCATTTGAAAAACCATTTAGCTATATATACTACAAGAGTATACACACTCAATGACATAGAAATTTCATTCATAGGTAAAATATTTAAGAGAAATGTGTATATATGCAGACAAAAGAGCATGTGCAAGAATGTTCATAGCAATGTTATTTGTAATAGCTGAAAACTGGAAACCAAAATGCCCCTGAAGAGTAAAATAGGTAAGTATATTTATATCATGAAATTTTATACAGTAATAAAAATAAACAAATTACTGCCACATACAGCAGTATAAATTAATCTCACAGAAAATAAAATCAAAGCATATAATTTCATTTATATGAAGTGTAAGTTGTTACCTCTGAGGGAACAAGAGAGGATCATTATTAGGAACAGGCATGAGAGGATTGGCTGGGTGTTGGTAATGTTATGTTTCTTCCTAATCATTTTGCAAAAATTAATCAAGCAGCACAATGGGGATTTATGCCTCTACCTGTATGCATTTTATATTTTAATATACAATACAATTTTAAAACAAAATATAAAGGACTTGCAATTAATAAATCATGATTTTCTGAGTTAGCCCAGGAACAACCTTTAAATAGCCTTTAAAAAATATGTATCAGGTCTCATGCTAAAATCCGTATTAATTACAGTTGGATAATTCTTTGTACTTTACAAAGTCTTTTCATATATTATCTTTTTATTGATGTAATGTAATGGTAAATCAGTATTAGAACATTTCTGAAGTGAAGGGAAACCAGAGCCCAGCTATGCCCACACAAAATCTGTGTGAAGTTATCTCACATTTGAGAGGGAAAACTGCAAGAGAAGTAAAATGCTGCTAACTTTTTTTAATCCCTCAAGTGTATCCAGGGAAGTCCAATTTTATTTTTCCCACCCCTTCATCATATGTTTCCCACAATATTTTTCCCTTTCTCTCTTTTTCTCTCTCTTCCTTTTCCCCTCCTCTGAGATTCCCTCCTTTTCTTCCATTTTCTTCCTTCTTCAGTCTCCTCTACAGTAGTTTCATGGAGATAGTAGAGACAGTGGTGAAGGTATCACCATTAAGGCTATTCATGGGGAGAATGGTTTATTCTTCTGATATTTTCCATTTCAAACACTAGTGTTAATTCTTTATCTGTCTAAATTTTCTCAAAAAAAAATATGGTAGAGCACATGATGTAGGTAGTTAACTGTCCACCAAAAATTCATGGTCTCCCATCCACAGTGTAGAGATTCTTTGAAAAGTGACTGCCCAGCTAAGGACTACGTTTTCCGGTCTTCTCTACAACTAGGTAAGACCATATAAATTGAGTTCTAGCCTATGAACTCAAGATTTCCACTCATGCCATGGAAATGTTACATGCCATGTCCAGTTCTGGTCCATAAAATTCTTTTCTCTGGCTTATTTTCCCTAGTAGGAAATCCCTGTTGGGAAAACCTTGGTGCATCCATATACTGAAGTTAGCAAGACCTCTATCAACCTAGATTTCTAAATGACTGTGTGGAGAAAAGCTACTGCCCACATTTTCCCCTGCCTACCACTGGTATATGGACAAGAAATAAACTTGTATTATATTTGAACCTATATACTTTGGGGTCTATTTGTTAAAGCAATTTGCCCTGATGCAAAGTCTTTTTGGAAACTTTAGTAAAGCTCACTGGATTATTTTTTCCAAATCCTAGGTTTGATAGACCATAAAATTTCTGTGACTATCCCTGTACATAGAGGAGACTAATTTTTCCACTCCGTGGAATGTCATTGAAAACATTCTTCCTCAAATAGTTTGTTCTATGAAACAGGGAACAGAGCAGTTTTGTATCATATCTATTCTGCCAATGAGTCAAAGAAAATGGCCAGGGAAAATGTCAATTAATTCTTGTAGCCTAAAAAAAGAAGAGATGTCACATCTTTTCTCTTTAATTCTACATCAGTATCTTTACCAAGGCCTGTATGAAATGGCTTATAATAAACCATGAGAGCCTCTGAACAGAGTGCAATAACCAAAAATGATGATGGGGCTTAGCAACATTTCATTCAGAAATACAGTGGTTTCCTGAAAACCCCAGCTTCAGAATTTTGTGGTTCGGAAACCAAAGACAAGGCTTGTTTTGTAAGAATGACTTGTTTTTAAAACAAAAAGAAATACTGAGTAGTTTATTGAGTGTCCCACTACCCAAGCCTCCTGCTTCGTAAAACAATGCCAAGGAATTCCAGTGGTCTGGTGCGCATGTGTCTTGGAAGTTGCTTTATGCTTACAGGCACATGAGACTTTGTCTGATTGGACCAAATTGCTCTAGTCATAACCTTGGAAAATCATCCCAGGGACATCTTAACTCTATCCCCAGAACATCTGAGAATATCTTGAAAAATTAATAATGAATCATGGGGCAGAAATTTGATAAGTACTTATGACATGGGCATTAATGTCAAATGATTTTTATCATGATTAATTTTACTATAATAAATACTAAGGGAACAAGAAATGATTTAGGCCATCATTTTAGGCCATCACTTACATAGGCCAAGGTACCCAAAGTGTAAATCTTTAACGAATATAGTAGTTTGTTGTGATGCCACTAAGATGTAAAGTGTCACTTATCTCCATGTGACTCCATTTGGCATTCCAACAGTTCCACTGTTTATAGTTCAGAGCTATCTAATCATGTGGTGGGGTACATTCCATAGCTCCCTCTGACAGAATAATTCCAGTGTGTCATTTCATAGGAATACTGAACTAGACCCTAACTTGGCTAACAGTTGGGTACTCCAAATTCCCAACGGATTGTTTTTGATGGGAATCTGGCCCCAAATACTCTGAAATGCTCACACTTAACCTCTACAACTAACCCAAGAACTATCTATCCCAGATTTTGTGTTTGGTCCAGTAGGTCGTCCTGGGCTGACAAATGTAAAAATACTCTGATGAAGAAAAATGGATTTGATCAAAATTCAGGACTACAACTTCAGGCTAATGATCATCACCAAAAGGCTTGTTCTTGTGCCTCAGGGCCACTACACCTCCATGACTGTAGAGATTGCCAGGGTCCACAGAAAGGACTTCATACAGGATCTTTATATACATAAACACACACACACACACACAGTTCTCTGAAATGCCTGTAGTACTGAAGTCACAAACTTCAACTGTCTTAAAAACAGACTACATCTCTCTCCACTAGAATTTTTAGAGGTATGAACAAATGAGAGTTTCACCATATAAAGTTGCTTTATGACATATTTTAAATTAAGCATAGATTTCTCATCTTATGAAGGTAACATATGTTTATTATAAATCTAGAAAATATGAGTAAGCAAAGAGATAAATTCATAATTGTACAACCTATAGATAACAACTATTAATATTTTTGATGTTTATTCTTCTAGCTCTTCATTATTCAACATTGTAGCTACTATCTATATGAGGCTATTGAGCCCTTGAAATAAGCTTTTTTTTTTTTTTTTTTTTGATGGAGTCTCACTCTGTAGCCAAGGCTGGAGTGCAGTGGCACAATCTCGGCTCACTGCAACCTCCACCTCCTGGATTCAAGTGATTCTCCTGCCTCAGCCTCCCGAGTAGCTGGGTTTACAGTTGTGCACCACCATGCCTGGCTAATTTTTGTATTTTTGGTAGAGATGAGGTTTCGCCATGTTGGCCAAGCTGGTCTCGAACTCCTGAACTCAGGTGATCTGTTCATGAACCACCATGCCCGGCCAAAATGCAGCTATTTTGAGTTGAAATGTACTCTAATGGTAAAATATTGACTGGGTTTCAAAAACTGTACCAAGAGGCCTGGCACAGTGGAAGAAAAAGAAGTCTATTCCTTTCTGGGTTTTCCAAAAGGTTTTCAAAATATATGACAATATTTGTCCTTCACCCAAAATAGAAAGATGAAAGAACAATAAATATCATTTGCCACAGTGGTTATAACTAAAATACGGATTGGAGCATCAATACAATTAATGGAATTGGCTTAGAACTTAAAAGCACAGTATAAATGCCCCTACTGTCCAGCTTTACTCAAGAGATCACACTCTACTTCAGTAAAATACGTAATATTCTGAGTTTAACCCCAGAAATTGGATGCTGTTTAACTGTGCTCTGTAAACATTTTATGAAAGTAAACCACATGCATTGGTGGTATTCAGAACATTTTAAATGTGGGCAGAAATAAAATCCTAGAACCTTCATTGGTATTACATCCATTTTTAAGACAGTAAATAGAAGTACCTAAAAACACCCCCTCTCTTAAATATTCCTGGCTTTAAATCCAGTACTCTTGTTTTCTATTTCTCATTGAAATTTTTTGTTGTACCATGTGAAATGTAGGTCAAGTTGCTGGTAAGTGCTGGATAAAAATCTGTTTATACCAAAAGTAAACAGTAAAATCCTCCCAGCCTACACAGTTTAAAAATATAACTCCTGCCAAGTGTGCTATTCAGGGTATCCCCAATAAATTTAATTTTGAAGAATTCTTAACATAGACCTCTCTGGATGCTAGACTTTAGTCATAGCCGCATAATATTCTTTTAAGGCAAAATTTATAAGAATTAAAATTCGCAAGGCCTTTTATTCCTGGGGATCAATGATGAGAAGCACAATTACGATCTTATTCAGGTTGCTATGCTTTGTGTTCAGTAAAGTCATAGAAAGAACCAACATGCAACTAGGGGCAAGAAGTATGCTATGGACTTAATATGTGTGTAACCCCAAAATTCATATGTTGAAGTCCTAATCCCCAATGTGATGGAATAGATGTGGAGCCTTTGGAGGGGGGCAGTAATTAGGTTTAGATAAGGTCCTGAAGTTGGAGCCCCCATAATGAGATTGATGCCCTTGTACAGAGAAAGAGACCAGAGGCCTCTCTCTCTCCACCATGAGGACACAGCAAGAAGGCAGCCATCTGCAAACCAGGAAGAGAACCCTCACCAGAAATCAAACCCTGCTGGCACCTTGACCTTGGACTTCCAGCCTCCAGAACTGTGAAGAACAAATGTATGTTGTTTAAGTCACCCAGTGCATAGTATTTTGTTATAGCAGCCCTAGAAGATCTTAATTCACAAGGTGAAACTCCAGCACTGAAGGCAAGTCAGGCACCATAAAAGCCACCACCAACTTCAGGTGGAATTCCCCTAGTTCACATTAGAACCTATCAACATACATTGCTTTCTTAGCCGTGATTTTTGAACACTAGCTTACAAAAAAGCCTCAATGTTATAGCAGTAGCAGAGAATGTGGAAGTAGTATAAAATTTAAGTTCTTTGAAATCCACAGATGAAACATTCAGCCCTTCTTCTGCTTGACTTGGGCCAATGTGCTAGCTACTCTTAAAGTATCTGGAGCAGTGGGCAGTGAGGAGAGACAAAAAGATCTTGACTTTATGAAGCCTGTCGAAAGATGTAAAAACAAACAAAAAAAAAACCTACGTACATGTGCATTTCATATATGTATATACAGTCGTGCACTGCATAATGACATTTTGGTCAATGATACACCACATATACAATGGTAGTCTCACAAGATTACAATGGAGTTGAAAAATTCCTATTGCCCAGTGACTTTGCAGCCATCTCTGAGTCATAGCACAATGCATTACTCACATGTTTGTGGTGAGGCTGGTGTAAACAAATCTACTGTGCTTTCAGTCCTTTGAAAGTATAGCACATACAATTATGTATAGTATATAATAATGACAATAAGTGACTGTGCTCCTGGTTTATGTATTTACTATACTATACTTTTTATTGGTATTTTACCATGTGCATCATCTACTTATGAAAAAATATTAACTGTAAAACAGCTTCATGCAGGTCATTCAGGAGGTACTCCAGAAGGTATTGTTCTCATAGGGAATGACAGCTCCATGCATGGTATTACTCCTGAAGACCTTCCAGTGGCACAAAATGTGGAGGTGGGAGACAGCGATATTGATGATCCTGACCCTATGTAAGCCTAGGCTGATGTATGTGTGTGGTCTTAGTTTTTAACAAAACAAAAGAAAAACTAAGGTAAAAAATTTAAATAGAAGAAAACATATGGAACAGAAACATAAAGAAAGAAAATACTTTTATATAGCTGTGCACTATGAGTTTTAAGCTAAGTGTTATTATAAAAGCATCAAAAGTTTAAAAAATTAAAAACTTTATAGAGTAAAATACTTACAGTAAGCTAAGGTTAATTTATTCTCAAAGAAAGAAAAATATCTTTTAGAAATTTAGTGTAGCCTAAGTGTACAGTGTTTATAAAGTCTACAGGAGTGAACAGTAGTGTCCTAGGCCTTCACATTCACTCAATACTCATTCACTGACTCACCCAGAGCAACTTCCAGTCCTGCAAGCCATTCACAGTAAATATCCCATACAGATATACCACTTCTTATCTTTTTTTTTTTTTTAAGATGAAGTCTTGCTCTTGTCCCCCAGGCTGGAGTGCAATGGGATGATCTTGGCTAACTGCAACCTCTGCTTCCCGGGTTCAAGTTATTCTCCTGCCTCAGCCTCCCGAGTAGCTGGGATTACAGGCGCCTGCCACCAAGCTCTGCTAATTTTTGTATTTTTAGTAGAGATGGGGTTTCAACATGTTGGCCAGGCTGGTCTTGAACTTCTGACATCAGGTGATCCACCCGCCTTGGACTCCCAAAGTGCTGGGATTACCGGCATGAGCCACCACCCCCAACCCACTTCTTATCTTTTGTACTGTATTTTTACTGAACCTTTTCTATGTTTGGCTACATTTAGATACACCAATATTTCCCATTGTGTTCAATTGCCTACAATTCAGTACAGAAACATGCTGTATAGGTTTGAAGCCTAGGAGCAATAGGCTATACCATATAGCCTGGGTCATAGTGGGCTATACCATCTAGGTTTGTGACAGTACACTCTATAATGTTCACACAACAACGAAATCACTGAAGGATGTATTTCTCAGAAAGTATCCCCATCATTATCATTAAGTAACACATACAAATCTAGGTTTGTTTGAAGATAATTTTGCTAATTTAACCCTCAAATATAATGTTTTTATACAATGTCCAAGCATATAGGTATGGTCATTTTGGAAATGGGAATAAATTACGTGATTATCAAGAATTCCTCCAATATAGCAACATAGTAACTATCACAGCTCTTGCTTAAATGATTGTCATATGTGACCATTATAGTTTGTGAAATAGAATCGGTGAAGTGCTGAGTGTGGTAGGAGGGTGTTCTAAAGTAACTCCAGATCCTAGAGCAGTCCATCTTCTGGGTGAAGTCACCTAGCTTACAGTAATCTTGACCTGAATCAAACGATGCTTATCTGGCAATACTCTTTTGGTATTCCATGAAGAAAAGTGTCACTGAACGTAAAGCACCCACTGCCATGAGACAAACCAGTGCTTCAACCACAATGGAAGAGAATGAAAATCCATCAAGGAAAAAGACGTGATGGCTACTAAGAAGGCATGAATCTAAAGTTCACAGATGTACAAGGTGTGCTCTGAGCAAGGTGACCCTTCTTAATCTCCAACCATTCAGTTCTAACACGTGCTAAAACTGCAACTGTATTCCGGTTGCGAGTAGGACCTATGTTGTTAAATGACAACAGTTTTCCACAAGGACTCACCTGGGTCTGGTTCTAGTTCTGGCTCCACCCAGACTAGATCATCTCAAGTTTTCCATGAAAATGTTGCCAGTGCTTAGAAAATAGGTAGCATAATAGCGAGGCTATAAAGAAGGAAAAGTCAAAAGCGTTCCCAGTTGCAGTATATCTTCCCAGGGTTTGTCTAGGTTATGAGCCAAATGAATTGGAGGCCTCTAATTCAGAGAACAGGAAATTAAGAGAGTTTGTTCCTCTAATAAAAATAGTATCAAATCCTTCCAGTGCATATTTTAAAAATAAATATTTTGCTTGCTTATGGTGATTTAAGTGCCCTTCACTCTATTCTTTTGGAACAACCCTTACCGTGAGCTGAGCCACCTTTGCACCAATAAACCTCAGTGCTCTGGCACACTGTGTTTTCTCAGGGTTTCAGTATGGGTGGCCAGGGAGCAATGCATCACTGGGTTCAAACCAGGGTAGGATCTACTAGCGCTGATTGGAGCCCCAGTATTGGAGGTCACATTCTTTCAGGTTAGAAATGCTGTAGGCAAATCCCAAGGGGAGGGGCATCAAAGAATTACCCAGTGGGGGTTGATGCTTCTGAAACTCCCCATTCTCCACCAGTACAGTATAAAAGGAGTGAAGCCAAACCTTGGGGGAATATACCGGGGATCTGAAATATAAGCGCACAAACCTAGGTTCCCTGACCATCAGCACTCTCAGAGCCACAAAGCAAGATCTCATTGAATTCCAGCATTCCTTGGATACCTTCTATGAGCCAGGGTACGTGATGAAAAGAGAGAAGCCGGGCGCGGTGGCTCACGCCTGTAATCCCAGCACTTTGGGAGGCCGAGGCGGGTGGATCATGAGGTCAGGAGATCGAGACCATCCTGGCTAACAAGGTGAAACCCCGTCTCTACTAAAAATACAAAAAATTAGCCGGGCGCGGTGGCGGGCGCCTGTAGTCCCAGCTACTCGGGAGGCTGAGGCAGGAGAATGGCGTGAACCCGGGAAGCGGAGCTTGCAGTGAGCCGAGATTGCGCCACTGCAGTCCGCAGTCCGGCCTGGGCGACAGAGCGAGACTCCGTCTCAAAAAAAAAAAAAAAAGAAAAAAGAAAAGAGAGAAAAACAAGTGAAGAGTGATGGGGTGGGTCCCTAGCCACAAGAAGCTCACCACCTAAAAGATTTTCTCACATGTTTTTGTTTAACAGTTTTATAGTTTTTAGTACTGACATTTAGATCTATGACCTATTTGGGGTTAAATTCTGTTTATGATGTGATGTAAGGGTCAAGGTTCACTTCTTTGTACACAACTAGCCAATTGCTTCAGTGCCATTTGTTGAAAAGATCATCCTTTCTGCATTGGATTGCCTCGATACCTTTTCTTAAATCAATTGTATATGCATGAGTCTATTTCTAGACTTTTTATTCTGTTCCATTGATTTTTTTTTTAATTTATAAAGAAAAGAGGTTTAATTGACTGACAGTTCCTACATGGCTGGGGAGGCCTCAGGAAACTTTCAGTCATGGCAGAAGGGGAAGCAGGCTTGTCTTACATGGCAGCAGGCAAGAGAGAGCATGTGAAGGAGAAACTGTCAAACCCTCAGATCTCATGAGAACTCACTCACTATCATCAGAACAGCATGGCGGAAACCACCCTCAAAATCAAATTGCCTTCCATCATTTCCCTCCCTTGACACGTGAGGATTATGGGGATTACAATTTGAGATGAGATTTGGGTGGGGACACAGAGCCAAACCATATCATTCTGCCCCGGCCCCTCCCAAATATCATGATCTTTTTACACTTCAAAACCAATCATGCCTTCCCAACATTTCCCCCAAAGTCTTAACTCATTCCAATGTTAACCCAGAAGTCCAAGTCCAAAGTCTCATCTGAGACAAGGCAAGTTCCTTCTGCCTAGGAGCCTGTAAAATAAAAAGCAAGTTAGTTACTTCTAAGACACAATGGGGTTACAGGCATTGGATAAATGCTCCCATTCCAAATAGGACATATGAGCCAAAATGAAGGGGCTACAGGCCCCGCACAAGTCTGAAATCCAGAAGGGCAGTCATTAATCTTTTGTTGTTGTTGTTGTTGGAAGACAGAGTCTCAATTTATTTATTTTTATCTTTACATCAAGACTATACCATCTTAGTTACCATAGCTTTATCATAAGTCGTGAAATTAGGCTGTGTAAGTCTTCCAATTTTGTTCATCTTTTTCTAAATTGTTGTTTTTTTCTAGATCCTTTGCATTTTCACATAAAGTTTATAATGAGCTTATCAAAAAAAATTCTACTTGTATTTTGACTAGGTTTGGGTTGAATTTATGTCAATGGGGGAAAATTAACATCCTAATATTGACCATTTCTATTTGTGAACATACAGAATTACTTTTCAGCTCCTATACCTGTGTCTTCCATCTTTCTGAGTATTTTTCTGGGGCTTTTAAAGCACAGTATCTCTAATAGACTCTGCTGTATAACATGCAGTATTCAGGAAATAAATGATGTGTAATAAATGTCAAAATAAATACTACTACCCAAGAAGTGGTGTGAAAATGTATTATGTTTTATAACAAGTAACAGAAAACTAAGGCTGTTTTGTGCTGATATGCTTTTTTACTAAGAGATTTTCTTTCAACTGATATGCTATAAAGTCTTTATGTGTTTCTTCTCTTTAAATTGCATAAATAATTCGTCTAGTTTCACTTTTACTTGAAGGATATTCACATTCACTTTCAGTCTTTCAGTCCCTAAAAGGGTAGATCCTCTGCTTTAACATAAACTGTTAGCAAAATTTGATCCCTGAATAGTAGAAAATGGTGAAAACCTCAAGACTCCACATCTAGATTCTTCCTAATGGATGTAAGGAAAAAGTATCTCTCTTTGGATGCACCTAAGTATGACATATGGCTAGAATTTATATTCAACAATCTATGTAACATAGACCCAAAGAGTCAGAAAGGATACCCACCATAACTTACCCATAGAGCAATTTGTTGCAAACCAGCTAAAACTAAACCCTGTTAATAGACATTAGGACAGGTTTCCCTGTGCAAGCCCAAGTGCCTCATAGGAAAAGGCTGAACTTCTGTGAAATTTTAATAGATACGAAGTTGCTTCAACTCCCCACCTTTCCACTTTCTGAATTCCTAGTAGCCTCAAGGCAGTTCCTGCTTCCCAGAGACCATCCTTGGAGTACCATCTCCCCACCCCCAGAACTGTTCCATGCTTCCAGTATTTCACTCCAACAAAACCTAGAATTATAGGCTTTCTGTGCTGAGAAGGATCTTAGAAACCATCTATTCCAATCCTCTTGTTTTACAAGCAGGAAAACAGGCCTAGGAGCATAAAATAATAAGCAAAGTCATATACCATATCATGCTAATGCAGAAATTGTAGAAGTCAAGCTCTCCATCATTTGCTGACTTCAAGAGCTGTCACAGAATACGGCATCACAGAAATTAGTTTTAGGTACTAATCATCCTGGGATAGCTCTATTTTTTCTTTCTAATTATAGAATTAATACACAAAAAATTATATTTTATAATTTTTAAATAATGTAAATTATATAAAAGTTACTTTTGGTCCTACAGTACCTTACTCCCCTCTCCTGATGTACTTTTATTCTCAGATTGGTGTGTATCTTTCTCCCTGTGCATTTATATATAGATAACTTTTTTTGCACAAGCAAACATTTGATTTAGCCATTTCTGTGAATATTTAGACATAAGGCACTAGCACCTCAGAAACTAATGCCAAATAGATTACATTCTTAAAGTAGTGAACACTCTGGAGGTCACCGATATCTGGTTTTTAAATTTTTATTTATTTATTTATTTATTTATTTATTTATTTATTTATTTTGAGACAGAGTTTCATTCTTGTCTCCCAAGCAATTCTTCCACCTCAGCCTCCTGAGTAGCTGGGATTACAGGCGCCCACCACCATGCCTGGCTAATTTTTGTATTTTTTGGTAGAGACGGGGTTTCGCCATGTTGGCCAGGCTGGTCTCGAGGTCCCAACCTCAGGTGATCAGCCCACCTCAAACTCCCAAAGTGCTGGATTACAGGCATAAGCCACCGTGCCCAGCTAAATTGTTTTTTTTATTATTATTTTTAGATGACAAATAAAAATTGTATATATTTGTGAGGTATAATGTGATGTTTTAATATTATGTGTACATTGCAAAATGATTAAATCAAGCTAATTAACATATTCATCACCTCATTTTTTTGGTGAAAACATTTAAGATCTACTCTCTTAGCAATTTTTGAGTATATGATACATTATTAACTATAATCAGCGTGCCACATACACTTTTAAGAATTCTAATAAAATTTTGCTTTAATTTCTGCATATAATTTTGTTTTTGAGGTGTTGTATTAGTCTATTCTCACGCTGCTATAAAGACATACCCGAGTATGTGTAATTATAAATTACCTGAGTATGGGTAATTTATAAAGGAAGGAGATTTAATGGACTCACAGTTCCACTAGGTTGGGGAGGCCTCATAATCATGGCAGAAGGCAAATGAGGAGCAAAGGCACATCTTACATGGCAGCAGCCAAGAGAGTGTGCAGGAGAACTGCGCTTTATAAAACCATCTGATCCCTTTCCCCTGGCTGGCAGCACGGAGGCTGCACAATGCCTGGGGAATTACTGTAAAGAACATGAACTGGCTGGGCGCAGTGGCTCATGCCTGTAATCTCAGCACTTTGGGAGGCCAAGGCGGGCGGATCACGAGGTCAGGAGATCGAGACCATCCTGGCTAACACGGTGAAACCCCGTCTCTACTAAAAATACAAAAAATTAGCCAGGTGTGGTGGCAGGCGCCTGTAGTCCCAGCCACTTGGAGGCTGAGGCAGGAGAACGGCATGAACCCGGGAGGCGGAGCTTGCAGTGAGCCTAGATCGCACCACTGCACTCCAGCCTGGGCGACAGAGCGAGACTCTGTCTCAAAAAAAAAAAAAAAAAAAAAAAAAAAAGAACATGAACCAGCAGGAGTTCATTAGAGCTCTGGCAGCCATTCTCAAAAAGTCCAGGAAGCTGAAAGTCCCTGGATGGGTGGACACCGTCAAGCTGGCCAAGCACAAAGAGCTTCCTCCCTGTGATGAAAACTGGTTCTACACATGAGCTGCTTCCACAGCACAGCACCCGTACCTACAGGTGATGCTGGGGTTGACTCCATGACCAAGATCTATGCGGGACATCAGAGTAAAAGCGTCATGCCCAGCCACTTCAGCCGAGGCTCCAAGAGAATGGCCCGCTGGGTCCTCCAAGCCCAGGAGGGGCTGAAAATGGTGGAAAAGGACCAAGATGGGGGCTGCAAAGTGACACCTCAGGGACGAGAGATCTGGACAGAATCACCAGACAGGTGGCAGCTGCCAACAAGAAGCATTAGAACAGCACAGGAAAAATTCACCCCCATGATTCAATTACCTCCCATGACACGTGGGAATTATGGGAGCTACAATTCAAGATGAGATTTGAGTGGGGACAGAGCCACAACATATCAGATGTTTTTAATCAAAAAATGTTGCTGGGCCTCATGGCTCAAGCCCGTAATCCCAGCACTTTGGGAGGCCGACGCGTGCAGATTACTTGAGGTCAGGAGTTTGAGACCAGCCTGGCCAACATGGTGAAACCCTGTCTCTACCAAAAATAAAAAAATTAGTCTGGTATGATGGCGAGTGCCTGTAATTCCAGCTACTTGGGAGGCTGAGGCAAGAGAATAGCTTGAACCCGGGAGGCAGAGGTTGCAGTGAGCTGAGATCGTGCCACTGCACTCCAGCCTGGGTGACAGAGAGACTCAGTCTCAAAAAAAAAAAAAAAAAAAAAAAAAAGTTATAACTACCTATTGTTGGTAAATTCAGTTTGCCTGTCTGTTTGGTGGCTTGCCATACTGGAAGTCTGCCCCATATACCAAAGTGTGCCAGATGATCTGTTATCCACTCAGCACTATATCTTCCTCTTTCTATGCCCTGCTCAGCACCACAAGGGAGAAACTCAGAAATGCATTTCCCAGAATCCCTTATAACTATGGTTCTAAGTTAAATTTTGTTCTTGAAAAGAACTCCCTCAAGACTCAGATGGCAATAGAGAAGTTATTTTTCTCCAGCAGTTATTGCAGACATGTGGGCAAATGGAAGAAGATGGGAGCCTATAGCAGTTACTGAGAAAGCTCCTGAAAATCACCTGCTGCCCAACTTGTAAAACGCCTCAAAGAGCAAGGATATGAATGAAAGACTATTTGAAAGACAGAAATCCCAAAGCTTTTTCTGGACACAGGTTTAATTCCTGGATCAAGTGGGGCTGTCATCACCGATGTCCCATTGTCCAGTTGTCCCTCCCAATCCCTCTTTAGATTCTCTTTTCCTAAAGTTTGTTTTGATTCAATGTCCTTTCAGTTCATCTTGAGGCAGCACTGTAAATCCCATTCTGGTATTTTCTAAGGGATATTGCTGAGGGTGCTGTTTCCTATATAAAGAGACATTGAGAAATTTCTTTCAGAAATAATTGCTGAAGGAAATATTTGCAGAGATAAGAGACTGGTGGATTAATCAATTAACAAATCACTTTTGTTGGTAGGAAAATCAGAGTAAAACTTTTGCTCAATTTTCAGAAACTGTGTAGGTTTCAATGGCTCACGTGTACAGCATCTTCCTGGGTTTTTACCTTCTATATAAATTTGTTCTTTTTCTGCCCACACTTTTAGATTTATTTATACCTCCCCATTTCATTATGTATACACTGGTATTTTTCCTAACTTTCCTAATTAAATACATATTTTAAAAATAAGTTTAAAAAAAATGCATGTACAACTGGGCATGGTGGCTGACACCTATAATCCCAGCATATTGGGAGGCCATGGTGGTGGGATGGGATGGCTTGAGTCCAGGAGTTTGAGACCGGCCTGGGCAACATGGCAAAACCTCTTATCTACAATGTGTGCAAAAGTTAGCTGGGTGTGGTGGCATGCACCTTTCTTCCCAGCTACTTGGGAGGCTGAGGTGGGAGGATCAACTGAGCGCCCAGAAGGTTGAGGTTGCAGTGAGCCAAAATCATACCACTGCACTCCAGCACAGGCAAGAGAATGAGAGCCTGTCTCAAAAATACATAAATAAATAAATAAACAAACAAATAATACATGTAGCTCAAGTTTTCTCAGACCTCATCAGCAGGCAGGTGCAAGGGATGATTTGAACAGCAGCTAAAAGGTTACTGGTTTATATTCCCATTTTTTAATAAAAGTCCCTGGGTTCCTATAAAACATGCCTTCTCCACCCCCCAACCAAATGTTTCTGGAAGTCCTCAGTGGGTGTTTCACATGCACACCCATCTGTTCTATCAGGCATCACCATGGTAGCTGAACTTCATAGACATGTATTTCTTCCCTCAAGTAACAGTCCTCAAGTAACAGTCCTAGATGAGCACTCAGGTCAGCAGGACAACTCATCTCTTTGTGGCTATTCAGGATCCTAAGCTGATACCACTCTGTCATTTTCATCATGTGACTTCCAAGGTTGCCCTGAGTGTCAACATCCAAATCAACTGAAGACAGTAAAACTTTTTTTTTAATTTAAAGGCATAGAAAAACATGTGTGAGAAATTTTTATGAGTCAAACCTGTACATGGAATACATCATTTATGCTCACAAACCATTGGAGAGAACTTAGTCATATGACCACATGCAACTGCAAGGGAGGCTGGGAAATGTAGTGTGCCCATATATCAGGAAGAAGAGAAGGGATTCTGGTAGATAGCTAGTGATCTCCTCCACAATATATTTTCTTCTAGTCTTTTTGCAATATTGTTTCCACAAAATTATGATCATATTGCATTCTTCTATATTCATTTAAAATTATATTCAGCACTTCCCTGTCATAAAATTGTCCTCAAAAACCATTTAAAAGATAATATATTATTTCATCTCATATATACCAGAACTTACTTACCTACTCTCCTTCTGTTGGATATTTATCTTCTTTCCAATTTTTGGTTTAATAAATGAAGCTGAAATTTGAATATTACATATCAGTTTTTGTTTCTTTTTTTTTTTTTTTCTTTTTGAGATGGAATCTCACTCTGTCGACTAGGCTGGAGTGCAGTGGCACAATCTCAGCTCACTGCAACCTCTGCCTCCCGGGTTCAAGGGATTCTCCTGCCTCAGCCTCCTGAGTAGGTGGGATTACAGGCACACACCACCACACCTGGCTAATTTTTGTATTTTTAGTAGAGACGGGGTTTCACCACATTGGTCAGGCTGGTCTTGAACTCCTGACCTCGTGATCCGCCCACCTTGGCCTTCCAAAGTGCTGGGATTACAGGCATGAGCCACCGCACCCAGCCTACATATCAGTTTTTAGCAGCTTCCCTAAAATTTTTCTTAGGATGGATTCCTGCAAGTGGAAGCACAGGGACAAAGGATATATACATTTAAAAAGGCTGTGTTTAATTTCTGTTCCATTTGGTGAGTGGAGTGGCAGGGGTTGAGGGGATGAGCTAGGCCTGTTTAGTCACACTGGGGTATAGAGTAGGAGATTTCTCTTTTCAACCATCACCCCTCTAGGTGTCAAGGGCCCCACCTGGAAGGCTCTCACCAATGCTGATATGAAGGGCATCTACGCAGATCCTCAGCACAGGTTACATATAATATTCACTCAAATGAAAACTGAATGGTCCACAGACACTGACTTTGCTCCCAAGTGATTCCCGGATGTTAGCAATAGATGTACTCAATCTACTATAGGCTGGAGCCCACTCCATTCCTACCCACAAAATCTCTCCAGGTCCTACTGTGCCTTGACCTTGCTATATACATTTTTAAGGATTTTTCAAATTTTGGGAAATTTGCCTTTTGCTTACCAGTTGAGCATCTGAAACTCAAAAATTCAAAATCCAAAATGCTCCAATGAGCATTTGCCTTGGATGTCTTGTCAGCACTGGAAAAGGTGCAGATTTTGGAGCATTTCAGATTTTAGATTTTCAGATTTGGGATGCTCGACCTGTACTTGTAAGCTGCTTCAAACTCCCTTTCCAATGCATTGGTCTACAAGTAAGTAAATAAGAAAAATTATGTTCTGTAGGATAGGAGGCAGCAAACTACAGTCTCCAAGTCAAATCTGGCATGCAGCCTGCTTTTATAAATAAAGTTTTATTGAAATACTGCCACATCTATTCATTTCCATATTGTCCATGGCTGCTTTCTATTACAACTGCAAAACTGAGTAGTTGTGATAGAGGCCTATGGCCTCCAAGCTTAAAATATTTTCTGTCTGGCCCTTTACAGAAAAAGGTTGCTGACCTGTTCTTCAGAATCAGGCTACAACAACGAAGCTAGGGTCTGTACTCACATACACCCCTATTTGTTCGATGAGCTTGTTCAGCTCCATATAACTTCCTTATTTTACTTATGAATGTCTTATACTATATTAATGCATCGTTAATACATCTGGCCTTCATAACTTCAGACCTTGCCATAATTAATTTTTAAATTTCACTCCTCTTCTCATTCAATTTTGATTCACAATTTATGAACACACACTATATTTCAGTTACCCAAATTAATAATGAACATGCAAAGTGGTATTTTTCTCTCTGGAAATGAAAGACACACGTATTTTCAAATGCTTGGTGAGCAGCACTATTGATATTTCTCTTTCTCTTATTCCAAGTAAATATTATGCCGCGTCTGTGTGGTCATAGCCATTTCCATCACAAAAGACTCTACAAACCCAGGATTACCTCATCCCAATAGAAACAAAGGGGAAAAGGGAATTAGGCTGAAGGGAAAGCTAAAGTAAAACCATCTTCAGCGATTTCAAAGGGACTCAGAAATAACAAAGTATATTTCTTTCAAGTAAATGTGCCCTTTTTTCAAAAGACTACTGTGGCAGTCCTAAAAAATGCCATTAAATGCAAAGCATAGAAGAGAGAGATCATTAAAATTAAAAATCAATTAAATTCTAAAATTTAATTTGCCTAAATCAAATTAAATCACCCAAGAGAAAACACACAGCTACTTGAGAAGTGCATATAAAATTGCAAGATACTCCCGTCTCCTAAACAGCTAGTTAATCACTGTTTTCCAACTGACGTAACAAGGATGTGCTTGCGTGTATTGTTTACAAGACCAAATACATGATTAATAAAAAGACGTAGTTTAAAACACCCTCTTTTAATGTTTTTGTTACACAAGTGGACCCAGATTTGTGATTAAAACTCATCAGAGAAGCATGTGAAAAAGTGGTATGAATCATTACTGATTTCCTGCCTTGCCCCTTTCCAAAGAAACTCATCCTTTCCCCCAATTGAAAACACATAAAAAGTTGACAGTTATAAAACCATGTAGTAAGACAGCAATTTGTTTTTTAAAAATTTTTTACTCTCTAATACAAAGCCTTCTTCCCTAAATGCTAATATGTGACTTAAGTCCTTCCTAGAGGTACAAACATGATTCATAGTTTAATATAGCTAGAGATAATTTTAGAAAGAGCCCCTTTTGTTTAAATGAATGTGAAACCTTTTGCCAAGCCTTGAAACTGCTGCCTTCATTGGCATGTTGACTTGTAAAAGGTGAGATAGTCTTTGGTAGCCTTAACTAGAGTCTTGTACGAGGAAAAAAAAGAATGACTCAAGGATCTCAGGAGACTTTTTTTTACCCACATTACTGTGGTCCTACTGTCTGATGAAATCCAAGGGTTGTTCAAGTACAAAACAATTTTCACAACTTCACAGGATGTTGAAAGATCCATTTCCAAGCCTTCATATCCAGGAGTCCTTCCCAAACTAACATTCATCGTTTTGCCTTTTTTTCCTTTCATCCAGGTGCTCTGGGAATTAGTTATTGAATTCATTTTCTCCCACCATTCCCAGCCCCATGACTACATCCCCTTTATAAAGTGTAAACTATACCACTTTGGGGCAAAACGTGAAGAAAATGTCTCTTTGGCCTCCCTGATCTACGCTTTTAATATTTCTTTTAACGTTGCTCTTTTCTTCCAGGAATCTAGCACCATGTGCTGGGTTCTGTATTAGTTATGTATTGCTGTTTAACAAATTATCCAAAAACTTAATGACTTAAAATAATAATTATTTATTACCTCACACAATTTCTGTGGGCTAGGAACTTAGCTTGGTGGGTTCCGCCTCAGACTCCCTCAAAAGGTTAGAGTCAAAACGTCAGCTGGGGTTACAGTCACTGAAGGTTGCATTGGGGCTGAAGAATCCACTTCCCACGTGGCTCACTCACATACTGCTAACTGGTGCTGGTTGCTGGCAGCAGGCCTCAGTTCCTTACCCCAAGAAACTATGGGGCTGTTTGGGTGTCCTCATGACATCGCAGCTGGCTTCCCGTAAGAGAAGTTGATCTGAGGGATCTCATAGAGTAAGGCAGAAGCCTCTGG
This sequence comes from Homo sapiens, assembly GCF_000001405.40. Lineage (NCBI taxonomy): Eukaryota > Metazoa > Chordata > Mammalia > Primates > Hominidae > Homo > Homo sapiens. The sequence continues at coordinate 53,420,265 of NC_000005.10, forward strand.
AAGTCACACTTAGGAGTCATTTCCACAATGTACTATTGGTTACTAAGGTAACCCTTATTCAAAATGGGAGAGAACAACACAGAGTGTGACTAACAAGAAGTGAGAATCACTGGAGGTCATCCTGGAGGTGACCACAGACCCTAATGGCCCAAGGTCTTCCACCCTGTCCCAGGCTGCCTTTGTCCTGGCAGTCCTCTCCAGATGGCCTCCCCAACGAAAGCAAATCTTTCATGAGTGTATTCTGTCAGTTCCCTATTCTTTACTAAGGTAATGCTGCTGATCTGTTACTGAAATTTTGCTAATGTGCTCAGAGAATGCTGCAGGGGAAAAGTGTAGCTTTTTGCACACATTCTCCTTCATCAGCAAATAAAAGAGTCAAGGCCTTGACTAAACACTGATTCTCAGGGTGGAAGCACCAGGTCTACTATAAACAGATGGGGAAATGTCCTATTATTTAGTCCTGGAAAATTTCACCATGTAGGCATATACCTGCTTCAACAACTCCTAAGTCTGAGTTTATAGGGACAATTTGGACAATAGGATTATTCTAGTCACAACAAGTTTTTACTTCAGCTCTCTGACTATTCCCTGTGCACACTTATGCATCCTCAGAGCCTGGCAGAGACCACTCAACAAATACTAATCTCATGAAAAAAGGAAGGTCTAGACAGACTTCATAGTATTGATAGAGATACACACCTGCTTCATAGAAACTCAAGAGGTACAGCTTCAATAAAAAAGAACAGAGGAAAAGCAAAAGAAAAAATCATTGAATACACTTTACATCAATGCAACCCAGTTACTATCAGAAAAGAACAATTAGAAGCAGAGCTCTCTGAAATTAAAAAAGCGAAGAATGGGATTACTTCATTCAAGTTATGTCTTTGAAATTAAAAACAAAAGAACTACAAACAGTAATTGTTAGTCAGAGACTAATAATAATAATTTCACTTACTGAGCATCTAACTTGGGCCATGTACATCATACATTATCAATACCTCTTTCAACAACCCTGCAGGGCAGATAGGTATTAGGATTCTCATTAGAAAAGGAAAAACAAACATGAAACAAATGGCTAGTTTAGAGAGGCAGAACAGGGATTTAAACCCAGGTTTGTCTGACTTCAAAGCACAACCTTTTCTCCAATGCCACACTGACTAACCTGTTGTCTTTAACAACAACATAAAAAAAAAAAAAAAGAAAGCAAAAAAATAACCAGGCTCACTGACTACTACCAATGGAAGTTAAGGTAGCTCTTTGACTCCTCTATCATCTACCTGGGCTCATGGGTGCAAGTATTATCAGATTGGCTCAGTGCCCAATCACAGGCCTGCTAGAGCCAGGGACTTGATATGGTTCATCCCTAACTGTACAATGCTCTTTTGAGGGGTGTGGAAAAAATACAACTGGGTTAAGGCTCCCTTAGCACTAAAGTCTATAAATTTTGGGGATGTATACGATTTGACTGGACAAGGGCAGAGAAGAAAACAATGAAATATTTACATTTCTTTAAAAACAGTAAGTTAAATTTATTCTCCCCTCTGTTTGGTGTATAGATATACCCAAAGGGTCCATTTTTCTGTACATCATGATTTTTTTATTCTACAGCAACATTCATCTCTATATGAGAGTTCCAAACTGTAATAAAGGACTTTAATGGGAAAGAGAAGAAAAGGAAATTATCCTCCATGCTCACATATGGCCACCAACCACACAACCTTCCAAGAAAAAAATCATCTCTAAACTACAGATTTCGTGTTTTAAGGATGTTGGAAACAGTGTGCTGAATAGCATCATTTGACTACTCAGTGCTGGACAACACTAAAATTCTAATGAAAGGAAAAAGCAAAAAAAAAAAAAGAAGAAATTCTCTTCAAGAGGCTTACCATTAAACTCGTAAGCTATTCGATCCTTCATTGCAATCAGTAAGAAATTGTAGCTTTTTATTTCTTAAAATTTCATAGCTTTTGAAAGCATTTCTATTTTCTTGCTTGTCATTGAAAACTTGTCTTAAAATTCAAGTTAGGTAGGATTTTAGTAACTTCCACATTTCAGCTTTGTCCTGGCATTGTGGAGGATGCCAAGAACTCTAAGATGTGTCTCTTTCTTTCACAATCCTGGTTCTCAAATTTGAACACGCACCTGAATCATCTGGAGAGCTTGTTAATTAAAATACAGAGTGCTACCCCCTACCCCTGGAATTTCTAATTCTGCAAATCTAGGGTGGAATCTAAGAAATTACAGGTCTAACAAACTCTCAGGTGATGCTAATGTTATGGTCCAGGGACCACACTTGGAGAACTTCTGCTGGAGAACTGAGTCTCTAGTCCTGGTAAAGAAGCAAGACAAAAACATGTATGAAGTAAAGGAATTGTATGCAGCAGCATAAGCTCAGAAACCAACTCAGAGAGACAATTGCTGTAAGAACTCTCAGGAGGGAGTAATCCCACAGGCAGAAGTCATCAGAAAGGAAGTGAGACTTGGCAGGTTCTCACTGAATGAGTAGGAAGACGAGGAAGAAAGGCATCACAGACCAGTGTACATGTGTTGTGTTCACATAGCAACCAAGCCACCATAAGGAGAGCTTCTCCACTGGCCAGCGGTTTGAAAAAATATACCAGGGCAGTGCGTGCAGAGAACCATCAAATAAGACTAAAGGATCAATGGGCCTTAGGAACCACTGAAGGTTGTATAGTGGAAGGGTGATTGTTTAGGGAAGATTTAGTGATGTTTTAGTGAGGATTAAAAAGCAACAACATACACATTGGATTGGTGCAGGGAGAAACCAGACAGAGGGAGGGTGCCAGCTACAGGGCAAATGCTATGATCCAGACAAAAGCTTGGATCCAGACAAAAGCTTGAGAGAGGTTGAGGCAATGGAAATCCTGAGAGAGAGACAGACCAAAGAGGTAGAGGATTTAGTGACTTACCTGATACGAAGGCCAATGCGACGGAGAGAGAGGGGAGTCAAAGTTTACTGAGGTTATGAACCCTATGACTGGGAGGAAAAATATAACAAAACATTTCATTCTGTTGAACTATGCCCAAGTAATTCTGCTGACAATATGATATCACAAGGTACTGACTTTTAGGGAGGAATGGGAGAGTCTATTTTGGCAAGTTTCAAACTTTCCCTAATCTTACAGGGTCAGGATTTCAAGTCTGAATCTCATTTGTGTCCAAACCCATTTAAACTCTTTAATAAGTGATTTCCTGTTTTAAAGAGGAAAAATGTATATTTTTAAAATTATTCAAAGGACTTAAATACTTCTTAGACATCAAACAAGTCTCAAGAAATAATATTTTGATGATTTAAGTAAAATTAAACAAAAACATATGGAATGAATTTCTTTCAAACATACATCATGTTTAGAAAGTGAGGGTAAGACTGCTTCATAAAATGAATTTGCTGTTCTATCAAACCCAAAATGGCTGAAAAACTCTTCAAACATTTACAATTCAGCCAGATTTGTCCTACCCTGACTTCTATGCTATTGAATATCAGAATCTTTCAAGGTCATTTTACTTTTTTAGTCAATGAATCATGACATTGGTTTCTACAAGATGTAATATTTATGGACTGTTTTGACATGTGTATCAGCAAAATAAGAGAATTCAGTTGAATCAATTGAATGCTCTGATGAGAGGTTCCATACACTTCCAAGATTGCCCATTGCTGACAGTAACCTATGATCGTGGTTTTCACATTTGGCAAGAGAGACTGTTCTGAGCAAACCCTCCTCCCTGAGGAGCTATGAGGAAGCTGACTAGCTTGCTAACTGTGGCCCACCTAGCATCTTTACCACCAACCTACACACACAGAAAGAGAGTGAGAGAGCAGCAAAGATGTATTATGGCTTTTGTGTCATACTCATCATACTTTATTTCCTTTCAACAGAAACTCCATTACCTTCGTCTTAGATTACGGCATCCCCTAAACCCTGTAATTTATCTTCCCATACCCCTCATTGATTCTAGCCTTGTACTCTGTCAAAGCATGGCTCCTCCTCTGCAAAAATACGTAATAATGGGCTATTCATTAGACAAACAAATCTGTGATTTTCTTCACACCTGAGCAGGAGAAAGAACTTTATGGGTCACTTGGTTCAGCCCCCTTATTATCAGCCGAGTGAAGAGAGCTCCTCTATGGGACACAGCTGGTCAGTAGCCAACCCAGGATTAGCGTGCAAGTCTGCTAATTTCCCATCCAATTTTTTCCTCTTTACACACACTATCTCTTGGACACCTGCTTTTTACAAATGACTGCATTACTCCCAAGTGACTGTTCTTTTTCTTAAGACAAAAAGGAACCATTTCCCTGGCTGATTGATTGTTCATCATTTGCTCTCAACTTTCTGCAAAACTATCTCAGTTAAAACATTTATGGTCATCCTTCCTAGAGACACTGAGGGCAGGGGAGGTATTGTTGGTCAGAAGAGCACTTCCATGGTGTTCATATCATATTTCATGATTTACTACTGCTGACTCAACTAATGCCTAAGGCCATATCTCTTCCACATAACTACGCTCAGTTTAGGATGGTGATTTGCAACCAGGGGATATTTCTGCCCCCCAGGGGACATTTGTCAAAATCTAAAGACATTTTTGGTTTTTACAACTAGAGCATCCTACTGGCATCTAGTGGGTAGAGGTCAGGAATGCTGCTAAACATCCTACAATGCATAAGACAGCTCCCTGTAACAGAATTATCCAGCCTCAAATGACAATAGAGCCAAGTTTGAGGTCATGTGTTAGGAGAGGGGGCTGAAGTAGACATTAGTACAAGAATTTCAGTATATCGCTAGGTTTCAAGATAACAGCTAGATCCTTCGGTCTTGGAGCATTCATTCAGCAGCTATCATGTGCCAGGCATTACTCTAGGTACTGCTGCCAAATTTATAATCTGATTGTCCTCCTGCCTAGATATTAGAAACATAGAATGCTGCAGCCCTGAAAGATTCTGACACAGTGAAAGATAAGCGTCTTCAGCCAGATATGTTCCTAAGCCTACCACATTACAGACAAATAAAACGCTGAACCCGTTGGAAGGCATGGTGTAGTTCACTCATTCCTGGGATCAACAGCAGCCATTTGGACCTGGTGGAGAACTTTCAAAGATGAATGCGGTGTCAGTGCCCTGAAGCCATCCAAGAACAACTAGACAGGCATCTGTAAAGAATGCTTTGCAAAGTGAAAAACGGCCACGTGGTTTCTTTTGTTGCTGTTGTCATTGTTCTGCCAAGTGAAAAGCAAATGATGCTTTAAATATTTCAAGAAAGAAAAATTTCCCTTTGATACTACATCTTACTTACTTTCACCAAAATGTCATCCTGTTAGGCTGGGTGCTATCAGGGACATATCAAAAGCCTCTTTTATCAGTGTTATTTCTACTTTGAACATATTCCTTTAATTTAAGTCAGTATGGCTGGTTTGTATTAAAATATTGGAAAGGTTCTTAGGTTTCAGACTGATAGTAAATCCATAAAAAAACAAATGGCTTTTCCATTTCCGGGAAATCTAATTAAATGTTGTGAAAACAAATGTGCTCTGGTGTGGCATATAATGGAATAATATCGAAGAATAAATCTTGGGTTTCTGTTGTTTGGTAAGCTCTTTGAACTCTGGAGAATGTGAGAAAAATACCTTCCCAAGCTAGGGATCTGGGAACAGGGAGATAAGGAATGACAAATACTCTCTCAAAACTACTCCAGATTCTCCACACCATAGAAACCTAAATCAAATTAACGGAAGACCTCTAACATAGCTCTCCTGCCGGGTGGCAAATTTTGTATCCAAGAGGTTTTCTCCTTATAGTCCCTACCAGAATCCTCAAGTGAAAAAAAAAAAAGAAAGAAAAAAGAAAATGTGTCTCAGCCCCTCCCCCACTACCACCACCTCACACTCAATCCAACTTGGTAATGGTGGATCCCACCACAAGATGGCGGTCATAGTTTATCTTTGTTTTCAGTGCTTATCTCGACAAAATATTTGTGAGGCTCAGTGGTGGTGCTTCAGGGGTCTCTTTGAAAGTACATGGGGTGTTGTAGTACTCCATAATCTACATGGGTTCCTTTCTTCCCAGCCCACATGTGATCTAAACAAAAACAAAGTGTTCGCTGTGTAAACACAGCTTCCAGGGAAATCCTCTTCCAACCAGAGGGCTGCTTATAAACCCATTCTATAACAGAAATTTGATGCCAATAGGTAGGATTTCTATTTTTTACCGAAAATAATTCCTTGTGACTTTTGTCTCACCATTTACAAGCTTTTGCATGTACTATCATATTTCATGGTTTATCATATTTCTGACACCCTCCCCCTGCCCTGGGGCCCCTTACTTAGCACCGTTTCAGAGCCAGAAAGGAGGCCTGTTGAGCTTCTCTGTACTGACCTGAGCAATAAATCCTGCCCACCCCGTATCTCCTTTCTGGCCTGTATCAAGGGGATTGTGCTTTAAAAGAAATAAGCCTACCTACTCTTCTGCCAGCCTAAATCCAAGGGGAGATCACTCTCAGTAAGTTTCATCCACCCATCTTGCTTTCCAATTGAAGAAGAGAATTAATTATCAGTGGCTTTTGTACAAGTTGACTTTTATAATTTACCATCAAGATGTACATCTGCCCTTTTCCTGGACATAAGTCAAGCACTTACTATCCTACTAATTCCCCCAAGTCTCTATAGTTCATCTTAAACTGCAGCACTGATGTGTTAAATTACTTCCCTGACATAACTGGCAGATAGCGATCTCAAATCTCTGGCAGATAGAAATCTCATTGTGAGCCTCTTCAGCTGGAGCGGCCTCCTCACCTAAGTAACATCACAGTTGCATCCTGTCTAGTCCTTTCTCATAATGCCACTTGGTGCAGCTGTGTCTGTGTGGCTCTATCTGTGTAGGTCTGAGTATGGCTCCTTGCATGTGTGTAGTGAAAGGTCATGGAAGCTGTCAAACAACTCTGATCCAATTGAGTGACAGCATCACTGCAAGTAAAGACATAGTGGGAAAAAAAAAAAAACATTCAATATTGAAATAATTACCTGAAAGACTGTTCTTAGTTCTTTGGCCTTCAGAACTGCTATAAGTAGTAATTTCTGACTTAAATATGTTAAGAGGCATATTTAAGCATAAAACACTAAGCTAAAACATAGTAAGCAACTTTCAATATATTGCGGGTTTGCTACCAGAGAGTTGAACTTTTATGCTATTTTCAATCTTTCTCCCTCTGAGATGACTGAGCAATCCAATATTCTTAAGTAGGCAGTTTGTCTAACATGACAGTATGAACATCTTACTGCTTTTATTTTCTTTGCAAATCTGCATTCCCTCCAACCACCCCACCCTTAGGAGGGCAGGGACTCTATATTGTACAACTTTGAGACATCAACACCTAGTGTGATGCCTACATAATGTCAATGGATGATAAATGCTTTTTAATTAAATTAAACAAATGACTCTGCAGAGCTCTTCTCAATTAAAAAAAAAGTTTATAAAACTGAGCAAAAGATATGACCAAAAATATATAAATCTCCACTAAACACATAAAAAGAATTTCACCTATACTATATATCAGGGAAATGCAAACCAAAACAATAAAATATTTTTCATCTATCGGACATCATTTAATTTAAACAATTATTGAAATGTTACATCTTGACAAGTAGAAAGGACACTCATAGTATAAATTGATTCAATTTGACATTGTCTATCCAAACTTGAAATGTGCATACTCTTTGATCTAGTAATTCCATTTTGAAGAATCCATATGGGAAAAAAACTCAATATGTGCACAAAAGTAGAAGATTCAATAAAGCATGGTTTGTTATTGAAAAAAATTGAGAAAGCAAATGTCCATTAATAAAGAAATGGTAAATAAATAATAGTGCATCCATATGATGCAACACTGAGGCAACATCAAAAAGAATGAGGTAGACTTTTTACTCATTTTGGAAAATCTTCTACATCTAATTAAGGAGAAGAGCAAGTTAACAAATAACAAAGACATAATCCCATTTGTTTTCTTTTCTTTTTTTTTTCCAGAGGGGCCATATATGGGTATATGTGTGCAAAGTAGACTTTATTAAAGAGTACTCAGGTTGGACACAGAGGAAGGGGACATTATAGCAACTTAAATGATTTTGAGCTAAATGTTATTCTTCTCTTTATGAGTCTTAGTAGGATGTTTACACTGACTGCCTTACCTTGTGTAGTGGCCCCCAGCCCCATGCCTTCTCAGTGGTTTTTCTCGTTTCTCAGTTTTTTTTTTAAGTTAATGCGTGTATATATGAAGCTATGAAATGCAATTATCTTTTTTTAATTTTTTTCTTTCTACTGTTTTTGTTTGGTAAATTAGAAGATTTTAATTTGCCTTGCTCATCAGATTCACTCAGCTTGTCATAGTGACTGGAAATACTCAATAATGGCTACATAAATGGATGGATAGAGGAACACAAACAGGCTCCCTTTTTTTCTTAGTTGCCAGAATCTCTAAAGGTGTTTATTGAAGATGGTTTTCACACCTTAGCCACGGAGAATGAAGAGGAGGTATCTGCATTTTAATAAGGAATTATGAAAGACAGAAAGAAAGGAATTTTAGCATGGAGTTTTGTTTGCAAGACACCTTCAGTAAAATATTCACTGAATGAATGACAAATTTCTGGTGTTGGAATTGATATAAAGGAGATATTTAGGGAGATTGAGTCTTTCCAGTATCTTAAAAATAATTATTGGAACAATTCAGGAGGACATTTGTTAAAAGATTTAAAAATCACTTATAATCTATCATTCTTACTCCTTTCTTTCCTATTTTCTTTAATAAGTAATGCCTGGTTACATTTTTGTTTTAGATTCAAACCGTACAGATGTTTGAATAGATAAAAATAAAAGATAAACAACTCTTTATACCCCTATTTCCACTCCCCTCCCAGAGGAAACCATCAGCCAATTAGATGTGTGTTTTTTTCTAGTACCCCCTCTGCATCTTACAGCTATCTATGTACATGTGCTCACTTTTTATTTTTGTCCAGATCTCCAAGGGGAAGTCATACCTAAGAAAATTACTAAGAAATTGATCCAAAATTTGAAACTTATTGTTGGAAGGCTGGTATTAGGGAAATGGTGTTATGTAAATAACTCATAATAACCTAAATTCATGCATGTAGGACTCACACAATGTGAGGACTACTTACATATATCATGAACCACTACCCTCTTAGAAAACTGAGTTTTCAGTGCACTGGTCTTTCACATGCTTTTAAAAAAAAACAATATTTCATAATGGATAGGGATATATAAATGTGGAGATAAAAATTGAGATTAATCAAAAAGTCTAGAGACTTGGCAGTAGGGGAAAGAGAGAATAAGAGAGAAATTTGGAAGAAGGCAGAGAGGCATGCGTAGAGCTAGGAGACCAGTTAGGTGTCTAATAGCCAGGCAAAAGAAGGTGGTAGCTAGGGGTAGAGATGTAGGAAAGTAGACAGACCATGGGGGTATATTTGGTAAGTAAAGTAGAGGGAATTTGATGAGGAATTATGCAGGAAAGGGGAATGTCGAGGATGAAGCCTACATTCCTAGGCTCGCATGACCAAATGGATGGTGTTGACTTTTGCTGAGTCATGGAGCACTGGAAGACAAGAAATGCGGTGGAGGGCAAGCAATGGCGCTCATGAGGTCAATCCTCAATAGACTAAACGGTCTTTCAAACAGCTAACTAGAGATTCTGAATAGGAGCTCAGAACAGCCTCATAGGCTGGAAATGTAAGCACAGAAATCACTGACCTCTAGATGTATGTGAGGTGATGTCAAGTGGGACAGACAGCTGCTGAGTAGAAACAGAAATGAGTGGTGGTGTATGGGGCTCAGAAAACAATACTCCAACATGAAAGCCTTAGAAGCAGCTCTCTCTGACTTTTTCCTTCCCTCCTGCCTCTGGCCCCTCATTTTCCTTGGAGGCTAGCCACAGAAACTAGAATCCCCCTTCCCCAAGGCAGGTCATAGAAGCCAGAACCCCTTTTCTCCAAAGCCAGCCATAAAACCTAAAAACCACTCCAGGTTTTCCCCCACTTTCCTGTGTAAAAACTGGCCATAGATAAATTATCTGACTTACCCTATTTGACTGTAGGTCATAAGATCCCCATTCCAGAAAGAGCCCTGCCACATACACAGAAGAAAGAAATGCATGCTCAGAGATGTCAAGAAGAATCTAGATGAACAAGCCTTACTGGGCTTCACCATTCAGTCTGTTAGCATTAGATCATACCTGTTTTGTCCAATCGCATTTCTACACAACTATCTGTACTTTGTTGAACCTAAACACAAAAATGGACAGTTTTCTCCTGTATCTTTGAGTCTTCCTTTTGAAGGCTCCCATGTCACTTAAAACTATGATCAAATGAATTTTTACGCCTTCTCTTCTATTAATCTGCCTTTTCCCGGTGATTTTCAGTGAGCCTCCAGAGGGCAACGGGGAGGTTTTTTTTTTTTTTTTGGCCCCAACAGGGGTCAGTGACAAAAATTACCCAATTATGACAGAACCAGATCTGGTAACCATAAAGTCCACTGAGATAAGGCCCAACTGCCCTCTAGTGGAATTCAAGCCATTTTAACAGCCTGCAACAAGAAATACATTAAGCTGATTTTCACATGACTGTGAGCAGAAACGCCCGTAGGCTTTCTGTGAAGAAAAAAAGTACCTCAAGGCAAGATGCTTACCTCTCTCTACAAGGCTGTCAATAAAATTAAGTTTCTCTATTAGTGGAACTTTTAAAAATACAGTGAATCAATAACTGAGGTTTTGAAATACCTGTCTGCAGTCTCTTTTCCAAAATTCAAACATCTGAAAGTTTCTAAAAACCAAAACTTGTTTGTTTGTTTTCTAAACTCACTTGGTGGCAAAACCTAACTTGATTTGAACTCATTTGGTGGCAAAATCTGACCTGAATTTCTAATTATTGACTATGTCTGCTGGTCCAGGCCCAGATGAGAGTGTTACATAGTAAATGCACCTCATTGCCTCTTTAAAAAAATCTAAAATATCTTTTAACAAATCTCAACTCTAAAAATTCTAAGTCTCATGTGTCCCTGAGGTTTTTATTTAAAGGATCAGGCAGATTACCAATGGCAGAAGATATCATAACATTCGATTTCTTTTTTTATTTTTTTTTCTCTTGAGACGGAGTCTTGCTCTGTCACCCAGGATGGAGTTCAGTGGCACGATCTTGGCTCACTGCAACTTCCGCCTCCCAGGTTCAAGCGATTTTCATGCCTCAGCCCTCTGAGTAGCTGGGATTACAGGCACCCACCACCACTCCCACCTAATTTTTGTATTTTTAGCAGAGACAGGGTTTCACCATGTTGGCCAGACTTGTCTGGAACCCCTCACCTCAGGTGATACACCCACCTCAACCTCCCAAAGTGCTGGGAATACAGGCGTGAGCCACCGTGCCCAGCCTGAATTTTTAATCATAGGGATGTTCAAAGAAGGAAACTTACCCTGAGTCATTTAAACAAAAACATATGCAGGCTCAAGTTATCTAAGATTCAGCAGAAGTGCAACAGGGAATCAGCAAAATACACAAGTACTAAAGTTTAACTTTTCCAGGATTTGCCATTGAATGGGCTGCCACTGTCCTGATAACGTGTGTGTGTGCATCATGCTTATGAATCAGGAGGCAGGCATCGGCTGTACGTTCTTCACTCTTCCTGAGCTGTAAGCCAAGGCCACGGGTATCCATGCTTTGACATATGCAGGAAATACAAGTGCAGTGGACTCAGTAAGAACCTAAGTCCTAATCTAGTTCTCATCTTCATATAAATCTTAAAATCAGAAAAATCTAGATGAAGATTCTATACCATTTTCCCTTAAGAAATACATAATAAATAATAATAAGCATTTTCTACTAAAACCATGCCAAGGGAAAAATACTGCATGCTCTGAAGGGCCCCTCACTACTTACATGGAAAAATCTATGATAATCTCATTCCTTGTGTTTTTCCAATTGTTGCATGGCCCAGGGCCGGAAGCAAGCCAGGGCAGAAATATCATTGAAAATTTTTATTTTATCTATATGTACTAAAAACAGACTAGTTTAAAATGCAATGCACTCTCCAAAAAAGAAGTACCTTAAATTCATTTAGAATTGGAGACTTTTACATGATGTTTATTCATTCATTCAGCATATATTTATTATGTGGCTCCTAGGCACCAAGAATTGCTCTAGATACAATGAATAAGACAAAGTCCTCCTGATTCATGTATGGGGCAAAGAAGCCAGGTAGCATTATCTGCATTTTACAGATGCAGAAACAAGATTGAAAAACAATAAAGGTAGTAGGAGAAAAAGTTGCCTGCAAGCCTTCTGCCATAAGTCTCTCTCTACTGACCCATGGCCAGTGCTGTGCAGCATTCCCAGAGGCCAAGGCAGACATCAGAGATAAGGCCTAGAACATTTGCAAGGTGAGCAAAGGAGAAAGTCACAGAGTGAGCCAGAACAGATACCTCCTAGCCCCAAAGTGAGAGGAACAACACAATGGCTTCTTTTCGTAAAGAGGAAGGTATTGGGGAAGACTGATCCCAACACCAAACACATCAAAATCCAAACCTAGATTATTTTTAAATCTTCTTCTAGAATGGATAAGGTGGTAATATTCATTTATGACTAGTATAATTATTATGCTTTTCTTCCAGGTTTGCCTTAAGCTGAGCGTTCAAAAAATATATATATAAAGTAATCCTAAGAACAACATATCTTGATTTTACAGCCTTTCTTTTTCCTTGCCAAGAACCCTAGAGCATTTTGTGAGAGGGTATTAGATTCCTAATGAGCAGTAGCAAGATAGGAGGTGTTTCCACAGTCTCTTGGAATTTCGTGAAGAAAGTTAAAGGCAATGAAGAGGTCACCAAAGGCCACAGATCCATTGTGTAAAGTCTGTATTCATGCATATTTTATAGACAGGTATGGTAAGAGTTAGAAATGTTACAGTTCTGTGAGCTTTTGGCTCCTAAGGGATTGAGATGGGCCAAAAATGCAGGTAAACAAAATACCAGCTGAAAATTCCTCTACAAGAATGCTTTGGAATATCACACCTGGATTTTGGCTCCAAGCCACCACAAACAGAGTATTTGGGCTTACTGGCATTGAAACAAGAATATCTGTGGGAGTAATCAGGGGGAGTAGATGGCTTAGGGGGCTGATAATGGGATATATTTTGTCTCTTATCTTCTGGCTCAAATTCAGCCCAGGTGGAAAGTGACTAAAAATGGCTGCCTCATTGTGGCCTCTGGTCTTGGTAATTTCTACTCAGGTCTGGGTAAACAAAGATCCACCTCCCTCAGATAAAAGGCTCAAAAGAGAAACTTGGAGAAAATGTCTAACAGATCTGCCAAGAACTCAATGGGTCATAAAAAAAAAAAAGAAAAATAATAATAAAACCGAAAGAAAAAAGAGAAAGAAATGGGGGAACTAAAGCTTCCTCACCTTAACAGGTGGTTAGAAACTGGCACAAGAGCCGTTCTTGCAGTAAACCCATCTGGGGTCTTGAAGGAGGGCTCTTGTAAAGATGCAGTCAGTTAGGCATGAGAAAGTCAGTAACTAGATTATAACATATAGGGCAACATCTCAGCCTCATGTAACACTCAGGCAGAAAGAGAGGAGACACAGCTAGATTTAATTGAATACCTAATACACGAATGTTTGAAATCCTTTCATCAACTTGCTCATCAACATGTCCTTCATTTCCAACTTTCTGAGCTACAACCATCCTTCTGGGCTGGAGTTTCTCAGCCTCAACAGTGCTGCCATTTTGAGCTGGATAATTCTTTGTGGCTGCTGTGCACATGGTTGAGCAGCATATCTGGCCCTCCCACCAGATGCCAGTAGCAGCCCCCAACTTCCCCAAAACTGTGACAACCCAAAATGTCTCCATACATTGCCAAATGTCCCTGGGGGCAAAATTGCCCTTGATAAGAAGCACTGCTCTCCGATGAGGGACCAAGTAGAATAGTGAAGAGCATGAGCTCTGGAGCCAGCAGACCTAGGTGTAGGTCCGAATTTCACTTCCTGTCTGTGTGGCCTTGGGCAAACTATTAACCACCTTGACCCTCAGCATCCTTATATGGGCCACTATTACCCTGTTGTGGTCTTGGGAAGATTAAATGAGATATACCCTGGCACATGATAGGTGTTCAATTTTCAGTTTTCTTCCCTCCTGTTATCCACGACTCTCAATTTAGAGATATCTTTCATAGTATTCTAACCTCTCTCCTTCTCCTACTTACCATCAAATCTTTTTTTTTTCTTTTCCTCTGGTCTGCCTCCATGGTACAAACACTGAAGTGAAATCAAAAGACTTGGAATTATGCCATAGCTTTCTGCTTACTGGCTACATGAACTTGGACACGTTATTTAACCTGATTTTGGGTTCTCTGATATTAAATCAGTCTTATCATCTTGGTATCTACAAAACTGCATGAGGTTATCTCTTCCCTGCTCAAAAGCCTGATCTGGCCCTCTTTTGCTTTGTGAGTCATGCAAAACATGGATTGCAGGCTCCCTTTTCTTTACTCAACAAAATTTATATCTCACTAAGTTGATTTTCAAACATGCCTAGGCATCAAGATGTCTTGTGAAGATTTTCAAAACAAAACACAAAGGCTCAAGGCCCATCTGCAGAGAGTCTGATTTAATAGGTCCAGTGTGAGACTCAAGCAGCTTTATTTATTTATTTATTTATTTATTTTGGAGAAAGAGTCTCACTCTGTCACCCAGGCTGGAGTGTAGTGGCATGATCTCAGCTCACTGCAACCTCCACCTTCTGAGTTCAAGCAATTCTTCTGCCTCAGCCTCCCGAGTAGCTGGGACTACAGGCGCATGCCACCGTGCCCAGCTAATTTTTGTATTTTTAGTAAAGACGGGGTTTCACCATGTTGGCCAGGCTGATCTTGAACTCCTGACCTCAGGTGATCTGCGGGCCTCAGCTTCCCAAAGTGCTAAGATTACAGGCACGAGCCACCATGCCTGGCACAAGCAGCTATCTTTAAAAAAAAAAACAAAAAACAAAAACAAACAAACAAACAAACAAAAAGCTTCTCAGATGATGCTGATACATGGCCAGGATTAAGACCTACAGTCCTAGACTCTCAATGCAGTTAAGTGGACCTGCTTACCATCCCGAGCTCATGACTAACTCCCTCCTACTTCCAAAGGTTTGCCCAAATTACTGCCCCTACCTGGATTACTTCCCCAGCTTCTCTCAGCCAGTCTATGGCTTTTTCCTCTTTCAAAACTAGCTCCCTTTAAGAATCTTCCCACTTTCCTCTGGTACTGGGACTTGCTCACCCAAGCAAATTCTTAGTCCATGCATGATATGTGATGCTTAAAACTCAAAATTTATTTTTGAACAAAAATAACCAGCCTTCCTAGAGAACACTGAAGACAGGGGAGGTATTATTGGCCAGAAGAGCACTTCCACAGTGTTCATATCATTAGGCCTCAGAGAAAAAATTCTGGAAGGACTTCTACAAAGGATATTACAAATCAGAACATCAGTTTGAACTCTTCTTGTTTAACTGATGTCAAAGATAGTTTATGAGCCATACGTGAAGGACCACGTTGTTAAAGTTGAAAAAATAAAACTCTACAATTCATTTTTATCAACACACCTTGCTCATCATCCTTGGCTCTAAATATCTATTAGAACTTTCTAAATATTAAGCCCACCATTAAAGGATGATTTATTATTCTGGGTAATATGAAGAAATTGTACCACATGATCTGAACAAAACTTCAAAAATATTTTGAGCAACAGCAATGTTATTGGAATAAGTGTGCAGGCTTCCAAGCCAATTACTTGGGTGGAAACGCTCATTTGAATAAACAAATTATGACACATTTTCATTGTAAAAAGTTGTCACTATCCAACACAATATCTTAATAGTTTAATTACTGTTACTAACTCAAAGTCTGTTTGATTAGAGTGGTAGTTCTCAATGAGGGGACATTTGGCAATGTCTGGAAACATTTTTGATTGTAACAACTTGGGAGAAGGGTGCTACTGGCATCAACAGAGTAGAATGTAGAGGCTCAACATCCTATAATGACGAAGACAGCTCCTCCTTCCCTTCAACAAAAAATTGTCTGACCAACAATGTCAATAATGCCACTGTTGAAAACACTAGATTAAGTGTTTCTATGCCTCTGTGACATATTTTCTTGTATATTTTGGTCTGTCTCCTCTCTGTAGTAGGAATTTCTTCTTCCTCATACTACTCAGTGCAAACCCATATAGATAAAAGCAATGACAGAAATGCTACGTGACTAGTTAGCAAATTTTCTCTGTAATTGGAAATCCCCATTAATCAGAAGTCATTGTCCCAAGAAGGCATGACAGACAACAGCATAATGTCATGACTGCAAAGGTGGACTCTGGAGCCAACCTTCCTGGGTAGAAATCTCAGCTCTGCCATTTATTTACCAGCTCTGTGACTTGAGGCAATTTACTTACCTTCCTCATGCTCTAGTTTCTTCATCTGTAAAATGGGAACAACACTATCTCTTATCTCATACTATTTTTGTGAAGGGAAAATAAATTGTTAAGTGTTTCTTAAATGAAGTGCTCGGTAATCATTAGTTTTATTATTTTAAGTAAAAATCATTGCAAAGGTTAAAATGCTACACACTGGCAGAGAGCACAAAGCCAAGTAAACTCATGATTAGTATCAATAGGTCATCAGAGCAGTGGCCCTTTATCTTGGCTGGACATCAGAACCACCCAGGGAGCTCTGGAGGGGAATAAAACTTAATGTCCAGGCAACACTCTAGACCAATTAAATCAGAATTCCTAGAGATGGGACCCAAATGTTAGTATCTTCTTAAAGCTCTCTATGTGATTCCAATGTGTAGCTTAATTTGAAGATTACCACATTAAAGTTATATAAAAAGACTGTCTCTAAGTGGGATGATAAAAAGAGGGCCTATTAAGAAAAGAAACAAAGGCTTGTGAAAAAAAGTAAGAGATGGAGAATAATCTTTGAGCTAATGAATAAATTTAGATTAATAGAGATACAGAGATAAGAGTACAATAGTTCCTATTATTTGAAGTATTTATAATCCCTTTGCCAATATAATATATAAGGTGCTATGGGAACAGGAAGGAAGAAGCACTGAAATATAGCCATGTGTGAAAGTGACTGTAAAGCAATTTATATAGAGTTCAGTGAGAAAGAAAAAGCTCTGTAGAAAGTTGGGGAGGTAAGAACATCCAACACCAAGAGTTTTCAACTGGAGATAGTCACCTAGGATAGAGTGACAAGATTTTCAAAATTAAAAAGCAATCCCAGCAATCCCACTGACAGTTCAATAACGAGTTCTGAGTAACCAAGGAAAAGCTATTTATTGTTGATTTTTTTAAATGTTAATTTCACAGATATTAAGTACCTTGTTTCCTCATCCCAGGAAGCGTGACAAACAAGACACACAACCTTAAAAACTGATTGACCTTACTGCGTCCCATGTTTCACAACCTTCTGCTGACCCTGTGCAGAATTACAATCCCCAACGAAACTCAACCACCAGTTTAAAAGCAGATCACCATGTAAATCTACTAATGAAAAGGAATGGATATTTTCTATTCTTACCCCCAGAATCAAATGTAGCAGATAATAATTTGTATCTCAAAGACTTTTTAACATTCAGGACCAAGCCAACTTTTAAGAGAGATAATAGCAAAAATCCCAATTTTCAGAAATTTTCTTTTCTTTTTTTTTTTTTTTTTTTTGAGACAGGGTCTTCTTCTGTCCCTTGGGTTAGAGTACAGCGGCACAATCACCACTCACTGCAGCCTAGACTGCCCGGGTTCAGGTGATCCTCCCACCTCAGCCTCCTAAGTAGCTGCTACTACAGGCACATGCCATCACGCCGGGCTAATTTTTTTTGTCTTTTCTGTAGAAACGGGGTTTTACCATGTTGCCCAGGCTGGTCTCAAACTCCTGGGCTCAAGCAATCCGCCGGCGTCCCAAAGTGCCGGGATTACAGGCATGAGCCACCGCGCTCGGCCAGAAGCTTTTATCCTATTGACCTGGATGTTGGTCTCCGGAACATCAAAGTTTTGTTTTTGTTTTCTTTAATTTTGCCTTCCACATTAACTTCAAAGTATGTGCAATCTTTACGTGGTAACCACTGAAAAAAGTGACTCTAAATACTGGGAGAAGTTTTCATTTTGTACATTTGGCTCTCCAAAGGCCTGTTAAACAGATCAAAACCTACATACGGGAGGAAAGCTACCCCCACTCACTCAAACAAAGCATGAGCCTTGATATCTTGTTTTATTTTTCTTTGTGCATCCTATTATGGACCTATGTAATAATGCAAGACCACCACACGGGGTAAGGAGCATGAATTATAACAGCTGTGGTCTCAGTGCAGGAACCACAGCACACTGTGAAATTCTCCATAGCTCTGGATCACAATTAGAGTAACACCTGTGCAAAACAGGTTTCTTCTGATCCCCTAAAAAGCCCTCTATTTTATGCAGGCCCAAATTGTGTTTGTTGTTCTTAAGCCAGTTCCCTGCCTCGGAATTTAGACAATCATTCAACTGCTTAATTTCATCCCTCTAAAGCAATCCAGAGAGTTCACCGGAGATATATCAATGAGTCAGTTCATTCCTGCCTCACCCAACCCTTCTCTATGTGACTCCCTGGGCAAGATAACTTTTACAGGGATGAAAAAGAATATCCTTTTTCTATGACACATAATGGCTTTTTATGAAGTCAAATCTTCCATTGCATTGACAGAGTAGGGGAAAGCTGGGCAAAGGATGTGATTCCTCCATTTCTGCAGGACATATTCCACCAGTAAAAAAGAAACAATTGCATGCCCCAAAGGAAATGGTTACCAAATTGAGGCAATCGCTTATGCTAAAAAAAAGTCTGTGGTTTCTGCTTTAAAAGGGTCAGAACAATGTCATTCTTGGACACTACTGAAAACGTGATTAAGACAACTCTGCAGAGGTCCACAATAGGGACAGGAAATGTCAGACTCAAATTTTCAGGCTCAATTATTCATCTCATAAATAAATTTTGAAGATGGGTTTGTCTTATGAAAGTTGAGAAGCACAGTGTTTAGCAATTATACAAACCCTAAGACTTGGCTCCTCAAAACCATTTCTGTTGGTTTTGGAATGTTGTCTGCATCCAAGTAGCTGACAAAGTTTTTTATTATTATTATTAATAACACAAGACTTTAAGAAAGGTATGAGCTCTTTGAGTGAGAAAAGAGACTCTGGCTTACTTCCATTTTTCCAGTCTTACTATGGACCAATGGCTGCTGATTTTCTACTTACACTTTGCCCTTGTGTCTTTTCTACTAATAATAATACATTAGTCAATCCAGGATAAATTCAGAGTCAGGATGTTGGGTCCTTTAAGAAGCCTTATAGAAACAATTGCACAAGGAAATTGGTTGAAATCTCAGTAGGTGATAATTGTAATAATTGTTCTCTTGGCCTGGCCACTGAGAGGACACCTACAGAACAGCTTATTGCTGTTACACATCCATCATAAAGTATCAGAGCCAGCATGCACCCCCTTGAGTCTTTAAGGAAGTTTCTAGTACTCTCATCGTTCTCATTGTTCAATATAGTCTAACACACTAAAATCTGTGAAGGCTTGTAAGAAACACCTGCAAGTCCTAGACCATGCCCTCTAGGGGCTTACATTTTTAGTCAGTAGACCACACTTACTTGTGCAATAAATGCACTTAAATTAAATGCTCACTGTGGGTTACACACCACGGGAGTTTCAGAAGTATAAAACTTGTCTCATCCTCATGAGGCAATGGACTTGGAGAGACAAGATATTTGCTAGAGAGGAGATCAACAAGGACTAGAAGCACCACAGAAAAGCTTAGGAGAAGGTGTGCCTGTAGCTAGGCCTTGAAAAATGGGTAAGATTTAGGTGGAAGGAAGACATTTGGACAAGAGGCTATGATAAACAAAGATGTAAAGGCAGGAATGAGGATGGCAGTCATGTGGGACTCAAAGAGGATTCCCCCACACCCTTCCTTTTTATTTTGGTCTTATTAGATCCATCTGATGGGGACAAGGTCAGAATTATTTGAAAGGATTTTGCCTCATCTGCATGGACTTCCTATGGAAACAGAAAGACAAGGGAGCCTTTGAGTGAGGGAACAGTGATAGTTCAGTGGATTGGAAACGTCTGTGTCCAGAAGAAAAAAAAAGGAGTGGAAAGGGTTGTAATTATAATACAGTGTGTAAAGTGCTGCCATGGAAACATACAGTCCTGGGGCCAGGAAGGTTCCCAGAAAGATATGACTCCTTTCTTTCACTCAGCTAGGTGACACACACACATACACACACACACACACACTCACACACACACACATGAACACACACATCATATCATACATATGTATAATTAGCTGCCAATTATACAGACTGTAAGGATGCAGAACACTCTGGGGACGTTCAAGTTTCTCATCCTTCTATCTGACCCCATACTCTCCTATCCATGTGCTCCTGTAATTCCAACTTAAACCTCCTCATTGGCTTCCACCAAAATCCACTCATGCCCCAGCATTTCTTGAATTTATTACCTTTATTACAAATTTAGACAGCCATGAAGAGAGATTGCATCTTAGAGCACATGACTTTCTGTCATCCAGGTGGATTCACCAGTACCAATCTATCCTTCCTTCTCTCCAAGAAGTGAGCAAGGTCTTTGCTTGTCTAGCTCAAAAGAGCTCTATCCCTATCAGGTATTGTGTTCTACTTGGGCAAGGGGATGATTATAAGCCCAAACCTCAACATTATACAATACACAAATATAACATATAACAAATCTGCACATGTGCCCCTTGAATCTAACTTTTTTAAAGACCTCTATTCATAATATTGAAAGCTCGTTCTGTACTCCAAGCCCTTTCTCAAAGACATTTGCCCGTCTAAGTGAATTCTGGTGAATGCAATTTTCCCCATCTTGTTAAGAGAGAGTAGAGTGGTGGTTGCTGAGAGCTGGTGGGAGGGGGAAATGGGGAGGTAACAGTTAAAAGGTACAAAATTTCAGTTATGTAAGATAAATAAGTTCTAGAGATCTACTACACAGCAAAGTGCCTACAGGTAATGATATTCTCTTATTGTATACTTAAATTTTGCTGAAAGGATAGATCTTATATATTTTTCTTTCTTTTGAGACGGAGTTTCACTCTGTTGCCCAACCTGGAGTGCAGTGGCATGATCTCGGCTCACTGCAGTGTCCACCTCCCGGGTTCAAGTGATTCTCCTGCCTCAGGCTCCCGAGTAGCTGGGCCTACAGGCGCGTGCCACCACAACCTGCTAATTTTTGTATTTTTAGTAGAGAGGGGGTTTCATCATGTTGGCCAGGATGGTCTCGATCTCTTGACCTCTTGATCCACCCATCTCGGCCTCCCAAAGTGCTGGGATTACAAGTGTGAGCCACCGTGCCCAGTGGATAGATCTTATATTAAGTGTTCTTACCACAAACAAATTAATGATAATACTAATAAAGGGGGCAGGGGGAAACTTTGAAAGGTAATGAATATATTTATGGCCTTGATGATGGTGTTGGTTTCACAGGCCTAAACTTATCCCAGACTCATCAAGCTATATATGTTAAATACATACAGCTTTTCATATGTCAATCATATTGCAATCAAGTGTTTTTTTTTAAACCTTCCCCTAAGTGAAGGAGAGAAGGGGAATATTATCAGTCTTTCACAGCTTTTACCAAGTTCTCCCTCCAAGGGAAAGGAAAGGAGAAGATACAGCACATTGACGACTCAGCATTCAGTTCCCTTTCACACCCACCCTTCTCACTCAACGGCCTTGATGTCCTTCTATCTTTATCCTAAGACCTTGGAGAAAGCCAGTCTCTAAAGATCCTATTAGAATCCTCATCCAGCTTTGCCTCTTCATTTACCTAATGGGTTGCTTCCACTCAGCTCAACCACAAAGGCCTTTTCTGTCAATGGAGATCTCCAAAGAACCTAGAGGAAGAGAATCCTGTGAATATACCACTATTGTTAATGGAGTTGACAGTGGTAGGGCTTAAGGGAGCCCCAAGAATGGATGAACTCCCAACCCAAACCTTGTGCCACATTTTCTTCACCCTCAGAGTTAGAGGCCTCCCTGGATCTTTGAGTCCACCCAGTGGAAGGATATTGTTAAGTGGGCACCCTGCCCTTTGCAGCTCCTCTCCCTGGGGCCTCATCCACATACAAGAGAGGATTAGGTGTTTATGTGAGCATCTTAGCTCATGGAGATGGAGTAGTTTACCTCTCTGGTTTTTCTTCCATTTCCTGACATTCATTTCTGGAAAAGTAAGGGGCTTTCCTGCCAGTAGGAGTTTGCCACAAAATGTCTTTCCTCTCTCTTAACAAAATCATACTTCAAATCAGGATGTCCTATGTATGTTCTTACATCTCATAAATTGTCCAAAGCTACCACATGTCTTGTTTATGATTCAGCATATTCCGAGCTTCTTTCTGAAGTAGCCAATATTAAACAATGCATTTTCCTCCAAAGGCTATATTATCTATCTCAAAATGGTTTCCATACATTTACTCTTAATACAAATGGAATTTCCAAAATTAGCAAGAGTTTTAGCAGATTCCACAAGCTCCTCCTATCCCTGCACAATGCACTCTACAGTTTGGAAGTCATGGTAAGGCTGTACTCCTGGTTCAGTACAGTCTCTTAATTCAAATGATACTGGACAGAACCCCCAAATAAAACAGAGGTGTCAAATGAGAATTTTGAAATCTGTTTAAATTTGGACAACTGCAAATTCTGTAGGACTGTGAAAGGCAGAATTCTGCGATTCCTGCCAGGGCTCAGGAGTGGCTTCCTTGGGCTTCTGCCTTGCACTGCAACACATCAATCCAGGAAGGAAGCCAAGTCTGGTCACTGGTTTCTGCAAAAATCTATTCACACCCAAACATATTTTGAGTTTAGCACCTGTAGAAAGACTTGGAGAAAATTTCATGGGTATATATTTCACACCCCCCTGTTCTCTATCTGTATTCTTCTCTCTTTCCCTCTCTTTCTTTCTCTCTCTTTCTCTCTCTTTCTCTCTTTCTCTCTGCAGAAACATTTTTCCTTTTGTCCTACATGGAACAATTCTGCATGCAGTCAGAACCTCTGGCTGGGAGAAGAAAGCGAGTTCAATGTTTTTTGTGTGCAATTTTTTTTTGTTTTTGTTTTGTTTTGTTTTTGAGATGGAATTTCCCTCTTGTTGCCCAGGCTGGAGTGCAATGGCACTATCTCGGCTCACCGCAACCTCCACCTCCTGGGTTCAAGCAATTCTCCTGCCTCAGTCTCCCAAGTAGCTGGGATTACAGGCATGCACCACCATGCCCAGCTAATTTTGTATTTTTAGTAGAGACGGGGTTTCTCCACGTTGGTCAGATTGGTTTTGAACTCCCGACCTCAGGTGACCCGCCCGCCTCGGCCTCCCAAATTGCTGGGATTAAAGGCATGAGGCACCACACCCAGCCCAAGTTCAATGTTAAATCTGTGATATCAGAGATGGCTGTGGGGCAATGAGCTTGGGATGCCCAACTACCAGTGGAGTGTCAGTTGAAAAATCACTTGCATTGTCAACCAAGATGAATTCTATACCCAGGCTGGAGGCAGTGGTGCGATCATGACTCACTGCAGCCTCCACCTCCTGGGTTCAAGCAATTCTCCCACCTCCACCTCCGAAGTAGCTGGGACTAGCGTGCCACCATGTCTGAATAATTTTTTAAAATATTTTTTGTAGAGATGAGGTCTAACTATGTGCCCCAGCTGGTCTCAAACTTCCAGGCACAAGCTATCCTCCTGCCTCAGCCTCCCAAAGTGCTGGGATTACAGGCAGGAGCCACTGCGCCCAACCCCAAATCACCTAATTCTTGTTTTCCAGCTTGCCATGTGGGTTAAAATATTGTCTTATTTGTTTTCTTCAGTCATTTCCATAAGTGCAGTTTTAATTTTATCCACTAGATTATAAATTCCTTAAAAGTAGCAGAGACTTTTTCTTTTCATTTTTCCTATAATTTCTATTATCATAATGTGCTACATTCTGTCAGTAAATGTTATTAACTGAGTGACCAACTAACTAGGGAGAAGTACTGTGGAATGTAATTTGCTGCAAGAATTCTGGAGTTGTAGATTGCAGAAATACTTAGAAGGGGGACAGCAGGCCTGGGTTCAGAGGAGAAAAACAAAAGTGAAAACATCAAGGATGAAACTAAAAGACAGGAAAAAAAATATGGAGGCAGAAGAAAATGAGCCCTCTGAAGGGGAAACAAGAACACGTGTTAGATTAGTGGGGGCAAGCTGAGCCCCTCCAATGGAAGTATATGGAGAAAAGATTCCTGCTGCAAATATTTTCAGCTTGAACCAGCAAAGGGAAGCACATGATTGGTGACTGAACTTCAATTTATTAGGTTGAAACATATGACATTGCTAATATTCAGTTATTTTTTTACCTATGGAAACAACAATACCATATGATTCAGCCATAGGGAATTCAATAGATAATTCAGTTTATTGAAGATGGTGGAAAATAACTGTGGAATACATTATTCCTTTTTTTTTTGTCTAGTAGTTTTAAGTTAATGAAAATACAGGGATATACTAAAATTATCACTAAAACATGACAAAAATCAACTGTTTGTACTTATTTCCTTACATCTTTAGTATTTATATATGTATATTCATATATACTTTATATTAACTGTATGCATAATTATGACATAAAGTATATGATATGACAGTCCCTTTAATTATCAAGCAAAAGATTATTAGAATGGTCAGGTAACTTGTTCCTTTTACTTTGTATCTGAGTATTCCACAACAATCTCCAAGGTCTATGGAGAGTAGAATGAAAAAGACATCACAGTTGTTGTCATTTATCCCTAGCCAGGGAATGAAACGACAACTGAGTCCTGTGTCAGATCTTTCTCCTTGCCCTAAAATGAAAATGAAAGGGGTGGGAGTTGCTAGAATTAGGTGTTTGAAAACTAATAGATGCAATCTGTGATCAAATGGAAACGCAATTCTTATCAGAGGAAAATATTGCCCAGGGAAGCATAGATGTTATTCTTCAACACAGCTCACTAATGGAATAGGATTCTGTGCCAGTGAGTATAAAAAATAATAATACTATAACTATATATATGGCTGGCTTGAGAATTTCTCCTTTGCAACTTTACTTGCTCCAAGAAATGACAAATTGAAGTTTAACAAATACAATAATTTTTGGTCTTTGTTTATTTCTTTTTAAGAGAAAAAGAAAGAACAGAAACTTCACAGTTGGGAAAAGAAAATACCTCATGGATATGGGTTTTATTGCAAGCTATGCATCTGACTTAAAGATGTTAATGCTGAATTCGCCCACCAAGATCAAAACTCCTACAAAACTCTTCCAGCTGCAGCATTTATGGCTCCAGGTTTTGTTTCAGAAAGTGAGGAATATGTTCCAGGATTATGATCTTATTTCTCTTTCTTGCCTGTTGTAAGCATAACCATAGTCTGCTCTTTTAATGCTATGAAAATGTTCAGTTGGCATTGTTTTTCCCACAACCATGGAAACACCTGCTTCCAAATTAATTTATAATCTATTTTACACCTATGGCTGCAAGCCATAGTCTAGTTTATTTTTTAAGGAATTTTGGTAAAGCATATAAGAAAGTATATAATGTCTGCTTCTTCTCTTTTTTGTTCCTCATGACATAATGTTGGCTTTTACACATTTCGTTTTATGTCCAGCTTTTTAAGATGCTAATAATATGTAAAGATATGTGATATGTTGGAATATATGTAAAGTTTTTTTTTTTTGAGTCTTTCAAAGCATATCCTAACACAGATATTGTACACCACACATACTTTTCTTGAATCTTGGGCCCAATTTCTCCTTTTATTTGGCCAGACTAAAGCATGCAGTAAAGTATCTTTCAAGTTTCTTGAACAAAAAAAGAAATCTGAGTATGCCCACAACTTCACTAACTTCAAATATGAGTGATTCACTTCTGTAAAAATACGTTATTTCCTGCTTAGATTTTATGTTAAGGTAAAGAGAAGTTTTTAATACATCCCAGATGATCCTATGAAAGAAGGATTATGAAAATCAACTTACCTACTGTTTCTTTGACTTTTCTTTGTTCTGTTTATCAATTACAGGGAAACAAAATTTCACAACTAAAACAACATTAAGGCTATTTTAAATATTATATTGAGATTACTAATGAGTTCATATATGTCCATTTTTAAATATATTTTAAGAACATTATAAAAGTAATCAAAACAAAGAAAATAACAAAGAAACACAAACTAAATCAACTTCAGTAACAGAAATGTCTGGTCTGACAAAAAAAAACTGGCAACTAAAATTAATGATTCTTAAACATCTGTCATTGTCAGTTCAAGAATTCTGATACTATGTTACTAGGTATAGAAAAAGCAACAGTTAGGCGGGGCGCGGTGGCTCACTCCTGTAATCCCAGCACTTTGGGAGGCCGAGGTGGGCGGATCATGAGGTCAAGAGATTGGGGGCGGGGTGGGGGGGGGCTGGGGGGAGGGGCGGCGGTAGTGCGGAGCTTCCAGTGAGCCGAGATCGCGCCAGCGTGGGTGACAAGGGCAAAACTCCGTCTCAAAAAAAAAAAAAAAAGCAACAGTTAAAAATATTCAAGTTGAAAATTTTGTAAGTCCTGAACTTCAGAGAAAAAAAGGGCAGAACACAGGGTGGAAATGGAAGCACTTGTTTCCAATAGCAAAACATGAGCTCGCAAGTCAGGGCTAATACTACTCAACAATTCCAGATTCCCAAGCTGAGGATGACTCATAATTCATGAGCATCAAGACTAAAGATGATCACTTGCTTCTTTCCATCACTGAAAGATGGGCTGTGTAATGTAAGGATAGAAACAAATATTTTCAGCCTCTACTAGTTTCATGTGGCATTGTTATAAGATAAGGAATTTGTGTTGCAATCACTTCCATTATTCATGATTGTTTTAATTCCCATGCAAGTTAATGAACAGAACAAAGAGGTAGTAAACTAACTCTCTAAAACTAGTGAGTTAAGAGTTTTTGACCAATATTAAATGTTACTCCATTTTTTTCTCATTAAATTTCCATTCAATAGAATACACACTGATTTTACAAGAGGTCATTAATATATAACATTTTTGTAATGTGAGATGTAGGTCACAATCACTTAAAGTCTCATGGAATTATGTTGTTGTTGTCGTTGTTGTTGTTTTGTTTTTGCATCGCTGTTGTCTGTTATACCAGCCTACGAGTTCACACAAGAGTGTCAGCAGAGGGTACCTTTACAATTCACAGGCTAAGACTCATAGTTCAATCCCTCTGAGCCCTACAGCATTCTTGCTTGATTTGTATATCTTAGTAATCTTTTAAAATTTAAAAAAACAGATTCTAATGCAGAGGAAACAGATAACAGATACATAATCAGCCTTGACTTTATTGGAAAGGATTAGTAACATTACCTTGTAAAAATGAGCACAAGTAATTGCCTAATTGGTAAGCCATGCACTTCCGAAGACAATGTAAGTCAACTACCTATTTACTTTTTGTTTCATGTATTATATTTACTTACAGGCTTTTTCCTGTCTAAAGACCCTTCATAACATGCCACATTGGTATTGTTCATGCTAGATTATAAAACCTCAAGGCTGGGACTATGGCATAAAGATACATAGTATAAGTGCTTTACAGAGGGTGGGTGGATGGGTTAGTTGTGAAATAAATATTTCTACAAAGTCTTCAGTACTTATAAGGCACCTACTGTTTAGGACACTATCATTTCAGTGGTTCATTTTAGTGTTAGAGAAAAGTAAATTTCACTTTGGTTATCCATTTCTGAGCAACAAAGTGGTTCATTGCCATCTTCCTGATATTTGCAGGAACTGTCATAAGACATTACCAGAGGAAGATTAAGACTGTGGGTACAGGAAAAGATTGATGACTTAGACCTTTTAGTTATCACCTACATAACAGAAGTGAAAACATTCATAAGGACTAAGTTCTTTTTCTTTCCTGCCTCTCTTTCTAAACCTGTTGGCATCATGAAGACTGTTCTTCCCTCCCTGGGTCTTCTTCCTTTTTCCAAAGAATTCTAAAAATGGGTAGCCTCCAAGGTTGAGTCTTCAGGCTTGCCTCAATCGGGGATGCCAGCCTCAATCACTACAGCTATGCTGGTGGCTCCCAAACATATATTTCCATTCCTAACATCCCATAAGAATTCTTGGCCTACATTTTCCAGAAAATAATATTACTTATGCGTCCAAACTCACGTTTTTTGTCCATCTCTCTGACAACTATCTTCTTTACCAGCTTTCCTACTTTAATTATTTATCATTGTACCTTCTTCATATACTCCCAACTCATTATTCCCTTTCTCTGTTTAATTTTCTTCAAATAATTCATCAACAGCTAACATGCTACATATTTTCCTTATTTACATTTTTATTATCTGTTTCACTTGAACATAAGCTCCATAAGGTTGGGGAGCTTTTGATATCTTTATTCTCTGTATCCCAGTACCAAAAATACAGCACGTACTCAATAAATATTTCTTGAATAAATGAAAATATTAAGTGGATAAATGAAAGGATGAAGCCATAATGCTCCAAAACTTCTAGACCAGAAAAATTAGAATTATATTTGATTCTGGTCTCACATCTGCCATCTACATCTAATCAGTTACAAAATCCTATGATTCATCCTTTCAACATTTTCTCCCAACTGAGTCCAAACCCTAAAATGCTTCCCATGTGGATTTTTAAAAAGCCTCAGGCCAAGCATGGTGGCTCAGGCCTGTAATACCAGCACTTTGGGAGGCCAAGGTGGGAGGATCATTTGAGGCCAGAAGTTCAAGGCCAGCCCCAGCAACATAAAGAGACTCCATCTCTACAAAACAAACAAACAAACAAAAAAAACATTTAATTAGCTGGATGTGGTGGCATGTGCCTGTAGTCCCAGCTACTCTGAAGACTGAGGTGGGGAGGATCACTTGAACCCAGGAGTTTGAGACTGCAGTGAGTTATGATCACACCACTGCACTCCAGTCTGGGTGACAGAGTAAGAGATCCTTGTCTCAAAAAAAAAAAAAAAAAAAAAAAGTGTCTCCAGGCTCCCTCCATTTCAATTACTTTCTTTCTTCAGATAATCCTTCTCAATCCCTAGTTCTCATCACTCTCAGAATCTAAAATCCTCTATAACCTGCATAACCTGACCTCTAATACATACTAACTTTACTGATAGATTCTAATTCCCAATTACTATTTATCATTCCATTTTCTCTTTCACTTAGACTGAACTGACTATTCCCCTTACATGCAATGCTCATTCCTACCTTGATGCCTTTACTTGGGATATTTCTACTACCTAATGTCCTTTTTTCTCCTCATCTTATTCAAATCCTATATATTTTTTGTTAGATCTAATTCCCAGCTATGTTCCATGGAGCTCTTTAAAACCTTTACCAACAACCACAGCCCATATTGATTCTGGCTTTGTCTGGTCTCTGGAAACTCATATTGTCAGAACTTCATAATCCATCACTCCATTGATCAATGGTTTCATGGCTTCACCTTGGCTCTTTAATACAATGGCAACACAAATATAGCTGAACTATTCTCATGACCAGTCTAAGATCAGTGCTGAATTCAACAGAAACATAAGTCCAAAACCCAAGGATACTCTTGAAAATATCTTAAATTTTTACTGACATTTTTTCAAAGAGACACAGCAAATATCCTAAAGCTCCTCCTTTTCCATCATTATCTCTGAAGTCTTCTTAACAGCTGCTCAATAATCATTCTTTTCTCACTTACATTTTCCACCCTTAAAACTCCAGTCCATGCTGCAGTTTATTCCTTTCATTATCCCCTTACCTCTTGAGACTGAATCTATTATTCTTCCAAAGATTGCTTTCTGCCCTATTTCTTCTATACCAATTTAGACTTTGGGGGCTCTTTCCAATAGCGGACATAGACATTAACCAAAACAAAATCCTACTTCCTGGAACTGCTGAAGTAAAAATGACACTTTCTCCTGCAGAAATAGAGAAAGAGGAAAAGCTATAAGTTTTTTACAGGCTTTTTATTCCTGTCATACATCCCTCCTAGCTAAACCTTTGTGGATCTCTGAAAAGGACATATCACTTGTTCCCTTGAGGCATTTCCCATTGGATGCCAAGCCTTTCCAATCTTTATTCTTCTTCTGTGGGGTTGGAAGATTTATTTTAACAACAAACTTAATTGTGAGGTGGTCTGAGCCAGACAGTGACCTCTTTACCCTGAAGCTCCAGCTATGCACCCTCCACCTCCAGCATAGCAGTGATTTCTGTGCCTCTGTCTTTCACACCCTTGGAGGAGCACATTAGATAAGTGCCTTGCCCAGGCCAGCCCTTCCCTCCAGATGTTTTGTCCTCTGCCAGAGAAAGATCATCTAGTCACCAAGTTGTTTTTCTCACAGTTCCATGACACTGTGGCATCATCTGTGGGCCAAATGGGCTGCCATGTGACAGTGAAGCAGCCTCAGGAGCATAGAATAATGAACAACTCAACCCCTGGGGAAATCCACAGGTGGAAACATTATAGCAGGAGACCAGTGGGGCCAAAAAATGGTAGACACAATGTGACAAATGGAAGGGCAGTGGCAAATGCAAAGAAGCCTCTTTTCATGAGTACACAGAGGACACCCCCAGACATTTTCCATAATAGTTGAGGGGGGCTTTGGAAGAGCTAAGGTCTGTCAATAGAGACAGTGTAAGTACAGAACTAGGAACACAATGATACTGTTTATGTGATTCCAAGTTTACTCCTTGGCTCTCCAGCTGGGAAAACAAGGGTTTCGTGGAAAATAAAGGCCACATCTACCTCAAAGTGCTCTTGTAAAATGTGCATCACAATATGTGGAAAGTGTAAACATAGGGCCTAGCACATAGTAGGAGCATGGTTAATGGTTCTTTTTCTACTCCTCTGCCCAGCTGCCCTCTCCCCCCACCCCAAGAGCAGCCTCCATATCTCCCAAGGATTTATTCATTCAAAAAATATTCATCAGGCTTTTACTAGGCATTGGAATACAGTGGTGAAAAGACAAAAATAATTATACCTTGCTGGAGAGTAGGGCACAGAGCAGGTGCTTAATAAATATTTGTGAATTGACAAGACCAATCCCTAGTAGTCCCATCTCAGACAACTCTTTACTGGAATCCTCATACCCCAGAGAGCTCTAACCAGGATTTGCTGTCACAGGAAGTAGTTCATGTTGACTTTATGCTTAAGGATAACCAAGAGATGGAAATATAAATAGGTGTCCTGGGGAAAAAGAGATGGCTGAGAGGCCTAGATTGCAAATAAATTGCTAAAATGTCTATCTCTATCAATAGAAAGAAAATCTGGAAATTCCAGAAGGGAAAATATCAACATTTACCATACCAAACCATGCCAAAGCCCATCACAAATCAAAGTAAGAAAGAATCAAATGAAAATTGTTATTGCTGAATTTTGTCCTAAGTGTGCATATATCATTCAAGTTATACAAGTTAATTCTTTATCACAGTTGATAATAAGTATTAAAAGGAGTCAGATTACAACTGGATTTCATTTAAACAAAGGACATTGAATAAAATGAACTCTACATTTAAAATAGACCAAAACTTTTAAATATATCAACAAATTACTATTATAAATTATGATTTCTTAAGATTTTAAAAATGTTTGCCACAAAAGGGTCCATGATATTAACCACATATTCTGGGTTCTCACATTACAAGAAAACATTTTCCCAGTCAACAACCATTTATTGAGTACCTGCTTACCACTTAGCAGGCACCCATCTACTCTCTGGAGAAATGATAATGACTAAGACAAACTATCGTGTTATGTGGAGTCTAGAGAATAGTGTAGAGAAAAATAAAGAAATATAAAATATGACTATTAGGAGTGAAAAAATGAAAGAACAGCGAACTCTTTCTGTGGGAGGGGAGATGATCAGACAAAGTACTCCAAGAAAAATAGTTTTTAAATTAAGTCTTGAAAAATAAATAGTTTGTCAGGCAGATGTGGGTAAAGGTGAGGAATAGAAGGGGCACCCCAGTCACCGCAAAGAAATATGAAAGCATATATCTATGATGTACAATAAGAAAAAAAAAGAAATATGAGAAGGTGACAGGTTCCAGGAACCACACATAGTAGCTACGTATGTTTGTCCCAAAGGGTGAATCTATCATTAGACAATATTTTCAGTAAGGGACAAGAAAATACTACCTTATTTGACCATCATATTTCCAGTGGAACCCCTGGCACATAGTAGGTGTTTAATAAATATTTATTAAAAGGATGTTCCCAAGAAGTAGACAGGTCCCAAATTGTGAAGGGTTCTATAAGTTGTGCTAAAACGTGATCCTCTGTAGGGCATCCTGAAGAATTTTAAGGCAAGAGTGACATAACTAGGTTTGGGTTTTAGAAAGTTTCCATCTTTGTCCTCACAGCTCTGCAGAAGATGGACTGGAGAACAGAAAGAAGGCAGAGAGACCAGGTCAGAAATAACTGTAAGAAATGATGAGACCTGGACCAAGGCACAGCCAAAGGTTGAGAAGGAATGACTGGGAAAACCATCTAGGAAGTAAAACTGATAGTACCACATGACTGCTTAGATATGGGGGAATGAAACAAAAAGGGTGACTTAGAACAGCTTCCAGATGTCTGACACTCCACCAGGAAAATGCACTATTCGACAACATGAAGAATATGAACAAGTATCTTCTATGAAACTGTTTATTAAAAATACATTCACATGTATATGCAATAAAAACCCTGGACCAGTTATGTAGATACATGTTGGAAAAACTGGGATTGTTTCATGATTTATTTATTCACTCAGAGAATATTTAACAAGCTCCTGCTCTGGTCATCAGGGAAAGAATTGTGTGGAAAAAAACAAATACAGGGCTTCCCCCAGTAGAACTTACAGCTTTGCGTAGGAGATAGGCTACTAATTATATTACAGATAGATAGGGAATAAACTATGTGAGGCTTTAAAGGCAATGTTAAGGAGGTTCTCTTTATCTTGAGAGCTGTAAATGGCCATGGAAAGATTTTAAGAAGTTTGGTGGGGAGATGACCAGAGTATTTGCATTTGAAAAAGATCATTCTGGCTGCTGTGCCATGAATTAGATTACACTAGAAGATCCACTTAAGGAAGCCCCCACAAAATCTATTCCAGAGGCAATTGGACCTTAAATTTCAAAGAGCAGGACTCACCAGTTTAACCTTCTTGATTGTTTATAACCAGACTTCATCCTTACTGGACAGTGTTTGTGCCATACCAGTTATCAAATATTTTCACTATAAACCCATTGCTAGGGAGGCAGTAGCAGAAAGAGGTGGAATTTAAAAGTTTCTAGGAGGTAGAATTGATACCCTTTTAGGATGCCAACAGGTTTTACCACTGGTCACCAGCTTTCTCTGGCTGTTGGTCCATGAGGGTTAGGGGTAGTGAGGGAACAGGAGGGAGAAGCCGAAGCCCACCCATTTGGCAGCAGTAAAAGGCCACACTGGGAAGTCCCAACCCCTTTCTTATTTCTATTCCCCCACCCCCTCCCCAATGGCACTTGTCCACCTCCATCTACAGGAATAGCATCACTTAGCCTTTTGGTTTACAAATGAGGAAAATCAGGCATTAGAAACTAAGTAACATTCCCAGACTAGTTCCAGTCTATTGTGAAACAAATTGTCAGATGTTTGTTTGCCCAGGTAGAAAGGCCAAAGACTTGTTCAATGATGCACTTAACACACGTTGCTCTTTGATCAACATGACCAGAAACAAACAGACCATCCTGTGCACACCTGATGCTTCTTCTTTCTGACTTGTGTTCCTTATGACATTCACAGCAGCCAAAGCAAGCAGAGCAAACAAAACTCATCAGTTTGTTGCTTATTGCCACTCAGCTTAGATAAAAGACTCAGTTGATAGGGGGATAATTAAGCCTTTGTTCTAAATGAGCTTACAGGATTATCTCTAGGTTTTAGTTCTCCATGCCATTTTTGTCCCCAGGTGCCACAAATAATCATTTGTTGGCTAGAAGCAGATTTGGCAAGCAGAAAAATTGTAAAGTATAACTAAGGCAAAAGTTAATAACCCATCAATATATTTGCATTAAGCAGCTGCTTTTTGGAAATTATCATGCTACCTTCAATAGAGTGTATAAGCTTATGTACCCTTAAGCAGCATACAATCTTCATAATAAAAAAGACACAACTACTAAGCATTATGTGATCTGCATCAAATGAAGCACAAACAGTAAGTCTCTGGGAGTCCTGATAATATGTGGACTTTGGGGAATGGCCAGAACATGGGGATAGAGCTGCCAGTGATAGCCAAGCTGTAAAAGGGAAATTTAAGGGAAACATAGTCTAAGAATGAACAAATTGAATCTGGAAGAGCAGAAAAGAAAGGATAGGCCTTCTGGCTTTTGGAGAGCTTTAGGGATTTGGGGGGAAGTTGAGGGTTTTGATTTTTGTTTGGTTGGTTGGCTTTCTGATACATTTTTATCTACTTAACTGAAATGCTCAGGGAGGAGTAAGAGATAGAAAAGAAGAGCCTATATTTTCCACTCCGGCAAATCTTTTAGAATTTTAGGAAATATTTTTCTAATTCTATCACAGAGTTCTAGTTAATCTTTACCCCTTCCCAAAACTCCTAAAGGCTATCAGTGGTTCTCAACAGTAACCTTTAATAGAGAGAGTAGAGACAGAGTAGGACAAAGCAGAATTTCATGGAAAATGCTCCCCTGTGTGGCACTCCTTTGAGAACCCTGGGATCAAAACATATGTGAGAGATTGTGGTCCATACGGTGATCAGTCAGAGATTCCTAGGTATCAAATGTTTATGTCCATGCTGTAGTTTGAAAGTTCACAAGGGAAGGAAGAGTAAACTGTACCAGAAGCTCATTCCTGAGGGTCTCAGAGATTAATGAGCCAGGGGCATTATTGTCTACAGGCTCTCCAATCTAGAGAATTCTTGTGCAGCACCAAATAACAGAAATTGCTAGCAATGAGAAGCATATCAAGGGCTAGAGAATTGTGTTGGCACCAGAGATAAGACAGCAAAATCCCATAATATGGTGGAGGCTCCATGGCCCCACTGGGTAGGACTTTACCTAGGACATTCTGAGCTGTTCCAATTGGGACTCCAAGGCTTCAATTCAACAAAATGGCACTGAGAGAACCATGTGCTTTCAGCAAGAAAATTCCCCTGGAAATGGCTTGTGCTTAAGGAGAGAACCGCTTCAAAACTCAGGCAAAGAATACCAGAGGCCTGGTCCTAAGAGAAACCCCTGCCTGTGAGCAGACAGTAGATACCACATGTTTGTGGATCACAGCTCTTCTTCCTACACACAAGCCCCCTTACTCTTGGGTCACATGGTTGGGGACATATACTCTGGCTTCCCACTGCTCCATAAACTCAAAAATATCTACATAACTACAAAGAGCAGGGGAGAAGCATTGTGGGCTACAGTAGTATGAAAAGCTTTCATAAAAAATGTATGAATAATAACAGCTACCATGTATTGAGCATCTATTGTTACAGGTGCTATGCTTGGCTTATGCCTATATTATCTAATTACATTTTTACAACAACTCTAAGACAGAACTATTGTTCTCAGAGCTACCAATAAGCAGCAAAGAGAGGACTTGAATTCTAGCCTGAGTCTGAAAACACCCTCTTTCTACTAAGCTATGCTTCGATTCAGGGCAGCTACTGAAGCACTTAGTATGATTTGATACAGAAAATAATGGGAAGAAAAGAGAAGGAAATTGCAAAGGTGATCCAGTAGAAAAGCACAAGGCAAGTCTAGATGAAGAGAAATGATAGAAGAAGTGAGGCTACTAAGTTAACTGGCAGTTTTTGAGCATCCACAAAAAAGAGACTAGGATAGTGGGTGACCATGTGAATGGATTGATAGGCTTTAGGGAGATAAGGAAGAATGGGGAACACAATCAAGGGAGATATTACCACAAAGAGAAGCTGGTGCGTGTCCCGGGACTGGGTTCCAACATGACAGGCATACTTGGCTTGACAAACTGGAAAGTGCCTGAAAGAAGAAAGCCTGGATGGAGATGAAAGGAAAGAGACAGACACACCCACCTGCTGGAAAACAGAAATGGACCTACAGCAACAGCAGCTGATACCCCGCATTTTCAAACGGGCTGAGTTCTAACACAAAGGAGTGACAGATTGTCAGCAACTGTTTTCAAAAGAAAGACTATGATCACAAGAGCCAGGACATATCTGGATCTACACCACATGTCACTGGGGCCAGAACAAATGAAAAGCCTCTAGGGACTCAGTTAAGGGAGTTTATCTCTGAGAATTCTTTGTCTTTCATACATTCTTGTGGTCTAGCACTGCCATTTCCAAAAGAAAGATTTGCAGTTGCCCATTTTCCTGATGAGGGAAAAGAATCATAGAGCCACCATCCAGAGGAACACTAACTCTTCTAGGGACTGGCCCTGAACAGAATCATGAAGGAGCTGAAGCTCAGATTTGACATCTCCAGCTTACCTCATCTCTACCTCTCTCTTTCACCTTGAAATACTCTTACCTCCCTCCTTTGGTGCCTACTCTGTATTCTAAAGAGTTTTATCTCAGATGGCTGTCAATTTATCATTTCAGTGATTCTAGAACTTCACTGGGTATAAGAACCACTCTGGCTCACCCATCTTCCCAACTAGAGATTCTAGGGGTATCTGGGTTGGGGTCCCTACATCAGTGTTTTTAACAGAGCTTCCAGATGATTCTGATAGAGATGATTCACAGATGGAGAAACTGCACCAGGGAGTTTGTTGATGATTAAACAATTTGTTGATAATGGCTCAGGTTTTAACAAATAACTCTTGATGGAAAGTATGTGACGCTGAAGGTATCTAACTCAATGGTGGAATGTTGACCAGAGAAGGATATTTGAAAGGCAGAAGATTATCTCTGGTGCTCTCTCATTCAATGTCATTTATCCTAAAAGAAGAAAATAAGTCTTTCTGTGTCGCAAACAAAAATATTTTGCATCATTCCTCTGATTGTACAGTTTTAAATGCAACCAATGTAGTCATCAAAAATCATGTTTTTGATATATATTTAATCACAGAGAAAGCTGTTTACAGCATGTTAGAGTGAAAGTAGAATTACAAAACCTT
Source organism: Homo sapiens (assembly GCF_000001405.40). NCBI lineage: Eukaryota > Metazoa > Chordata > Mammalia > Primates > Hominidae > Homo > Homo sapiens. Next base: position 53,457,501 of record NC_000005.10, read on the forward strand.
TTTTAAAAAATCATTCATCCTATAAACAAATAGGGCTCAAATCAAACTCTGTAAGAGACAGTTACTCACCAGTTCATAAGGTTGACCCTTAGAGCTTCCTTCCCTGCCCCTACCTGCAGCTCTCATGGTGCGAAGACATCTTTCTGCCTTGATTGCCAAGACAAATCCACAGCATCATCTGAATATTTCCAAACTATCCACAAAATTATATAGCAAACAAAATTTATTTAGTTTAAATGTAAAGATATTGCCATTTTTCTCAACGTCACGGTCAAAACCAAACATCAAAACCGCAGTCAGTGATCATAGCTCTGTTTTTCATAGGTTTAATTATAGTGCCTATGCTTTTTCTTTTTACTTTATTAATTTTACTTTGAGTTATGACATTTCTTTTTTGTGTTTGTGTATGTGTGTGTGTGTGTGTGTTTGTTTGTTTTTTTGTTTGTTTGTTTGTTTGTTTGTTTTGAGACTGAGTCTCCCTCCATTGCCCAGTCTGGAGTGCAGTGATGCAATCTTGGCTCACTGCAATCTCCGCTTTCTGGGTTCCAGCGATTCTCCTGCCTCAGCCTCTTGAGTAGCTGGGATTACAGGCGCACCCCAGCACACCTGGCTAATTTTTATATTTCTAGTAGAGATGTGGTTTCACCATGTTGGCCAGGCTGGTCTCAAACTCCTGACCTCAAGTGATCTGCCTGCCTCAACTTCCCAAAGTGCTGGGATTACAGGCGTGAGCCACCATGCTATGCCAAGTTATCACATTTCTTACACATTTATAACTACATTGAAAACACAGCTCTTAATAACATAAGCTGATATTCAAAAGGAAAGTAAAATGATAAATTGAATTCTATAGGTCTCTTTTGACCTTGACTTTATCCACTTTAAATTGTCATTGCCATTTCCATCACTGCTTCAGAGAAATTTGAGAAACAATATAATTTTCATGCAACCCTTGATCCTAAGACAGGTCTCTCTTGAAACCCCCCCCCAAGGCCTAAAATTTAATAAGCATCATTAGAAGGCAGTTTTCCAGGTTCTTGCAAGCTTAGAATTAATCTGGGGGCTGACTTCTCATCGGTTAATCTTCCTTTTTCAAACATATCCCATTATTTGGGGGAAGGAGAGGGTAGCAGGGAGGAGGTCATAATTCCAAAGGGTGTCTTTGAAACTGCCTTTGCAAAATTATGACTGAGACAGTGAAAGAGATCTAACTTAATCGACTCCATCTTGCTTCTAACTTCCAAGCTATCCTTATTCATTCTTGGGCATAAACTGAACTAACATTGGGAGAAACTTAGTTTATAGTTTATAGTTTAAAACAAAGACAATAACATCCAAAGCAGACCTTCTTCTTGCCTAGGGACTAGATTGCCTTTGTAGGACTAACACTATCCGTGAGTGAGAAATTATGGCTTAGGAGTCATGCAGCTGGAGGCTTCAAGATTCTGACCCTCCCTAAACTGCTTCTAACATCAGTGTTTGAGATATTTTGCAGACCCAGGACTTGATGGATCAGCTGGCACCACCCAGATCGATAAACTGGCCCATCTGATCTTGTGTCTCCTCCTCCTCCCACCAGGAACTGACTCAGTGCAAGAAGACAGCTTTGTCTCCCTATGATTTCACCCCTGACCAATCAGCACTCCCAGCTCACTGGCTTCCCCCCACCCACCAAGTTGTCCTTAAAAACTCTGCTCCTCAAATGCTTGGGGAGACTGATTTGAGTAATAATAAAACTCTGGTCTCCCTCACAGCTGGTTCTGCGTGAATTCCTCTTTCTCTATTGCAGTTCCCTTGTCTTGATAAATTGGCTCTGTCTACACAGCAGGCAAGGCGAATCCCTTGGGTGGTTGCATCTTTTCAGTCCTACCTGATGTTGACATAAGTGCCATGTTCCAAATTTGAAAATCCTGGTTATTTTCTAAAAACTTCTAAAGATTAAATATATGATGTATGTGTCACATTATCTCCTGAAGCAGAATGCACTTTAAAAATATGTTACTACTTTCTAAATCCAATCATGAATTATTTAATTTGTGCACCATGTGAAGATAATTAATACAAAGTAAAGCTGCTGGTTGTCATTTTTAAATAATTTCTCAGTAGAGTTCATTTCCAATAAATAAACTTGATATTCTAAGATTTACTCCTTACTTTTTAGAAAAGTGGTAAACATTAACAGAACATACTCCTAGAACTTTCTGAGAATGATTTTTGTTTTCTCACAAATTCAGAGAATTGGAGTTCTCACTGGGGATGCTGATGAGAAGAGCGAAGGACAAAGACTCTCTGGAATTCCTCTGTTCCTTCTTTTTACAGACTCCAGAGGACCTGAACAAGCACACGTGTTTTAAAGATGCTAGGCTTATGGTAACAGTGTTTGCATTTGATAAGGGAAACCATGTACAGCCTCCACTTGCCTACAGTATTACCAAGAAATCTTTAACATCTCTTTGAATTGAATCAGGCTTCATTCATTTATTCATCAAATTTTTATTCATTATTTTCTATGTGCCAGAATGGTGTAAAAGAATCAACAATGCATTAGTCAAACAAAATTGACCTCATCCTCATCTCCAATTGGTTAGGAAAGAGTTTGAAAATGTAACCAAACTAATTCTCAGACTAAGCGTAAATAGATTGAAAAACGTATTTTTTAAATGTTTTGTCCTCCTGGAAGTAAAATGAATTTCTACAAACCATAACTTTGTTTGGTAATTGAAAGTTTATTAAACCATGACCCAAAAATCCTTGTCTTCAAGCCATTCACTCCAGGACAAAACCTCAGAGAAGTATAAAAATGAATTGGGATAGGGATTTTAACATATTTGAAAAGAGCTATAATGTATCATATAATCATTCCTCCCAGTTCTCAAGCCCTAGCTCAAACTTCATCTCATTGTTGAAATCTTTCACAAATTTCACTAAACTCCTGCAAGCCATAAATAATCTTTACCTTTGGGGTTTTATAGCACTTACCAAACGCAGCCTGATGTCACGAGTTCAGGTGTACAGTTGTGCACATGTTTTCCGTTTAATGAGTACCCAACACATTAGAAACAGTGCGGTGCTTAAGAGTGGGGGTTCCAGCCCAGATTTCTGAAGTTGACTCCCATGTCTGTGTGGCTATAGTCTCTCTGTTACTCAGTTTTCTCATCTGTAAAAAAAAAATTATAATAGTCCTACCACATGGAATGATAATGATGATTAAAATACCATGATAAACTGCCATAGCCAAGAGGAGCCTAAGGAAATAGGACGACTAAGGTAATGTGGTATTTCAGATAGACCCTGGAACAGAAAAAAAAAATTAAGTAGAAACTAAGGAAATTAAAACAAAGTATGAACTTTTCTTAATAATATTGTATCAATATTGTTTCACTAATGTGACAAATGTACCATACTAATGTAAGATTCTTTTTCTTTTTTTTTGAGATGGAATCTTGCTCTGTCGCCCAGTCCGGAGTGCAGTGGCGCAATCTTGGCTCACTGCGACCTACGCCTCCCCACCTCAAGCGATTCTCCTGCCTCACTCTCCCAAGTAGCTAGGACTACAGGCGTGTGCTACCACGCCCAGCTAATTTTTGTATTTTTAGTAGAGACAAGGTTTCACCATGTTGGCCAGGCTGGTCTCAAACTTCTGACCTCAGGCGATGAGCCTGCCTCGGCCTCCCAAAGTGCTGGAATTACAGGTGTGAGCCACCGTGCCCAGCCTAATGTAGGATATTGATAATAAGGGAAATTGAGTATAGGGTATGTGAAACTTTCTTTACAACTTTTCTGTAAATCTAAATCTACTTTCAAATAAGGTTTATTGAAAAAGTAAAAATTAGAATTAGGAGAAACTTTAAATGTTAATAAAGGCAAACCATTTAGAAGACTATATGGCCTATAGTAGACACTCATTAAAAGGTAAGAAGCAACTGTTAGGAGTACTACTAGTAATGGTACTGTGAAGCCAACAAAAGCTTTTAAGCAAAATTGCTGATTTCTTATTCCCTTAGGCTTTCTCTTTTGTTTTTGTTGTTGCTTTTGAGGTTTTATTTTTTGTACAACATTTAGCAAAAGGCTGTAACTGTAAACAAAACTATGATTTAATTTTTCAATCTTATTATTTCAGCATTATGTAGGAATGGGTTTAGTGCCAAAGACTGTATTCATCATCATGTCTTTTGGTCATAATCATATGCAGTATGATTAGATAAATAGGCACACCCAAAATGTCAACGGCACCTGTTTGAGAAGCTATAAACTTATTCCATTGGTTTCCATTTCACATGTTCTTTTAGTTACTGAATTATAATTTATCATGTGTATTTCATAGTAACAAGTACAAATCTAGTCATTTCATGCCCTTTAACAGCTTTACATTATCTACAAGATTGAGTCTAAATGTCCTAATTTGTCATTCTAGGACCTGTACAATTTAATCTTCACAGATTCATCGATCACCTGCCCCATAATCCTATGTTCTTCATGCATTTATGCTTTTTCTTGTGCTTTTTCCTGTAATATTTATCTATTCATTCTTCTTATAATAAAATAATTCTCATCCTTTGACATCTTTTCCATATGTTATGAGCACTTCTCCTATTTCTTCAGAAAAAATTAATTATTGATGCCTCCATTCTTCCACAGCATTTTACCCATAATGATTATAAAAATTTTAATCTTCTGGGGAACACTAAAATATGATTTATTCATTTTCATGTGTATTTTTTGAATTGGATTTACTGATTTCAAAGGATCCTTTCATGGAAACATAATGACCATGACTAGCTAAGCCAAAAAATTCACATAGAACATGTTTCTATACTGAAATCCCTTAGACATGATATATATCATCTATGCTACACTGTCACTCACATGGGTTAAGGTTGCTTTGGAATTAGTGCATAGCTGTTTAATGTGTTTAGTCTATACCTTAATTAGACACTCCTTAAGAGACACAATTGCATCTCTCTCTTCTTTTGTTCTCTTGAGAGTCAAAACCATCAGTCACAGTAGCTGTACATAATAAAGTGAATAGCCACATATTTATAATACTTGGCAACCTTCACTCTTTATTCAACTAGTTTAATTCTTAGTGTTGATTGTCTTCAATTTTATCTTTGGGAATTGCCAGTACTTAACCTGCCTGAATTTTCTTTTATCCTTAAGCAGCTAGGGATACATTAAAAAATGTTGCTTCACTTTATAGAGGGACTAGGGTTTCCTCAGAAAAAGCCAAAGTTGACCAATAAACGTATATATTTTTTCTTTACAAAATTAACATACTGAATGAAAATTCAAATAATACCAAAAAGTGGAAAGATCAATCCCTCCCTAATCCCCCAATATAGCAATTTATTATATAATGTGTATACTTCTCATTTCTATATACACTAAAAATCTCATATATATTAAATATATACATTATTTAATTTTTACACATATAAATTTATATCAACCATTCAACTTAACAAATAAGAGACATTTTCTTATGTGTATGCTTCACTTCTTTTATTTTTATTTTGACCAAGCCATATGAATCTATTTGCAAAGAGAAGTTTTGATGAGAAGCAGAAATTCTGAATATGGAATATGGTAAAGAAAATAAGTGCCCAAATTCCACATCTGTCTTACAGACATACGTTTTTCCTCAATGAACCAAGGGGATCAAGTTCTGTGGTATCAGAGACAATCCTCAAAAAGCCCAGAACTTAATTCTTAAATTTAAACTTAATCCTGGCCCACTTTATTTCCACATCTTTGATATTATTGGTTCAATATTCTGTTAACCCAACTCATACTCTTATGCCAGATTCCTAACAAGTAGGTATCTTGACAAGAGAATTTCCCTAAACTCCTAAAATTATGAAGCCAGTATGTTAGATTCGATGGCAGACTTTGCTAAAGTATGAAATCTGCTCTCTACCACCAGTTGAATTCGGGTACATCTATTTGTGCAGTGTGCTAGACAAAACCGTGCTTCTACAAGCCAGAATCAGACTATGCCCAGCATCCTCTTAAAAATCAAGCCAGCACAGAAGGCAGTATCATGTAACGTTGGTGCAATCATTCAGGAACTTCTATATATTCAGTGACTCTACTTCTAAACCCAAAGCACAAGAAACAACATGAGATCCCATGGGATTCTGTCCTAGATGATGCAAAATAATCCCAATGCAAAAATATAATCCAAACCTGAGGTAGTGTAGCCACCTTCACAGAGGAAACCTTCACAAATCCATTGAGGAGAGAACTAAATGCAAATTCCACCACCTAGGAAACTTATTGTTCAGAGATGCTTGGGCAGCCTAAAAAAATAGGACACTTGTTTCAAGAAGCTCCCTTCTGGTGGAAATCACCCCAAAAGGACTAAGACATGACACCAGGCAGTCAACTAAACCTGTGCCCTGTAAGCACCTGTTCAAAGGACAACCAACAGTAACTTGGATCCCCACCCACATTCCCAGCAGTCTCCACATCAACACCCATGTGCCAGAACTGACATGAGTGGAAACACAAGGGTTCCAAAAACACAGTTCCAGAGTCACTCCATCAGCATTTAAGTTCTGCTCATTGAATCTCTGTCACCGGACATGTGCACTAAACCACAGCAGCTGTGCCAACCACAGGCCAAAGGAGCTTGATTAGAGGCAGAGCCAAGTTAAAAGGAGTGGGAAGAATGTGTAGAAGCTGAACAGTTAGTAATGTGGCATATACTCTGACTCCTGGGAAAGCAAAGCAGTCAACAGATCTGTGCTGCATATTTCAAACCTAGAGGACCTTTTTGTTAACTGAGATTTCATGCAACCCCAGAGGTGAACAGGCAAAGCCACCAATGGTGACAGCCTGTCTACATGTGTGCTTAGATGAGATTGTACTGTGCGTCATTAATCTGGCAGCTTTGAGCCCCATTCATACACATAAATAGTAATGCTGTCAGCAGCAGCATCTACTAGCACCAAGGACAAAAATAAATACTTCAACATGAAGTATAGACACAGGCCAAGACAGGTCTCTCTTGAGTTTTGAATTCTCATCATAGACTAAAGATGATTGATGGTGATAGTGCTGTGGTTAATGGACATACCACTGTATTTCCCATCACTTTTCAAGTACATGCTTCTGATTCCCTTGATTATTTTCAGTCTTTGCAAATGTTATTCTTCCTGAAATCCCCACTCCACTTTCTCAGTTGCCTCAGCTAACCAGTGGTTTCACTGAGCTCCCTTTCATTTCTGACATGTAACATGCAAGCTTTCATTGTTCAGCTACCTGGGCATTTCTCTTTTCCCCGGCACCCTCCCCCAACCATTTCACCAGACTGTGCTAGTCTATCAAGATGAAAACAACACTATGACACTCGGAACAAACTTCTCCTGTCAGATGCACACAGGGGGCCCTCTGTTGCACAATCTGCACTTGTTCCTCATGCAACAGAGATTCAACTCACAGATACGAGATCCAGACTGCAGATCAGAGGGGAGACTGACTTCTGCCCTTCATTTGAGCCAAAGAATACTTATCTCCTTATTTCCAACTTCTCAAGTTGCAGCTAGACCTGGGGAGATGTAAATATGTAAGTAAAACCAAAGACCATATTCACAGGTTATCCCTTTCAAAATGCCAGTACTTCTCAGTTGGCTTATCGCAGGCTGATTCCACTCTTTATTCATAAAGAGCCAATAGCAAGAAAAGGCAGCTCAGTGTGCGGGAAGGATTGCAGGAGTTACCGCCATATACTGATCTTTTTGTTCTGACACATTGATATGTGGGATTGGGCTGTGGGCAAAGTTACTATGTCTCTCTTTCTTGCAGCCCTAGGCTATCCTTAATCCATAGCTCTGCTGAAGAGATCCTTTCTAGGGAAAACATAACATAGGAAATTTAAATGATTGTTGCTGGTGTTTAATATTTATTGAACACCCACAACTGGACCAGGCACTCTACCGATGTGTAGCTTGCATCTTATTAGAATTTTCTGGGGAAAAACATCACTTTGACTGAAAGCTATTTAAAAAAAAAAAAAGCTGTTGAGCTATTGTAAGAGCAACAAGAATACACATTTCTCAAATATCTCTAATTGCTTTTCATAAGAATACAATTTTCTGCTCCTTCCATTAAGAACAGTCATTAACATGATATACTCAGTGATCCCAACTCTATAGTGCTTCTTTAAACATTTAGTTACATTTGCTAGTAGCTCAGGCTGAAAAAAAAATCACTATGTTAAAACGTATTTGTAAAGATTTTTTTTTTTTTCCAAAACATGTGTAATATAGTTGAAAATAAATTGACCTCACTTTCAAGCTGCACATTGTTAGTCTTTGTCTTGGTTCCCTGCCTTTCTCTTCCTCAGAACCCAAGGTTGGAGCCTCTGTAGCACTCGATCTGCAGAAACCAAGTCTACTTCCTTTCCTGAGATAGTCCGAACAGGAAAAGGAAGCACACAGTAGCCATCACCCCACTCTGTATTCTTACAGAGCTTGGCAACAGGTAACTTTCCCCAGACCCAGGAACCTTCCGTCCTGTCACCTATATCTTCATTGACAACCTGATCTGGAACCCTTCCTGAAACTCAATCTGCAGGCTGAGAACCCTGAACCTTTGTCTACTTCCTACCTGCCTTCCTTCTCAAAGCTAGACCCTGAATGTTGGCAGGAATCCTGAAAAGTGAAAAGTGTTTTTAACTCCTACATTTTCCAGAATACCATGATCTCTGCTGGTAAGACGCTGCTTGCCCTGTTGGACTGGTATTGGTGATCTCCTTAGATTTAAAAAAAAAACTCTGGATGGATATGCACCAAAACATTAATCATGGCTATCTCTGGGTGGTAAGAAAACACATGATTTCAATTTTCTCTTTTATTATATTTTCCAAATATTCTGCAGTGACACGTATTACCTTTTTACACAGGAGGAAAAAAAAGGTTTTCTTTTTTTGTTTTGTTTAAAACTTACCAAGACATACCATTATCCTTCCCGTGTTTCTGTTTCAGTAAATTCTCTTTTTCTCTTTTCCAAATCCAGCCTGTTGAAAAGAGTGTTCTCTCTACAAAGGAGGACAAATCTAAAGACCAAATTCTAAGAGAAAATATTTTTAAAGGGTTTTAAAATCTGTTATACCATAAAAAAGCAAGGTATTGAAATCAGATCCTTTATAGCATAGAAAAAATAAGTGATTTATTAATGATATCAGGAATTGAGATTTTCACAGCACCATGAGAATGATAAAGTAAAATTCTAAGTTAAAAATTATAAGATAAAAAATTAAATTAATATAAAGTTAAAACTCAATTGGAAAATGTAGATCAAAACCACACAGAGGGGCTGGGCTCAGTGGCTCACGCCTGTAATCCCAGCACTTTGGGAGGCTGAGGCAGGTGGATCACCAGGTCAGGAGTTCAAGACCAGCCTGGCCGAGATGGTGAAACCCCATCTCTACTAAAAATACAAAAATTAGCCAGGCGCGATGGCAGGTGCTTATAATCTCAGCTACTCAGGAGGCTGAGGTGGAGAATTGCTTGAACCTGGGAGGTGGAGGTTGCAATGAGCCGAGATTGCGCCACTACACTCCAGCCTGGGCGACAGAGTGAGACTCCAGAAAAAAAAAAAAAAAAAAAAAGCCACGGAGGTGAGAGCAAGACCCAGGGAATTATGCCCAGCATGTTTTATGCAAAAGATGTTCAGCTGTGAATAAGTGTCCCACTCCCTCACCTCTGTTATGGTTTAGTTGCAAGATGTCCATCTTTCTGTGCTGATGGAGAGCTGCCTTCTTATAACCACAGAGTTGGCACCCTACCTGGGAAATGTGTTTCCTTGCAAAACAGATTCCTTAAGTTGTGCTGCAGGCTCTGTGGGTCACTTTCCTCTCTTATGTCTATCAGTACCAAAGTTCACGGTTGTGCATTTGAATTTCTTTAGGCTGAAATTTACAGGTTGCTGCTTTGTGTTTCTTCCTTATAAAATCTCTTTATATGATTTTAGCTTCAAGTAGAATTTACTTTCAAAAAGAAAAAAAAGAAAAAAATGCAATGAGATACTACTTCACAACTATTAAGATTGCTATAATTAAAATGATGATTAATAATAAAGGTTATAGAGGCTGTGGAGAAACTGGAACACTCGTATATTACCAGTGGGAATGTAAAATGGTACAAATGGTTTCCAAAATACTGTTCAGAAAACAGTGTGATAGTTCCTCAAAAAGATAAACATGGAGCTACCATATGACCCAGCAATTCCACACCCAGGTGTATACCTAAGAGAAATGAAAACATATGCTCACACAAAAACTTGTATGTGAATGTTCATAGCAACATTCGTTGCAATAGCCAAAAGGTGGAAAGAACCCAAATGTCCATCAACTGATGAACAGTTAAGCAAAATGTTGTATATCCATACAATGGTATATTATTCAGCCATTTTTATGAAATGAAGTACCAATACTACATGCTGCAATATGGGTGAAACTTGAAAACATTATGCTAAGTGAAAGATGCAAAATCATACAAAAGGTCACATACTATATAATTCCATTTATATGAAATGTCTAAAATAAGCAAATCCATACAGACAGAAAATAGATTAGTAGTTGCTAGGGGTTAGGGGAAAGGAGGAATGGGAAGTGACATGAGTAAAGGTTTTCTTTCTGGGTAATAAAAATGTCCTAAAATTAGCTGGTGATGACAGTTGTAACTTTGAGAATATACCACAAACCACTAAATTATACACTTCAAAAGTACATTTTGGAGGGCACAGTGGCTCATGACCATAATCCCAGCACTTTGGGAGGCCCAGGCAGAAGGATCACTTGACTGCAGGAGTCTGAGACCAGCCTGGGCAACACAGTGAGAACCCATCACTACAAAAAATAAAAAAGAGCCAAGCGTGGTGGCACATGCCTGTAGTCCCAGACACTTGGAAGGCTGAGGTAGAAGGATTCCTTGAGCCGAGAGGTCCAGGCTCCAGTGAGCTGTGATCATGCCACTGCACTCCAGCCTGGGTGACAGGGTGAGTGAGACCCTGTCTCAAAAAATAAAGTGAATTTTATGGTACTTGAATTACACCTCAATAAAACTGTAAAAAATTTTTGTTGTTTGTTTTTGAGACAGAGTCATGCTCTTGTTGCCCAGGCTGGAGTGCAATGGCACAATCTCGTCTCACTGCAACTTCTGCCCCCTGGGTTCAAGCGATTCTCCAGCTTCAGCTTCCCAAGTAGCTGGGATTAACAGGTGTGCACCACCACACCTGGCTAATTTTTGTATTTGTAGTAGATACAGGGTTTCACCATGTTGGCCAGGCTGGTCTTGAACTCCTGACCTCAGGTGATCCGCCTGCCTCCACCTCCCAAAGTACTGGGATTACGGGCATGAGCCACCACGCCCAGCCAAAGCTGTAATCTTTTTAAAGAAATGGAACTGGAAATATCAACATAAATTTGTGATTTAAAAAAATATATTTTTCTAGCTCTGTACAATTAAAATATCCTAAAAGCAATGTCTAGTAGCAAGGAGTACCTCTAGCACCAGCACCCAGATTTTCACCTCTAATGCCATTCCCCAGTTATAAAAAAAATCAGGTCTTCTTCTTGGAGAAAGGCTAATTCTGTGCCTGGGTCAGCAAAGATATAAGGTCAGTCTAGGACAATTTGCACCAAAAGCAAGCAAACTTTCCAAGATTAACAGGATTGTGTGAAAAAGATACAGAGGCTACCTTGAAGGGACTTCCACTGGCCAAGATTATAATGCTTTAGGCAATAAAAGAACAATGGTTACAGTTAATTGAAAATCTATGAATACCCATAAGTCCATATTGGTATCTTTTGAGAACCAGTCTTTGAGAAAGGAAAAACAAGAGCAAACAACAGAAACCTCATTTGTCAACATCATTTGAAATAGCCATTCAACCTACATCTTACTTTAAAAACATGTAAAGGGGGAAAAAATAAACATTTATTCTGCCTTTTCAGTAGAGATTAGGTTTCAAAGTAATTAAATAGCCCCCGTGATACATATATTTGAGCAGAGATCTGAAGGAAGTGAAGGAGCAAGTCATCCTTGCACCTAAAGGAAAAGCTTTCCAAGTCAAAGAAGCAATAAATGTAAAGTTTCTGAGGCAGGAGCACATTTGGAGATCAGTAAGGTTATGGAGAAGAAGAATAAAGAGGAGTTCAATGGGGATATGGGGGAAATGCCTAGGAGCACTGTCTAGGGTTCATAAATGATCTGTCTAAATCATCTGGAAATGAAGGCCTTTTTTTCCCCCCTCCAGTAATGTATGTAATTACCTCCTATATTCCCCTCAATCACCTTCACCTTTTTAGTCTAAAGGTGACAAACATATGTGGATAATACACCTTTATATGGTGCCTACCACAGATACTATTAATTGATTATAGCTTTAGAATCCTTTTCTGCTCCCATTAGATCAAGTTTACCTATTTGTCATTCCTGTCCTATAATCTTAAGAGGTATACACATGTAATCTTTGTCCTGACTGATCCAGAAAGTCTGTGTTGTATGAAAAACACTACATGACTTTGTGGCCTCATTGGTTCCCTAAACCTATCAGCAGCATTTCACTTCCACTTAGTGCAGTTTCCCCAGAAACAAAGCCTAAAAGGAGGGCTTAGGTCAAATGTAAGCTGTTGATTGGAGTGTGTGATTCAGGGGAAAATATTGAGAAATGGAGGAGAGAAGAAAGAAAGGGAACCAATACAAAGGTGCATTACTGAGCTGGCCACCTTCACTGTGACTGCTCGCTCAACTGCACAGAAAACCTCAAATTTTTTTTCAGAAAGAAAGAGGAAGCATTTATCCATAGGCTCCCATTATTGATAATATCAAGTCAGTTCTGTAGAATGACTCACCTTCTGGATTTGTCTGTTTGCTTCTCTATTGGGTACATCCTGAATTTCCTATAAATGGGAAGTAAGAGCTAACATCTTATTAGATTCCATTTACATATTTGTGGCTAAAATTCATCAGAGGTAAGGTATTTCTTTGCATTCCATCACATCAGGTTGCAGCTATAGCTGGTTGTTCCAACACAGCAATATGAAGATTGACCACTGGATTTGCATGCTGACCCTTCCACTACGTTGTTATGATTTCCCCCTTGAAACAATAGTCATCTGATTTATTTGGAACCATATAAATGTCAGTTCCCCAGCAAACATTTTCCTAATGGTTTTCATATCACTTGGTACTCAATTACACTCTATAAATACTATACATACTTAATAAATATTGTTTAATGTATGACTAAATGTCAGCGATCGCTGGGGATGGATTTCTCATCTTCCACTCTGTTTACCCTCACTCCAGGCATTGGATCCTAGGTGGCCTTCTGGAGACTGAGATTGGTCTACACAACACAAAGATTCTGAAACAGTGGTGTATCATGAGACAGTGTTTGGACCTCTTTCTTTTTTTTTAGATGGAGTTTTGTTCTTGTTGCCCAGGCTGGAGTGCAATGGCACAATCTTGGCTCACTGCAACCTCCACCTCCCAGGTTTAAGTGATTCTCCTTCTTCAGCCTCCCAAGTAGCTGGGATTACAGGTTCGTGCCATCATGCCTGGCTAATTTTTGTAATTTTAGTAGAGACGGAGTTTCACCATGTTGGCCAGGCTGGTCTTGAACTCCTGACTTCGTGATCCGCCCACCTCGGCCTCCCAAAGTGCTGGGATTACAGGTGTGAGCCACTGCACCCAGCACCTGGCCAGACCTCTTTCATCCTGTTGTCATGTAAGTTTTATATCTTGAGTGCTGCTGTCCCTTAAAGTTAGTGCTTAGGAAGTGCAAGAAGGAACATGTGTTATCTCGGGTATTAGTGAAACAACCACCTATTCTTGTTTATTTGTTTGATCAATTCATTTCAAAGTGCCTTGTATTCTTGGTTGTAATTGGTCATATCTAGGTAAAGCTGGCTGTTTCCAGAGTCAGCAAGGAAGGCTGAGCTGTGTTACCCACAAAACATTTCTTGATAAAGGTGACCCTGGCAATTTAGGGCGTTCAAAATTTCTTAACTCCCACAGGCTCATTGAATCCAAGTCTCAAACAGACCTGTCCTTCCTCCATTATTACCTATGTCAGAAAACTATACTACCATCCATTCATTTATTCATACCAGAAACCCAAGAGTCATTTTTGTTTCCTCCTTTTCCCTTATAGCCCACATTCAATCAATCAACAGAATCTATCAATTCTACCTGATAATTATATCTTGAAGGTAACCCTTTTACCACCTTTAATGCCTTCCCATTTATTTCCACAGTTCAAGTGGGGAGAGAGTTTCTAAGTGAAAAGGGACCTATGCCACCTTCTACTTACAATATTCCCATGGATTTCCTCTGGAATACCAGTAAGCCCAAGATTTTACAAGAGCTTATATAATCTAGACCATCCACTTATTCATTTTCCTCAATTTCCACTCTCCTTCTCAAACTCTGTGCTTTGGTCATTACTAAACTACTTTTGGTTCCTCATATGATTCCTTTCTTGCCTCCTGGGCTTTGCAAATACTCTTCCATCTCTCCACAAGCACTGCCTTCTCCTGGCTAACCCCTCCTCAACCAAAAATTACAGCTAAAGGTCACTTCATCAAGAAGGCTTTCCTTGACCCTCTTCCTCATAATGTATTGAATAGTACTTACTTATTTAATATCTGCCTTCTCTTTCATCCTAAAATCTCCAAGAAAGCCACAACTAGATTAGTCTTGTTTGCTTCTCTATCTTCATCAGAGAATTTAGAAAATGTAATTGATTTTTTATGCTTGCATGTTTTATGTTCTTCAGCTTTAGTTTTTATGAATAACAGTAGAAAAAACATTATCTTTAAAAGTATCTTAGGTTGCTTAGAATATGGGAGTAATTACAGATCTGTTTCTTTTTCTCATTAATCCTTGGGAAGCCTAAATTACAATCACTTCCTAGAAGCTAGGCAGTAAAGTACTTCTGACTCAGCCTTGCCCTATTGTTTTTTGGAGGGATCTAGGAAGTGGTGATAATAACACTTACCTGGCAGAGCAGTTAAAAAAAATAGAGATGACG
The DNA here is from genome assembly GCF_000001405.40 of Homo sapiens. NCBI lineage: Eukaryota > Metazoa > Chordata > Mammalia > Primates > Hominidae > Homo > Homo sapiens. Next base: position 53,472,543 of record NC_000005.10, read on the forward strand.
TATTTCATATGTCTAGCATGGAATGGGCACTAAAACATGGTAGCTATTATTAAAGAATAAAATAATAGATATATGCATGGATTTCAGAGTGCCTGTGACCTCCTTAAAATGAATGCAACATTTTGTGTGGCTGTGTATGTGTTTGTGTCTGTCTGCTATTCTGGGGAGATGGTCCATATCTTTCAATAGCTTCTCAAGGGGACTGGGAACAAGAAAAAGTTAAGAATACTGCCTAATGGTTTTATTCAGGAAATCTGGTGCTCTGGCAAAAATGAAAATGTTGACAGTGTGATTGTTGTGTCATCTGGCTGGCCAAAGCAATGTTTTCTGCTAAAGCAAAAATTAGAAGTATTGGGGCCAAAATGATCTCAACTAAATGGTTCTTCTACACTATGTTTCCATCTGCCCAGCATGTGAGCCATTAACACATGTTTCCTGTTGACGATTTTCATATCTTTATTTGCAAGGAAACTGCACTGAGACCAGTTCAAGAGAATCATTTATTTAATGTATTGAAAAACCAAATAAATGAACTTCCTGTATATATACTCATGATTTTATATTGCTAAAAAGTGACTATTTATGGGACATTAAGCACACATTGACCAAGACTGCCTTTAAGTAATTCATCTAGTAGTTCTCATTATACATGTGTGTGTATATATATGTTTAGTCCAAAAAATAGCAAGTCTCACCATGTGTTGAAATAATTTATTTCAACACTTAATGCATCACCTGTCCCGTATTTCCACATGTTGTGTCATCACCATTTGACCTCAACCCATTGTTAAATATTTAATAGTACTGTTGGATAAACGATACAAAGTATTGTTTACTTTTGAATGTGGCATTTACATGAAAAACCAAATAAGCCAATACATGCTACAAAAGGTACAAGTTTAGGGTATAGCACTAGCCCTTCTGGTGGATGCAAAACGAGATATAAGGGGAAAGTAAACTACAGAGAGGATGAATGGGTCAGGGAGAGCAATAACAACAGAAAAGATGCCATAACTCTCCAATAAAGAATAAAGGCAGAAAGTAACTGCCACCCAAATGTTGGCATAATGGAAACTGCATGTTTCCATCTCTCAGAACTTAAACACAATAATGGATAGTTTTGAGGAGGAGTCTATTTGCATGAACATGATGAAATAATACTCAACAAAACACTAACTAATAGAGAATTATTCTTAACACTCACTGAGTGTAAATCTCATGGTGATGAAGATTATTCATTTAAAGGAGTGACTATGGTCTAAAAGAAACACCAAAAGAGTGCATGCCAGAGATTTTGATGAGTCAGCACACCACTCCTGGTAAGTGTGCTCAATACACTCTTTTTGACTGACCATAGACAATCAGCTTGGGGAAGTCTGAAAACAAGTATCAGCCTACACCAGGAAATCTTTATAACCTATTGAGGTCCTTTGAGACACAGAGCTTAAAATGACATATAATATCCTACTTCAGCATGTTTTTCAATGACAGCCAAAATAAAAAAACACACACACACACTACAGTTGAGAGAAGCTAAAGAAGAGTTATGTAAATACAAAGACATACCATGTTATTGGTTTTGAAGACTCAATATTGTTAAAATGTCATTCTCACCAAATTGATCTACCCTAATCATAATCCCATCGAGCTTTTTTTGCAAAATCAACAAACAGATTCTAAAAGTTATATAAAAATACAAGTAGGATATTCAAAGTGATCTTGAAAAAAAAGAAAAAGTTGTAGGAATTACACTACCTGTCTTCATGACTTACTATAAAGTCACATTAATCATGATAGTGTGGTACCAGCATAGAATCAACAAATAGATCAACGGAACATAAGAGAGAGCCCAGAAATAGATACACACTTACGAAGCTCTTTGATTTTTTACAAAGGTGCAAAGGAAAAGTGCAAAATTGATTTGGAATGAATTCCCCGTTGAGGAACAATGACTGTCTTAGCTCATGCTGCTGCTATAACAAAATATCTTAGATTTGATAATTTTATAAACAACAGAAATATATTGCTCATGATTCTGGAGGCTAGGAAGTCCAAGATCAAGGTGCCAGCAGATTCAGTGTATGGTAAGACTCACTCTCTGCTTCCAAGACTAACTGAAAATTCTACAAGATGATGAAATAGGATATTCAAAATCATGTTCTACTAACTTGTAAAATTTGAATTTACTGTAAACATAATTGAGGATAGCAAAGATCACCTGGTGACTATCAAGCAGGCCATCCAGAGACAAAATTCCTTATCTGAGGGATTCAGAAGTAATTCGACTTTCCCATTATCTAAACCAGGCATATGGTTCCAGGTTTCCCTCCCAAAAATTTGTTAAGTAACTTGTATGCATATTGAAACTCATTGTGCAACCCTTGCTGACATTAAGGCACCAAGGTATCTACAAACGTTATTGTTTAACATGACCTACATGGCTAATGTGGTCCAAATTACTCTTAAGCTCCTGCTTTAAGGTCCATAAATACCCCTAAGGAAAAATCTACCAAAACACTCTGGGTCCTCTCTTGCTGAGAGGCTCTGCTGCACTTCTTCTGCAGCATTCTTTCTTTCTAATAAAACTATCCTTTTTCAAACCTACACTGTCATCAGTAAATTCTTCTTACCAACCCACAGGTTGACCACTTTTCAATGCCAGGCCTCTGACATCTCGCCTGGCAACAGTATCTCACTTCTTAATTTACCATTCAGCATCAGAAATGAGACAGGATTCATGTCAAATTAAAAAGTGGGGTGACAATATGATGGATGATCAAACAGCAATTGTATCAACTACTGATGGTAATATTAAATAGGCAAATACCTAGAGAAGAACTAGTTATTAAGTGTGCAAACCACTGCTACTCTATGGAAAGCTAAAATAAGGGACCAGAAAATAAAACATACCAAAGTAACTACAGCATGCTACTCACCTTCAGCCAATGAATAATCCAGGAAGGTGGCTCTTACTTTGATTGACACGTTGTTTCCAACATAAAGTAGGGGAAACTGAACAGCAAATCCTAGTTTGCCCTCCTCACACCTTCTATGCAGTTGAAAGTGTAAATGGAATCAGGGTTAAAAGTGCTAAAGGTCACACACAGATATTTTCAGTCATATCCAAATATATGAATCATTTATGTTGTCAAAGCGACCTAAAATACTTTAGAATTTTCTATTAATCCAATGTAACATCCCCATTCTAAGGCATAATTTGAATTATTTACTAAGATTTATTTTAACTACTTAATTATGTTGAACTTGAATATATTAATATGGCTAGTTTAAGTGACTATGTGACAACTAGCTTAGCTGACTTCTGGAAACCCAAAAATATTTCTAAAATTAAAGGGGAAAGCAAGGCAATAAAAATGTTACACAGAAACAAGTAGTATCAAAAAGGAAGAGCTATCCATGATTGATCAGCTCTGTATAACACCAAAGCAACACTGAAAAGAGAAAAGTTCAAGTAATCCGTTGTTTTCTCAGTTATATATATATATATATATATATATTACATAAAACATATTTTTCTAATGATTTTTTAAAACCTTAATTGACCGGTAGTTTGGATATCTTGGGTAAACATTGCTTCTACGTACTCACATTTCTTAACTTTTTAGTTCTGTAATGATTCAACCAATACAGAACTACTGCCCCCATCCCCCTACTCAAATCCTTATGCTAGCCTATGAAGTTGCATAATGCCAAAGACTATGACACATTAAGTAACTGTTTTGTACCTAGAATAAAATCTGATTTTAAAATCATTTTAGCCTATTTTTCAAATGCTTAACTTTTGTTGTTTAATCAAGATTGATTATTTGCACTTGAAAATGTATTCATTTTGCAAAACACCTAACTTCAAAAAAAGCTTGACATTTAATCTTAAGGCAAAAAAAAAAAAAAAGCTACTCAGTTCATGACTTTCAAATAGTCTCTACATAACCTCACCCCACTCCCTCCATATTCTCTTTTTAGGTACTGAAATTTAACCAGGTCAGTTCTGGTCTCAAATAACAATGTCATATGAGTTTAAATAGCTATCTAGGGAGTTAGATTGAATCATTTGCTAAACTCTAATATTTTAAATTTATAAACTTCAGAAGGAAGACAGCTTTTGAAGCTGACAAAAGACCAATCAGAAAACAGTAGTCTTTTTGTGTGCTGCCCAGAAATTCAGCTACAAAGTGGTCCTATTGTGTTTCTCATAATTTACATTTTTATTTGGCAGAGCAGAAAGGAAAAATAAGAAGTCAAACTTGGAGGCATACAACAAAAATGAAAGGCGACATTTTTATTTTAAAATGTCCCCTTGACATTTAGATATCTACAAACCCAATATTTAACATTTACAGGCGATATAACAGTAAAAGAAATAGCAGCTGTTTTTCTGTGATGTCACTGAACAGGTGTGGTACCATTTCATACCACAGAAATGGGATGGATCTCTTGCTGATGCCCACAGAAAGCCTATAAGGAACCAGTATTGACCTGTGTCTCATTTCCTCAGTTATGATCTGAAAATAACCCTAGATGGCAAGAGTCATGGTGACTGATCTGTGCTGATTTGGAGCAGACATTCTCCCAAACAGATCAATACTATCCAAGGTGCAGCTGAAAAACAGGATGAGCTTGTATCACTAAACAAACACCAAGCTGCTTATTCAAAAGGGCAAAAGCAACACAGCACTTATGTTTTCCACAGTGTGTTTGCCAGTGACCTCAACCCTGACCTGCAGGGTCACCTTCTCTGGGACGAGAAGTAATCCTGTGTTGGGTCACCCTCTGGTACTGAGGGACTCCTATTTGTGGTGCCATTTTTTACAATGAGAGCTACTGTGTCTGCTTTGGCTTAGCCAAGACAATTACATGATGCCAAAACAACTAGTCAAGGCAGTCAATTTAGTCAAATGACTGGTCTGAGCATTTGGCATTACATAGACAAAAAATGAAATAGAAATGAAATTTTTACTTTTACCCAATCATACTGGAATTGTGAGGATACAACTTAAATTAATTTAGAAAGTTTTTGTGACATCAGTTGTTTCTATATACATAAACTAAAATAAGTATCTGGACAAACTAAATAGTTTTGCTCAAACATGGAAAATTTTTTGACTAGCCCCTCCAAATTGCTTCTATTCTAATCTTCATTTAGCTACACAGACCTTCCCCCAAAAAGGTAATCTTTGTGTATACTTGTATGACCCTTTTACATCAACATGTTATATGTACATATAGGAATGAACAAAATTAAAATCTAATAAGAACATACAAGTTATATCACTATTCTCCTTGCTATACGGTTATAAAATATGATGAGATTATGAACTTTAAAACAATCTTCCCAAAGATATTGAGAAAATAAATATGGATTAAAACGTGATTCTATATTTCTCCAGGCAAGATGACTTCATATACAACTAGGCATATAAGTAAAATTTAAATATTTTGTATAGTCCTAGGGTGGAAAGTCTAAGAAAAAGACCCCAGTTTCCAGAGGCTACTGGCCAATTCAGGACCAATAAATATATTTAAACTGGAGACAAATATAAAATCATGTAATTATGTATGATCATTGATAGCATTGCTGTAAGATCCAGTTACTTACCATCTGAGATCTTTTATGCATTTGGAATGTTTATTTTTCAACCTTGGATATACGGTTTGATACCTCTACCTTAAAAAGAAGCTGTGTCTCTTGCTGCCATTAAAAGACAGGGTAGGGGGAAAAGTCAAGTAACAATACTTGTTAGCTTCTCTTTCCTTTAACTTATCCCTGGGCAGGGGTGGGGGAACCTTTAAGCAGAGAAAACAAACTTTCCCTCCAGCACATCATTGTATAAGGACTATACCATTTCTCTGAATAAAGAAGAAATAAATTCAGCTTTGGAACTCTGCCATTGAGTGGCGGCTCCTGCAAAGGGGACAGTTTGCTATTAATTGTTAATGTCGTCTGCCATTAGAGGGCACTAAACAACTCTACATTAATGAGTTGGAGGGAAGAGAGAAAAGGAGACTGGAAAAGAAAGAGAGGGAGAAAAGGGAGGGAGAGTACGGGTAGAGTCTGGGTAGAGGGAGGGAAGGAGAGAAGAGGGGAAGGAGTAGGGGAAAGAGAGCAGAGGGAATGAGTTGGAGGACTGGAGGGAAAGGGAGAAGGGGAGAGAGACAGCGAGACAGAAACAGACAGAATGATTCTGGAAAGATTAAGAAGGATGTGGAGCCCCCACAGCCGTCTGAAGTGAGCAAAATCCAGTCTCCCCCGGGCCGCCCGAGCCCCTCCCCTCCCGTCCTCATGACGGTAATTATAAAGCGAAAAGCGGCGGCGAGGTCACCCGCTTTTACCAGCCTGCTGCACCGAATGCGCGCGGTGCAGGTGCGGCGGCCGCGGGGCTTTGTGATTCATGCCCACTTTCAAAGGGGGGCTTGGGCCCGTCTGAGAGGCACCCAAACAACTGTCTTCTAATATTAGCACGGCTGTATTTCGGGATCTATTATAGTCTGTCCAGACAGATCCCATTGTAATGGGATCTTTTATTAAAAGATTAGCACTATCTCCTGCAGTTGGTGGAAAAAAATCTGTTATCACTGAGTTATTTGCAGTTGTGGAGGGGGGAAGGTTGACGGAAGATGGGGGGTGGGAGGGCTAGAGGAGGACTGGGGGAGGGTCTGGCGGGGGGAGGGCAGTTGCAGGGGGGGAAGAAGGGCAGATTTGAAATTCGTAGAACAAATCCCAGTGACCTGCGAATGTCCAAGAATTTTGTCTGCATACTTCGCTATCTGTTGTCCTTCGGGCTTCAGATGCGAAAAGAACAAATTTAAAAGGCAGCTTTGGAATAAACAATATAGCATTTTCCGTGAAGTAATCGTTTTATATAAAAGGAAATATCGCCTCCTCAGTTTCATTCAGCGGTGCCAAAAATGTTATAAATGAGAGACCCGCCAACTTTCAGCGAAGAATGCCAGGCACTGTACTTAATAAACTGAGGCTACAGAAGTTCATTATGGATGTTGCAATCTTTTTTATTCCGCGAAAAGAGAGAAGACGAGACAGAAAGAGAGAGAGATTGGAGCCGAGGAGACTGAGAGACAGACAGAGGCACACAGGACAGAAACTGGGGAGTCTCCAGGCGGGAGAGGAAGGGGGGGCCAGACCGCCTACGTCGGCGCCCCCGCTCCGGGCTCCGACTCCAGACGCCGCGAAGTGAAAGGGGAGAAAAGAAAGGGAGAGGGCGAGGCTGTGCCGCGGGGAGACCGGGCCTGAGGTGTTAAACATTTTTGTTTGCTTCCGACTAGTCCAGACGAAGGGCCGCGTCTCGGTAGCGCTCTGCCAGGGTGGAAGGTGCCGGGGCCGGGGTTCCTAGCAACACCTCTGGGCTGGGGGTGGCTGCAAAGTCAGGCACTCACAGACCCAGACACAAAACCTCGCGGGTCCCGCGCCCAGGCTGCGGGTGCCCGGAACCGCCGCGAGGCCGGCGCGCTCCGACCCGACCCGGGGCGGGATATTTGGGCAGCCCGGGGCTCTTCGGCCGTTTGCAAAAGTCTCTTTGGAGCGGAGGAGAGGCAGCACGGAGACAAACTCCCGGGTTCCCCCCGCCACCGCCTCCAGCGCCCCCACCGCGCCCTCCCTCTCACACTCGCGCGCGCGCGCACACACACTCACACACACACTCACACACACACCCGCCACCCCGGGCGCGCCGGCGCTGCCGGCGAGCGGCGGCGAGCAGGACTTGAAGTGGGTGTTCTTCCCCACTCCCCACCCCCGACGCGTAGCCCCCAACCCCCGCCCCGGTCGCCTTCCCCCTCCCTCTCGCTCCTACGCAAATAAGAACTCGACGATTCCCTTCCAGCCGTTTTGATTTCGGGCACCTCCGAAAGATAATTGGGAAGGGTTTCCAGAAGGTGGGAAATGTCACCTGATTCACACTGAACTTTTGAAAGCTCCCCACCCCCAAGGAGCCGCGCACACCCTCGCTCGCGGCCGCCCTCCCACAGCCCCACACACTGGGAGACCGCCCACCGCAAACCGCGGAGACCCCCGTCTAGATTTAAAGCGCGGCTGCGCCCGGCTTCTGACGTCCATTGAATCGCGCGGGCGGCCGGCGGCGAGCGCGGGGCTGCGCCGGGATCGCTGCGCCCTCCGCCGCTGGCCTCTGCGACGCGCGCCGCTCGCCCGAGCCACCCGCCGCCGCGCCGGCTCCCCGCGCCGCTGCGCTCCTCGCCCCGCGCCTGCCCCCAGGATGGTCCGCGCGAGGCACCAGCCGGGTGGGCTTTGCCTCCTGCTGCTGCTGCTCTGCCAGTTCATGGAGGACCGCAGTGCCCAGGGTAAGCGAGTGGGGATGCGCTGGGGAGGCTTGGCTGAGGACAGGGGGGTCGACTTTTCTGTGGTCTCCACTTGGTCTGTTCTGAGCAACGCTGCTCTCGGAAGATGTTGAACCAACTTGGGGACTCCGGGATGGAGAGGAGTGGGAAAATTGTAGGCAATGACACTTTAGGACTGGGAACTGAGTTTGGAGCTCGGTTATCTTGAAAAAGGAAAGGGAGCGAGCTGGGGTCTTAGTAGTTAGGGTTAAATGCTCCAAGTTCTGGCCATGATAACTTTAGATGTGATCTCCTCTGTTTGGCTCTGAAGAAGGGAACAAGTATCAGTAGTAGCCTGGAGATTTCAGTCGACCCATTTGCAGTCTCATCTCTCTCCCTCCCACATCTTTTGGATACTTAAAAAAAAAAAAGGAAAGAAAGAAAAGAAAACCTGGGGGTTTGGGGGAGAGATACTGAATTTTATTTGGTGGCTGGGGGACGTGGTTTCAGAAACTTTGCCCAAACTTGGAAATGTGGGTGCTGAAGATTTTCAAGGGAAGTAGCTTTCTGCCTAGTGGATGCTTCTTCCAACCCCATCCCCCATTCTCGCAAAAAAAAAAAAAAAAAAAAAAAAGCCAAATTATTACCCCAAAGTGCTTTGAGCACTTTACAGTTTTTTTCCCCTCTGCCTCATTCTTCTTTCTGACCCTTAGCTTTCTGTAAAACAGTGAGCAGCCCATAACTGACTTAAATTCTGAAATGGGTTAAGAGCAAATTTCTGAAGCTTGCCTTTTAAAAATAGATTTGTTTATTTCAATTAGTCTTTGGGCAGAATGTTTAAAATAATAATAGCAGCTTGCGATCCAATGATTGTTAAAGTCATATTGGTGATTCATGAGAAGTCTTCTCGACCCAAATCCGAACATTAAAAAGGGGGAAGAGGGAGAAATCACTTGCAAATATTTCTTGCTAGGTATGAGATAGGTACTTATAACCGTGAAATGGTAGGAAGACTCCCCCCTCCCCCCACCTTAAGGCATTACTTTCCCTGCTTCAGCGTTAACATTTTAAGTATGTTGTAAACTGCCCTCCTGGGCACTGCCCCTCGCCGTCTGCATGGCACTGCGCTGGGTTGCCCGCCTTTAGAGGAGAGGCTCTGCCTGGTGCCCGGACGTGGGCGCGGAGGAAAGCAGCCCTCGGAGATTTCGAAAGATCGCGGTGGCCGCGGGCGTGCTCCGGTCTGGCGGATTGCAAAACGGGCCCGTCGGGCTGGCTGCGCCTGGAGGCCGCGCGGGGTAGCTCCGGGCTGGGCCGGGTTGCTTTTTTGCTTTCATTTTTCAGAAGTGCCTTTTGCTTGATCTGTTTCTCTCTCTCTCTCTTTCTTTTCTTTCTTCCTCTCTCTCTTTCTTTCTTCCTTTTTTTCTTTCTTTCTCTTTCTTTTCTTTCTTTCTCTTCTTTCTTTTCTTTCTTTCTTTCTCTTTCCTTCTCCCTCTCTCTCCCCTCCATCTCTCCTCTCTCCTCTCTCTCGTTCTCTTACTTTCTTAACCCCTGTCACAAATAATTCCTGTACCCGCCTACATGAAACCAGCATGTAAAAACATCCGTCGCATCCTGTTTTTGTCAGGTTCTTTAATCTGCTCTTCGAGTCTCTGCAGGTTATGAAATGGGACGAATAAAAGTAAACAGTCTAGTAAAAGTCAATGCAAGCTGCACGTGTTGTGTCTGGGTCACTGGTAACTGACATTGATATGGCTGGGGCGCCCTGTCTTCTCCCTCTCTCCCTCCCTCCCTCTCGCCCACCTCCCATCTCTGTGATCAGGGCTTCCCCCTCCACTGCCTTCTTTTTCCACCCCTCCACCCCTTTCGATTTATTTCCTACTTTTCTCCCGCGTCTCTCTCACTTCCCCTCCTCCACGCTCACCCCCTCCCCATCCCCGCCGGGTCTCCTTCGCTAGCCACCTCGCTCTCCCTGCCCTGCCACCGCTCACTGCTCACTCACCCACCTCCCCACCCTTGTCTCTTCACAGCTGGGAACTGCTGGCTCCGTCAAGCGAAGAACGGCCGCTGCCAGGTCCTGTACAAGACCGAACTGAGCAAGGAGGAGTGCTGCAGCACCGGCCGGCTGAGCACCTCGTGGACCGAGGAGGACGTGAATGACAACACACTCTTCAAGTGGATGATTTTCAACGGGGGCGCCCCCAACTGCATCCCCTGTAAAGGTAGGACTCCTTCTTCCCAACTTGCAGGCCCTCAGTAGAGGGCGTCTTACCCTTAGCTTCCCCACTACCTGACTGGGGTTTGGGAGTAGGAGAGCTTTGTTCCTGGGCTTCCCCTTCCTGTCCCTTGCCCTGGTAAGCCGTGCAGACTCTAATTCTGCCTGTTACAGGCTGTAGGGAATACACGCCAGACTTCTTAGCCAAGTGTGGTGGTGAAACCCACCAACCTGTGCTCCTTAATGAGAGAGATCTGGGTGTGGGGCACAGCCCAAGGTCCACACTCTTTCACCAACTCCCAATATTCCAGGAGAGAGCCTGGGGCCCCTCCAGCGCAAACTCAGGGCTGCATGATTGCGCAAGGCACCCGAAGCCCTCCTGGCTGACCTGCAGACTGCCTGGCTCTGGTTTTAATCCATGCCTGTTTCTAACTCACAGAAACGTGTGAGAACGTGGACTGTGGACCTGGGAAAAAATGCCGAATGAACAAGAAGAACAAACCCCGCTGCGTCTGCGCCCCGGATTGTTCCAACATCACCTGGAAGGGTCCAGTCTGCGGGCTGGATGGGAAAACCTACCGCAATGAATGTGCACTCCTAAAGGCAAGATGTAAAGAGCAGCCAGAACTGGAAGTCCAGTACCAAGGCAGATGTAAAAGTAGGTCCTACCCTGTTGAGCAAGACTGGATCTGTCCCCTCCTCCAGCTTTGTACCTAAAGTAGACCCTCTAGAAGACCCTTGGGGGATGGTGTAGTCCGCAGTAAGAGCCTGATAATAGTAATACTGAAACCAAATAAAGGAGTCCTTTTCTAACCTCTAGAGATTCATTAAGAACACTGAGGGGACCAACCTAGTCATAGATTCTCTCTTGAAAACTACAGGGCTCCCTAAGTGCCTTTTGAAAGCTGGATGCTTCAGTGTCATGATTTCCTTGGTAACTTCAAGTGCTCACTCCCTAAGGACTAGAAGGTACCTATTCATGTGTGTTTCCTTCTTTGTTCCAGAGACTTGTCGGGATGTTTTCTGTCCAGGCAGCTCCACATGTGTGGTGGACCAGACCAATAATGCCTACTGTGTGACCTGTAATCGGATTTGCCCAGAGCCTGCTTCCTCTGAGCAATATCTCTGTGGGAATGATGGAGTCACCTACTCCAGTGCCTGCCACCTGAGAAAGGCTACCTGCCTGCTGGGCAGATCTATTGGATTAGCCTATGAGGGAAAGTGTATCAGTAGGTATTCTGGATTGAGGAAGGAAAAAGAGAAAACAGGCTAGTTCTATTATTAAACTGTGGGGTTAACTAATAAGTAAAGCCCAAGGCGTCCCCAAACACCATAGGGAGAAATACGCTGCAATTTGGGGAAAGTGTTGTGACCACAGTATTCCTCATGGAAACCATTGTCTTCTGGAGGCATTGACACATATATTCAAATGCCAGCAGGAAGCAAGGAACAGTATTCCGTCTTAGAAAACTTAGAACTTACTCAATTTTACACATTTTTTTAAGTGCCAGACTTGCTGGAAGCGAAAAATAATTACTTAGCAGTTCCAGAAATCTGTTGTCAGATTCTAGTAATTAATGGAATTCTTTCTTTTGTAAAAGATCCCACTTGTGGGAAATAATAAGATACATATTTAACTTGAGAATATTGTAAAATCCTGTTCTTAAAAAAATACCCTTTTAATGCACTAATGTAGTATGTAAGAAACTGCAGGGGTTTTGTGCGTGTGTATGTGTGTGTGCATTTGAGTTTCAGTTTTATTATCCAGCATTTTTGCATAATATCTCCATTACCCCCATTAGTAATAGGCTATTACTATTATGTTTATATAAAATAAATTATGTTTATATTTATTGATAGAGGACTAGAGAAAGGGAGAAAAGGGGGATATGGGGAAATCAGTTTACTCATCACAGATGTATTATATCCTAGAAGCAAAGTCCTGTGAAGATATCCAGTGCACTGGTGGGAAAAAATGTTTATGGGATTTCAAGGTTGGGAGAGGCCGGTGTTCCCTCTGTGATGAGCTGTGCCCTGACAGTAAGTCGGATGAGCCTGTCTGTGCCAGTGACAATGCCACTTATGCCAGCGAGTGTGCCATGAAGGAAGCTGCCTGCTCCTCAGGTGTGCTACTGGAAGTAAAGCACTCCGGATCTTGCAACTGTAAGTGCGATTTTTAACCTTGCTGCCATTTAAGGCTTTCCCAGGCAATCCCTAGGGAATGGACACTTACAAAGCACGCAGATCTCCCATAAATCCATTTCTGTTCAAATTAGGTAGCTGCTAAGTATCACCAGCAATTCAATAATCCACAGAAAATTCTCTGCGATGTTTCTTGGCTTTTAGGACTTATCTGGTGATCATCAATGGGGTTGCCTCTAGAAATCTATTTCCAGTTGTTTTCCCCTATTTCTTGTGTTTTGGTAGTGTGCTTTGCTGTTTGCTTTATTAACATTTGAGTCTAAACTAACTGCTTCAAAAGTTTTTTTTTTTTTTTTCCAACGACAGCTTCATATTATCACACATGGGCTGCTGCTTTTTGCAGTTGCCTCTACTAACTCTGAATTAAGGACCCAAAGCAGTTATACCTAGAACACAAGAGCGCTTTTTATCTAATTTCAGGAATCTGCCCGTAAAACCTGAGCCATTGATTCTTCAGAACTTTCTGCAGTTTTTGACTTCATAGATTATGCTTTAAAAAAATTTTTTTAACTTATTGCATAACAGCAGATGCCAAAAACAAAAAAAGCATCTCACTGCAAGTCACATAAAAATGCAACGCTGTAATATGGCTGTATCAGAGGGCTTTGAAAACATACACTGAGCTGCTTCTGCGCTGTTGTTGTCCGTATTTAAACAACAGCTCCCCTGTATTCCCCCATCTAGCCATTTCGGAAGACACCGAGGAAGAGGAGGAAGATGAAGACCAGGACTACAGCTTTCCTATATCTTCTATTCTAGAGTGGTAAACTCTCTATAAGTGTTCAGTGTTGACATAGCCTTTGTGCAAAAAAAAAAAAAAAAAAAAAGAAAAAGAAAAAAAGAAAAATATATTGTCCATACTGTAAATAAGTGTATGCTTATTTATTTGGGGGGAAAACTATACATTAAAGGACCTTTGTCCTAAAGCTCTCTCCCAGGCCACCTTGTTACTCATTGGACACGGAGAGGCATTCATTGTGAGGTCTACTGGATGAGGCCCATAGTTGAGACTTGTAGACATTTATTTATACTGTGTCATGTTTTATAATTTATACATAAAATGTCTGGTTGACTGTATACCTTGTTTTTGAAGAAATTTATTCGTGAAAGGAAGAGCAGTTGTTATTTATTGTGAGGTCTCTTGCTTGTAAAGTAAAAGCTTTTTTTCCTTGTAAACCATTTAAGTCCATTCCTTACTATTCACTCACTCATCTGTCTCCCTTCATTTCACTGTTAGACTCTTTTCCACTTTCAACAAACTTGCATGTCAGTTTCTGTCATGTTTATTTATTGGATTCTCTGCTGCCTGATCTGTACATACATGATCCCTCGGGTTTTGTTTACAAGGAACCTTGACTGACCAAAAGGCATTATAACTCTGACTCAAATACAAGGTACAGAAGATAAGCATCTTTGAGGAAACTCCTACTTCAGTTCTTTTGTTATGATGAAGACATTTGTGAGAGAGGAGATGATTAGAATTCTAGTAATGTACTTTTAAGATGTTACAGATACAAAGAAATGATGTGGGTGTCAGGAGACTAAAGGATGTTGAAGGCTACACATTCAACCTTTTGTTAGGTGTTTCCTTTAAGCTACTCAGCTGTACCTTTTAAATTAGTTCTTTTTCAACCAGTATATCACTAAAAGTTATATCAAAGCTTTATCAGTTCAAGTTTCTTGCTTTTCATAATACTTTTTTCTGATGCAATTTTATATTTTCAAACATGGCAAGTTAAAATATAAATTCATTTAAATATATAGTTTTGTACTTTTCTACCATGTAAATGTGCAATGTATATAAAAGTTATAATGTGTATTTGTAAATAAATGATGAGTGAAAAAATAAAAAAATTTTAAAAAGCCAATGGTTTCAATTCCTGATGATGCAAAGAAGTTATTTGGACTTTTGAGTAAAAATGTGTATGATACCTTTGCTGAGGAATGTAGCTATCTCTGAAATTACATGGCCAGGGCAGTACAGATCACTTCACTGGAGTTTGAAAGATAAAGGGATCTGAGGTCCAGCAACCCCACTGTAGGAGTGGCATATACCTGTCACTAACCACAGAAGGAACAGACTGTAGATGTGGGTTCTTTCCTGCAATATGCCAAGGCTAATATTTCCTCTTTAAAAACACCATCGTTTTAGCTGTCCTTGTTGCAAGCTCATCACCATAGCCAGGGACACGCTTCATCTTACTTTCCCATAAATCCAGTGCAGTTTCAGTCTTTTAAAAAACAACACACATCACAAGGAAAGCTGACAACAGATATAATATTTGACAAACACATTCTAGAAATCAGAATATCAGCTGCAGAAGTAGACATTATAGTGTTGGAATGCTAGGGACTTGATGAGGTGAGGATGGGGTGGAGGTGAATTTCCACAATGATGTCCATGGTTAGGGATCAAATAATGTCACTCATTGTAAGAGGAAGTGTATCAATATTTCACAGTTTACACTAGACACTATTAGAGCTTCAGAATGGTGTTTAGGACATCAGTCAATGGTCCCTGTAATACATAGGAATACATAACTAGATCATAAACATAAGTTTCCAATTCATTGTGTGCTACATACTCAAAGCCTAAATATATTAAAAATATCAAAGAAGTACAAGATGCAAGCCTCAGATTGGCATTTGGGCCATCATTCACTAGTCCCTGTAATATAATGCATAGGAATATATAACTGGAGCATCAACACAAGTTTCTGATTCAATTCCAATTCCAATTATGTACTTACATATTCAAAGCCTAATTATATTTAAAATATCAGAAATTCAAGATGTAAAGAAGTATCAGGACTGTGGGAGGGAAAGAGCAAAGTATAGTCAATATTACCAGCATCGCTAAACAATAATAAACATATCATTTCTTTCAAACACCATGACCCAAGTTCTTCTTAAAAGTTTATCCCTTTTGTAAAAAGCCTCTTTAATATGAATAGTTATTCAAAATTGTTGCCAGAGACTGTTGGCTCTCAACTGTGGCCACCTAATGAGAAATTTGGTGGAGGTAGAGGGACCTCTTCAGTAGACAGTTTATATAATGATTAGAGCCCTGTTGGATCTTGTTACCTTTCAGCCCTGTGTTCCCCAAAAGGAAAAGAGAGGTGCAGAAAACAAACAGGCTGCCATTAACTGCAAAAGACAAGGGTCGTAACTTCTCCGGTGTAGATTAGCTACTGGCTTGCCACTAGAGAGAGGCTCTCGGGAAAGGAAACGGGCAGATATGGTTTCACAGCCCTTCGTGGAGTTGATTTGTTGCTTGATCCTGGGATGCTACAGATGCTTTAAAGCTGCCACTGACGATCAGAGTAAAAACGTCAAATTTAACAGGCACCGATGTGTGTCTTGGCAATGGGAAGTGATAAAATCAACAGCTTGCCTTAGAAAACATCCAGATTATTTATTTAAAATTTTTATTCCAAATTTGTCAGCATCAATCATTCCTCTTAAACACTGGACGGTATCTCGTTTTCCTCCTTGGAGTTTTCCACTTTTCCAGTCACCTAGCATTACACTTATTAGTACCAAAAAAATAGAAATCTCTTTTAAAATTAAAAGTAGATTAATATCTTTAGACTATTGTTAGAATTTCAACTATGGCCCAAAAAAGTCTAATTCACATGCATATAGTGTAATTAATAGAATGGAATTACAAAATATAAATTAATAATAAAAGATCTGTCAGAAGCCTAATTTAAATTAAAATGTTTATATACTACATGGGATATGATTCCTCAAGTATAGCAAAAATAAAGTCTGGCTAATTAAAGTTATTCTCAAATGGGATAGCTAAATGCAGTACCTGACCTTTGATCAGATCTTGTTCCTAAGGAAAATAATGCTGTAAATAACAATATTGGGCCGGTTGATAAAATCAGAATACTGTCCAAAGATTAAAGTATTGCATCAATGTTAAATCTACTAAAATTTGATTACTGTGTTGTGGTTATGTGAGAGAATACTCTTTGACTCAGGAAATACACACTGAAGTATTTTGGAAAAGGGGCCACAATGTATAAAACTTACTCTTAAATGACTTAGAAAAAAATATATAGGTTTTATTATTTTGTTCACATGTATGCAAAGAGGGAGTACATGAATGATAAAGAAAATGGAATAAAATGTTAACAATAAGCGAATCTCAATAAAAGTTATAGGGTATTTTTAGCACTATCTTTATCTTTGCAACTTTCCTATGAGTTTGAAAATATCGTATATCCAAATAAAAAGTTAATGCTTTTTTTAAAAAGTCATTCTCAAGAAGGAGAGGTGCACAGCAAACTGCTTCTCCCCATTCTCTGGGAAAAGAATGAATTATCAGAGTCATTTAAAAAAATGATTTTGTATGATAAAAAGACTGGAAAACAATTCCAGTGACTTTAACAAGGCTACTGGGGGAATTCACATGTGCAATGAGAGAATTCCTATCACCTAAACCATACCCAAACTGAGAAACAGCCTTTCTATCATCATCTTACAATTTAGAATGATTAGTACCTTCATTGTAACACTCCAAACACCCAACACCCTCATTCTCCCCACTGCTTGCTATGTATTATTTGACAAGCAATTTAATCCCTATGTACTTCAGTTTCCTCACCTACATAATCACAACAAGGAAAGTCTCTCTCTCATTACAATGTTGTGAGGATTAAAAGAGATATAATGTGTTAAGTGCTTAGATTCATGCTTGGCACTTAAAAAACAGTCAGAAAATAAGTGTCCTCTAATATTATAATAACTATGATTAATTAAAGAAAAAAGGTGGTATAATAACTCATCAATCAAACCTTACCTTGAAAATGCAATGAATGAGAAATGGTAGAGGAACTTCTTCAGTAGACAGTTTGTATAATGATAAGTGAGCCCCAGTTCTCTGATGCTCCAAAGGCAGCCAGAATACCCATGCCACTGTTAGGGCTTCAGGGAAGCCCTGTTCCCCCAGTATCTCCTGGGCAGAATTCTCACATATAACATATATCAACATATAACATATATCAATCGAGACCAGAAGCCCAAGCGGAAGCCATTTTTAAAATGGAAGGTAAGCGTACTTTTAAAGTATTTTATCCATGTTAATATTTAATAAAACTTCATGAAGTTCTAGGTGGTACGGCAAAAGTGTACCTTTCAAAATAAAACGTTTAGATATATTATTTCCCATGAAATTTAGAAAAAATTCACTCACCATCTGAAATTTTCAAAGCCACAAAATGTGTCTTTTGTCCTTCAATTCACACTCTCAGCACAATTCCTGGCAGTACAATAAATTAACTCAGTCTTCTTTAATTTTGATACAATTTCCTGTAGGAGGACTATAGACTCCTGAAGATAATAACAGGATAAACTATTCCCAAACTGTCTCAAAAATCCGAGTATAAATTGTGCAGTTGCCAGATATGAAACAATGCATATATTATACAATTAATAAACTTGTTTATTAGAGTTTTCAAAACCTGGGTCCTAAGAGTAACATGTTTCCCTTCTTCCCATTCCATTTTCCATTCAGAGCAGCCACACAATTCTTCTTCAGCCAAAAGCTGTTGTGTAAATAGACACCAGGCATGCCTGCCCTATGTAGTCAGTGGACCTGCCCAGACATGTCCAAATCCCAGCTTCTATTTTGCTGGAATCCCCCCATGAATACTGGATGGTTCCTGGGTTTTGCCATCCTTAGACCTCAGATATCTTGGCTGGTATCACCAAGATTCCTGTGGCAGAGTCCTTCAGACACATACTCTTTGGATTAGACCAAATGTAGTCCTGGCAGTGCTGTGTCATTTTTCTATTTTAAGAAAATGGCCAGGGAACCAACTGGCAAGGTTGGGAGCCAGATACACTCCCACCAAATAAATATCTGTTGTACTCATTCCCCAAGGACTCAAGTCTCTGTCTAAAGAGCAAGTATACACTTTTCTTAAGAATATTGGGCCCTAAGAAGTTGTTAGAGGCAAAAGTCACAATCCTGGTGAGAAAGAGGGGGCTCTACATTGATTCCAGTTTGGAAAAAAAAGATCTTGATAAATTTCTTTTTCAGCACCAAAAAAAAAAAAACCAATGGGATGATAATGGTCATAGTACAACTCATAAGCAATGATAACAACAAAAGACCAAGATGAAGGCCAGTCTCTATAGTTTCTGGAGATTGCTGTGGGCTTATGGCTCAAATGACAGCAGGTTGCAGAGGTGTTAGATTATTCAAAAGGCAGCAACACCTGGGACTTCTAAGATAGAGTCAGTGCCCCAGGAGAAGTCATCAAATCGGACTTAAAGCACTTTCTTCATTGGGCATGTGGAACCAGAGCCCAGTCAATACAATTCCCAAATAGAAACAGTGCTGCTGAAGGTGTAGTGCCTAGACCAAGAACACCAGAAAGATCTGGGAGCTTGTTAGAAACACAAGTTCTTGAGCACTATCCCAGAACCACTGAATCTAATTTACTAGGGTAGGGTCTGGGAATCTATGTTTTAACAAGCTCTCCAAATGATTCTAATGTGTGTTAAGGTTTGAGGACCACTACTCTAGAATCATTTCAAGCTCCAAGTGAGCCCCAGTTCCCTGATGTTCCAAAGGCAGCCAGAATACCCATGCCTCTGGTAGGGCTTTAGGGAAGCCCTGTTCCCCCAGCGTCTCCTCGGCAGAATTCTCACATATAACTTGGTCCTGTGCTACAGGGATGTACCTGGTGGTGGCAAAGGCATTTGGCCATAAAAATCACAAGGCGTATGTTTCCTGATAGAATATTGTCATCGTCTACCATCTTCCCGGTGAGACATAGCTGGGTTGACTAAGAGGTGTAGACGCACCTTCACCATCGCTTCCAGCCATATTAATTAGGTGGTATGTTTGTCAAGAAGAGACTAGAATTTTGAATGAAGGGTAGTAACATTCCAACTCTGGTTTTTCACTAATTGGCGTTTGGTCCACTTCCCTTCTCTGGAACTTACCTACAATTTCTTGGAGTTCTGCATCATCCCTTAGGATACTACTTCAGCCTCATCCATGGGTCAGGAAACCAAAACTGCTATTTGCCTTACTACCTCTTCTAAGGACTGGGAGATCTAAGTAACCTGCTGCACTAGAAACATGGGCTCCAGGCAATGGTAAGTGAAACCTTCCAAGGGATGCATGCAGAATAACAATGCCCCAAGGTCCATTGCCTGAACTAAGAGGTGAAAGGGCCTCTCTCTCCATTTTCTTGCTATTCCACCCTTCCTGGTCTTGTATCATTTTCCACCTCAATCACCTCAACCATCCTCTTCACCAGAACCTTGGGTCTGTGAATACCTACCCATTTTTCCACACCCTCTGGCTGAAATCCTAACTACTAATGAGTGAAATCCACCTTCTTCACACCTATCCTATGCTGCAGAGCAACAGTGAAATCCTTCAGTGCCACTACACAAGTATGGGATCTGGTCTCAACTGGGTTATTTAGCCTCCTGAGCAGTATTTTATAAATACATATTTATATATTATATATATAATATATGTATATAATTACCCCAGAGTAGTTTTATTCATATACAATTATATATATAATATATGTATATAATTTTATATATATAATATATGTATATAATTTTATATATATAATATATGTATATAATTTTATATATATATATCTTCATCCCATCTCCCTCACTGGTATCTTTAAACTTTCTCCACCCTCTTCAAGCAGGCTTTTCACTCCCACTCCACTCACTATCAATGAACCTTAGCTTTTCTAACGAACTAGAAAAGAATTACCTCAGCTTCCTCCACTGTCATCATTAGCTGTAAGTTTGCCCAATGCCATACCTTTTCTAAGTTCCTTCGTTCTAATCTCAGAGAATCTTCCATTTCGTACTTTGTTTTCCACCACACCTTCTCGCTTCTCCTCTAGAAACTCACTCTATTAACAGACTTCACCTCCATCATTTTTAAGTTCCCCCCTTGAGTAGTTTTATTCATCTGAGCTTATAAATATACTTCACAGAATTTTAAAAATAAGATTATAGAAAATTGAAACAATATAATTATTAAAGTTTGCTTAATTAAAACATAGACATGTATATATACATATATAATACATACATACATACATAGTATATATATTATAAACATGTTTATTATATATATACTTGTTATATATAAACATGTTACATATATAAAACATGTTTATAATATATATATACTTCAGCCTTGGCTAGACCTTCAAAAAAAAAGCTTCTTTTGTCCAGGTGTGGTGACTCACACCTGTAATCTCAGAATTTTGGGAGGCAGAGGCAGGAGGATCTCTTGAGCCCAGGAGTCTGAGACCAGATCGGGCAATGTGGCAAAATCAAATGTCTATGAAAAATACAAAAATTAGCTGGGCATGGTGATACACACCTGTAGTCCCAGCTACTTGGGAGGCTGAGGTTGGAGGGTTACTTGAGCCCATGTGATGGCTAATATTAGGTGTCAGCTTGATTGGATTGAAGGACACCTAGATAGCTGGTAAAGTATTGTTTCTGGGTGTGTCTGTGAGGGTGTTGCCAAAGGAGATTAACATTTGAGTCACTAGCCTGGGAGAGGGAGACCCACCCTCGATGTGGGTGGACACCATCCAATCAGCTGCCAAGGCAGCCAGAACGAGGTGGGCAGGGTGGGATAAGCTGGCTCTCTGAGTCTTCTGGCTTTCATCTTTCCCCCATGCTGGATGATTACTGCCCTTGGACATCAGACTCAAGGTTCTTCGGCCTTTGGGCTGTTGGACTTACACCAGTGATTTGCCAGAGGATCTCGGACCTTTGGCCACAGACTGAAGGCTGCACTGTCGGCTTCCTTACTTTTGAGGTTTTAGGACTCGGACTGAGCCAGTACTGGATTCCTAGCTCCTCAGCTTGTAGATGGCCTATTGTGGGACTTCACCTTGTGATTGTGTGAGTTGATTCCTCTTAATAAACTTTCTTTCAAGTATACATGTATCCTATTAGTTCTGTCCGTATGGGGAACCCTGAGTAATACAGACTGGGAAATCGAGGCTTCAGTGAGCCATGATCGCACCACTGCACTCCAGCCTGGGTGACAGAATGAACTCTGTATCACAAAAAAAAAAAAAAAAAAAAAAAAAAAAAGCTTCTTTTATCTTCTTCTAGACACGACCCTCGGAGTAGTCTCCACTCTCTGTCTTCACTGCGTCAACTCTCTCTCATTCCTCAAACCACTGCAATTTGGTTTTTTCTCCTACTATTCTTCTGAAGAGACTTGACAAAGGTTACCAACGAATTCCAAGCGACCCTACATAATGGACACAAGGACACTATACTATCCGTATCTAATAAGACCACCCTTTGAATTGTACAGTGTTAACCAGGCTTCCCTCTTGTCAATTTCCCTGACTTTTGTATTCCCACTCCCTCATATCTCTCCATTTCTTACGGGTCTTCCTGATGACCTCATCTTCTCTCCAGTGAAGCAGGGATCAAAAACTGGCAACCCACAGGCTATACCTGACTTATATTTTATTAGGTCACTCAAATCTCTAAAATAATTTTGAATTAGTTGGTAATATTTAAAACTCAGGAAATTTCACCCAAAAAGTTAGACTTCTACTTTCTCTTGAAAAAATCTGAAGCCTGGGCATCACTGATTCTGAGACACGACACAGGCACAATCCCCAGGAGCAGGGAAACAGCAGCTCTCTCCTTTAGATGGGGTAAGTGTCCCCCAAGTCCACTGCACCGATCATTCTCCCTTTGTCCTTTGCCTGGTTTGCTTCACTTATCCACATTTCTTGACTCCCAAGTAAGCTAAGAATTCCATTCTCCAAAAAAATAATAAAAAGAAATGAACAAAGCCTCCAAGAAATATGGGACTAAGTGAAAAGACCAAATGTACATCTGATTGGTGTACCTGAAAGTGACGGGGAGAATGGAACCAAGTTGGGAAACACTCTGCAGGATATTATCCAGGAGAACTTCCCCAACCTAGCAAGGCAGGCCAACATCCAAATTCAGGAAATACAGAGAACGCCACAAAGATACTCGTCGAGAAGAGCAACTCCAAGACAAATAATTCTCAGATTCACCAAAGTTGAAATGAGGGAAAAAATATCAAGGGCAGCCAGAGAGAAAGGTCGGGTTACCCACAAAGGGAAGCCCATCAGACTAAGAGCTGATCTCTTGGCAGAAATGCTACAAGCCAGGAGAGAGTGGGGGCCAATATTCAACATTCTTAAAGAAAAGAATTTTCAACCCAGAATTTCATATCCAGCCAAACTAAGCTTCATAAGTGAAGGAGAAATAAAATCCTTTACAGACAAGCAAATGCTGAGAGATTTTGTCACCACCAGGCCTGCCCTAAAAGAGCTCCTGAAGGAAGCACTAAACATGGAAAGGAACAACCAGTACCAGCCACTGCAAACACATGCCAAGTTGTAAAGGCTGTTGAGGCTAGGAAGTAACTGCATCAACTAACGAGCAAAATAAGCAGCTAACATCATAATGACATGATCAAATTCACACATAACAATATTACCCTTAAATGTAAATGGGCTAAATGCTCCAATTAAAAGACACAGACTAGCAAATTGGATAAACAGTCAAGACCCATCAGTGTGCTGTATTCAGGAAACTCAACTCACATGCAGAGACACACATAGGCTCAAAATAAAAGGATGGAGGAAGATCTACCAAGCAAATGGAAAACAAAAAAAGGCAGGGGTTGCAATCCTAGTCTCTGATAAAACAGACTTTAAACCAACAAAGATCAAAAGAGACAAGGCCATTACATAATGGTAAAGGGATCAATTCAACAAGAAGAGCTGACTATCCTAAATATATATGCACCCAATACAGGAGAACCCAGATTCATAAAGCAAGTCCTTAAAGACCTACAAAGAGACTTAGACTCCCACACAATAATAATGGGAGACTTTAACACCCCACTGTCAACATTAGACAGATCAACGAGACAGAAACTTAATGAGGATATCCAGGAATTGAACTCAGCTTTGCACCAAGTGGACCTAATAGATATCTACAGAACTCTCTACCCCAAATCAACAGAATATACATTCTTCTCAGTACCACAACACACTTATTCCAAAATTGACCACATAGTTGGAAGTAAAGCACTCCTCAGCAAATGTAAAAGAACAGAAATTGTAACAAACTGTCTCTCAGACCACAGTGCAATCAAACTAGAGCTCAGGATTAAGAAACTCCCTCAAAACCACTCAACTATATGGAAACTGAACAACCTGCTCCTGAATGACTACTGTGTACATAACGAAATGAAGGCAGAAATAAAGATGTTCTTTGAAACCAATGAGAACAAAGACACAACATACCAGAATCTCTGGGACACATTTAAATCATTGTGTAGAGGGAAATTTATAGCACTAAATGCCCACAAGAGAAAGCAGGAAAGATCTAAAATTGACACCCTAACATCACAATTAAAAGAAGTAGAGAAGCAAGAGCAAACACATTCAAAAGCTAGCAGAAGGCAAGAAATAAATAAGATCAGAGCAGAACTGAAGGAGATAGAGACACAAAAAACCCTTCAAAAAATCAATGAATCCAGGAGCTGGTTTTTTGAGAAGATCAACAAAATTGAAAGACTGCTAGCAAGACCAATAAAGAACAAAAGAGAGAAGAATCAAACAGACACAATAAAAAATGATAAAGGGGATATCACCACCGATCCCACAGAAATACAAACTACCATCAGAAAATACTATAAACACGTCTACGCAAATAAATTTGAAAATCTAGAAGAAATGGATAAATTCCTGGACACATACACCCTCTCAAGACTAAACCAGGAAGAAGTAGAATCTCTGAATAGACCAATAACAGGCTCTGAAATTGAGACAATCATTAATAGCTTACCAACCAAAAAAAGTCTAGGACCAGATGGATTCACAGCCGAATTCTGCCAGAGGTACAAGGAGGAGCTGATACCATTCCTTCTGAAACTATTCCAATCAATAGAAAAAGAGGGAATCCTCCCTAACTCATTTTATGAGGCCAGCATCATCTTGATACCAAAGCCTGGCAGAGACACAACAAAAAAAAGAGAATTTTACACCAATATCCCTGATGAACATCGATGCAAAAATCCTCAATAAAATACTGGCAAACTGAATCCAGCAGCACATCAAAAAGCTTATCCACCATGATCAAGTGGGCTTCATCCCTGTGATGCAAGGCTGGTTCAACATACACAAATCAATAAACGTAATCCAGCATATACACAGAACCAACAACAAAAACCACATGATTATCTCAAAAGATGCAGAAAAGGCCTTTGACAAAATTCAACAACACTTCATGCTAAAAAACTCTCAATAAATTAAGTATTGATGGGACATATCTCAAAATAATAAGAGCTATCAATGACAAACCCACAGCCAATATCATACTGAGTGGGCAAAAACTGGAAGCATTCCCTTTGAAAACTGGCACAAGACAGGGATGTCCTCTCTCACCACTCCTATTCAACATAGTGTTGGAAGTTCCGGCTAGGGCAATCAGGCAGGAGAAGGAAATAAAGGGTATTCAATTAGGAAAAGAGGAAGTCAAATTGTCCCTGTTTGCAGATGACATGATTGTATATCTAGAAAACTCCAGTCGTCTCAGCCCAAAATCTCCTTAAGCTGATAAGCAAATTCAGCCAAGTCTCAGGATATAAAATCAATGTGCAAAAATCACAAGCATTCTTATACACCAATAACAGACAAACAGAGAGCCAAATCATGAGTGACCTCCCATTCACAATTGCTTCAAAGAGAATAAAATACCTAGGAATCCAATTTACAAGGGACGTGAAGGACCTCTTCAAGGAGAACTACAAACCACTGCTCAATGAAATAAAAGAGGATACAAAAAAATGGAAGAACATTCCATGCTCATGGGTAGGAAGAATCAATATTGTGAAAATGGCCATACCACCCAAGGTAATTTATAGATTCAATGCCATCCCCATCAAGCTACCAATGACTTTCTTCAAAGAATTGGAAAAAACTACTTTAAAGTTAATATGGAACCAAAAAAGAGCCTGCATAGCCAAGTCAATCCTAAGCAAAAAGAACAAAGCTGAAGGCATCACACTACCTGACTTCAAACTATACTACAAGGCTACAGTAACCAAAATAGCATGGTACTGGCACCAAAACAGAGATATAGACCAATGGAACAGAACAGAGGCGCCAGAAATAATGCCTCATATCTACAACTATCTGATCTTTGACAAACCTGACAAAAATAAGAAATGGGGAAAGAATTCCCTATTTAATAAATCGTGCCAGGAAAATTGGCTAGCCATATGTAGAAAGCTGAAACTGGATCCCTTCCTTACACCTTATACAAAAATTAATACAAGATGGATTAAAGACTTAAATGTTAGACCTAAAACCATAGAAACCCTAGAAGAAAACCTAGGCAATACCATTCAGGACATAGGCATGGGCAAGGACTTCACAGCTAAAACACCAAAAGCAATGGCAACAAAAGCCAAAATTGACAAATGGGATCTAATTAAACTAAAGAGCTTCTGCACAGCAAAAGAAACTACCATGAGAGTGAACAGGCAACCTACAGAATGGGAGAAAATTTTTGCAATCTAGTCATCTGACAAAGGGCTAATATCCAGAATCTACAATGAACTCAAACAAATTTACAAGAAAAAAACAAACAACCCCATCAGCAAGTGGGCGAAGAATATGAACAGACACTTCTCAAAAGAAGACATTTATGCAGCCAAAAGACACATGAAAAAATGCTCATCATCACTGGCCATCAGAGAAATGCAAATCAAAACCACAATGAGATACCATCTCACACCAGTTAGAATGGCCATCATTAAAAAGTCAGGAAACAACAGGTGCTGGAGAGGATGTGGAGAAATAGGAACACTTTTACACTGTTGGTGGAACTGTAAACTAGTTCAACCATTGTGGAAGTCAGTGTGGCGATTCCTCAGGGATCTAGAACTAGAAATACCATTTGACCCAGCCATCCCATTACTGGGTATATACCCAAAGGATTATAAATCATGCTGTTATAAAGACACATGCACACATATGTTTACTGCAGCACTATTCACAATAGCAAAGACTTGGAACCAACTCAAATGTCCATCAGTGATAGACTGGATTAAGAAAATGTGGCACATATACACCATGGAATACTATGCAGCCATAAAAAAGGATGAGTTCATGTCCTTTGTAGGGACATGGATGAAGCTGGAAACCATCATTCTCAGCAAACTATCGCAAGGACAAAAAACCAAACACCGCATGTTCTCACTCATAGGTGGGAATTGAACAATGAGAACACATGGACACGGGAAGGGGAACATCACACACTGGGGCCTGTTGTGGGGTGGGGGGAGGGGGAGAGATAGCATTAGGAGATATACCTAATGTAAATGACGAGTTAATGGGTGCAGCACACCAACATGGCACATATATACATATGTAACAAACCTGCATATTGTGCACATGTACCCTAAAACTTAAAGAATAAAAAAAAAAAGAATTCCATTCTCCACTCCTTCACTTGTCAATCTATAGAATCTTCTGTGTATGTCTCAGTATACAAATATAATCAAGTGTTTAAATGAAATCCATATGCTAGCCACTGCAGATCTCTATGACCAATCCTGGTATTTTATTGATCACACTTCTTCTTTTTTCTTTTCTTTTTTTTTTTTTGAGACAGAGTCTTGCTCTGTCACCCCGGATGGAGTGCAGTGGTGCAGTCTCGGCTGACTGCAACCTCCGCCTCCCAGGTTCACTCTATTTTCCTGCCTCAGCCTCCTGAGTAGCTGGGACTGCAGGCGCCCAACACCAAGTCCAGCTAATTTTATGTATTTTTAGTGGAGATGGGGTTTCACCATGTTAGCCAGGATGGTCTCTATCTCCTTACTTTGTGATCCGCCCGCCTTGGCCTCCCAAAGTGCTGGGATTACAGGAGTGAGCCACCGCGCCCGGCCTGATCACACTTCTTCTATGATCAGGAAACTGCACCTCTGCAACAGACCCACAGAACCTACTGCCTCTGCTGAATGAATGCCCTTTACCTTGCTTGTTTCCCCACAAAGATTCCTTCCAAATCAAAATTTTATGGGAGTACGTCTGACTGATGCGGCTAAGTTCCTACAAGGGAAGCTGGGAAATGTAAGATTACCTAAATTCTAAATTGGGAGGTGGGATTCAGCATAGAGAAGTAAAACATTGTAGGAAGGGTGTCCCAAAGATCTTGGCAGCCACAGTGATAGGTAGACACTACTAGATGAACCAAATAAAAGATTAGTATTGCTGAGCATGGTGGTTCACACCTGTAATCTCAGCACTTTGGGAGGCTGTGGCAGGAGCATTGCTTGAGGCCAGGAGTTCAAGACCAGCCTGGGCAACATAGCAAGACTTTGTCTCTACAAAAAAAAATATATATATATATATATATACACACACACACACACACACACACACACACACATATGCAAGGCATGATGTTGCACACCTGTAGTCCCAGCTACTCAGGAGGATAAGGTGAGATGATCCCTTGAGCCCAGAAGCTGGAGGCAGCAGTGAGGTATGCTTGCCCTACTACTCTCCAGCCTGGGTGACAGACCAAGACCCTAGCTCAAAAAACAAACCAACAAACAAACAAAAACAAAATAGGGATTAAGTGGTTAAAGATAAGACTGCAAGTGGCTACCGCCAAAGAGAAAGAACAAAATTCATCAATAGGTTCAAGGGTATTTTCTCAGGAGCATACAACAACCAGAAGCCATTCACAATCTACTACAAGCCAAATGCTCCATTTAGTAAGACAGCCGCCTCCAAATGATGCATTGTTGCAACACAATTCAGAGGAACGTGGGGAAGACAGAGAACTAGAGCAGAGAACAGCAACAGCAGGAAGACACAGTGAGAAGCAATCTCCCAAATAACAAACAAAAGCAATCAGCATTTGGCAGAATATTGTGTAAACAAAAGCTTCCTGAACTCCAGCCTCTAGTGGATCAGTGCAGGAGCTAGTGTTTACAAACACATCATTGAGGAGTCAAGGTAAGGGTAACCTCAAGCAAAGACTAGAAAAGTAAGAATTCTCAGATAATAATAAAAATCCTTACATGGGAAAATCAGGTCTCCAGTGCTAATGACATATGCCAGAGAACTAGATGATAGAAAGACAAAGAACCAGATTAGGCTAAACATTTTCCTTCACTATTATCTAGGAACAGGTAATGAATACAGACTAATGTAGCATCATGAGGGTTATTTGTTTGATTAATTAGTTGATTATTTACTGTTCAAAATTTTCCTGAAGTGCTTTTACATCTTATGGGCCAAATTACACCTAAACAAAAACTCACAGGTGTCATTATTTATGTTTTATAATAGGAGTCGGGGGATCAACTGTAATATTTTCAAAATTCTTACATAGGACCTCAGTATTAATGTAAAATTTCAATAGTCAATTAGGAGGAAAATATAAACAAATTTATATTAACATGTAATAAGTCAATATAAAATTGAGAATTTGTCAGAGAAAGACTACACTTTAAAAAATTCACCCGGATGTCCAGAATAGAAAAGTCTATAGAGACAGGAAGATTCCAGGTTTCCAGGAGCTAAAAGAATGGGAGAGAAATGGTAAACGACTACTAACAGGTACAGGAATTCTTTTTAGGACAGTAAATACATTCTAAAATCGATGGCAGTGATGGTTCTGTTACTGGCAGCAAATCCTTATCTGTATGGGGTCTGCAGCAACCTCAATTCTTGCCTCCTCTGAAGAAAGAATTTGACTGAGGGGCATAAGGCAAAAGGAGAGACAGAGGCAAATTTTAGAGCAGGAGTGAAAGTTTATTAAAAAGCCTTAGAGCAGGACAGAAAAAAAGTAAAGTACACTTGGAAGCATGCCAAGCGGGTACCTTGAGAGATCAAGTGCATGGTTTGACCTTTTGACTTGGGGTTTTGTATGTTGGCATGCTTCTGGGGTCTTGCTTTCCTTCTCCCCTAATTCTTCCTTGGGAAGGGCTGTCCGCATGCACAGTGGTCTGCTAGCAATTGGGAGGGGAGCATGCACAGCGTGTTTATTGGAGTTGTATGCATGCTCACTTGAGGTGTTCTTCCCTTGCCAGTCAAATCTTCCTAGGAGGTCATACACCAGTTAAACTCTGTCATTTTGCCTTTGAATGCACATGCTTGAGCCCTCTTGCCAAGCTCCTGAGATCTCATCGGGAAGCTGCTGACCAACATTTCATGTGTTTTCTAACTATTGGGAGACTCCCTTCTCTGGCTCCAGCGTGACCAATTATTATTTTAGAGAGACCGTTAACAACTGCCTGACCATCATCTGATGGTCACCTGACATTCCGTGTGGTAATGGGGGGTGAGGGGGGCCCTCTCCTGCCCTGCTCATGTCTGACTAGCTACCTACTGTAACAGTACTGAAATAAGTGCACTATTTCAGAGATGGTGGGGAAAGAAGTCAGGATTCTAGGGGAAAAAGACTTAATTTACCAAAGCACACTCTTCCATTAGCATCACTAAAAAACTTCTCAAACTAGGGAAATGATAAATTTCTGGGTCTTATCATATACTATTTTTGTCCTAAAAGCCTTACCATAAAAATTAAAACTACAACAACCAGAGTCACATGAA
This sequence comes from Homo sapiens, assembly GCF_000001405.40. Taxonomy (NCBI): domain Eukaryota; kingdom Metazoa; phylum Chordata; class Mammalia; order Primates; family Hominidae; genus Homo; species Homo sapiens. The sequence continues at coordinate 53,502,930 of NC_000005.10, forward strand.
AATTTTACCAAAGCAGAGAAAATAATTTTGGTCCCGCATGGCTGTCAGTCTGGAGGCAATTAATTATTATATTCCATGTTTTTATTGGTGTGTTGCGAAGTTTCATCACACAAAAGTTCATTTTTCCCTTTTGCATGTTAAGTGATAATGGAAAAGAAAATTATTATTATAAAACACTTTAATCTACGTAATGCTTTAGTTGTACTTGTTCTACTTCATAATGGAAAAGTATACAACTGTTTTGCAAATATATTTATATACCTTCATTTTTTCTGATAAGAGCAAATTATTTTTTCTTTAAGAAAAATTTTCACACCTAAAATAAGAATGTATTATTTTCCACTTAGAAACTAAGTAGAAAACTAGATTCTGTCATCTGAATGTTAATTTTGTTTTACTAATTTAAATTATTTTCACCAATTACAATTTTTTAATTGCAGCTTTTCCTTCCAAAATGTGGGTGGAGTAAAGAGTTAACTATGTGTTTTCTCCCGAACACAATCTTTCACAATATCCTCCAATCTTATCCATATTCTTATTGTTTAAAATTGAATGTGCACTTTATTTTCAGATTTTAATTTGTTAATTTAGTTCCTCTGGGATGAAAAGAAGTTGAAAATTTATGCAAACACTTTGTTGTCTGTCTAGAATATTAATTACATATCTATAGATATAATATGCCACATACTATAGCAATGATGCATATGCATATATAACAAACAGATATCCAGAGATAATCTTTCCTTGAAACCCTACATCAGTTCATATAGGGCTCCTCTGTCACCCAAAGCCAGCTGGGGTTCAGACAGACCAAGGTTACTAGCAGCTTACATGACAGAGAAACACATACACATTGCATCACATTGGGATTTGCCCAGAGGATTTTAATACATGTAGTACAATGCTGTGTGCACTGATTATTATTATCATTATTTTTTGCACTTCCACTCCCCATCCGTTCTCCATCCTTCTCTCTCCTCCTCCATGCCCTGGAAGGGTGAGCCCTGGAGACATCATCTCCCATACCCCCATGGGAGCTGGTTTCCGTCTAGATTTGGCCAGGCTGCTGAGAAGAAAGCAGATCATGGGAAGCTAGGGATGTAAGAGACTGACTCATTTCTGCCTCTCTGCTCCAGCACCACCTCTCTAATAGTAGCTGATTTCTTCCAGGACTACCCAGGAAAAGCACAGTGGCCTTATCTACAGGTTCCCAGCTCTCTTAGCTCCAGAAACTCTGTGCCCACCCATCCTTACCCCCACACCAATCCTTTCCTTTCTAGCGAAACATCCCTTTTTTACCACCCTCACCCCAGCACACACCTCTGTGAGTAGTTCAGCCATGACTGTGGGTTTTTCCTAGCCTATCTAGGTGAATTCTGTTTTCCAACCAGAACCGCGCCTGACAGAGGAGCCATCTAAGACTTCCCATCCAGACCTGATTTTTGGTTGATCAATCCTTAATTCATATAGGAAAAAGGAGAGAGAAAACACTAAGGGAGAAAATCATTTCTCTACCACAACCCGATACGACTGCATCTCAATTTGTTCCACCATATTTCATATCATTTAAAAACACCACTTTCCTGACACTGCTTCTAAATGTTGAATCCTTACCCAATACATCTGAATGTCTGCATTTTTTTTTTTTTATCTAATTTAGAGAGTACAGCAGTTTCTCAGATGGGAAATAGGCAGTAAAGACAGGTGGCTTCCACTGAAAACCAAAATGAGATTTCATGAGTCCTCTTCAGCCATTTTATTAGCACACTCTGATTTTAGGGCTGAAGCAATCTGTTCCACCACCCCTCTGTTCAGACTTGTTTCCAGGACCACAGTACCAATTTGTCTGAAAGCAAAAGTTTTCTGCTGTGTTTTTGATAATGAATCTGCTATAAGCACATTTTATTTTCTTGCACAACTGAGGCGAGAACTCTAGACTCAGAATCTGCTACATTTTTTAATTAACAAAGGAATTTATCCTATTTATTTAATGGAGAGAAAGTCTTTTGTGGTGGTGTATGCCTGTACTCTCAGGTACTCAGGAGGCTGGAGGAGTTCAAGGTCAACCTGGACAAAACAGCAAGACCAAGACCCCATATCTAAAATAAAAAAAAGAAAAACTATAATGGGGTCAGTAAGATCATAGTCAGCGTGTTAATTATCACAAGATAGGTTAATAAATTCACATTGCTAAGGCAAATATTTAAAACCAAGTAAATAAACATAACTCAGATAACAAATATTCTGTCACATTGTTTCTTATAGTCAGTATAAACATGCTTTGAGATTAACATAGCCTTAAGACTATAGGTTACAATTGTTAAGAAAAAAAAAAAAACCTGTATTTAGAAGCCGCATATCATAGAAAGCTCCCTGCTCTTAATAAAAATTTTAAGGAACCATAATTGTGTTTAAAAGAGACAACATTCCTATAAAATAGAAGAACTTTGCTCCTCCTCCCACCCTAGGCGGAGAGTTATTTGTATATTGTGTTCTTAAAATCACCAAATATAAGCACTTATTTGAAAGAAAAGAAGGCCAATTGATTTGATATGAAATGCATGCATACCATGGCTGTAAAACTTAAAAGGAACAAAAGAATATGTAGGGAAAAGAAAGTATGTTTCTCTCCTACCCCAAGACCCTGGCCATCAAGTTCTCCTCCCCAGAAGCAACTAACGTTACCAGTTTTCTGTATATTTTTCAGAAATATTCAGTGCATAAGCAAGCATGTAACTATATTTTCATTTGTTTTTCATAAATTATAACATACTAGATATTCTATCGTACAGTTTGCTTTGATACTTCTTATATCATACAGATTATTCCACATCAGTATACAGTTGGCTTATTTTTTTTTATTTACTTTTATTTTTTTTTGAGACACAGTCTCGCTCCGCCACCCAGACTGGAGTGCAGTAGTGCGATCTTGGCTCACTGCAAGCTCCGCCTCCGGGGTTCACACCATTCTCCTGCCTCAGCCTCCCGAATAGCTGGGACTACAGGCGCCTGCCACCACGCCCACCTAATTTTTTGTACTGTTAGTAGAGACGGGGTTTCACTGTGTTAGCCAGGATGGTCTTGATCTCCTGACCTCGTGATCCGCCCGCCTCGGCCTCCCAAAGTGCTGGGATTAGAGGCATGAGCCACCACCGCACCCAGCAGTTGGCTTATTTTTAACATAAAGATACATAGTTAAATTGCATAGGTGTACCACAACTTAGTCTATTTTTAGACATTTAGATTGTTTCCAGTATTTTGATATTTTAAACAACGATGCTTCAAATAGGAAAGAATATATATTCTAATATATCTACATATTCATGTAGATATACATATTAGAATTAATTCCTAGAACTGTAATTTCTGTCAAAGGATAGGCATGTTCTACATTTTGACAATGGAAATATATGGTAGAAATTTAATCAATGATAAAGATTTAAGGTAGGAAAATCTAATTGGAATTCAAGATCTAAATGTCTGAAAATATATAAAGTGAATAGCCAAAATATCTGTTTTAAAAATGTAAGCTTTTTATAGTTAAACAGAGACAAACTAGTAATCAGTGGGGTTTAACTTGGTTTGAGAATGAGAATAATAATATAGAAATCTTGGGAAATAATTATCAACCTTTGGAGTAACTAAAACTAGTTCTACATGGATGTTTCATTTAGTCTTTTCTAAAGTGGAGAAAAAAATGTAGGCAGAGTAATTCAAAGTCATGTCTTGTTCTCTTTTTTAAAAATTATTTGTTTTTAATTCTTATGAGTACATTGTAGGTGTATATATTTATAGGTTACATGACATATTTTTATACAGCCATGCATGTATAATAACCACATCAGGGTAAATGGGATATCCATCACCTCAAGCATTTATCTTTTGTGTTTCAAACAATCCAGTTATACTCTTAGCTATTTTTAAATGTACAATAAATTATTGTAGACTGTAGTCACCTTGTTGTACTATCAAATACTAGACCTTATTCATTCTATCTAATTAAATTTTTGTACCTATTAACCATCCCTACTTCTCTCCCATCCCCATACCGACTATCCTTCCCAGACTCTGGTAACTATCTGTATTAGTCCGTTCTCACACTGCTATAAAGAACTATCCGAGACTGGGTAATTTATGAAGAAAAGAAATTTAATTGACTCACCGTTCTGCAGACTGTGTAAGAGGCATGACTGGGGAGGCCTCAGAAAACTAACAATCATGGTGGAAGGTAAAGGGGATGCAAGTATGTCTTCACAGGGCAGCAGAGGAGAAAGAGCAAAAGGGGAAGTGCTACACACTTTTAAACAACCAGATCTCATGATAAGTCATCCACTATTATGAGAACAGCAGGGGTGGAGCCACCCCCATGATTTAATTACCTCCCACCAGACCCACTTCTAACACTGGGAATTACAATTTGACATGAGATTTGGGTAGGAACACAGCACCAAGCTATATCATTCCACCCCGGGCACCTCCCAATTATCATGTTTCAAAACAAAATCATGCCTTCCCAACAGTCCCACAAAGTCTTAATTCATTCCATCACTAACTCAAAACTCCAAGCCCAAAGTCTTATCTAAGTCACGGCAAGTCCCTTCTGCTTATGAACCTGTAAAGTCAAAAACAAGTTAGTTACTTTCAAGGTACAATAACAGTATAGGCATTGAGTAAATGCTCCCCTTCCAAAAGGGCGAAATCAGCCAAAACGAAGGAGCTACAAGCCACATGCAAGTCTGAAACCCAGCAGAGTCATCATTAAATCTTAAAGCTCCAAATTAATCTTCTTTGACTTCATGTCTCATATCCAGGCAACACTGATGCAAGTGATGGTTTTCCAAAGTGTGGGCATCTTCATTCCTATGGCTCTGCAGGGTACAGCCCCTGTGGCTGCTTTCATGAGCTGGCATTGAGTGACTGTGGCTTTTCCAGGGGCAAAATGAAAGCTGTGGGTGGATCTACCATTCTGGGGTCTGGAAGACATTGGCCCTGTTCTCACAGCTCCACTAGGCATTGTCCCAGTGAGGATTCTGTGTGGGAGCTCCAATCCCATATTTCCCCTTGGCACTGCCCCAGTAGAGGTTCTCCATGAGGCCTCCACCCCATGATAGACTTTTGCCTCGACATCCAGGCTTTTCCATATGGCCTCTGAAATCTAGATGGGGACTTCCAAGCCTCAATTCTTGCCCTCTGTGCACCCCCTGGCCCATCATCACATGGAAGCCACCAAAGCTTGTGGCTTATACTCTCAAAGCAATGGCCTGAATTGTACTTTGGCCCTTTTAGCCATGCCTGGAGCTGGAGCGGCTGGGATGTAAGGCATCATGTCCTGAGGCTGCACAGAGCAGCTGGGCCATGGGCCCAGCCCATGAAACCATTTTTCCCTCCTAGGCCTCCAGGCCTGTGAAGGGAGGGGCTGTCGCAAGATGCCCCAGGGGCATTTTCCCTATTTTCTTGGCTATTAACGTTCAGCTCTTCATTACTTATTCAAATTTCTGCAGCCTTGAATTCCTTCCCAGAAAATGAGTCAGGCTGCAAATTTTCCAAACTTTTATTCTCTGCTTTCCTTTTTTTTTTTTTTTTTTTTTTTTTTTTTTTTTTTTGAGATGGAGTCTCGCTCTTGTTGTCAAGGCTGGAGTTCAATGGCACGATTTCAGCTCACTGCAACGTCTGCCTCCTGGGTTCAAATGATTCTCCCGCCTCAGCCTCCCAAGTAGCTTGGATTACAGGCATGAACCACCACCCCTGGCTAATTTTGTATTTTTGGTAGAGATGGAGTTTCTCCACATTGGTCAGGCTGGTCTCGAACTCCCAACCTCAGGTGATCTGCCTGCCTCAGCCTCCCAAAGTGCTGGGATTACAGGCATGAGCCACTTTGCTCAGCCTCTCTGCTTCCCTTTTAAACATAAGTTCCAGTTTCTGATAATCTTTTTGCTGTTAGAAGCAACCAGGCCAAATATTGAACACTTTGCTGATTAGAAATTTCTTCTGCCAGATATCCTAAATCCTCTCTCTCAAGTTCAAAGCTCCACAAATTTTTAGAGCAGGGGCACAATGCCACCAGTTTCTTTACTAAAGCATAGCAAGAGTATTCCAGTTCCCATGAAGTTCCTCATCTCCATCTGAGAACACCTCAGCCTGGACTTCAATATCCATACCACTATAAGCATTTTGATCGCAACAATTTAACAAGTATCTAGGAAGTTCCAAACTTTCCCTCATTTTCCTGTCTTCCTCTGAGCTCTCCAAGCTGCTCCAACCTCTGCCTTTTACCCAGTTCCAAAGTCACTTCCACATTTCCAGCTATCTTCATAGTGATGCCCCACTTCTCTGGTTCCAATTTTCTGTATTAGTTCATTGTCACACATTGTCATTGAAGAACTACCTGAGATCGAGTAATTTATTTTTTTTGAAAAAGAGGTTTAATTACCTCACAGCTCTGCAGGATATACAGGAGGCATGGCTGGGAGGCCTCAAGAAACTTACAATCATGGCAGAAGCAAAAGGGAAAGCAGGCATATCCTCACAGGGCAGAGCAGGAGAGAGAGAGAGAAGAGGGAGGTACTAACACTTTCAAACAACCAGATCTCATGAACACTCTGTCATGAGAACAGCAAGGGGGAAGTTCACTCTTATGATTCAATAATCTCCCACCAGGCTCCTCCTCCAACACTGGGAGTTACAATTTGACATAAGGTTTGAGTGATGACACAGAGCCAAACCATATCACCATTCTTTTACTCTCTATCCTCATGAGTTCAATTGTTTTAATTTTTAGCTCCCACCAATAAGTGAGAACATGCAATGTTTGTCTTTATGTGTCTGACTTACTTCACTTAACATAATGACCTCTACTTCCATCCATGTTGTTGCAAAGGACAGGTTTTTATTCTTTTTATGGCTGAATAGTACTCCATTGTGTATATGTAACATATTTTTAATCCATTCTACTTTTTTGATGTTGGCACTTATAGCTATAAACTTTTCCCCTTAGTTATGCTTTTGCTGAATCTACAGATTTTAGTATGTTAGGGTTCCATTTTCATTTGTTTCAGGAAATTTTTCTATTTCCTTCTTAATTTCTTCATTTCTCCACTGGTCATTCAGAAGTACATTGTTTAATTTCCACACTTGCACAGCTTCCAAAATTCCTCTTGTTATTTATTTCTAGTTTTATTCCATTGTGGTCAAAGAACAGGCTGGATATTACTTTAATTTTTTGAATATTGTAAGACTTGTTTTGTGACCTAACATGCGGTCTATCCTTGAGAATAATCCATGTGCAAAGGAAAACAAAATATATTCTGCAGTCATTAGATGAAATGTTCCATAAATAACTGTTAGGTCAATTTGGGCAATAATGCAGATTAACTTTGATGTTTCTTTGTTGATTGTCTGGAAGGTCTGTCCAATGCTGGAAGAGGGGTGCTTAAGTCTCCAGCTAATATTGTTTTGGAGTCTATCTCTCTCTTTAACTATAGTAATATTTGCTTTATATATCTAAGTGCCCCAGTGTTGGGTGCATATATATTTACAGTTGTTATATCCTGTTGCTGAATTAGCCCCTTTATCACTATATAGTGACCTTCTTTGTCCATTTTTAGTTTCTGTCTTGAAATCTATGTTGCCTGTTATAAATACAGAGCCTCCTGGGGTTTTCTGGTTTTCATTGACATGGGATGTGTTTTTTAATCTTTTTATTTCAGTCTATACGTGTCTTTAAAGGTAAAATCTGTTTCTTGTAGGCAACAGATCAGTAGGTCTCTTTTCTTACCCATTTAGCCACCCTGTCTTTTGATTGGAAAGTTTAGTCCATTTATTAAAGAATCTGTGTGCTTGGGGAGGGAGAAGGCAGAGAGGCAGAGACTATGCATTATTCAATGTTATTATTGACAAGTCAGGACTTACTTGTGCCATTTTGTTATTTGTTTTCTGGTTGTTTTGTGGTTTTCTCTTCCTTCATTCTTTCCTTCCTGTCTTCCTTTTAGTGAAGATGATTTTCTCTGGTATATGATTAATTTCTTGCTTTTTATTTTTTTTGTGTCTGTTGTATGTTTTTTGATTTGAGGTTACCATGAGGCTTGCAAATACTATCTTATAACCTATTTTAAGCTCATAAAAACTTAACATCATTTGCATAAACAAAAACAAAAAAAAGGAAAACTAATAAAAACTCTACACCTTAACTTTGTCTCCCTGCTTTTTAACTTTTTGTTGTTTCTATTTACATCTTATTGTACAATGTCTTGAAAAGTTGTTTTCATTTTTTTTTTTTTTTTTGGTTCATTGCTTAGTCTTTCTATTTAAGATAAGATTAGTTTACACAGTGCAGTTAAGGTGTTATAATATTCTGTGTTTTCCTGTGTACTTATTATTACCAGTGAGCTTTGTACTTTCAGATGACTTCTTATTGCTCATTAACATCCTTTTCTTTCTGATTGAAGTACCCTTTTTGCATTTCATGTAGGACAGGTCTGGTGTTAAGGAAGTCCTTCAGCTTTTTCTTGTCTCAGAAAGTCTTTATTTCTCTTTCATGCTTAAAGGATATTTTCACCAGGTATATTATTCTAGGATAAAAGTTTTTTTCCTTCAGCACTTTAAATATGTCATGCCACTTTCTCCTGGCCTGTAACATTTCCACTGAAAAGTCTGTTGCCAGATATATTGGAGCTCCTTCATATGTAATTTGTTCCTTTTCTCTTGCTGTTTTAGGATGTTTTCTTTATCCTTGACTTTTAGGAGTTTATTTAATGGCTTGATGTTCTCTTTTGGATTAAATCTGCTTGGTGTTCTATAACCATCTTGTACTTGGACATTGTTATCTTTTTCTAGGTTTGGAAAGTTCTCTGCTATGACCCCTTTGAATAAACTTTCTACCCCTATCTCTTTTTCTACCTCCTTTCTAAGACCAATAACTCTTAGATTTGCCCTTTTGAAGCTGTTTTCTAGATCTTTCAGACATGCTTCGTTCTTTTTTATTCTTTTTTCTTTTGTCTTCCCTGACTGTGTATTTTCAAATAGCCTCTGTTCAAGCTCACTAGTTCTTCCTTCTGCTTGAACAATTCTGCTATTAAAAGACTTGGATGCATTCTTCAGTATGTCAGTTGCATTTTTCAACTCCAGAATTTCTGCTTTATTATTTTTAACTATTTCATTCTCTTCATTAAATTTTTCTGATAGAATTCTGAATCCCTTCTCTGTGTTATCTTGAATTTCTTTGAGTTTCCTCAAAACAGCTATTTTGGATTTTTCGTCTGAAAGATCACATATTTCTCTTTCTCCAGAACTGGTCACTGGTGTTTTATTTAGTTTGCTTAGCAAGGTCATATTTTCCTGGATGGTCTTGATGCTAGCAGATGTTTGTCAGTGTCTGGGCATTGAAGAGTTAGGTATTTATTATAGTCTTCACAGTCTGGGCTTATTTGTACCCATCCTTTTTGGGAAGGCTTCCCAGGTATTCAAAAGGACTTGACTGTTGTGATGTAAGCCATATCTGCATTAGGGACACCCAAAGCCCAGTAACACTGTGGTTCTTGCAGATTCATAGAGGTACCACCTTGGTGGTCTTGGATAAGATCCTAATTCTCTGGATTACCAGGCAGAGACTCTTGTTCTCTTCCTTTGCTTTCTCCCAAACAGACAGAGTCTTTCTCTCTGTGCTGAGCCACCTGGAGCTGAGAGAGGGATGACACATGCACCCCTGTTGCCATCACCACTGGGACTGTGCTGGGTCAGACCTGATGTTAGCATAGCACTGGGTCTTGCCCAAGCCCTGAGGTAACCACTACCTGGTTACCACCTATGTTAGCTCAAGACCTTAGGGCTGTACAATCAGCAGGTGGTGAAGCCAGACAGGCTTGTGTCCTTCCCTTCAAGGCAGTGAGTCAGGACCTGGGTGAGTCCAGAGATACCATCAGGAGCCAGGGCCTGGATTCAAAACCTTAGAAATCTACCTACATTCTATTGTACTGTTACTGAGCTGGCACTCAAAGCACAAGATGCAGTCTTCCCTTTCTTCTTCCCTCCCTCCTCTAGTTCCTCCACAAACAGAGAAGCCTCATACTGTGGCCACCACCACCACAGTCTCACAGGGAGTACTGTCAGGCTCCCACCGATGTTCACTTAAGGCCCAAGGGCTCTTCAGTCAGCTTGTGATGAATATCACCAGGCCTGGGACTCACCCTTTAGGACATTAGGCTTCCCTCTGGCCCAGGGTAGGCCAAGAAAGGCTGTCCAAGAACCAAGGCCTAGATTTGGGGACCTCAAGAGCCCACCTGATGCTCTACATCCTGTGGTTGAGTTGGTACCTAAAGTGTAAAACAAAGTCCCCTTTACTCCTCCTTCTGCTTTTCTCAAGCAGATAGAGTCTCTTCCTATAGCCACCATAGCTGGAAATGTGCTGAGTGTCACCTGATGCCCACAATCTCAGAGTCTCACCCAAGGCCCACAGTGTACTCCCTGGGTATTACTGCTGGTTATGCAGGGCCCAAGGGCTTTTTTTTTTTTTTTTTTTTTTTTGAGTCAGAGTCTCATTCTGTTGCCCAGGCTGGAGTGCAGTGGCACAATCTCAGCTCTCTGCAACCTCTGCCTCCTAGGTTCAAGCGATTCTCCTGCCTCAGCCTCCCGAGTAGCTGGGATTACAGGTGCACGCCACCACGCCCAGCTAATTTTTGTATTTTTTAGTAGACACGGGGTTTCACCATATTGGACAGGCTGGTCTCAGACCCCTGACCTCATGATCTGCCCGCCTCAGCGTCCCAAAGTGCTGGGATTACAGGCATGAGCTACCGGGCCAAGCCCCAAGGGTTCTTTAGTCAGACATAATAGGTTCTGCCAGAAATGGGCCCTTCACTTCAAGGTAATGGGTTTCCATGTGACTAGAAGTGTCATCTGGGAGCTGGGTCCTGGAAAGGGGGCCTCATGATTCTGACCGGCACCCTATCTTACTGTGACTGAGCTGGTATCGAAGATGCAAGACAAAATTCTCTTTATTCTTTTCTCTCCTCTCCTCAAGCAGAAGGAAGGGGTGTCTCTTTGTACCCATGAGCTGTGCAGCCTGGTTTTGGGGAAGGGGCAGTGCAAGCATGCCCTTAGCCACCCTGGCTAATGTCTCAGTAGGTCATACGCCCCTGAGTCCACTGACTATGAGCCCAGCTCAGAACTAGGACTTGCCTAGAAGTTGCAGTCTTTGTGGCCTAACTTTATTTAGGGCCCCAGAGCACTCCAGGCTGCAGTGGTGAGGCTTGAGGGAACTCAAGTTCTGAGTGCTGGGATAGGCAATTTATCTCTGGCCAGGGCCGGTCCAAATGCTCCCTCTGTGGTGGAGTGGGAGTGGCATCAGGTAAGTGCAGCCCTATTCTGCTTTCCACTGTGACAAGGCAACACTGAGTTAAGTGCAAAGTCTCACAATTGCTGCATTCTCCCTCCCCAAGCACACAGATTCTCTGCACCATGCAGCGGCTGGAGGGGAAGGGGGAATGGTATGGGGGAGGGGCATTGTTGGCAATTCAAGACTGGCTTTCCTATGCTTTTCAGTACCTCTTTCAGTAATATGAAGTTAAAAACCCCCCGGGCGCGATGGCTCATGCCTGTAATCCCAGCACTTTGGGAGGCTGAGGCAGGCAGATCACCTAAGGTCAGGAGTTCGAGACCATCCTGACCAACATGGAGGAACCCCGTCTCTACTAAAAATACAAAATTAGCTAGATGTGGTGGCGCATGCCTGTAATCCCAGCTACACAGGAGGCTGAGGCAGGAGAATCTCTTGAACCTGGGAGGTGAGGTGGAGGTTGCGGTGAGCCGAGATCGTGCCATTGCACTCCAGCCTGGGCAACAAGAGCAGAACTCCGTCTCAAAAAGAAAAAAAAAAAACAGGTACTGTGAGTGCTCACCTGATTTTTGGTTCTTATGAAGGTGCTTTTTTGTCTGTAGATAGTTGTTAAATTTGCTGTTCTTGTTGAGTGGGAGGATAATTGGTGCAGCCTTCTATTCTACCATATTGCTCTGCTCCCCTCCAAAATCATATCTTTAAAAATGACCACATGGAGTCTGAACAGGATATTCATAAAATGGATGAGTCAAAGGAATATTGTAACAACATATTGCAAATAAATAAAGGTTTTCTATTTCCTTTCCATTTCATAAGAGGGTTTTCATAAACAAGGGTTTTCTATTTCCTTTTCACTCAAATGACATTAGGATTGTTTTTGCAAGATATTCTCTAAATGAATTTTTTAGGAAGTTTATCAATTTTACAGAATTATTAGTACCATAAATTGATATATAACAAAGTACCACAAATTCAGCAGCTTAAAGTAATCCCTATGTATTTGCTCACAGTTCTGTCTGTCAGAGTTCAGGCATGACATGGCTGGACAAGGTTGAAACCAAGGTATTGGCTAGTCTGTGGTCTCATCTGGAGCTCAGGGTCCTCTTCCAATCTCATATGGTTGTTAAAGAACCCATTCCCCTGAGGCTGCAGGTCTCAAGTCTCCATCTCCTTCCTGGCAATCAGCCATAGGCTGCTCTCTGCTCCCCATTCATTGCCACATGGCCCCTTCCAATTTCAGAGCCAACAACAGATAGAGACTCTCTCCAGAGTCAATTCACACTTCAAACTCTAACTTCCTCTCTGATGCCTATACCCATATTTAAAGGGTTTATTCTATAAGGTCAGGCCCACCTGGATAATCTCCCTGTTTTAAAGTTGACTGATTTGGGAATTTAGTGACATCTGCAAAATCCCTTCACAGCAGCACCTGGATTAGTGTTTGACTGAATAACTGAGAGAAGGCCTGTGTTTACCAGGGGCCAGGAATCTTGATGGCTGCAATGGACTGAATGCGTCCCCATAAAATTAGTATGATAAAACCCGAATCCTAGTGTGATGGTACTAGGAGGTGGGGTCCTTTGGAGGTGATTAGGTCATAATGGTGGAGTCCCCATGAATGGGATTAGTGAGCTCATAAAAGAGACCTCAGAACACTCTCTTGCCCTCCTTCCACCATGTGAGGATGCTATGAGAAGATGGTTGTCTGCAATCCAGAAGTTGGCCCTCCCTAGAACCTGACCATACTGGCACCCTGATCTTGGACTTCCAGCTTCCAGAAATATGAGAAATAAATGTCTGTTGGTAAAGCCACCAAGACCATAATAATTTGTTATACCGGCCGTAAAAGACTAAGACTGGCGCTATCTTAGAATTTGGCCTACCACATAACAGAATTTATCTTAAAGATAAAAGCTTTTTATGATGTGATGTATTACCATCATATTGTAATTTATCATGTTCGCTTAAACCACAAAATCAGATAAGAAGCAAATAAGTCTTGGAGATTGTGTGCACTCTCTTTCTCTGTCTCTCTTTCTGTCTCTCTCTCTCTCTTTTCACTTGAAACACTCTATTTGTCCCGCCAAATTTCAGGATTATTCACACAATTGTATACTTTATTACGAAGCATATTTTATTCAGAATTTCTTCATAAATGTATGAAAGTTATAAAAGTGTGACATTTGCTACCATGGCAGGAAAAATAAAGACAAAAGCAAGGCTATTTAGTGCAATATTTACCCTTTTTTAAAAAGTAAGCATTTCTTCCTTATGCACATTCAAAAGGAGGGGATGACAAATTAACAAAAATGATATGAATGAAATGAAGTGATCCAAATATTCAAATTATGTAAATGTTTAAAGTGAAAAAAAATTTGAGAAATTATTATATAAGATAATCTTACAAACATTCTTATTTGCAAGGTGGGCAATTAACATGTTTGCAATTTGTAACTTCACAAAGCAATGCAAATCAGCAGAAGAATCCAAATTTAATTATACACAATTGTACAAAGAGATACTTTCTTTTTTAAACTTTTTAAGTTTTTAAAAAATAATTTCAACGTTTAGATTCAGGGAGTATATGTGCGGATTTTTTACATGGACGCTGAGTTTCAGGATATGAATGATCCATCACCCAGACAGTGAGCATAGTACCCCATAGTGAGTTTTTCAGCCCTTGCCCTCCACCCTCCCTTCCGTTTCTAGTGGTCTTCAGTGTCTATTGTTGCCATCTTTATGTCCATGAGTACCCAAAGTTTAGCTCCCACTTGTAAGCGAGAACTTGCAGTATTTTGCATTAATTCACTTAGGATAATGACCTCCAGCTGTATCCATGTTGCTGCAAGCGACATTATTTTATTCTCTTTTTTATGGTTGTCTAGTATTCCATGGTGTATATATACTATATTTTCTGTATCCAGTTCACCATTAATGGCCAACTAGGTTGATTCCATATCTTTGCTATTGTGGATAGTGCTGCAATGATTATATGAGTACACATGTCTTTTTGGTAGAATGATTTATTTTATTTTGGATATATAGCCAGTAATAGGATTTCTGAGTTGAATGGTAGTTTATTACAAAAGAGTTTTTTTTTTTTTTTTTTCCCTCAGCCCACAGAAGGAACCAACCTTGCCAATACTTTGTTCTTGGGCTTCTTGCTTCCAAAACTATGAAATAATAAATTTCTGTTCTTTAAGCCACGAACTTTGTGATAGTTTGTTATGGCAGTCCTAGCAACCTAGTACAAAGATGAAAGCTAAAATGTTGTACATAAGAAAAAAAAATAGAGAGAGCCTTTCTTGGTATGGTGACCAGGGTGGTGAAGACTAAGATCTGTAAAGCTGGAGAGGCTGTCTGGAGGGTCAAGGGGAAGACAACAAGTCAAAAAGGAACTTTGAGGGGAAGAACAGAGATGTTTAACAGAGATTTTTAAATTAAGATTTACTATGTGGTGTGTGTGATGTCATTTTCCTCTTCACCTCCCCAAGAAGTATTTGGTAAAATCTACAACATTAATTATTTCTTAGATAATTTAGACTTAAAGTTTGGTACCTAAAACAAAAAGCTGTGTCCTGGTTCAGACAAAACATGAAGACAATGACAAGATTTTCCACTGATCCCTGTCATGTCTGCATTTACATTTCACAGGTATTTATGAGGCACCAACTATGAGTCAGGGACAATGTACATAGAATTCAGAAATAAACAAGATAGACACAGTCTCTGCCCTCATGGAGAAAGATAGACAATAATAAATACATAATAAATCATATTTCTATTTAACTTGCTATTGGTCTGAGTAATTTTATTTAAACAAGTAATATGTGTAAAGACAAAGTATAGGATACTGTAATAACATATAACCTAACCTAGACTGGAGAGCCACTGAAGTTCAGACTTGGAGGTTGAGGAAGAACCAATCAGACAACAGTGGCCTGGGTCAGACTGGGGGTAGTGATGAAGATTTTCTCAGACATACAGAAAAACCTTGTGATAATACTGTGAGGGATCAAAGAGTTCAGTTTATTTGAGAAAAAGTAGGTGAACCATTGAGTTTGAAACTCAATGAGGGAAGAAGAGAAAGGTAGAAAATGAACCTCAGACTTAAGCAGGGCCAGATCCTTCAGAAACAGGATTTTACATTTTATCTGACGTGCAATTGGAAACCACTGAAGTGTTCAGGCAGGACAAGGATATCATCAGATTTTAATTTTAAAACATTTTTCTGTCAGCTTTGTGGTGAATCAATTGAGGAAGAGGAAAGATGAGTGACATGGCCAGTTAGAGAGCATTACTATGGTTCCATTAAAGATTAAAGTGATTTAGCCCAGGGAGGTAGCTTCTTCTTGTTGGCTTCTGTCACCCATTCAACCACTGTGGGCCGTGCTTTTGGTTATTTGAGGAAACCTTGCCACCTCCCTGTGGTCTCACTATGGGGAGATTGCTGTTCCCTATGCCAATCATGCTCTAAAATGCTCAAGGAACTTCTCTGTTGTTCTCTTCAGAGAAAGTGGAAACGAGGTAGATATATTAAAAAGTGAGATCTTCTTCGTAAATTCTCATTATTCTCCTTTGTGTTTCCTTGCCCCCCAAGGGTCTGTCATAAACATGCCCATTTTATTTTTATTGACTGGAGACCATTGCTTACTAGACTCAGATGATCCTCTTGACTTTAGTGAACACAAACAATTGATGTTCTTTTCTTATTCAAATTTTGTATTGTGGTAACTATACATAACATAAAATTTATCATTGTGTTAGTCTGTTCATGTTGTTACAACAAAATACCACAAACTGTGTTATTTACATGTGATAGAAATTTATTTTGCACAGTTTTGAAGTCTGGGATGCCCAAAATCAAGACACAAGCAGGTTTGGTGTCTGGTGAGAGTTGCTTGTTCTGCTTCCAAGATGGTGCCGTGGTACTGTATTCTCAGGAGGGCACAGATGCTGTGTTCTCACATGGCAGAAGAAATGGAAGGGTAAGAGGAACTAAGCTAGTTCCCTCCAGTCCTTTTATAAGACGCTAATCCATTTATGAGGGCAAAGCCCTCATGACTTAATCACTTCCCCAAAGGCTCACCTCTTAATACCACCACAATGGGGATTAAGTTTCAGCACATGAATTTTGAGAGACTTTAGCAGACCCCAGCAACTATCTTAACCATTTTCAAGTATACAATTCAGTAGTATTAAATACATTCAAAATGTTGTGCAACCATTACCACCATCCATCTCCATAACTCTTTTCATCTTGTTAAACTGAAACTCTATATCTATTAAATAATAACTCCACATTCCTCCACCCCTCCAGCCCATGGCAACCACCATTTTATTTTCTGCCTCTATAATTTGAACTACTCTAAGTTCTTCATATAAGGGGAATTATAGATTATTTGTCTTTTGGGGACTGGCTTATTTCACTTGCCATAATGTCCTCAAGTTTCATGTGTGTTGTAGCATATGTCAAAATTTCCTACACTTTTTTGGCCATACTGCCCAAAGCAATTTACAGATTCAATGCTATTCATATCAAACTATCAATGTCACTTCCCACAGAATTAGAAAGAAACATTCTAAAATTCATTTGGAACCAAAAAAGAGCTCAAATAGCCAAAGCAATCCTAAGCAAAAAGAACAAAACTAGAGGTATCACACTACCTGACTTAAGGCTACAGTAACCAAAATAGCATGTTACTGGTATGAAAACAGACACATAGACCAATGGAACAGAACAGAAGACCCAGAAATAAAGGTGCGCACCTACAAGCTTCTGATTTTTGACAAAGCTGGTAGTAACAAACAGCAAGAAAAGGACTCCCTGTTCAATAAATATACTGGGATAACTGACTAGCCTTATGCAGATGGTTGAAACTAGATCCCTACTTTTCACCATACACAAAAATCAATGCAAGATGGATAAAAGACTTAAATGTAAAACTTAAAACTATAAAGACTCTAGAAGAAAACCTAGGAAATAACATTCTGAACATTGGCTCTGGCAAAAACTTTGTGACAAAGATTTCAAAGCAATTGCAACAAAAGCAAAAATTGACAAGTGGAACGTAATTAATCTAAAGAGCTTCTGCACAGCAAAAGACACTATCAACAGAGTAAACAGACAACCTACAGAATAGGAGAAAATATTTGCAAATAATTGCATCTGAAAAAGTTCTAATATTTAAAATCTATAAGGAACTTAAATCAAGAAGCAAAATTAAACATCCCCATTTAAAAATGGGCAAAGAACATGAACAGACACTTCTCAAAAGAAGACATACACACAGCCAAAGAGCGCATGAAAAAATGTTCCACATCACTAATCATCAGAGAATTACAAAAGAAAAACACAATGAGATAGCGTTTCACACCAGTCAGAATGGCTTCTATTAAAATGTCAAAAAACAAAAGATGCTGGTGAGGCTGCAGAGAAGAGAGAATGCTTATACACTGCTGGTGGGAATGTAAATTAATTCAGCCACTGTGGAAAGCAGTCCGGAGATTTCACAAAGAATTTAAAATAGAACTACCACTTGGCCCAGCAATCCCATTACTGGGTAAATACCCAAAGAAACATAAAGTATTCTACTGTAAAGATACATGCATGCATATATTCTTCTCAGTACTATTTACAATAGCAAAGACAAGGAATCAACCTAGATGCCAATCAACAGTGGACTGAATGAAGAAAATGTGATACATATACACTAGGGAATACTACACAGCCATAAAAAAGAATAAGGTTATGTCCTTTGCAGCAACATGGATGAAGTTGGAAGCCATTCTTCTAAGCAGATTAAAGCAGGAACAGTCAAGCAAACACTGCATGTTCTCACTTATAAGTGAGATCTAAACATTGAGCATACATGGACACAAAGAAAGGAACAAAAGACACTGGGGCCTACTTGAGGGTAGAGGATGGAAGGAGGGTTAGGATTGAAAAACTAAGTATGGATATTATGCTGATACCTAGGTGACAAAATTATCTGTACACTAAACCCCCGCAACATGCAATTTACTCATGTAACAAATGTATTAGTCCATTCTCATGTTGCTAATAAAGGCATACCTGATACTGGGTAATTTATAAAGGAAAGAGGTTTAATTGTCTCACCATTCAGCATGACTGAGGAGGCCTCAGGAAACTTACAATCATGGCAGAATGGGAAGCAAACACACTCTACTTCACTTGATGGCAGCAAGGAGAAGTGCTAAGCAAAAGAGGGAAAAGCCCCTTATAAAACCATCAGATCTCATGAGAACTAACTTACTATCGCAAGAACGGGATGGGGGAAACCACCCTCATTATATTCATTATCTCCCACCAACTCCCTCCCACAATATGTGGAGATTATGGGAACCACAATTCAACATGAGATTTGGGTGGGGACACAGCCAAATTATATCAACAAGCCAGTACAAGTACCCCTTGAACTTAAACTAAAAACAGGAAAGAACAAAAGAGAATTACCTCCTTTTTAAGGCTGAATGATATTTCATTCCACATTTTGCTTTTTTATTCATCCATCCATAGGCACTTGTGTGCCCACAAATTTTTTTTTTTTCTGACATGGAGTCTCACTCTGTTGCCTAAGCTGGAGTGCGGTGGCATGATTTCAGCTCACTGCCACCTCTGCCTCCCAGGTTCAAGCAATTCTCCCACCTCAGCCTGCCGAGTAGCTGGGACTACAGGCTCATGCCACCGTGCCCCACTAATTTCTGTATTTTTAGTGGAGACAGGGTTTTGCCACGTTGGCCAGGCTAGTCTCAAACTCCTGGGCTCAGGGGAGCCATCCACCTCGGCCTCCCAAAGTGCTGAGATTACAGGCATGAGACACCATGCCCAGCCAAAAAGATTTTTTAAATAACTTAAAATTTTTAAAAAATAGACACTTGGGTTGCTACCATGTTTTAGCTATTGTGAATAGTGTTGTTATGAACATGAGTGTATGGATATATCTTCCAGACTGCTTTCAAATCTTAAATATATACTCAGAAGTTGGATTGCCTGATCATATGGTAATTCTGTTTTTAATTTTGGAGGAATTGTTGTAGTGTTTTCCACAGCAGCTGTACCATTTTACATTGTTCCTAACAACAGTACACAAGGGTTCCAATTTCTCCACATCTTTGCCAATACTTGTTACTTTCTATTTTTTAATAGTAGCCATCCTAGTGGGTGTGAGGGGTATCTGATTGTAGTTTTGACTTTCATTTTCCTAATCATTAGTGATGTTGAACACCTTGTCATGTGCTTATTGGCTTTTGGTATGTCTTCTTTGGAAAAATATGTATTTGTCATTTGCTCAGTTTTGAATCAGGTTATTTGTTTTTCAGAAGTTCTTTATATATTCTGGATATTAATCCCTTGTCAGAGATATGATTTGCAAATATATTCTACTATTCAGTGATTTGCCTTTTTATATTATTGATACTGTCTTTTTGTGCACAAATCTTTTTCATTTTTGTGAAGTCCAATTTGTCTATTCTTTTTGTGTGTTGCCTATGTCTTTGGTGTCATATCCAAGAAATCATTGCTAAATCCAAAGTCAAGAAGCTTTTTTTCTTTTCTGCTAAATGTTTTAGATTTTACATTTAGGTCTTTGATCCATTTTGAGTTAATTTTTGTACATGGTGTTAGGTAAGGGTCTAACTTCATGCTATCACATATAAATATTCAGTTTCCTCAGACTCTTTTGTTGAAAAGAATCCTTTCCCCATTGAATGGTCTTGCCATTTTTGTCAAGAATCATTGGACTACACATGCAAGGGTTTATTTCTGTGCTGTCTATTTTATTCCATTTGTCTATATGTCTGTCTTTGTGTCAGTACCACACTGTTTTGATTACTGTAGCTTTGTAGTAATTTTTGAAATCAGGAAATGTGAGTCCTCTAGCTTTGTTCTTCATTTTCAAGATTGCTTTTGACTATTTAAGATCCCTTAAGGTTCCATAGGAATTTTAGAATTAGTTGTTCTATTTCTGCATATATATATAATATATATGTATCTATATAAACTATATGTGTATATATAAAATATATATATAATATATGTATATATGATATATGTACATATAATATATTTATATATGTATATATGATATATATGTATATATAATATATTAATATATAATTATATATTAATATAATATATGTATATTATATATTTATATAGTATATGTATATATTATATATTTATATAATATATGTATATATTGTATATTATATAATATATTATATCTAATATAATATATATGTAATATATACATATAATACATATAAATATATTACATATATTTATATAAATATATTATATGTACATATGTATATATAATATATTTATATATTGGGATTTTGGTAAGAATTTTATTGAATTTGTGGATTGCTTTGGGTAGTATTGACATCTTAACAATAGTTAGCCTTCCAATTCATAAACATGTAATGTATTTCTATTTATTTGTGTCTTAGAATTTCTTTAATTTTTGTCTTAAAATTGTCATTATACAAGTTCTTCACCTCCTTGGTTAGGATAATTTTTATTTCATTATTTTCCGTGCTATTTGAAATGAAACTATTTTTATTACATTCTTTTGAGACTGCTAATTGTATATAGAAATACAACTGATTTATTGTGCATTGACTTTGTACTGCACTTTGCTGAATTCATTTATTCATTCTAACAGGGTTTTTGTGTAATCTTTAGGGTTTTATCACATAATGTTTTATCACCAGTGAACAGAGATTATTTTACTTCCTCCTTTCCAATGTGCATACCTTCTATTTCTATATTTTGCCTAACTGCTCTGGCTAGAACTTCCAGTACTATATTGAATAGAAGTGGTAGAAACAGGCATCCTTGCCTTGTTCATGATTTTAAAGGAAAAGCTTTCAGTCTTTTTTCTTTCTTTTTTTTTATTTATTATTTTTTTTTTTTTTTGAGATGGGGTCTTCCTCTGTCACCCAGGCTGGAGTGTAGTGGCACCATCTCAGCTCACTGCAACCTTCGCCTCCCGGGTTCAAGCAATTCTCCTGCCTCAGCCTCCTGAGTAGCTGAGATTATGGATGCCTGCCAGCACATCTGGCTAATTTTTGTATTTTTAGTAGAGACAGGGTTTCGCCATGTTAGCCAGACTTGTCTCTTACTCCTGACCTCGTGATCCGCACCCCGTTGGCCTCCCAAAGTGCTGAGATTATAGGCGTGAGCCACCGTACCTGGCCAAGCTTTCCATCTTTCACCATTGAGTACAATATTTGCTGTGTGTTTCCATATATGGCTTTTATGATGTTGAGGTAATGTCCTTCTCTTCTTGGTTTGTTGAGTGTTTTTATTATGAAAATATATGAATACTGTGACTGCTTTTTCTGCAACAATTGGGGTTATCAGGTGTGTTTTTATTTTTTTCATTCGGTTGGTGTGTCGTATTATATTGATTGATTTCCATATGTGAAACACTCTTGCATTTCAGCTATAAATCAATTTGGTCATGGTGGATAATCCTTGCAATTTGCTGCTGAATTCAATTTTGCAAGTATGTTGTTGAAACTTTTTGCATCAATGTTCATAAGGGATATTGGTCTGCCGTTTTGTTCTGCTGTAGTGTTTTTGGCTTTGGTATCAGGGTAATGTTGGCCTCACAGTATGAGTTGGAAAGTGTTCCCTCCTCTTCAATTTTTTGAAATAGTATGAGAAGAATTGGTATTAGCTCTTTAAATGTTTGGTAAAATTCACCAGTGAAGCCCTGAGATCCAGGACTTTCCCTTGTCAGATTTTTGATTACTAATTCATTTTCTTCTCTTGCTTTCCTTTCCTTACTTACATATTTACTTATAGGTCTATTAAAATGTTCTATATCTTTGTTTTTTAGACTTAGCAGGTTTTGTGTTTCTTAAAAATTGTCCATTTCATCTAAGTTCTGCAATTTGTTGTCATATAATTGCTCTCTTATAATCTTCTTTATTTCTGGAGAATAAGTAATATCCCACTTTCATTTCTGATTTTACAATTTGAGGCCTCTTTCTCTTCTGCTTAGTTCAATTAGCTAAAGGTTTGTCAATTGTGTTGATTTTTTCAAAGAACCAACTTTTGGTCATTGATTTTTCTTTATTGTTTTTCTATTCTCTATTATCTTGCTCTAATCTTTATTATGTCTTTTTCTCTGCTACCCTTGGGTTTTGTTTGCCCTTTTTCCAGTTCCTTAGGATGTAAAGTTAGATTGCTGATTTGAGATTCTACTTATCTTTTAATGTAAGTCTTTATGGTTCTAAGTTTTTCCTTTCACACTGCTTTCACTGAATCCCATAAATTTTGGTATGTTGCATTTTCATCTTCATGTGTATCTAAAAATTTTCTTTTTTAATTTAATTTAATTTGTATTGGTTAATTTTTTCTAGTAGTATTTTTTCAACTTTTATTTTAGATTCAGGGGATACATGTGCAGTTTTGTTACATGAGCATATTGTGTGAAGCCAAGGTTTGGGAGATGATTCATCCCATCACCCAGGTAGTGGGCATACTACTCAATATTTTTTCAACCCGTTCCCTCCCTCCCTCACTGTCCCTTCTAATAGTCCACAGTTTCTATTGTTGTCATCTTTACTGCCATGTGTATCCAGTGATTAGCTCCCACTTAAAAGTGAGAACATGCGATATTGGGTTTCTGTTCCTGCATCAATTCACTTAGGATAATGGCCTCCAGTTGTATCCATGTTGCCACAAAGGACATGATTTCATTCTTTTTTCTGGCTGCCTAGTATTCCATGGTGTACATGTACATTTTCTTTATCCAATCTACCATTGATGGGTACCTAGATTGATTCCACGTCTTTGCTATTGTGAATAATGCTGCAATGAATATACAAGTGCATGTATCTTTTTGGAGGATGATTTGTTTTCTTTTGGATATATAGGCAGTAATGGGATTGCTGATCGTTTTGTTTTCAGATATTTAAGAAATCTCCAGACTGCTTTCCCAAGTGGCTGAATTAATTTACACTCCCACCAGCAGTGTTGAAGCATTCTTTTTTCTCTGCAAGCCTCACCAGCATCTTTTGTTTTTTGACATTTTAATAATGGCCGTTCTGACTGGTGTGAGATGCTATCTCATTGTGGTTTTATTTTGTATTTCTCTGATGATTAGTAATGTGGAACATTTTTTCATATAATCTTTGGCTGCATGCATGTCTTCTTTTAAGAAGTGTCTGTTCATGTCCTTTGCCCATTTTTAAATGAAGAAGTTTATTATTTGCTTCTTGATGTGCTTAAGTTCCTTCTAGATTTTGAATATTAGACCTTTTTCAGATGCATTGTTTGAAAATATTTTCTCCCATTCTATAGTTTGTCTGTTTATTCTGTTGATCTTTTGCTGTGTAGAACTCTTTAGATTAATTAAGTTCCACTTGTCAATTTTTGTTTTTGTTGCAATTGCTTTGGAGTCTTTGTCATAAAGTTTTTGCCAGAGCCAATGTTCAGAATGTTATTTCCTAGGTTTTCTTCTAGAGTCTTTATAGTTTTAAGTTTTACATTTAAGTCTTCAATCCATCTTGCATTAATTTTTTTTTTTTTTTTGAGATGGAGTTTTGTTCTTGTTGCCCAGGCTGGAGTGTGATGGGGTGATCTCGGCTCACCGCAACCTCCACCTCCCTGGTTCAAGTGATTCTCCTGCCTCAGGCTCCCGAGTAGCTGGGATTACAGACATGCACCACCATGCCCAGCTAGTTTTGTATTTTTAGTAGAGATGGGGTTTCTCCATGTTGGTTAGGCTGGTCTCGAACTCCTGACCTCAGGTGATCTGCCCACCTTGGCCTCCCAAAGTGCTGGGATTATAGGCATGAACTACCACGCCCGGCCCGCATTGATTTTTGTATATGGTGAAAGATAGAGGTCCAGCTTCAGTGTTCTGCTTATGGCTAGTCAATTATCCCAGTATCACTTAGTGAATAAGGAGTTTTTTTGCATTGTTTGTTACTATCAGCTTTGTCAAAAAATCAGATGGTTGCAGGTCTGCACCTTTATTTCTGGGTCTTCTGTTCTGTTTCATTGGTCTACGTGTCTGTTTTTGCACCAGTACCATACTATTTTGGTCACTATAGCCTTATAGTTTGAAGCTGAATAATGTGATGCCTCTGGCTTTGTTGTTTTGGATTAGGATTGTGCTGGCTATTCAGGCTCTTTTTTGATTCAATAGAAATTTTAGAACATTTTTTTCCAATTCTGTGTAAAATGACATTGGTAGTGTGGTATGAATAACATTGCATCTGTAGATTGCTTTGGGCAATATGGCCATTTTAATGATATTTATTCTTCCAATCCATGAACATGGAATGTTTTTTCATTTGTTTGTGTCATCTATGATTTTTTTTTCAGCAGTGCTTTGTAGTTCTCCTTGTAGAGATCTTTCACCTCCTTGGCTATATATATTCCTTAGTATTTTTTGTGGCTATTTTAAAAGCAGTTGTGTTAGTGATTTGGCTTTCAGTTTGAAAGTTATTGATGTATAGAAATGCTACTGATTTCTGTACATTGATTTTAAACCCTGAAACTTTACTGAAGACTACATACCTTCTAATGTCCTTCGTGATATCTTCTTTGATAAATGCTTTAACATCTGTGTATACTCTGGTTTTACTTCTGTTAGGGATTTCTAATTTTAACCTGTTTCGGACAGAGAAAATGCTTTGTATGGTATCTTTCATTTTAAATCAATTAAGATTTAACTTGTTGGCCGGGCGTGGTGGCTCACGCCTGTAATCCCAGCACTTTGGGAGGCCAAAGCGGGTGGATCACGAGGTCAGGAGATCGAGATCATCCTGGCTAACACAGGTGAAAC
Organism: Homo sapiens; assembly: GCF_000001405.40. Taxonomy (NCBI): domain Eukaryota; kingdom Metazoa; phylum Chordata; class Mammalia; order Primates; family Hominidae; genus Homo; species Homo sapiens. Next base: position 53,528,091 of record NC_000005.10, read on the forward strand.
CCCGTCTCTACTAAAAATATAAAAGATTAGCTGGGCGTAGTGGCGGGCGCCTGTAGTCCCAGCTACTTGGGAGGCTGAGGCAGGAGAATGGCGTGAACCTGGGGGGCAGAGCTTGCAGTGAGCCAAGATCGTGCCACTGCACTCCAGCGTGGGCGACAGAGTGAGACTCCGTCTCACAAAAAAAAAAAAAAAAAAAAAAAGACTTAACTTGTGGTTTAACATACAGTCTATTCTGGAAAATATTCCATGTGCACTTGAGGTTTATCCTGTGTTGTTGGGTAGAATGTTCTGTATACATCTGTTACATCTAGTAGATTTGTGAAGTCGTCTCTTCTCTTACTTATCTTCTGCCTTTCTCTTTAAAAAGTTTGATTATAATGTGCCTTTGTCCATATCTGGGTTCATTTTATTTGGAATTCATTGAGCTTCTTGGATGTTTATATTCATGAGTTTCACCAAATTTGGTAAGTTTTCAGCCATTATTTCTTCAAATATGTGTTTGGCTTCTTTTTCTTATCCTTCTTGGAATCCCACAATGCATACATTGATCTGCCTAATGGTATTCCACAAATCTTTGGGTTCTGTTCACTTTTCTATTCTTTTTTTTTTTTTTTTGAGATGGAGTTTCACTCTTGTTGCCCAGGCTGGAGTGCAATGGCACAATCTCTGCTCACTGCAACCTCCGCCTTCTGGGCAAGTGAGTCTCCTATCTCACCCTCCCAAGTAGCTGGGATTACAGACAGACATGTGTCATCATGCCCAGCTAATTTTTGTATTTTTAGTAGAGACAGGGTTTCACCATGCTGGTCAGGCTGGTCTCGAACTCCTGAGCTCATAAAATCCACCCGCCTTGGCTTCCCAAAGTGCTGGGATTACAGGTATCAGCCACTGCTCCCAGCCCTGCTCACTTTTCTTCAATATTTCTTTTTCTCAGACTTGAACATTTTCACAGTCTTATATTCAAACTCACTATTTTTTTTCTTCTCCCTCCTCAAATCTGCCTTTGAATCCCTCTAATGTTTTGTTTTTGTTTTTTGAGATGAAGTCTCACTCTGTCACCCAGGCTGGAATGCAGTGTCATGATCTCAGCTCACTGTAACCTCTGCCTCTTGGGGTCAAGCAATTCTCCTGCCTCAGCCTTCTAAGTAGCTGGGATTACAGGTGCCTGCCCCCACACCCAGCTAGTTTTTGTATTTTTACTAGAGATAGGTTTCACCATGTTGACCAGGCTGGTCTCAAACTCCTGACCTCAAATGATCCACCCACCTCAGCCTCCCAAAGTGCTGGGATTACAGGTGTGAGCCACTGTGCCCAGCCCCTCTAATGTATCTTTCATTTTAGTTATTGTACTTTTCAGCTCAGAGTTTCATTTTGGTTTTAAGTTTTTTATCTCTTTATTAATATTTATATTACATATATGGCTTTCTTGATTTTTACCAGATCTTCTTTTGTTTTTTTGAGCATCTTTAAGATATTGTATTAAAGTCTTCATCCAGAAGATCTTCCATCAGGCCCTCTTCACAGACAGTTTCTGTTGATTTATATTTTTTCCTCTGAATAGTTTCTTGTTTCTTTGTATGCCTTGTGATGTTTTGTTGAAAAGTGAATACTGGAATCTAATAATATGATAACTCTAGAAATCAGATTTTCCCCTTTCCCCAGAGTTTGCTACTTTTTGTTATTATTTTTGCTATTGTTTTTGTTTTGTTGCTGTCTGCTGTCTGCTGTCTCTGTGCCAAGGATCAGCCTGAGTTATAAACTGGAGGTATTTTATGAGCCTGTGCCATTCTCTGGGTATGCACAGGTACTTTCTAATTTACCCCATGAATACAGTTGATTTTGAATGTCCTTGTTTTTGTTTTTATTTTTGAGACAGTCTCACTCTGTTGCCCAGGCTGGAGTGCAGTGGCATGATCTCAGCTCACTGCAACCTGCACCTCCTGGGTTCAAGCAATTCTTCTGCCTCATCCTCTCAAGTAGCTGGAACTACCTACACACACCACCATTCCCAGCTAATTTTTGTATTTTTAGTAGAGACAAAGTTTTGCCATGTTGGCCAGGCTGGTCTTGAACTCCTGACCTCAAGTGATCCACCCACCTCAGTCTCCGAAAGTACTGAGATTACAGGCATGAGCTACTATGCCTGGTCTTAATCTGCTTGTCTTTAATGTCTGGCTGCTAGAAGTAGAAAATGATAGAAATAAAGGTGGATGGGGAGGTGTCAAAAAATTTTATAAAATGAAAGAAAGAGGCCGGGCACAGTGGCTCACGCCTGTAATCTCAGCACTTTGGGAGGCCAAGGCAGGCAGATTGCCTGAGGTCAGGAGTTTGAGACCAGTCTGGCCAACATGGTGAAACCCCGTCTCTACTAAAAATACAAAAAAAATTAGCCAGACGTGATGGTGTGTGCCTGTAATCCCAGCTAATCAGGAGGCTGAGGCAGAGGAATTGCTTGAACCAGGGAGGCGGAAGTTGCAGTGAGCCCAGATCGCTCCACTGCACTCCAGCCTAGGTGACAGAGTGAGACTCCATCTCAAAAAAAAAAAAAAAGAAAAAAGAAAGAAAGAGAGAAAGAGGTAAAAGGAGCACAGTTCCTTTAAATCTCCTGGCAGTCACTTCAGCTGCAGGGAGAGAGGCTTGCAGCAATGGGGGCAGGTGTAACATCAATGGCAGCCCAACTCTGTCTGAATCTGTGATCATAAGATGCAGTCCATGATCAGGACACAGATTCCTAATATTTGGAGGATATGGTTCTTTTTGCCTACTCTGGCTCCCACAAGGTATGCTTAGGTTGCTTCATGAACGTGTGCACAATTGCCTGCCTCCATTTGGGGATGAAGGATGGGTAGCTGCTACTATAGTAAGAGCTGGAATTGCCTGAAATTAACTACAATTTATGGACCAAGCCTTCCCCTGGAGGTTGCAAGCCCTCAATCGACTCCAGAGTTCCAAAAGAGTTACATCAGACAGATTCTGCCAGTGCAATTGTTATCTAGGTAGGAAAACAGATTTCTGATGCTTCCTAATCAACCATTTTTCCAGATATTTATTTTTCACTATTTACTGATATTCATTCCATTTGGCTTCCTTTTTTAAGAGTTTTTATTCTACATGGAGCACACTTAAAAAAAAGACTTCAAAGCAATGCTTGCTTTCTGCAAAGAGGGGTGATTTTATTTTGAAAACTCTAAATGTTTAGGCTGGGTGCGGTGGCTCACGCCTGTAATCCCAGCACTTTGGGGGGCCGAGGCCGGTGGATCACAAAGTCAGGAGATTGAGACCATCCTGGCTAACACGGTGAAACCCCATCTCTACTAAAAATACAAAAAATTAGCCGGGCGTGATGGCGGGCGCCTGTAGTCCCAGCTACTCGAGAGACTGAGGCAGGAGAATGGCGTGAACCCGGGAGGTGGAGCTTGCAATGAGCCGAGATCGTGCCACTGCACTCCAGCCTGGATGACAGAACAAAACTCTGTCTCAAAAAAAAAAAAAAACCTCTAAATGTTTAAATTTATTCAAGTTTCACTTCTCTATGCTGATTTGCAATATGCTTCAGATTCAGGTGAAAGTCATATTCACAGAGTTTTATCTGAACTACAAAAGAGTTTATACAACTTGCAACATTTTTGTGAGATACTTGTTATCTTGTATGAACATAATAATTGTATGAGATACTTCTATGAACATAATATGACCCCCAACCTCATAGTTGACCCTAGTCTTAATAGTTCACTTCTACTACTATATCAGATGAAGAATCAAAACATTTTTCAAATCTCATATTTTTTCAATACTTAAAAATTTGTGGCTGGGCGCTGTGGCTCATGCCTGTAACCCCAGCACTTTGGGAGGCTGAGGCGGGTGGATCACCTGAGGTCAGGAGTTCCAGACCAGCCTGGCCAACATGACAAAACTCTATCTCTACTAAAAATACAAAAATTAGCTGCACACGGTGGCAGGCACCTCCCGAGTAGCTGGAGGCTGAGACACGAGAGTTGCTTGAACCCAGAAGGCAGAGATTGCAGTGAGCTAAGATCATGCCACTGCACTCCAGCCTGCGCTACAGAGTGAGACTTCGTCTCAAAAAAAAAAAAAAAACCAAGGGTCAGGCATGGTGGCTCACGCCTGCAGTCCCAGCACTTTGAGAGGCCAAGATGGGTGGATCACGAGGTCAGGGAGACCATCCTGGCCAACATGGTGAAACCCCATCTCTACTAAAAACACAAAAAGCGGGCATGGTGGCACGCGCCTATAGTACCAGCTACTACAGAGGCTGAGGCAGAAAAATCGCTTGAACCCGGGAGGCAGAGGTTGCAGTGAGCCGAGATTGTGCCACTGCACTCCAGTCTGGTGACAGAGCAAGACTCTATCTCAAAAAAAAAAAAAAAAAAAATTGTCTCACATTTCTGCAAATGTGTAAAGGATGAGATAGATATAACAAAGAGGATGCACTTTCCCTAAGTCTAATTTTGACAGCTTTACGAAAAGGATTCATCCATTATAAAACCTTATTTGGCTGAAAAGAAATTCAGTCAAAGGTTCAAGCCATCAGTCTGCACTTTAAACACCTAAACCAGTCAAGAACTTTAAATTTTATGCTTCCTTTGTGGTGGAGCTAAATATTATGGGTTGTAAAATCTGATCCATTCCATGAATTCCTTTTATATAATACGAAATATAAAAGAACTTAAATCAATGTCTTATTTTTTATCACTCTAAGGAACACTGCTTACATCAGCAAACCTCTGGTCATGTGAGAGAGTAAGTTCATCTCATCCATTGTATTATCAATATATTAGTAACTGCTGGATTCTAAACTTCCAAGTTTATGAAGAATGTCTATGTTGTTCATTACAGCTCATTCACTACCTAAGATGGTGTCCAGTATATAGCAAGCCCTCAATAGATATTTGTGAAATGACTAACTGCACTCAGTTTTGACATAATTCACCATTACATAGATTTTTGTATATAATTCTTCACCCCTAAGAATTACTGTATTCCTGCCTAATCCACTAATTCTCATAATTTCATCATCATTAGACCCACACATAAGAAAAGTATCCATTTTAAATCATCCCTTGAAACCTCTAAGAAGTAATATTCTAAATTTTTAGATTATAAAAATCACAATTACTAAATTAGTCTATGTGAACAAGCAAAATGCCTTTTGAACTAAACACTTTAACAAAAGTAAAGAAGGCTTTTGGGTCAAAGAATTATTATTTCAGCAGAAACTGAGGAGCATAAAGGTGGTTTAAACAACAGAATATCAATATTGAAATTCTCCAGATAGGAAGACAAGAGTAAAAGCCATATGTCTGACAAATGTTAAAGCACTATAATTAAAAATAAGCTATAAGCTCAAGGTTTTGTAAAGTAATCCAAAAAAATCAAAACTGAGGCTATAACCTTATTTAGATGTTTATTGTCTTATTAGGTAAGTGCAAAAGTAATTGGAGGTTTTGCCATTACCTCCAATGGTAAAAACCACAATTACCTTTGCACCAGCCTAATATAATGTGCCAGGAGCACTAAAATTACTCCACGAAGTACTAGAAGCATACCTCTTTGAACACTACTTTGAATAGTACTGATGTATTATACTGCTCTTGCTTTTCAAGTATTTTATATTAAAACTGTGGCCAGGCACGGTGGCTCACGCCTGTAATCCCAGCACTTTGGGAGGCAGAGGCAGGCAGATCATGAGGTCAGGAGATCAAAACCATCCTGGCTAACATGGTGAAACCCTGTCTCTACTAAAACTACAAAAAAAAAAAAAAAATTAGCTGGGTGTGGTGGCGTGCGCCTGTAGTCCCGGCTACTCGGGAGGCTGAAGCAGGAAAATGGCGTGAACCCGGGAGGCGGAGCTTGCAGTGAGCCGAGATCGCGCCACTGCACTCCAGCCTGGGCGACAGAGCGAGACTCCATCTCAAAAAAAAAAAAAACTGTGTGTGTGTGTGTGTGTGTGTGTGTGTGTATGTGTGTGTGTGTGTGTGTAAAACACAGAATACTGCTTTGGTAGGTTTTCTCCTGATAATTCAACTACTAGTACATAATCACATACCATACTGATTTTGCCTCAATTTGAGTGGACACATCAATTTGTTTCTTTACGTGAGCATGGTAAAAGTGAAGCCAAAAAGATGGGAGTCTTTATTTCATGTTTTGGTGAATAGTTTCAGCACATAGTCATTGATAAAAGATGTGCATGTTGTATTACAGAAGTGAAGGTGCTCCAAAAGAATCAACTATGAAAATAATTTTCTATGTTAAAGTGCTTGAGGAGGGTGAGCATCTTCTAGGAATAAACGGAAGTAATAAATGGCAAATATAGTGTATTTAGAAATGGTGATCATCCTTTCACCTCACTACAGCCAAGAAATGATCAACAGTTTTATGAACAGTGGTTGGAAAACATAAGGTCAGGAATACTTCTTGGCCATAGAATATTTGAAGAAGATAAAATCAAAATCGTCAATACAGCGTTCAGAATGTAATTCCATGTGATTACCTATTTGCAGTTTGGACTCCCCTTTCTATAAAAGCAACCCTGTGCTAACAAAATGACTACATTAAAATGGCTACATTTGGCTACTTTAATCTTCAAATTGAATCATTACAGACTACTTAGTTGATTCAATTGAAGCAAAAAGTAGTTTCTGAGGATTAATCCCAAGGTTAGCACTTCACTGAATGTGTTAGGTAAATAAAGAAAATAAGAGTTTTTTTTCCCATGAATAGAGCATGAATTCACTGGTGAGATAAGACACTAAATAAAGCAACTGGAAAATTAAGCAAAAGAGTATATCGCTCAAAGTCTAGCCATTTAATGTGAAACACACAGTAAGTTCTATTTAAATTGAATGAGGCCAGGCACAGTTTACAACCAGGATGGAAGTTAAACTTGTTCTTGAAATATAGATATGTTTTAGTCCATTTTGTGCTGTTATACAGAATACCACAGACCGTTCTTTATAAAAAACAGAAATTTATTCACTCATAGTTCTGGAGGCTGGGGAGTCCAAGATCAGGTCACCAGCAGATTTGGTCTCTGGTTACAACATGGTGCCTTGTTGTTCCTCCAGAGAGGAGGAAGATTATATCCTCACATGGCAGAAGAGTAGAAGAGAGAATTTATTCCTTCAAGCCCTTTTTGTAGTGGCATTAATCCATTCATGAGGGTGGAGCCTTCATGACCCAAACATCTCCCAAAAGGCCCCACCTCTCAACACTAGTTGCATTGGGATTAAATTTTCAACACATGAACTTGAGGAGACATATTCAGACTATGGCAGAATAGAATAAGGTATCAGAAAGGAGGAAGATATTTTAGATAGGAGAACATAAAATGTGAAGGCAGATTTGGTGTAGACATAAGTTTTCAACTCCTTTCAGTAATTACCAAGGAGACTGCATACTGCAAAGATCGTATGGTAAAAGCATGTTTAGTCTCATAAGAAACTATCACACTGTCTCCAAAGTGGTTGTATACCATTTGGCATTCCCAGCAGCAATAAATCAGAGTTTCTATTGTTCCACAGCCTTGCCAGCATTTGGTGTTGTCAATGTTCTGGATTTGGGGAGACAGATGTTTATAGCAGCTTTATTGATAATTGGAAAACTTGGGGACAACCAAGATGTCCTTAAGTGAACAGATAAACAAACTGGTACATTCAGACAATAGAATATTATTCGGTGATAAAAGAAATTAGCTATTAAGCCATGAAAAGACATGCAGGAACCTTAAGTACATATTACTAAGCATAAGGGGCCAATCTGAAAAGGTTACATACAGTATAATTCCAACTATATGACATTCTGGCAAAGGCAAACTACGGAGACAATAAAAAGATCAGTGGTTGCAAGGGGTTGTCTGGTGGTAGGGAGGGTGGGGGAGGAGGGATAAATAGGCAGAGCCCAGATGACTTTGAGAGCAGTGAAAATACTCTGTATAAAATACTATATGACAGATTCATATTATTATACATTTAGCCAAACCCATTGAATGTACAAAACCAAGTGAATCCTAATGTAATCTTTGGACTTTGGGTGGCTGTGATATGTCAATGTAGGTTCATCGGTTGTAACAAATGCACAGCTTTAGTGGGGGATGTTGATTACTGGGGAGGTTATACATGTGTGAGGTGAGGGAGTATGTGGAAAATTTCTGTGCCTTCCTCTCAGTTTTGCTGTTAAAACTGCTCTGAAGAAAATGAAGTCTTAAACACACACACATACACACACACACACACACACACACAAGTGAAGGGAGAGGAGTAAGAGTAAGCCTGATGGGTATAACACAGGAATGAAAACCGCTCAGAGAAGGACTTTCCTAAAGCTTTGCAGTAGTCCTGACATGCTGTTTAAAATCAAATGTTATGAAGCTCCTGTACCCCAAAAAACCCAGTTCTCAATTATCACATCTTGTTTGTAACAGCTAGTGTTGTGTAGTCTTGACTTTAGGTTACAAGCATTTGGAGGATTCAAGCAATACTGACTTAACTTCAGGGAACCATGCCTAAATACAGTGGAAGGCACAGTGACATACTTAATATGCTTAATAATTGCTAGGTTTCCTCTCAGTAAAAAGACAATTTTTCAAAAGTTTGTGATGAGGGTTAAAATGTACCGTTTTACTCAAGTGTGCAAGAATTACATATTTCTTTATTTTTAAATATCTCATCTTGTTTTTTTGTTGAGGGGGGAGCGGAGACAGAGTTTTGCTCTTGTCTGCCAGGCTGAAGTGCAATGGTATGATCTCGGCTCATTGCAACCACTGCCTCTTGGGTTTAAGTGATTCTCCTGCTTCAGCCTCCCAAGTAGCTGCGATTACAGGCGCCCACCAGCAGGCCTGGCTAATTTTTGTATTTTTAGTAGAGATGGGGTTTCACCGTCTTGGCCAGGCTGGTGTCGAACTCCTGATCTCAGGTGATCCACCTGCCTTGGCTTCCCAAAGTGCTGGGATTACAGGTGTGTGTCACGGCACCTGGTCCTCATCTTGTTCTTAAGTCTCCAACTTCCAGTGATCATTGAAAAAAAAAATCCTAATGTCTATTTAAAAATAACTGATTCCTCTAGCTGAAAGTTATCAATCCATAATTTTAACTCTCCATCAGGTATATTTCTCACTGCTGGAAGGGTCTCCTCTCCCACTCTCTCTTGCCAACATTGTTTCTGAGTAGAGAAGCTTCTGTGTATTTATGATGATGGGTCTATGTGCTATTCTCTTGATCTGAGCTGTCCAATACAGTAGACACCAGTCACATCCAGCTACTGAGCACATGAAGTGTGGTTTTTTTTGTTCTTTGGGTTTTTTAAGTGTGGCTATTAGACAATTTTAAATCACATGTGTAGCTTGCATTATATTTCCACTGGACAGTGTTGTTCCGGGTGTTCCTCTGTCTCCAATGGAGGGCGATGAGTCTGTTTCCTCAGTAGTGGGCATTGGCATCTACCAAGGAGTGTCTGGTCCTGCATGGTCAGCTCTGCTGATGACTACTTCCTCACCATGGCCTCCAGTGTAAGTTTCCCACAAACTCCAGCTTTAATTTTCCAACTTAAGCCATTTTGATCTGCCAGTCCTTATAGCATCTCTGCTTCCTACCACTAAGTACTATATAAAGGTCATAGGCTGCAGACAATATCCTAGGCCCATCTCTCTAGAATCCCCATTCTGCTTTTGCTGACCTACCATTCTACAGCCATGGTGATAGGTCAGGAAAGCAGAGTACAAGGCTGGATGGCCTCAGATTCTTCCCAAGCTATCTGGGCTTCCTGCCATTTTGCCACATGCCTCCATTGCCCAAGACCCAGAATGATGGCTCACCAAATCTCTAATCAGGGATCCAGTTAATACTTGTCTTCTCTCCGCTTGCATTCCTTACTAATTTGCCTCCTCTCCTCCCATTATACAAAATGTCTCCTTCCTCTTTCTATCTGATGAGTAATTGCTACCCATCATGTTCTCCATGCTCTTTACACTTCCAGTTATAGTAAAACTCTATAATCTGAGTTCATGAGATTTGGTCCATGACATTCAAAGGAGTGCTTTTAGAATATAGAATGTAAAGCCACATAGCTCTACTGGAGAATACCGTATCATCTCTAACATTAGTGACAAAATAAATGCGTGATTTCCAATTTTACCTGGACTGTTAGTGTTTCCTAAAATTCTGTAGTTCCCTACATAGCAATTGCTTCTAGTCTTCACATAAGCTATTTCATTCCTTACTTCATTATGCATTAAAAATAGTTGTAGCTATATATTTTTGTAAAATTACATGTGTTCATTTTAAAAATTAAAACAGTACAGAAAAAGCCAAAGAGAAAGCATCCAAAATATGAATATCAACACCTAAGGATAACTGCTGCTGATTTTGTGAATATCTTTCCAGATACTATTATTCCAGAGTACTATACTTAGCAATCAATTTTAAATAAATGGGATCATTCTGTACATGCTTTCTTTTCCACTGATAGAATCTTGTGGATATATTTTTTCATGAATCAATACAGAATCATATATTAATTTTTAATGGTTACAAAGTATTCCACTACAGGGTTGTACCATAATTTTCTTGTATACTCCTGCTTTAATGAATTGGGAGGGGAGGATGTTAAAAAACACAAAATCAGAATAAATATTTTAATATATATATCATTTTGCATTTGCACAATTTTTCCTTTGCAATAAGTCCTAAAATTGAGATGATGGGTGGCAGCCTATAAACATTTTACATTTTGATAAATTATGGCAAACCGCCTTCTAGGAAAATTTTAGTGATTTAAACATCCACAGTGAATGAGATGGTCTATTTTCCTTCGCCTTCTACACCAATGGGTTGTTTTAATCTTTTAAAACTTTATAGATGTAGAAACTGTATTTTATGGTTGGTTTTAGTTACATGTCTCTTATTAATAAAGTGAATATATTTTTGGCATTTATTTGCTAGCTGTGCCTCTTCACATAACACACAAGTGCTAAAGCCTATCACTGATTTTTTTCTATCGAATTATTTTTACTGGCTTATTCATTTGTACATTATGGCTATTACTCCTTCAACAAGTGTTGTGACTCTCACAGTTTTTTATCATTCAGCTTGTTTATAGTATTCATTACCATAAGGAAGTTCTAAGACTTAATACAATTTCCAGTTTCTATAATAATGTCCAAACAATGAAATATAAATATATACACTTATTTTCTTCAAGTTCTTTTACATTTAAATCATTCAAGTTTGTAGAGATCTAAAAACAGGAATTTGACTTATCTTTTCTAAATGACTAGCCAAATGCTAAAATGTTATTTTATGAAAAACCCATCTTTTGTTCCACTATTTTGAATGCACCTTTACCGTATAATAAATACCCATATATACTCAGTCCAACATGACATCCCTGGGGTTGTGGCCACATCACTGCAATCTCTGTCTTGTCTTCACATTGCCTCCTCTTCTGTGTGTCTTAAAACTTCCTTTGACTCTCATAAAAATACACAAGATTGCATATACAGCCTACCCAAATAATCCAGGATAAATCCCCCTCTCAAGGTCTTTAATTTAATCACATATTTTGCCATTTAAGGCATTATTCATTATTTTGCCATAGAAGGTAATATTCACAAATTCTGGGGATTAGGATATGAACGTCTCTTTTTGAAGATGGGGCCACCATTTAGCCCACCATACCTATTAAATTAGCAAAGCTTTAAATCAAACAAATATTAATGTAGGCAAGACAGTAAAAAACAAAAACAAAACAAAACAGGCATGCATACTCACTCACAACTGGTAAGGTTATACATTGGCACAACTCTGTTCAAAGTAATACGACACCATGCATCAAGAACATTAAAAATATTCATTCTCTTGTCTAGTAATTCCTCATCTATAATAGGAATCTGTCTTAGACAAATGTATTTCAGTACGGACCAACAGAAGATTCCAATTGAAATATATATAAACATGTACACACAGAAAAAAAACTAGAAAAAATGCATCAAAATGCCTGTAGTGGTTATTTCTGCATTGTAACCCTTATGAATACTTGTCTATGGTATTTAAATATTTTAGGGTGAACTTGCATAACTTTAATACCTATTCAAATTTACTTTCAAGTTTTAATTATATAAAATGTGGATTGGCATTTGATTGACAATAAAGGAATAACTAGCCACAGATTTGTGAATTATTTTTAAAAACATTAAATATTCTATTTAGCTGTATTTCCAGAGCCAAAGCAAGACAAAATAAAACATATTCTGAGAATTCTGACTAAGCCCCTCTATTTACAGGAGATTAAACATAAAGTTGGGTGTGGTGGTGCACACCTGTAGTACCAGCTACTCAGGAGGCTGAAGGAGAAGGATCTCTTGAGGCCAGGAGCCAAAGTCTGCAGTGAACTATGATTGGGTCTGTGAATAGCCATTGTATCCCAGCCCAGGCAACACAGCAAGAACCCATCTCTAAAAATAAAAATAAAAAAAATAAGAGAGAGATAGGTGAAGCTGGTATGACCTGATAGGACCTCCCTTTTATGACAATAAAGGCGACCTTAAAAAAATCATCTTGCTCATTTCGTGTCCAGAGTTGGTTCCTTCCGGTGGGTTCGTGGTCTCGCTGACTTCAAGAATGAAGCCGCAGACGTTCGCAGTGAGTGTTACGGTTCGTAAAGGTAGCACAGACCCAAACAGAGTGCAGCAGCAAGATTTATTGTGAACAGTGAAAGAACAAACTCTCCTCAGGGTAGGAAGGCACCCCAGCGGTTGCCCTGCTGTTGGCTGGTGGGTGGCCAGCTTTTATTCCCTTATTTGTCCCCACCCACATCCTACTGATTGGTCCATTTTACAGAGTGCTGATTGGTCCACTTTACAGAGTGGTGATTGGTCCATTTCACAGAGTGCTGATTGGTCCATTTTATAGGGTGCTGATTGATCCATTTTACAAACCTCTAGATAGCTACAGAGCGCCAATTGGTGCGTTTTTACAGAGCACTGATTGGTGCATTTTACAAACCTCCAGCTAGCTACAGAGTGCTGATTGGTGTGTTTTACAATCCTTTTGTAAGACAGAAAAGTTCTCCAAGTCCCCACTTGACCCAGGAAGTCCAGCTGGCTTCACCTCTCAATTTTATTAACTAAAGGGAAGCTGCACTCTAAAGAAATTTAAGTCTCTTTTAAGAGAAGTATTCTAGAAAGAGAAATCCCATATCTCCACTTAGTTTCCATGTTGTTCAATATATCAATTATTTTTGACAATTTTTTGCAGGTTAAGTAACTCAAGGAGAAATGTGAGTCTATGAATTTTCTTTTGGGAACAATCTAAAAAACAAAGGGCAGACTGTTCCTTTGATTCTATATTAAATCTAGCCACATACAGAGCAAAATTATTTTATGATTCTATTTATAACAGACTTCTGTATGAATTCTGGTTTAAAACAGATGTTGATAACAAAATAATTGTTAAGGAAAAGACTATCTCTAGGTAAAATGTTGTGAACAAAATTAAAATTCCCTCTGGAATAAGAAATATTTTAATGTGCCAAATCTAGCCAAGAGTAGTATGTTAACCCTTATCATCAACTTTTAAAAAATCACTTAATTAAATAAGCAAATCCTTTTTCAGTATGCAATGTTATCATGTATGACCAGATATAACCTGAGGGCACCAATCAACCTTAAAATGTAGTTACAGCAAATTTATTTAGCATGTGCTTATTTAGTGATTATGAACTTCACCTATTCAATGCATTACTGAATAAAATCACTGAGAAGAAAATATCTTACAGATCCTGTCTCAGGAAGCCTTAGATGAAATGATGGCTTCCCCATTCATGACATACAAAACATCTTAAGGATTAAGACAATTGTAGTCAAAGGACTCTCCTCTTCCATTATGTACAAAGATCCTCAAAGCTTTAACCTCCAGAGATTATGCAGAAAATGTGCATATAGTTTTCCCAGAGGAAATTCAGTTTGGCTGACTAACTCCATGAGAAGATGAAGCATAAAGAAAGAGATGAGAATAACCAAGGAATACATGCTAGAGTTGTGCAATTATATTGAAAATTCAGATCTAGTTAGGTGTATTCATCCTCAAGACAGTGGTTACAGTTCTGAAAGACGTCTTTCAACGGAAGTTATTCTGCTATAAGCAGGGGACTTGTGTAAGCTACATTTGAAAAAAATGTATTATTTGATGGAGTTGGTAAAGATATTTGGGTCTTCTTATCACAACCAATGGAGGAAATTATATTAAATGGATATTGAGATTTTAAAGAAAATACAGCAAAAAAAATTAAATACAGACATATTTCAAACACACATGTACATATATGGATATATAAACTCATAAATATATACAAGGACTACCTGTTGTATTCTTCAGTTGAAAAATCATGAAATGACAGAAGAACTCATTTTTGGAGGAAACCTGAGAAGGCTTCAGTCTCAATGGATTGATGTGGGGATAAGAAATTAAGAAAGGCTATAACAACAATGGTTATGTTAAGTAGTCTAGAACTGCATAAGGGAATGCTAGACAACTATTAAAAGATGATGTAGACATATATTTGTTGTCTGTGACATATTTTTATTACAGGAAAGCAAGTAATAGAACAGCATGTATATGGTATGTTTCTATTTATGTAAAACTATTTACATGTGTGCATAGAAAGATGTCTGTTATATGGTAAGCACCCAATAAATAATTCATTGATAAACAGGGTTAATCTCATGGTGGTAAGACCTAAGGTGAATTTTAATCCCTTCTTTTTCTTTTTCTGTATGATTTTATATATTTTTTCAAATATTTTACAAGTAGGAAAAAGATTTCAAAAAAATAAAAAGCCCATGAAGAAATAACATTGTTACCTCCCTACATGTGGCTCAGTAACACAATAGTCTTGAAATACCAGTCATCACTCAATTTAGATTTCATTTGCCTTTTTCTTGTTGTTTCAGGTTTTCTCTTTCTCAAAAGTCCAAGTTGCCTGTAGTCCCAGCTACTAACAAGGTTGAGGTGGGAGGATTGCTTAAGCTCAGGAGTTTGAGGTCAGCCTGGGTGAAATAGCAAGACTCTCTCTCTCTGTTTTTTTTTTTCTAAGCCCAAATTTCGGAGATAAAATGGTTTATAATTTGAGTAAGTAGAACTCATCTAAGATAACAGTGCGTATAGGAACTGCCATAAAATTAGGAAGGAAAAAAAAGATTTCACATTTCTGTGTTTTAATTCAGGGTTTCTCATATTTTTCTACTTGGACAGCTTAACAGTTCAGCAACATGAACATGAGAAGTTATCAGGAAAGTCTCCACAACTTCGAAATTGTTTCGAAGTGTCTTATGTTTGACCTAAAGAATTATGAGATTTTTGCACTGTATTCCATAGTATTATGCATTTTTAATGCAAAATGAGGCTTAAAATTAACTACCCTGGAGTACAATTGAGTTCCAAGAAAAAGCTGACCACATTTTTCTTGTGGTTTTGCATGCCTGGTAGGCTGAGGGAGTGGGGGTGCTCATCCCAGCTAGATAAGCAAGTGAGTCTTCAAAGTGCAGTTTGTAAAATCAGCATCATTGACAGACCAGTTGCTCTTGTGAAACAAGATTTCAACTCTGCCCAGGGCTTCTCAGCACCTGATGGAAATCACAGAACAGGGAATGGAAACTCATGATGAGAATGTCATAGAAGGTGTTCAATTTTACTTTCTGTTACTTTAAAAAATATTGTTTATTTTACCATTTTTTTAACGTCCTAAAAATTAAAATAGTATTTAATAAAGTAAAATACAGATTGGTAAGGTAAATAAAACATAGTCACTTAGGACTAATTAAGTAGTTTAATTTTGGTACACAAAAAGAAAATCAGGAATAAAATGGAATTTTTTTTATTTCAAAAGACTGTGTTTCTGCTGATCTTATTAGTATTCTGTCAATATTATATCTTTACTACGGATTTTTTTGTAATTTTTTTACAGATGCTTACTAGCAAATGAGCAGGCCCCTAAATATTCACAAATCACCCACAATATGAACTTTAATTTTAAAATAAGGTATTTCTCTTCCTGTTCCAGGATGATAAAACATGATTTCTAATATGTATCTGTCCCCAGATAATAATGTTATTCTTTAAAACATACACTTTTTCTCTTAAGAAAACTGTTCTCGCAATCGTCAAAATTAAAAAAGAAAAACTTATAATAAAGGTCTTAGATAGCTCAAAATCTACCCATAACCTTTATCACTGTTTTTGTTTCGAAAGGAAAAAAATAATTATCCAGTATACCTCAAGATGAGGCAGGAATGGAGTAATAAAGATACCAACTGATGAACATTAAATTAAAACCATGTGGAAACTTGGCAATACTATTACGACAACCAAATTAAAATGAGAAAATTAATCTTTTAAAATTTGTGGTAACTGAGCAATCAAGAAAATAAATTCCATGTTGTTGTAAACCTGTGCTGTTCAAAAACTCTAAAATAATACTTGCTTTTGCAGGAGAGCGTAGCTGGAGCTGACAGTCTGGGGAAGGTTTTCGGAGCTAAATGAAACTTTAAAAGGCTTCTTATTCTTTTGCAATTATTCATTTATTGGGTTCAGTGAAACGTATTGAGTCACAAAGAATGATCTTGTTTTATTTTTCTTTTCCCCCCAAAACATAGTGCTATTATAAAATAAAAGTTATACAAAAAAATTAAGTACTTCTAGCAAAGGGGGCATTTTTAAAAGAATTACAAGTGGTTTTTTTTACATTCAAAAGCAACACAATGTAGTAAATTACTGTATCTGAATATCCTATTTTTGCACCACATTTAAATTGTTGGAACCTGAAAAAGTAAGTGCCAATGCTTGATTCAAAGAGATATTTATCACATTCTCTAAACTGATGGGAAGAATACACAGACACAATAGGGATTACAAGTCTCTTTGATGAAGTCTCCCTGATTTGAACCTGTTTTTTCCTCTTTCATGGAACAAGAGATAATCACCCCTGAAATAAATATTTCCCCCTTTGAAAAATGATTCAAACAAAAGATAATTGGGCAAAATAAGGCACTGCATTCATAGTTAAGGTGGGAAATAATAAATAAATACGAACAGATAAAACACTAAGATTATGTCTCTTCACTCTATTTTCAAAAGGAAAAAGGTAATGAGCAGACACCCACTTGTAATTTACAAGCTGAAGTCTTCCTTTGACAACCCACAGATCAATTAAATCCTCTTCAAATTAGTTTTGATGTGTTAATGTGAGTTCCCCCACCTCCCTAAGTTTCCATGGACCATTACTGGGTTTTTATGCTGGCTTTCTACTGAATTGTTTCTAGTGTTTTGTTGCATGTTAATACAAGGTCATTTAAAACTATGTAAATATGGAGAAAAGTAACTCTAAAGCAGATTATTCCCTGCTATGCTTTATTTTCTCACACTATATCCTGCCTTCTACTAGCTAATAAAAAACAGAAAATATTTGAATCTTGATTCATTTTTCCCCTCCACAGCTGTATCTATAATCTTTAGCAATACTTAGATTATCAAAATAGAGCAAGTGACCATATTCCAATTTCTACAACCCATTCAAAAACACCTAGATTTTATAAACTGTTAACCTTAATCTGTCACAAACACTTAACTCTAATACAGAGTGACTAACAGGTAAAGAGAGAATATTTTAAATTTATGACTGGGTAATTCTTTTCACATATGATGGAATCCAAAACAATACCTCAGTTTTATCTGACAGGGAATTACTGTCACGTTTGCCTCCCCAATGCTTCCTGTTGGGGGTGAGTGGTCTATTCTTCAGCATGACAAAGTCTGATTTCTGAATGGCTGGTAGTGTCAAAGGGCCATTAGTATGCTAAGCCTTTTAGTGGCATGGGATAGCTCCATTCTGCTTTCCTCAATTGTTGCAATTGGGCCACGTGATTAACTGATGATTTCAAGGCAAGCTTTGGAATCTTGATGTCTTCCAGAAATTAATACACCTCCTGGTAATATAATCTATTGACTATTACTGCTCAATTTTTAATGCCTGAAAGGAGGTACAGTCTTAGTGAAACTCTCAAGGAATGAGAAAAGAGAAGACACCGCAAACAAAATGCTAGCTTCATTCATAATTAGGTTTTAAGAGTTTAAAAAGACAAGTCTAATCTGTTTGGAGAAACTGTTGACAGCTCTTATGCTCTTTATTTTAAAAACTTCTAATAAAAATGATAACAGACAGCAATTTTTCAAAATTGATTTGAACTATTAACATTTTGTAATACTTTTTTGTATAGTCAATTCTTTATTGTTCAGCACTATTTTTTACTTCGTAAAAATATTTTTTTATGCTTATTAACTCCAAGCATCTACAGTAAAATGGAATAAACATAAAACAATCATTTGAAAATTAGAGGAAGTGAATCAGATGATTTCTGATCCTATGCTAATTATTTTATTACATCTTATACTTACTTTATGTTTATCTGCAAGCCAATAAGTTTGTTGAAATAGCACATTTAGCTCCAAAGAAGATTTGAAAGGTGATACACTTTAGATTAGTTTGCAAACGGTTCCAAAGGAGGAGACTAGATGGCAAAACTGAGCAGTTTCCTGGCCTTGCAGGAATGAAATCTGTATAGTGCATGTTATTTGCTTAAAAAGACATTTCAAGAGTATCAGCCACATATATACTCAAACGCAGAGAGAAAATACCTCACAAAGTTCAATGCACAATGTTTTTTAGATTACTGAAATTTAAATTATCCACAAATTTGCTTTTATTTCTAACAGGTTAATAATTAAGAGCTGAGCAAATCTTATTACTTCTGTGGCCTAGGTCAGCAGAGACAGGCTGGCTTTTCAGAAAGCCTGTTTCTTTCTTTTTTTGTTTTCTTCCCCCCATGCACACAGCTAGACCACACATCCCTGCCTCTCTTGCAGTGAGGTGTAATTATGTGAATGAGTTTCAGCTAATAGGATGTATTTAGCTAATAGGATGTGGCTTCACTGCCAGGTCTGGTCCATAAAAGTCTCTTATACATGATCCTTTATGCCCTTTTTCCACCTTCCAGACTCGCTCAGAACACAGTGACTTTGAAAACCTTGGATGAAGAGGACTGAGCTACAAAATAGAAAGAGCCTTGAAACACATTCCAGAAACACTTAACAGGAGAATCACCAATCAGGAACACCTAGATTGGACTTTATGTGAGTGAAAAAATATATATATATATATAATTTTTGAACCATTACACATTTCATATTGAAAGTGAAGAACTGCTGAACGTAAGACATTTTACGACATTGGTTTTAGTGGCTGGGCATTAAACAACGAGGAAATGGATACTACAGGCTGGAAAGATAGAGATTCATGATATCCAGAAGCAAAACGCATGGTAAAGCTGCCTCCAAGGAGAACTTGAAAGAACCACAGAACCTGTAGCATCAGTGGAAGTGACTGGAAAAAATAAGACTGACTGCTTTTAGCAAGCTATCACAAGAGACAAATGTGCTTAGGAAAGAATGGACTGGTTTGCAAACAGAAATAAAGGGGATAAAGAAAGGCTAGAAATGTGGTTCCTCAAAGGACTGGAAAAGTTGACTGCTTTTAAACTTTAGGGAATAGAAGATAACCCTGGGGAAAAAAGACTTCGAGCAACAAAGGGCCATAGGGTGACTGTATGTCCCAGTTTGACCAGGATAGTCATGGTTTATAACTGTTGCTTCTGCCTAAATATTAATAGTATTAATACAACTTATTCTGAGCCAAATAAACAGATTACAAGTATGGCCTTCCTACTCAAAGTCTAAGTGCCTTTAAGTTAGCTGGCCAGGTAAGAGAAGAGAAAAAGGCATATCATAATATAGTTATCTACTGCTGTGTCACAAACCACCCTAAGCTTAATAGTTTAAAACAACCTTTTATCTACTCATGATTTTTATGCAATTGAGAAGAAGCTTGGTGAGGATGTCTTGTCTCTGCCCCGCAAGGAATCTCTTAGCTGTATTTACCTGGATCACTATTCACCATAAGGGTCAAGGAAGCAAAGAAATAAATGAGGCCTAGCCGGGCACGGTGGCTCACGCCTGTAATCCCAGCACTTTGGGAAGCCAAGGCGGGCAGAACACAAGGTCAGGAGACCAAGACCATTCTGGCTAACATGGTGAAACCCCATCTCTACTAAAAATACAAAAAATTAGCCGGGCGTGGTGGCGTGCACCTGTAGTCCCAGCTACTCAGGAGGCTGAGGCAGGAGAATGGCCTGTACCTGGGAGGCAGAGCTTGCAGTGAGCCGAGATCACGCCACTGCACTCCAGCCTGGGCAACAGAGTGAGACCCTGTCTCAAAAAAAAAAAAAAAAAATGAGGCCTGAGAGCTGTGTCTAAGGAGACTTTCAGATGTGGTTACTGACACATGGAACTGACTGAAAAGCACATAAATCAGAAATCTACCGTGATTCTGAAGGAATTGAATTGTCAGCGTAAGGGAGGAGACCACCCCTCATATTGTCTTATGCCCAATTTCTGCCTCCAAAGAAAGAAGAAGTAAAAACTAAAAGGCAGAAATGAAATCCACAGGCAGACAGCCCGGTGCCACGCCCTGGGCCTGGTAGTTAAATATCAACCCCTGACCTAACTGGTTATATTATCTATAGATTCCAGGCATTGTATGGAAAAGCATTGTAAAAATCCCTGTCCTGTTCTGTTCCATTCTGATTACCAGTGCATGCAGCCCCCCCTGTCACGTACCCGCTGCTTGCTCAATGGATCACGACCCTCTCAGGCAGACCCCCTCAGAGTTGTGAGCCTTTAAAAGGGACAGGAATTGCTCACTCAGGGAGCTTGGCTCTTGAGACAGGAGTCTTGCTGATGTCCCGGCCGAATAAACCCCTTCCTTCTTTAACTTGGTGTCTGAAGGATTTTGTCTGCGGCTCTTCTTGCTATAAACACAATCACAAGCCCAAACTTGCACACTAGGAGCGAGCAGTAAAGATGGGCCACAACCAAGAGGGACACACTTTGGGTGTATCTGTGGAGGATATAGGACAAGCACATACTTCCTAGAGGCCTGGATCTAGGAACCACAGAGAACAATGGATAATGGACTTCCTACCAGAGAAAAGAATAAAGATCTGGTCAAGGCTCAGAACCTTCATAATGCCTGCCCAGCAAAATTCCAAAATTGCAAAGATCGGCCGGGCACGGTGGCTCACACCTGTCTTCTGAGGTGGGTGGATCACCTGAGGCCAGGAATTTAAGACCAGCCTGGCCAACATGGTGAAACCCCGTCTCTATTAAAAATACAAAAAAAATTAGCTGGGCGTGGTGGCGGGCACCTATAGTCCCAGCTACTCGGAAGGCTGAGACAGGAGAACGGCGTGAACCCGGGAAGCGGAGCTGGCAGTGAGCTGAGATCAGGCCACTGCACTCTAGCCTGGGCGACAGAGCAAGACTCATCTCAAAATAAAAAATAAAAATAAAAATAAATAAATAAATAAATAAATATTGCAAAGACCAATGAGAGCTGGATATCTCTAATTCTTTTCCTTCCTAAATAGATGTGTGTATTGCAATTCCACTACTGTAATTTGAGTGAATATGTGGATGGCAGTGGGGGTTCATAAAACTTGTCCTTTTCTAGATCATGGTAGCCCATAATTTGGCACATTTACATGGACAATGTATGGATGCCGTGTCTGCTTTAAACTTTGGTTTGTTTGTCTTCGGAAGAGGGTGAGTGTTTTCTGTATGTAAGGAGAAAGAAAAAGGATGTTGGGTGATCAGAAGAGCAGGCTGTGGCAGAGGCTTTTATGTGTTAACCGAAGTCCATTTCCTTTTCCTTCAAGGCACCTAGATATGCCATTTTTCCCAGAATTACCTTGCAGTTATGTGTGACTGTATGACTGAATTCTGACTAATGGACTATAAGTAGAAGTGATACATGCTATTTCCAAGTCTCATCCATAAAAACTTTCCACACTACCTGCATGGCATCTTTTCTCCTTGGCTTATTGAATGGAAAGATCTCCAAGGACCTGGAGAAGGATGGAGCCTAGTTTTCTGGCCTGATAGGGAATACCCTCAACTCTACTGACATGTGAGAAATAATTTTTTTTTTTTTGAGACAGAGTCTCACTCTGTCACCCAGGCTGGAGAGCAGTGGAGCAATCTTGGCTCACTACAAACTCCTCCTCTTGGTTTTAAGCAATTCTCAGGCCACAGCCTCCTGAGTAGCTGGGGCTACAGGCACACATCACCATGCCTGGCTAGTTTTTGTATTTTCAGTAGACAGGCGGTTTCGCCATGTTTGCCAGGCTGGCTTGAACTCCTGACCTCAAGCGATCCAACTATCTTGGCTTCCCAAAGTGCTGGGATTACAGGTGAGAGCCATGGCACCTGGCCCCCAGAGAAATAAATTTTTATTGTGATGAGCCACTGAGAATTTAGGTTTATTTATTAAAGCAACTTTTAACTAATACAAGGAAATCAAATGTACCAGAGACAAATGTTGCCTGAGTCACAAATTACTATAGGTGTAACGTCAGTCTTATTTATAATAAATAAACCCAATTATGTTCACTGTCAACAAACACTTTAAAGTTTTTATTTTCTTTTAGGGGTTCAAGAGCAATATAAAACCTCTTAGGCAAAAGTTGGAGTATTTACTTGGCACATACACTTTCCTTTAGCATTGGTCTCTTCTGAAGGGATCGGCTTCGGCAGTCATATCTAATCAGTGCCACCGCCAGTCCTGCTGATTGACAGGGCTGGAAATTTGAACCAAGATGAACCAATTTGATTGTAGCTCCATAAGATTTTGGTATTGTGAAACTACTATGTAGGGATTGAGCAAAACTAAGTCATTTTAATGGCAGGATCCTAGTGTGAATTCCATAAGCTTCTGCTGATCAATGGGTAAAATATATGACCAAGATTTGTTTTGAAATACTCCAGGAAAAAAAAAAGTTTGAAGAAGATATGTGTATATGTATGTGTGTGTTAATTTAAAAAAAACCAGTATAATTAATACCCATATATTCATCAAAAGCTTCAATAATTATCAACATTTGCCACTCTTGTTTCTTATTTGTATACACACACACACAGACACACACACACACACACGCTCTTTGTTTTTAAAGAAGTGTATCTCTCATATGGTTAAAAATTCATATACTGGATTCTGATGGACTGGGTTTCATATCTTGTCTTTCTTGCTTTCGGGAAGTATCCAGCTTGGGTGAGTCATTTTATCTTTTGTGCGGTTCAATATTCTCATTTGCAACACAAAGAAAATATTTATACTTACATTTTAGAGATGATTAAAGATTAAATAAAATATGTAAAGCCCTTACTATGTTATTAAAAATTAAAATAGAATAAAATATGTAAATCCCTGAGTATATTATTAAAGATCAAATAAAATATGTAAAGCCCTTAGTATGTCCAGGGCATGGTAGGTATATAATATGTGTTTTTTAAAAAAATAGTGCTGGCCAGGCACAGTGGCTCATGCCTGTAATCCCAGCACTTTGAGAGGCCGAGGCGGGCAGATCACTTGAGGTCAGGAGTTCGAGAACAACCTGGCCAACATGGTGAAACCCCGTCTCTACCAAAAATACAAAAACTAGCTGGGCACAGTGGCACATCCCTGTAATCCCAGCTACTCGGGAGGCTGAGGCAGGAGAATCATTTGAACCCGGGAGGCGGAGGTTTCAGTGAACCAAGATCATGCCACTACACTCCTACCTGGGTGACAGAGCAAGACTCTGTCTCAAAAAAAAAAAAAAAAATAGTGCCATGGAGGAAGTTTATATAATATATAGTGATGGCAAAAAGAAAAGACTGATGGACACTTCTTGGACAGTGGGAGTGGGGACATTAAATGAAAGAGCAACTGTTAACCTAGGTCTTTAAGATTGCATTGGAAGTTTCTAAAAAAATAAGATTGCATAGAGGATATCCAAGAGAGAAAAGTGATGGCATTTGGGTTACATACAAGGATGCAGTGAACATTTATAATTTTTTTGACTGCCCTGCATGTAAATCTCATTTGTATGTTTGGGAAATTACCATCTTATGGATATGGACAAGAGGTGAAGACTGCCTCTTACCAAGAAACCTGAAAATGACACATCCCCTTTCCCATCTCCTATGCAGCTAAGATATAAGCATGTGACCCAGATTCAGGCACTGAGACATATTTGCCTTGGATTTTGGAGAGGGAGTCACTGGGCACCCAGGGCAGTGAAGGATCCATTATGGAGATAGGTGGCAGTAGTGGTGGCAGCAGGCATAGTTTTCATGGACAGCAATGGTCTTGGTTCCAGAAATGGGGTCTAGGAAGCTGTGCACCCTGTATTTAACACAATACTAGAGTCCTCACTGGACTACTTTTTGTGGCATAATTTGGCTTTGGTCCTGCTTTCTGCCTAGGTTATTTATTACTGCCCTTTTAAAATTTAGCTCTGTTCTTCAGACCTCTTGTGATTCGATTTCCTACTCAGTATGTTTTCAGTAACTTCCTTTACTGATGCTCCACTGACTGAGATATTTGGGATCTTCGATAACTTCCTTTCTATAACCACAGTAGGTTTTTGTTGTTTACATTTATGAGTCCTGATAGATAAGAAAGTGGAGCAGGCTAAGGGGTTTGGTAGTAAGTGGTAGGGGTGAAGATTGAGAGCTTACAATTTTGGATAAGGTGGTATGTTGGATTTCTGCCAGTTTGCTATCAGATTTCTTCCCTGCCTTTCCCTGCTCTGCCATTTATAAGATACCATTTCCCCTGGGTTCTCTGGACTTCTGGCTTCTAGTTGCATTAGCTAATGGGAAGCACCGGCAGATTGGAGAGTAAGTTGGGGGTACTTATCCTTCCTCCCCCTGCTTGGGGTGGGGTTATCCTTGGCAGTGGTTGCATTGTTTTCCCCATGATTTTAGTTCCTGTTAGACAGCGTCTCCTTCCCTGATCCCAGCTCCTGCTCAACAGCCCTTGCTGTGGTTTTGAATCCCATTGGCTACCCCAGCTTTAGAGCTCTGGTAACACCAGTTTTCCCTGTGGTGTATTAGCTCTTAGGGGTGATAGCAGATGTTGCTGATTCTAGTATCTGAGTTGCCTCATGAGCTTCCTTGTTTAGTTCCCCAGAAATGCCATCACCTGTGTAAACAATTCCCCTAAATTAGATGTCCTCTGAAATATCTAAAGCAGTTTCTGTTTTCCTTACAAGACATTGACTGATATATACGTCAAGGAAAGCCTCACTGAAAAGGTGACATTTGATCAAAGACTTAAAGAATGGAGGGCGTTAGCCATGTTGATATGGGGGAAGTATATTCTAGGCAGAGGGAACAATCCATGCAAAGGCCCTAACCTGAAAACCTGCCTGGCATGTTTAAGAAAACAACAGAGAGAGGAAGAAAAAAGTCATAGCAGATGTAAAAGATCAACTCTGATGCTAGGACCCGCTGGAGGGTACTGAGCAAGGGAGTGAAATGAATTGCCTTATATTTTTAAAAAGACTACTGTGGCAGCTGTATTGAGAATATACTATAAGTGGGTAAGGATGAATGCAGGGAGACATATTAAAAGACTTGCAGCATTCCAGGCAAGAGATGATAGTAGCATGGACCTGTGTGCTAGCAATAGAGGTAGTGAGAAGTGGTCATATTATAGTTTTACTTTGAAGGTAGCGTAAAATAAATAATAAGTGTGTAGTGATGTCTCATCATGGTCTTAACTTATATTCCTCTAATGGCTAATAATGTTGAAAACCTTTTCATGTGCCTATATGCCACCTGTATATTCTATTCAGTTAAATGTCTCATATCTTTTGCCCAGTTTCTAAATGGCAATATTTGATTTTTTTTTCCTGTTACATTTTTAGAGTTCTTTATATATTCCAGATACAAGTTTTATCAATATGTAGTTCACAAATATTTTCTTCCATCTGTAATTTCTCTTTTCATCCTCTTAACAGGATCCGTAGCAGAACAAATGTTTTTAATTTTGATGAAGTCCAGTTTTTATTTATTTATTTATTTAGAGACAGAGTTTCACTCTGTTGCACAGGCTGGAGTGCAGTGGCGCGATTTTGGCTCACTGCAACCTCTGTCTCCTGGGTTCAAGCTATTATTCTCCTGCCTCAGCCTCCCAAGTAGCTAGGATTACAGGTGTGTGCCACCACACCCAGCTAATTTTTGTATTTTTAGTAGAGACCGGGTTTTCACCATGTTGGCCAGGCTGGTCTTAAACTCTTGACCTCAGGTGATCCGCCCACCTCACCCTCCCAAAATGTTGGGATTACAGGTGTGAGCCACTGTACCCAGCTATATTCATTTTTTTAAATGTATAGATTGTGCTTTTGGTATGAGGTTGAAGAACTATTCACCAACCCTGTGTCCTAAAGATTTTCTCCTATTTTCTTCTAAAGGACAGACTTACTAGAAAGATCTTATATAGGTGGTTCAGGATGGGATGAGATCTAGTGCACAAGTGGAGGGATTAGCTTTAGATAGAGGCATGGATACTTTATCTATGATAATAGGAGGGAAGGTAGAGTATGTGAGTGCAGCTGCTGGTAAGTGATAAGGTAGTGAGTGTCTGAAGAAGTCTTCTTTTGATTGCTCCACTTTTCTCAGTCACGTAGGAAAGTCATCGCAAGAATTGAGAACTGGAGAGATTCGAGGAGAGAAAACAAGGTGTGAAAGATCCACATAATAAAGTGAGAAAATTAATGTGATAAGAATGCAAAGAAGTTTAATATAATTGCTAAGTAGCAATATGGCCAACTTGAAGTTTATGGTCAAATGAGACAAATCAGTATGGTTTGATACTTTTCTCCAGTCCTGTTCGCTTTTATGGGTGCAGGTGCAGAACAGAAAGAGAGTTGGATTTCATTTAGATGGCAGTTTTGCTGAGTACAAAAAAAAAAAAATGAGAAACAGACAGGAGAGTCATGAGTAGAAGCATAACAGTTGGTCATAGAATTTAACCTGGGTAAGAGAAGAGGGTCCTCATCAAAGGAGTGGAGAACAGGAAAATGGTGGTAGGATCAATAGATTGGCATTTCTTAGGGAATCAAATGATGATTAGAGATCCAGGCTTCTTCCACATCATTATTCTTTCATCATTAAGTATAGCTATTGTCCTCATGATCTGAGTTTTCACACTTAGCTCCAGGCAGCAGGATAAAAGAAGTAAAAGTAGGGGAAAAGAAGTGTGACTCTTATCTGCATTTAAAGGAGGTTTCCCAGAAGTTGTCACATGATACTGCCCCCTTGTATTTCAATGGCCAGAACCTAGTCACATGGCTACTCCTAGCAATAAAGAGGCTGAAAAATAAAGTCTTTATTCCAGAAACCAGTAAAAAAATAAAATAAAATAAAATAACAGGTTCTATTACCACAAAAAAGGGGAGGAAATATATTAGGGCAGACAATTACTATATTTCTTTGATTCTAAGATGTGCATTTTCCCACAGTTTACCTCTCTGAAATCAAGACATATAATTAGTACTATGTCATGGTTCAATTGCTGCATTGTTTTCTTTCTTAATAGTACAGAAAATAACGGTGCCTTTTACAGTTGATGACATGTATTAGAAGAAAGATGATAGTACATATCTTGCCAAGGCAGAGATACTGAGGGGAAGAACAGATTTTCTTGGGGCAAGAGAAAGGGGTGAAATAGAATTAGTTTGGTTTTCTATATGTTAAGTTTGAGAATGACCTATGTGCAGTTGAAAATTTAGGGCTGAAACTCCAGCGGGTGATGAAGTATGTTCTGAAATTTATGTGGGAAAACTCCTTGAGTTCTTAAGAATGTGATTATTTGTACCTCTTGTTTTCCAAAAATAATTTCAAGTGACAGATCTTCACTATAGGTAGAAATTCTTTCATTTGTTGCCAAAGCCTCAGCTGCACTGCTAGATGTCATGATAATTTTATAAGATGATAAGGTATTAAGTTTTTCAAATAAATTAGCAGTGAAAAATGAGATGTGATAAAAAAATTAGTTTGCAGCCAATAAAGTGATGGTGGAATTTTGTCATGTCTATAGTGATTGTATGTGAAACTTCTGATAGAAATGTCTGGTTTTAATTTATTTTTTTCTGGATGCTTTACTAAAGACCCATGTGCAAGGGGAAAAATTAAAAACAGACAACTTTGGATCCACTGTAACTTTCACATGCCATCAGAAAGTCTAAGATAAATGTTTCATTTGGCAATCATGGATGAAGTGCAAGCAAAAAGTAAAGTCAATTTACATTTTAATACTCCTATTTGAAATAATAAAATGGTATTTGGACATAGGCATTTTACTACGCTTACTGGTAGAATGCATAGTTTGGTTGAAGTTATAAAAAAATGCACACAGCAAATTATTTCTGTTCCACTCTCAGGTCTATATCCTTATTTGAAATGTAAGAAAAAAGGAAATGAAAGAGGTTATTACATTTTTTTAATGCAAGCCCAGTAAAAGGTAAATTTATCTTTTCCGATCTCTTGCCAGCAACGTGGAGCTCCTGTCCCCAATATCTCACCAAGTTCTTCAGGAAATGGCAACTGATCAAAGATGAAATTTTAGAAACCAATAAGATCTATAGACCCAAGACAGCAATCACATTAATTTGTATGAGCTTTTCCTAAGCAAAATAGCAAATAGAGATAGCACTGTTTTTTTTCATTTTTTTGACATTTTAAAAGTTCCAGTTACTTTCATTCACTTATTCCATACATCCTTTGGAGGCTGCTATATGTGAGGGACTAGGCTAGATACTGGGAAAATGATAATCAAAATCAGATATGATCCTTGTCTTCAGATAACTTACTTTACATTGTAGAGAAAGTGACAATGATAGTGTATTAAAACTGAGACATGAGAGGTGCTACGAAGAAGGAAGATGTGATGCTAGGAGAGTCTACAGAAAGAGCTGACATAAAGGGAAGTCAGAGAAGTATTTTTCATGTAAGAGCATAGGAAAAGATGTTTTTGGATGCAGAATATCTAACTAATGGAGGTTTAAACAATTAAGTCATTTATTACCTCATGTAACAGGAAGTTTGGAGGTATTTTCATCAGGTTTGGTTTAAAAGTCGGTTCAGGATTGGCTCAATGATGTCAACTAAGCCCTAGGCTCTTTTCCTCTCTCTATTCCTCCACCCCTTCTTGTTAGCTAAGCTCTTATGCTTGTCCCTTCTAGTTCAGAAGATGCCACAGTTCTAGGCATTATGTCCTCATATAACTGCATTCAGACGCAGGAAAAGAGGTATTTCTTCTTGTATGTCTTTTTTTTTTTTTTTTTTCAGAAGTCTTTTTTCTCAAAAGGGATTTCAGATCCTGTTGGCTTTGGACATGTTCATGTGCTAGCTGCAGGAGCTAATGGGAAAGCCAATATACAGCAACTTTAGTCTCTATCATAGGAGTCAGGCTCTGTCAGCAAGGATGGCGGAGGTGAAAAATGCCTGTAAGACGTAGTTTCTACCATGGGGAGTGACTCTGAAGGATGTGACTCACAGCTGTGATCTGAAGGGCAAGGAGGATGACTAGAGAAGAGGCAAAGAAGTGGACTCTAGTAGTTAACAACTTCTGGGGCAGCACATTGAAATAACAAAATGGCACTTGGACCTAGACATTCTATTAAGCTTAATGGTACAGCCTGTGGTATAGGTGAAATAGTATAAATAAATGAACATACCAAGTTATTTCTGTTCCATTCTAACACCTATATCCTGTATATAAGGTCAGAAAGGACCTCAGGAATGGGCAGCTGAGGGAATCCAGCAGAAAGTGAAGGGAATCAAAGATTCCACTAGGGTTCTGGCAATGCTGATGTTGGATTATGGGCTGTACAAAAGACAAAGAGACTAGAGACCGGGGGCTTTCCTGGGGAATTCAGATCCATGGAAGTTGGGGACTAGAATAGGTGTTAGGTGGAGAGGTTGAGCTTTGGTTGGTAGGGCCAGTAACAGGGCTATAGGAAGTTGCTCTTATGAACACTGGGACACATCCCATTATTCCTTCACATAGAAAATCTTTATTAAAATTCACCCAGACACCAAAGCCACCCTTGGGCTTAAAATTTCTCTCTGAAATAGAGAACCCAGAAATAGCCACACACAAGTATGGCCAACTGATATTTTGACAAAGGTGCAAAAGGGACTCCATGGAAGAAGGATAAACTTTTCAATAAGTAGTGCTAGAGCAATTGGATAGCCACAAGCAAAAACCTGAACCTAAACCTCACACCTATTAATGGAAAACTTAACTCACAAAAATTACATAGACTTAAATGTAAAAGGCAAAACTAAAACAACCTTTGAAAGAAAACAAGATAAAATCTTTAGGATACAGGATTAGAGAATAGTTCTCAGACATGACAGCAAAAGCACAATCCATAAATTTAAAAAATGAATAAACTGGACTTCATCAAAATTAAAAATATTTGTTCTGTGGCAGATCTTGTCAAGAGAATGAAAATACAAACTACAGATTGAAGAAAATATTTGTGAATCATGCATCTGACAAAAGACACATCTAATATATGAAGAACTCTCAAAATGTACAGGTAAAAAACCAAATAATGCTAATTAGAAAATGGGCAAAAGACATAAGGACATTTAACTGAATGGAATATACAGATGGCAGATAAAAACATGAAAAGATATTCAACATTATTAGCCACCAGGGGAATAAATGTAAAACTGTGATGAGGTATTACTGCACATTTATTATTTACTTTAGCTCAGCTAAAACAAAAATAGCAATAATAGAAAATGCTGGTGAGGATATGGAGAAACTGGATCTCTCATACATTGCTGGAGGAAATGTAAAATGTTACAGTTACTCTGGAAAACAGTTTTTAATTTCTTTAAAAAATGACACATACATGTATCACATGACCTGGCAATTGCACTCCTGGGCATTTATCTCAGAGAAATGAAGATTTTTGTCCACATAAAAACCTGTATTCAATTGTTTGCAGCAGTTTTATTTGTAATGGCCCCAAATGGGAAACAATCAAAATGTTCTGCAATAGGTGAATGGTTAAACAAATTGTGGTACATCCATGTCATGGAATATTACTCAGCAATAAAAAAGGAATGAACTATTGATAAACACAACAACTTGGATGGGTCTCAAGTGCATTATGCCAAGTGAAAGAAGCCAATCTTAGAAGGTCATGTACTGCATGAGTCCATTCATATAACATCTCAAAATGTCAAAATTATAAAAACAGAAACAGAGATCACTAGGGTTAGGAGGGCAGGTGTTACCAAAAAGGTTAGCACTAGGGAGATCTTTGTGAGGGTGGAATAGTTCTGTATCTTGATCATGGTGGTGGTTACACAAAATATGTAGTAGAATGACATAGGACTACACAAATACTTTATATCAATGCCAGTTTCCTGGCTTTGATACTGTACTAGAGTTATACGAGATGTAATCACTGGGGGAAACAGGTACACAAGACATCTGTACTATCTTTGCAACTTCATGTGAATCTATAACTATTTCAAAATGAAAAGTTTGAAAGAAAATTTTCTCTGAGGCATCTCTCCCTTGCCTTCCTTCATCTTGTGCATTTCTTTCCCTGAGTATGACTTTTTCTCTTTCTTTCTCCCTTTCCCTTATGTACTGGGTTTTCCTTTAACGGTCCATAATGCCAAACTATGTCATTCCCCATCCTCCTATTGTTCCTATTTATTTAATGAAGGTTATGTTTTCATGTGCTTAATTTTAAAAGCAGGAAAGTACTAACTCTTTAAACAAATTTCTTAAAAAACAAAACCCAAAACTAACCTGCTTTTTATTTTATATAATTCAGTTAGTCATTATTCTTTAAGGTCGGAAGTCCACAATACAAACATGTTTCCAACACTTGTATTGGAAGATAATTTTTGTTTTATATGCATGGAGCATTAATATCATTCTTCATGTCTATGGATTATGAACACACACACATTCAGGATTTACTGGGGAAACAGTGACATCAAATATTATGTTCTATTGATTCTTCATATAAATCTACATGTCAAAAAATAATCCTTTGCCAGATCACGTATCCAGATTTTTCGTTTGGAAAATACGAACATTACTACTACAGAATATCAAACTGAATACAGCCCTGTCCTGAGGGCTTGCAAAGTGAATCTGGCAATACTTTGGAAAAGTACTACTGCAGGTTCTCAAGGACCCAAAGAGCTCTCCAGCTTTTCCAGTGGGTTCAGCCCCAAATATCCTAATTTCTTCAATAAATTACGAGTTGCAGGTGTTTAAATATGCAAGTATATTTTGGTCTTTTCGTTATCATTGTAAAACACCAGTCCTAACAAGCAGTAAAGATTACACTTTATGGTGGTAATATTTACAGTTAATGCACTTCTGCATTTCTTCCCGCACATTTTTCTTCTTACTTATTTAAACTAAGCGTTTCCCCTCTTTTTTTAAGCCCCAGTATTAAAAAGAAAATAAAATCCCAAAGAATTTCGCAACATTGCGATTGCACTGGCTTGAGAACGAAGGAAGTTAGTCCCTTGCGGTGATCCGTCCTTTCATCCTGGCGTTTGCCTGCAGCAAGATGGCGGCGGTGTCAATGTCAGTGGTACTGAGGCAGACGTTGTGGCGGAGAAGGGCAGTGGCTGTAGCTGCCCTTTCCGTTTCCAGGGTTCCGACCAGGTAATAGAATTTTCACACTTTTCTTCAAGCTTCTTGGGTCCCTCCATTTTTGCGGAGTCTCTGCTGGCTGAGTTCCGGAGGAGGCCTCGGGGAAGGCGTCCTCTGTTGACCCTTTTCTCGGGAGAAGTCGGGCGGACTAGGGACTGTCTGCTATCAATGGGCGTTGGCCAGGCGAGTGAGGGCGTGAGTGCGAGGCCGGGGAGGAGGACCTGTGGTTTTCTGGAAGCTTTCGTATTCGGCTTGTCGCTGAGGGAGAGGGTCCGTGGAGGTTTTGCCTCCGGAGCTGCAAGCTGAACCTTAGCCCTCAGAGAAGGGGAGGAGTCTCACTGATTTCTGTTTCCACTTTCTGCATCCCTTCCATTTGTCACCTGTTTGCCCACCACTCCAGTCCTTACAGAAGGGTTAAATCACTGTATCCCTTCCATGGTTTTAAGTGGTTTTAATTTGGTTTCTGCATAGGAAGATTGTTTATTCATCAGTCTGCTTGGGAGGAAAACTTGTTTGGAATTCAGTGTTAGTAAAAATATCACTGCTAGTAATATTGGAAGGTAATTTTTAAAAGGCTGGTGGTAATGCCTGGAGGTTTTCTAGGGATTTTGTTAAAGCCTCACAATAATTCAGGGATTGAATTGAGTTGTTGAGGGCTCTTTGCGTCCTTGAGAACCTAAAGTAGTACTTTTCCAAAGTATTGTCAGATTCAGTTGTCAGTTGATTGAGTTGTTACTGTTTTTCCTTGAAGCATTTTTGTGATGATTTTTTTTTTTTTGGCTGTATTAACCTTCCATTTTCTATTTTTCAGAATTTCCTGGAGTTTTTTAAATTATAGTACTAATGCTATACGTACATACACACACATATTAGAACAAAGATTGGAAAGACTGGATGGAGAGATTTGAAGGGGGTAGGAGGTGGATGCAAGTGGTTAAAAGTTGAAAGGAAGGTCTAGTAGAATGCTAATTGATTTAGTGTTAAATATAAATGGAATGCAGAGAATTAGGATGAGTTAATTCGGAAGAATTTTTAAGGATGAGTTTTATTAAGGTTTAAATATAGTGGGTGTTGGGTGGGAAAGAAGAGAGTGTCCCGTAGGGTCCGTGGCTTATGAAAAGGCTTGAAAGCATTAGTTAAACGATTACTAAATACATAGAATAGAGTCACTCAAAAGTAAGGGTGCTAAGATTGGGGAAAGGCAAATGATGTTTGTAATTAAGTGTTCCATATATGGAAAGTATTTTTCCTTTTTCTTTCTCTTTTTTTTTTTGAGATACATTCTCACTCTGACGCCCAGGCTGTAGTGCAATGGCGTGATCTTGGTTCACTGCAACCTCCGCCTCCCGGGTTCAAGCAGTTCTCCTGCCGCAGCCTCCTGACTAGCTGGGATTACAGGCGCGCACCACCACACCTGGCTAATTTTTGTATTTTTAGTAGAGGCGGGGTTTCACCATGTTGGTCAGGCTGGGTTAAGTATTTTTCTAAGGTAAAATACTTCACTGGTTAACTTAGAGTTAATATAGCGGTGACCAAGATTAGCCCTTCCTCCCGTACAGATTATAGGGATTAATTGTCATTCCCAGATAATAATGTACTCATGGTAGCCCCAGAACTGAAAACAAGTTTGAAGGGACCACTGGTTTATGGCTAATCAAAACATGGCTGTAATTTTAAGTCAAAGCCATTTTGTCAGCAATTATAGTAATTGAAGTTGAGATTAGATTTTTGAAACTCTGATGATAATTGTTACTACATATCCAAACTTAAGAGTTTTTGCCTGCAAATGTAAGAGATTTGAAAATAAATCATTTAATCTTGAAAAAAAATCTTAATGCCAGGGAAGACGTTTTTTAAATACAAATTAACACATTTATTTGTTTTCTGTGCCACATTTTTACCCTAAGAGCTTGTCATGTTCATCCTAATTTGAGGGAAATTTATAGACCCTCTCCCTTACATATTGTTTGTTCTTCATCCTTAAGCATTCTTTTTCCATTATGATTTGATAGTAATGAGGATCTGAAAAAGGTGAGTAGAAAGAACCAATTAATGGGAAAATCTACATCTAAAATTCATTTTATTGTAATGCTTAGAAAAACATTTGCAAATCATGTAACATTTCAGATCATTTGAATAGAATATGGGAAGTGGAATCAGTAAGGTAAGGAGTGGAGTAGGGAACTGAAGGAAAGGAAGGGCCGGGCGCGGTGGCTCACACCTGTAATCCCAGCACTTTGGGAGGCCGAGGCGGGCAGATCACAAGGTCAGGAGATCGAGACCATCCTGGCCAACACGGTGAAACCCCGTCTCTACTAAAAATACAAAAAATTAGCCAGGCGTGGCAGCGTGCGCCTGTAGTCCCAGCTACTCAGGAGGCTGAGGCAGGAGGATGGCGTGAACCCGGGAGGCAGAGCTTGCAGTGAGTCAAGATCGCGCCACTGCACTCCAGCCTGGGCAACAGAGCCAGACTGTGTCTCAAAAAAACAAAAAAAAAAAAAAAAAAGAAAAGGAAGGATGCTGTTAGCTGCTACATTAACATATTAATTCAATTATAGTATATCATCAGTGAAAAGCAAAACAAAGAATGCAACAACACATACACACAAGAGAGAAAAAATCTAGTAATGTGGGTGATTGAGCTGATCTAGTTACTTACTGAGCTTGTGCTGTAGTGTTGGTCTCAGTTTCCATGTGCTTCTCATTTCCCTGTACCGAATGTGAGGAGGCAAAAAAAGGGGTTAAATTGTCTACATTTTTTTTTTTTTTGGAGATGTAGTTTCGCTCTTGTCACCCATTCTAGAGTGCAGTGGCACAATCTCAGTTCACTGCAACCTCTGCCTCCCGGGTTCAAGCGATTCTCCCGCCCCAGCCTCCAGAGTAGCTGGGATTACAGGTGCCCACCACCTCGCCCAGCTAATTTTTTTATTTTTAGTAGAGATGGAGTTTCACCGTGTTAGCCAGGCTGGTCTCAAACTCCTACCCACAGGTGATCCACCCGCCCCGGCCTCCCAAAGTGCTGGGATGACAGGCGGGAGCCACCGCGCCCATCCCTAAGTTGTCTACATTTATCCTTACTTTCCCTGACTTTCCTAAGAGATTTTCCAGGGTAAATTTAACTATTCTAAATGCATTTATCAGCCAGATGAAATGGCACTCTATTTCAAAATAGCTATACTTAAGATATTTGATGCAGTGATGTTTTTATTCACTTATTTAAGTGTGTTCATGTATACTTATCTCACCTTAGTATTTACTAGGTCTTGTGTTTTCCTCAAACAAGTCCTTAGGGTGTTAAATCACCCAGAGGGTTTTAATTAATGACTGGTGGGGACTGAGTGTTTGGGACCTGTTTGTGAGGTCTCTTTTATGCCCTGATCTGTGGCTTTATTCTGTTGCTGTGTTTGGTTCTTCAGCATTATATAAGCTAGCATGAAATTGAGTCTTCAATTCGATGGGGAATTGAATTTGAACCCTCCAAATAGTAAGCAGTCCTTAAGGTTGACAAGAATTCTGTTTGTTAACACCTTGCTGGGAAATAGGCTAAGCTCAAATTTAGGACACTTAAGACCAATAGGTTCACTTCTACTTCAGATAAACTAAATAAATTCCTCTCCTAGGGGCAGCTATTTTTGCTATCTTTGTAACACATCCAAGCCAAAGTTTGAGAGCTTGAAAGATTTCTAATATGTTTTCTGATAGGTTTATTTGTTTTGTTTCTTTTCCTCTTTCCAAATGCCCATACTTAGTTTTCATCAGTAGCAGACATCTTCGTTGAATTTTTGTTAGGAAAATAATTATTATATTTTGAGACAGAGTCTCATTCTGTTGCTCAGGCTGGAGTGCAGTGGCGCAATCTTGGCTCATGCAACCTCCACCCTCTGGGCTCAGGTGATCCTCCTGCCTTAGTCTTCACAGGCAGCTGGGACTGTAGGTGTGCTTGCCACCACGCCCAGCTAATTTTTGTATTTTCAGTACAGACGGGGTTTCACACTGGTCTTGAACACCTGACCCCAAGTGATCCGTGTGCCTTGGCCTCCCAAAGTGTTAGGATTACAGGCATGAGCCACCGTATCCAGCCGGAAAATTAAATATTTTAATATGTAATGTCGGCATATAGTAAGCCTTCCCTAGATAAATGGTAATTTTATTATTGGTTTGAATGGCCTGAATGTTTTTCATTTCTTTAATCTTGGTTGTAAGTATTGTGATAGATTGTGTTATTGTTTAAAGTATTCACTACCACTGTCTGCAACAGGATTACATATCCAAAAACCACTGGCCAAATGACTTGCTTTATCCAGTGAAATGTTAGTGGAAATGATATACCATGTCAAACAGGAGCTTTGAGAGCTCTCCTGTGTTTTGTCATATTCCTTTTCCCTCTGATGTGAGGTAGGTGTACTCCAGGTGGGGTCTGCTGTTTTAGCCCACATCTTGGATTGTAGACTACATAGTGCAAAGCAGAAACTGATTCTTATTGCAAGATTTTATAAAATATAAATTGAGTGAAAAATAAACCTTTGCTGTAAGCCACAAAGGTGTTTGGATTGGTTACCTCAGCATAACAACCTATGCTGACTCTATTTTATATACACTCATATTTGCAAGTGAGCAGGTTTTAGCACATGGACCGATATATCAGCAGTGAGGTCGCAAGCTTTTTGAGGACACAACCACATTTTTGTTTATTTGTGTGTACTTCATGGCATCTAGTGTAATGGCTTGCATGTAGCAGGTAAATGCTTATCTTACAGATGAATAAATACATATTTAGAGATGAGCGATTGTGAGGAAAAGCAGGGAGCATTACGCAGTGTTTCTTTTAATACCCTCATCAGTGATAGCCAGGTAGGCACTAACCTTTATAAATATGAAGATAAACTATCTACAACACATATTCTAATTATTTGCAGTGGTCTGAGTGTAGGATATTCACCTAGAACTCTGTTAACTTTTGGATTGAAGTTGTCTTATGAATAGATTTTGTATTCATACACTTTGACAAGTGTTCAGACACTTCTTTTGTATTCAAATTTAAAAATGCAAGAGGAAATGAATGTTTGGGAAAGGGTACCCTTGGAACATGAGAACTTTTTTGGAGTAAGAGTAACTATGCGAAGTTTTAAAAAGTCAGTAATACGGCCGGGTGCGGTGGCTCACGCCTGTAATCCCAGCATTTTGGGAGGCCAAGGCGGGTGGATCATGAGGTCAGGAGTTCGAGACCAGCCTGGCCAACATGGTGAAACCCCGTCTCCACTAAAAAATACAATAATTAGCCGGGTGCGGTGGCGGGTGCCTGTAATCCCAGCTACTCGGGAGGCCGAGGCAGGAGAATCGCTTGAACCTGGGAGGCGGAGGTTGCAGTGAGCCGAGATCGCACCACTGCACTCTAGCCTGGGTGACAGGGCAAGACTCCAAAAAAAAGTTAATAATACACGGAACTTAAGGGAGAAAGATGGAGCAACTTGGTTCCTGTATAATACTTGCTAGAAGAGATCTGTTTGGGGTGAGGTATACATAGAATTTAGTCAGAATACATATTGTCTGTACTGAATACAAACAATTTCAAATGGAAGAGCTTCTAAAACATGTCCCTTGGTAGAAGTTGAGAATCGTTTATTCCAAGCAAAATTAATTCCAAGTAGCATTTGTTTTTAATTTACTCTGTATCAGCTACTGTGCCAAGGATTTCACCTGTATTATCTCATGTGTTTCCCACAGTAATCCTATCAACTCAGGTGTTGTTATCCTCATTTTTCAGATGAGGAAACAGGTACAGAAGTGAAATTACTGAAGTTTACATTGCCAGGAAATGTAATTGTCTCTTGGTATCCATGAAAGATTGGTTCCAGGACTCCTCAAGGACACCAAAATCCACGGATGCTCAAGTCCTTGATTTAAGATGGTGTAGTATTTCCATATAACTTCTGTACATCCTCCTATATACTTTAAATCATCTCTGGATTACTTATGATACCTAATACAATGTAAATTCTCTGTAAATAACTGTTATCCTGTATTCTTTAGGAAATAATGAAAAGAAAAAAGACTGTACATGATAAGTACAGATGCAGTTTTTCCTCCCCCACCGCCAAGTATTTTTTTTTTTTTTTTTGAGGTGGAGTCTTGCTTTGTTGCCCAGGCTGAAATGCAGTGGCGTGATCTCGGCTCACTGTGAACTCTGCCTCCCAGGTTCAAGCAATTCTCCTGCCTCAGCCTCCCGAGTAGCTGGGATTACAGGCGCGCACCACCACGCCTGGATAATTTCTTTGTATTTTAATTAGAGACGGGGTTTCACCATGTTGGTCAGGCTGGTCTCAAACTCCTGACCTCGTGATCCACCTGCCTCGACCTCCCAAAGTGCTGGAATTACAGGCGTGAGCCACTGAGCCCAGCACCCCTTAATATTTTAAATCTGAGGTTGGTTGAATTATGATGTGGAACCCACAGATGCAGAGGGTTGACTGTAGTCTGATATAGCAGTCTAAATGAATATGTTCACTTTTGCAGTGAGGAATATTATGTCTGGTAATAATCAGTTCAAACCCTAATGTCCTCTCTGTTTTTTCTGCCTTTTAGCCAAGTGTCTTCTTTATTTGAGAGACCATGGAATGCTCTTATCTTTACTGTTGCTGCATGGTTCCATTTGTACAGTGAGAGTTACCAAATGCACAATTAGTTGTTTACTTTTTTAAGCTAATGATTTTTTCCCCTAAATTTTGTAATTATTTTTGGTAAGGGACTTTTCATAGGTGACTTATTATACTTTTTTACGCTCTTAAAAAATATATATAACAAGATATACTGGACATTTTTTTTTTCTGTTTTCTTACTGATTCCAGTGATTAGGAAAAACGGTTGTATTGTGTTGTCTTTAAAAACGATTCAGTGTCTGCTATGCTTTCTGAGTTCTCGTGTCTGCTTTTTAATAGTGTTATATTCTTCCTTGACTGGTCTGCTTCCCTTTAGCAGTTTTAGCACCCCTTTTTCATTTATTATGGATTTGAATGTCAAGCAACTAAACCTATTAGAATTTTGTATAAAACAAAGTATGCTAAATGAAATTCTGATGATGGCAGAAGTTTACTTTTTATGATTAAAGACTTGAGCTCTTTTAAGGTTAACGAATAATTATATTTAATATATGAGCTCTTGTGACTTTTCTTTTCTAGCTTGTAGAAGTCCATAGATCCTGATGGAACCTTTTTGAACCTGAATTATGCAGTGACCACATTCTTCATAACAACTTTCATCTAAACATATGAATAATTTAATAAACTATTATAAATTTTTTCTTTTAATAACAGAGCAATTCAGAATTCTTGTTTCAAGTTCTATTTTGTTGTCTGTTACTAAGTATTTTGGTAGGTAAATATGACTTTAGGTTCTTTAGAACTAGTTAGTTGCTCAAAGGTAACCTTTTCTTCTTGTCTGTACTCACTAGACTTAATTTTTCTTTTATGGGCTCATTCTCCAGTTCACTGGTTTTTAAACCCTTGTGCATCAAAATTATCTGTTGGGTGCCTAAAAAATTCAGATGCCTTGCCCCCCAGTCTATATTGGTTCAGTAAGTTTAGGTTGAGGCTTAGCTCTATGGTGATTCTAATGGGAAGCTAGGGCTGAAAACGGATTAAAAAAAAAGTTTCCATATTATATCTTGTAAGACTTAGGAAATATATTTTTCCTTGGGAGAGAGTTCAGGGAGATTTCCAGAAACAAAAATTCTTCCATTTTTGCATATTTTTCTATTCTAAATTAAGTTTTATGCTTTTCACCCATGCACATAAGAGGTATTTTCTTGGGGAAAGTTTCCTTAGAGGGAAAAAAGGCATTTTGATAATTTTGGAGAAAGCAGGCCATATTACTCTCTCTCTAGAGACTCTTATTCTTCCTTTTGGAAGGGCTCAGGTTTAATATAGCACAGCTGTTGAACTCTGCCCTTCAAAATTTT
Organism: Homo sapiens; assembly: GCF_000001405.40. Lineage (NCBI taxonomy): Eukaryota > Metazoa > Chordata > Mammalia > Primates > Hominidae > Homo > Homo sapiens. The sequence continues at coordinate 53,568,703 of NC_000005.10, forward strand.
AAGAAAGTGTTTTATCCTTTAAAATGGAAAAGGCTTTTTTAGGAAGGTGGTCTTTCACTGGATGTAGTTCTCTAAGAAAGTTTCATGCTTCTCTACTCTTTTGTGTTTGAATCGTTTCAAATGTTGAGAGAACTGTCTCTGGGAGTAAAATCTGGCTGCTTTTGCAATATATTTTCTGTATTCTTAAACAAAGCTATATGAAGAGTTTATTTCTTTGTGTTTTCTAGGACTCAAAAATATGTTTTTTCCTTTATTCAGCCACTTCACACATAAGTAAATGGTCCTTGAATAGGGCTTACTGGACAAAAGATTCTGTTCTAGATGACTGTTCAGCAAGCCATATGCTTCTCCTAAAAATGTCAGTCTGTCTTGATGAGCTTTAAAGTGAATACAGATGTTTTGGCTCTTTTGAGGACTACCACTCTTTGTATGGAAAGAGTACTTCTTTTTCAAGTGATCTCTTCAATATACTTACAGGAATTTGCATGAAATTTATGACTTTTGCCTTTTAAGTCTAATAAGATTAGACTTAGACATGTGTAATTTGAATTTAATTTTAATATTCGTAGTACAAATGAGATTTGGGGAATAAAATACATTTCATAATATGGCTTTTTGTTCAGATTTTGTATTCAACCTTTTAAAAAATGTGAAAGTGCTTTGTAATATTTACTTTTGTGCAATAAAAAGTGATATTTTGGCAGGCAAGGTTACCTTTTTAGATGTTCAGTGTCTTCTATCTTTGTAGGTTAACTCTGGAGTTATAGTTCATAGATTTATGTAATATTTAAGTTGGAAGAAAACTCTAGAATCATTAAGTCCAACCCTTTATTTAATGCAAGAATCCCTAGAACTTCCTGCTTCTTGATTATCTAGTTGTTGAGGAAGTTTGGTGACTTTCTGATAACCCCAGAAAACACACTATACGTTTAGACTTACTGGTAAGTGATGTTTTTCTTTGAAACTGTATAGAACAAGTTTAACCCCGTATACACTTGTCAGCCCTTCAGATAATTGAAGACATTTGTCATCACTCATTCTTCCTTCAAGTCTGTGCTCCAGGCTTAGCACGTCCAGTTTGTTTACTCTTTATTAATGATCAAATTTCCTGACGCTTTACTACCTCTTGGTACCCCTTAGGATGTTTTCCATTTTGTCAGTGTTGATCTTTGAACTATGTACTGTACTTTTATTTAAATGAGATTATCAGAGATGATAGTTTCATGAGCTGAGATTGAATTAAGGAAAAAAGTTGACTCTAGGTTGGATTTATTTTATATTATTTTTAAAATTATAAAGAAAAATTAACTGTTTTCCTTTTGGTGTATACTTCTTAGAGTTTTAACACATGTATGGGTTATGTGTAACCACCACCATAATCCTAGTACAGAATACAGTGTAATATGCAGATAACTGTTTTACTGTATTGTTTCAGGGTGCAGAATACCAAAAGACTTCATTACCCCAAGACTCCCTCATGTTATCCTTCCCTGACCGCTGTAATCCCTGTCCACAGTTATCTTTTTTCATCTTTATAGTTTTACAGTTTTGAGACTGTAATATAAATGTAGTCATATATAACCTTTTGAGATTGTCTTTTTTTATTCAGCCTGGTGCCTTTGAACTTCATATAAGTTTCATGTATCGACAGTTTGTTCCTTTTTACTGCTAAGTAGTATTCCGTTATGTGGAGGTACCACAGTTTATCCATTTACCTATTGAAGGACATATGAATTATTTCAGGTTTTTGGCAGTGTAAATAGAGCTTCTGTACAGGATTTTATGTGAATTATGATTTTGTTTCTCTAGAGTAAATACCTGGGTAGAAGATTCCTGGGTCATAGCTAAGTGTATGTTTAATTTTATAAGAAACTCTCAGACCGTTTTCCAGAGTGGTTGTACCATTTTGCTTTTCACCAGCACCATATGAAAGTTTTAGTTGTTTTGCATCCTTGTTAACATTTGTATTGTATTTTTTTTTCTTTTTTTTTTTTTTTTTGAGACAGAGTCTTGCTCTGTCACCCAGGCTGGAGTGCAGTGGCACGATCTTGGCTCACTGCAAGCTCCGCCTCCCAGGTTCAAGTGATTGTCCTGCCTCAGCCTCCTGAGTAGCTGGTATTACAGGTGCATGCCACCATGCCCGGCTAATTTTTGTATTTTTAGTAGAGACGGAGTTTCACCATGTTGGTCAGGCTAGTCTCGAACTCCTGACCTTAGGTGATCTGCCTGCCTCGGCCTCCCAAAGCGCTGGAATTACAGGCATGAGCCACGGCGCCCGGCTGTGTTTTTTATTTTAGCCATTCTAGTAGGTGTTTAATGGTATTTCATTACGGATTTTTATTTTGGAATGGCTTTATTTAGCTATAATTTATATATTATAAAATTTACTCATATAAAGTATACAATTTGACTGGTTTTCATATATTCCCAGAATTGTACAACCAAAACCACAATTTTAGAACATTTCCATCACTCAAACTCTGTACCCATTAGCAGTCGCTTCTCCCCCAGTCCTAGATAACGACTAACCTTCTTTTTGTTTCTACAGATTTGCCTATTCTGGACATTTTATACAAATGCAGTCATATAATATATGGTCTTTTGTGACAGGCTTGTTTCAGTTAGCATAATGTTTTCAAGGTTTATCCAAGTTGTAGCATGTACCAGTACTTTATTCCTTTTTATTGAAGAATAGTATTCTATTGTATGGACAAACCACATTTTATTTTTGAGGGACATCTGGATTGTTTCTACCTTTTGGCTACATGAATAGTGTTCTGTGGACATTCAGATACAATATTTTATGTCAACATATGTTTTTATTGTTTTGGGTATATACCTCGGAGTAGAATTGCAGGATAATGTAATAACTCTATATTTAGCCTTTTGAGTAACTGTCAGACTGTTTTCCAAAGTGGCTGCACTATTTTACATTCCCACCAGCAGTGAATGAGGGTTCCAGTGTCTTTGTATCCTCTCCAACTTTGTTATTATCTATCTTTTTGAAGTTATAACTATCCTAGTGAGTATAAGGTGGTACCTCATTCTGGTTTTGACTTGTACTTCTATGATGGCTAACTCATTGTGGTTTTAATATGCATTTCTCTAATGGCAAATGATGTTGAACTTTGGTGAAGTATCTGTTTATGTCTTTTGCCCATTTTTAATCATGTTATTTTCTTATTGTTCAGCTTTTATAGTTCCTAAAATATTCTGGATACAAATTCTTTGTCATGTATGGGAAAAAATATATCTCTCTAGGTTCATGGTTGAGCCCCCTACAACTAAAGACAGATGAAGAAGAGAAAAGCATACACATGTATTTAATATAAATTTGTGTAACATGGGAGCTTTCATAAGGAGATAAATATCCAAAGAAACAGTTAAACTTGTATATTTTTATGCTTAGGTTTGGTGAAGAGTAGATAGGGAGAAATATGATAGAACAAAGGGGATTTGGTATATGGTAATAAGCTGGGGGAAACAGCAAAGCCAGTTTGTTCTGATTCGTCTCTGACTGACCATTTGTCTTCAGAGATAACAATGTTCCTTTCTTTCTGATATAGGGAAGACACCTCTCACATGAGAGTTTTATAGGGAAGGTTAGATAATCCTAGATTTTATAACCTACTTCAGAGAAGAAGGGATGGGGGAAGAAGGTCAAAGGTACCTTCCTACTTCGGCCGTTTTTCAGTATTACAAGGTGGCACATTTTGGGGTAGCATGTCCTGAACTCTACCAATCAGATGTGTAATTTTCAAATATTTTCTTCTAATCTGTAGTTTTTCTTTTTCATTCTTTAACATTATCTTTCACAAAGTAAAAGTTTTAAATTTTGATGAAGTTAGTTTACTAGTATTTTTCCTTTTAATGATTGTGCTTTCGTTGTTGAGCTCTTTGCCTAACCCCAGGCTGTGAAGATTTTTTTCTGTATTGTCTTCTTGAAGTTTTTTTTTTTTTTGGCGGAGTCTCGCCCTGTTGCCCAGGCTGGAGTGCAGTGGCGCAATCTTGGCTTACTGCAACCTCTGCCTCCTGGGTTCAAGTGGATTCTCCTGCCTCAGCCTCCCAAGTAGCTGGGATTACAGGCATGTGCCACCATGCCTGGCTAAGTTTTTGTATCTTTAGTAGAGACGGGGTTTCACCATGTTGGCCAGGCTGGTCTCGAACTCCCGACCTCGTGATCCACCTGCCTTGGCCTCCCAAAGTGCTGGGATTAGAGGCGTGAGCTACCGTGCCTGGCCTTTGTTGTTTTTTGTTTTTTTTTTTTGTTTTTTTTTTTTTTTAAGAGACCAGGTCTTGCTCTGTTACTCAGGCTATAGGGTAGTGGTATGATAATGGCTTACTGCAGCCTTGACTTCCCGGACTCTAGCGATTCTTTCCCACCTCAGCCTCCTGAGTAGCCAAGACTACAGGTGCATACCACCATGCCTCGCTAATTTTTATATTTTTTTTGTAGACATGGGTGTCTCCCTGTGTTGCCCAGGCTGGTCTTGAACTCCTGGGTTCAAGCAGTCCTCCTGCCTAGGCTCCCCAAAGTACTGGGATTACAGGTGTGAGCCACTGCACCTGGCCCATCCTTCTTTTTGAAAATTGTAGCTATTTTAGTTCCCTTCCATCATTTAGAATCAGCTCTTTTATAACTATGAAATCCTGCTAGGGTTTTGATTGTATTGCATTAAATCTATAGATTAATTTGGGAAAAGTTGACATTTCTGCTGTGTTGAATCTTTCAATCCATAAACATGGTATGTCTCTTTATTTATTTATCTAATCAGTGTTGTAGTTTTGAGCGTGCAGATCCTGTATATGTTTCGTTAGATTTATGCCTAACTATCTCAATTTGGGGGAGCTGTGGTAAAGAGCATTGCTTTTAAAATTTTCTTTTCTTTATTTTTTATTTTTTAGAGACAGGGCCTTGCTCTGTCATCCAGGCTGGAGTGCAGTGGTGCAATCATAGCTCACTACATCCCTGAGCTCCTGGGCTTAAGCAGTCCTCCCACCTCAGCCTCCCAGGCAGCTGCGACTATAGGCATGTACCACTAAGCTTGACTAATTTTCTTATTTTATTTTTTTGTAGAGACAGGTTGCTATATTGCCCATGCTTGTCTCAAACTCCTGACCTCAGGTGATCCTCCTTCCTCGGCCTCCCAGAATGCTAGGATTATAGACATGAGTTATTGCATCCAGCCTAAATTTTATTTTGAAATTGTATATTGCTGTATATAGAAGTGTGATTGATTTTTGTGGTTGACTTTGTATCCTGTGACCTTGCCACATTTATTTGTTACATAAAGTTATATAAGTTTTTTGTAGATTCTTTGGGCTTTCTAAGAAAATAATCATGCAGTCCGTGAATAGGGAAATTTTGTTTCTTCCTTTCCAATCACTAGGTCTTTTATTTCTTTTTCATTTCCAGGAGGATGTTAAGAATGGTAACAGCAGACATTCTTTTCATTTACCAATCTTAAGGGAAAGCATTCAGTTTTTCACCTTTACGTATAATGTTAGCTAAAGGTTTTTTGTAGAAATACCCTTTATTAGATTGAGGAGGTTCCCTTCTGCTTCTGCTTTGCTAACAGTTTTCATCAAGAATGGATGTGTCTAATGCCTTTTATGCATCAATTGGTGTAGTCTTGTTTTTCTTCTTTAGACTGTTAATGTGGTAGATTGATTTTCAAATATTGAATCAGCTTGCATTCTCAATAAACCCCACTTAGTTGTGGTGTTGAATTCTTTTCGTATACTGGCATATTTGGTTTCCTAATACTTTGTTGAAGATTTTTACATCTGTGTTTATGAAGAATACTGATCTGTAGTTTGTTTCTTTTTTATTTTGGTACTGTGTTTAGATTTGGTATCAGGGTAATGCTGGACTCATAAAATGAGCTGGGAAATTTTTCATCATCTTTTCTTTTGAATTGCTTTAGTTTCATGCTACAAATTAAGATATGTTGTATTTTCATTTGGTTCAAAATATTTTATTTCCCTTGAGACTTCCTTTTTGATCTGTAAATTATTTAGAGGTGTTTTGTTTAATTTCCATGTATTTGGATGCTTTCTTTTTTTTGTTATTTATTTTTTGTTTATATTATATTCGGAGAACCCAATTCCCTGGGGTTTCCTTTATCAATGTCCATCCAGAAAATTGTGGCTATCATTAAGTTGCACTGTAGTTGCACCTAAATCAGGGACTAAGGGACTAGAGGACAGAGAGAGAAAAAAACAGAAAAGCAATGGGTGTTGGCCCCACCTTTTCAGAACCACAGCTCCAGCGGACTTAGAAGAAGAACCCTCCTTCAGATTTTTGGCTCCCGCACATTTCCATTGTTGCCACCGCATGTGGCTATAGGATTGCCTATGGCTGATTCATGGTGTATGAGAGAAAAGAGAAGAAAATGGGGATTTTCTATCATTTCTCTGAGCACTTGTTTCTTTTCTTGCTCCTTGAGGCCGAGTGCTTCTGGAGAATTGCTCATTTCATGTTTCCAGCCGCATTTAAGTTCAGGCTGGGGACATTCAAGGGAAAAGCTATTTCAGACTCACTGCTAGTTCAGTGGTCCTTTGAGTTCTGATGATCTTCCCTGATCTGCCTGCTATTTCCTTTTCAGAGCCTTCAAACAGCTGCTCCATGCATCCTTTCCAGATTTCATGGTTGCATTCAGTGGGAGATACAGGGTACAGTGTGCTTGCTACATCTTACTCAGGACAAGCCCATCCTAGGATGGATTATTTTTAAAGCTAAACGCTAACATTTCTTGCATCTTAGCACATCTGAATGGATTTAAAGGATCTAAAATGACTCAAAATATTCTTTATATGATCAGATTCTTTTTTTTTTTTTTTTTTTTTTTTTTTTGCAGACAGAGTCTTGCTCTGTCGCCTAGGCTGGAGTGCAGTGGCATGATCTCGGCTCACTGCAACCTCTGCCTCCCGGGTTAAATCGATTCATGTGCCTCAGCCTCCCGAGTAGCTGGAATTGCAGGTGTGCACCACCATGTCTGGCTAATTTTTGTATTTTTGTAGAGATGGGGGTTTCACCATGATGGCCAGGCTGGTTTCAAACTCCTGGCCTGAAGTGATCTGCCTGCCTCTGTCTCCCAAAGTGCTGGGATTACAGGTGTTAGCTACCACACCTGGCCTAAATGATCAGATTCTTAACCAGTTGATTCTCAACTGTGGTGGGAGAAAGGGAGGAATTCACATACCATAATCTTGGAAATGGCATAAAGAAAGGGTTTCACAATACATGTACTTGTGGTTGAAAATCATGACTTTTATTTAAAGATGTTGCCCATGTAAGTGATGCAGAGGCAGGAAAATACATTGAATCACTGGTTTAGACCATCAAACAATAAATCTTCTTTGAGAGGGTGTAGAGGTCAGAGATCTATTTAGAGTAAATGATGGAAGTTTTGGTGACTTTTCTCTAGAAATAGATACAGTCATATGTATAAAATCAGAGTGGGGGATTAATGGATCCCAGGCTTTGTAGCCCTTCCATAGATAGTATTAGGTCTTATACAGTGTTTTGTTTATACTCGTGTTCAAGTTCTTGTGTTAAACCTTTCTCACAAGTTACAGAAACCTAAAATCTCAGATGGCTGGCTTAGGCAAGAAGAGAGAATTGGTTTACATTACCAAGCAATGGAAAGGGTAAGGGTGCACCTAGCTAGTCTCAGGGACCTAAGCTAGAAAGCCACCAGGTTCTTTTTCTAGTTTGTCTCTGTCTGTCTCTGAATGACAGCTACTATTTCAGATTGTTTTTTTCCCATGTGGTAGATACTATAACTGATAGAAATTTCTTCAGGTTTATATCTCCATAGCTTTATTACCAGGGAGGGACTGAAAATCCCTTTCTCTGATACCAAGTTTAAAAATCCTGGAGAAATACTTGATTTGAGTCAGATTAAACACACTAAGGGTTTACAAAAAATACTCAATGTTTGTAATTCTTCTTATACTGCTGTATCGTATGAATATAGATCATAGGAACCTTGAGAGTGAGATGTAATAAAAGCTGGGACCTCCTAGTCAAAAATTTAGAACAGGAATATTTTGTGTAGTGTTATCTTCGGGAAACAAAGTTTGTGTATGTTTTATGGGTTAAACTATCTTTTTTCCTAATGAATTCTGAGACTTTGCTAATGTTTGTTCACCCATTCAACAAATATTTGTATTTCTTTTCTAGCTTCAAAGGCTGCATTTCTACAGACTTGAGTAGGATGTATGCTCTTGGAACATCTGTTTTGAGGATTAGCAGTGTTCAAGCAAAGGCCAAATACTCATTTCTCGGGGTTTGTGTAGGGCTTCACCTTAGTTTGTCTTCTCCTTGAGTAGAGTCTGAGACAAAGACATAAGCCTAGGTGGTTTATTTGAGAGCTTGCCTGGGAAGTAGGAGTGAGAAGCCTGGGGAGTGAGAGAGGGAACAAAAAAGTATGATGTTGCGATTGTTGCTGTGAGCAGTAGAGAAACCTCCTGAGCAGTGTGTAGAATGCTACCCAGTATTACCCATTTGAAAGGTGGAAGGCTTGACCATTTATCCATAAGTTCTCATTCCCTTTTGATTAAAGGTGTTAACTCTTTTGTGCTTTAAGCTATACTTGTGCTTCTGAAGATGTTGAGGCGTAATGGGCTCACTTGAGGTGGGATGCTAGAGGATAATGGGAGTATGAATTCCTGCAGCTGTGGCTGAAATGACACATGGGCCAAGGGAGTGTGACATGAGCTTCAAAGGTGTCTGTTACAGGACCTTATAACTAAAGAGTCTCTATAGTCTGCTATTTTTTTTTTTTTTGGTCCTAGTAAGGGGTCTAATATCTATTGTTTATTGTGCACTTAGGCATTGAGGTAATTACTTTAGATATATTGTTTCATCTCACTAAAGTAAACATCTAATTTTAGATGGTCTCTTGGTGATTATATTATAGTTTGATATTTTCCCAGGGTTGTAAAAGAATTCACCCGTATTGGAATTTGTTTTACTCACCTGTTCTGAAGGGTATGCCAAAGGATTTGGAAATTGAGGTCTTCCAACTCACTTAACTATAAATAATAATCTCATGGGAAGAGATAGTTTCTTCTATATAATGTTATGTTTAAGGAATTCATGATAGCAGAATATTCCTATGCTATGTGCCAGGGTAGTTGACCCGGGATTGTGTATAACATCCCAGCTAACAAAGATCAACCTACAGTTTTCTTTGAATTTGGTATCCTAGATGATCTAATTCTCCAGATGAGCATGTATTTTCTCTTCAGTGATACTGCCTAAAAGACTTAGGGTAGTTAAGAGAATTTTCTTCAACAGCTGCCTTTTAGTCTTGCTCCTGTCCCACTTTCATCTCTGACTGATTATCATTGTGATAGTCTTGTCTTCCATTTTATTAATGTCTCAGCATACCATTTTAGTTCATAGTTCGTACTAGAATGGATACAACATGCATCTGAGTTTATTTAACAAATTTTAGATTCTTCTTTCCTTAGTTGAGACTTTAAACATTGTTATTCTGTTGCTGATGAAGTCCATGGTTTATGTCTGTCTTAGTTACTGCTTGTAAGTGGCCCCTTATTAAGGCTCAAGTTTTTATTTTGGTTCTAGATTTAGTTTTTTGGCTTAAAGTTCAAATTCTTATTGTGGCCAACTCCCTTAATAGACTCTTACCAGTGTCCTTGACCCTAGCTTTGGGAAAGACTACTTTCTAGAAATTTTCTGTTGGCTCACGATATTAGCCATGCTGTCAGGCTGTATTCTTACCCTTCTCATACTTGAGCTACTCTATTGGACCCGTCATGTCAGTCTAGCAGACTAGTTAAGAACACACATTTTAGAGTCAACTCTACCTACATTTGAGTTCCTGGTCTGATACTTGCTAACTGTGCTTTCCTTGTTTCTGTGTCCTGTTCCGTAAAATGGACATAATACTTCCTGTTTTGTAAAGTATATAAAATGCATAGTACAGTGCTCGGCATATGCTATAAGTGCCTGAAAAATTATAAAAAGAACATTATCATCACTGTCCTGCTCCTCCTCGATGTCATCATCATTATTCTTTCTTTTGTAGCTTCTTTTCCTTTTTGCTTCTTTCTCCCTCTCTACTTTTCTTACTTTCTTTTTTCTTTCTTTTGGTAAATCTTAACTAGATTCCAATTTCGTGTTTTGGTTTATCAGAACATCCTGGATTTCGTCTTACTTATTTGCAGTATTTTATGCATAAATATATAATAGAATTTTGTGCACCTGGCTTTTTCCAAATTGTGACCTCCCGTGCACTCCCCAACCCACAACAATCTATCTTTAGCATCTACCATTCCACTGAAATAGCTTTGATCAAGGTCAGCAGTGACCCTGTTGCTAATTGAATATTTTCTTCTCAGTCCTTATCTTACGTGACCTTTACCATCCAAAGAGATGACTGTCTCATTCTTGAAAGATTCTTCCCTTGACTTCTGTTTTGGCTTTACTCCGTCTCAGTTTTCTTTCAGAATACATTATCTTTTGCCCATTCATTGAACTATCATTGTTTCTTAAGAGTTTGATTTATACCTTTTTACGCTTTCTAAAATGTTTCAAATTAGATAATATTTTATATACACATGAATATATGTATCATATATATGTTAGGAACCATAATAGCCAAATGAATTCTTGTGAACCCACCATCCAATTTACACACTAGACAATTACCAGTACCTTTATTTTTGTATATTCTCTGTGAGGCTGAATAATGACACAGCCACCCACCAAATATGTTCATGTCCTAATCCCCAGAACCTGAGAATGTTACCTTATATGGCAAAAGGGACTTTGCATGCCTGGGCAACATAGCAAGACCCTGTCTCCAAAAAAGTAAAATCAAATAAAAATTTAGCTAGGTGTGGTGTCATGTGCCTGTAGTCCCAGCTACTTGGAAGGCTGAAACAGGAGGATTGCTTGAGCCTAGAAGTTCGAGGCTTCAGTGAGCTATGATTGCGCCACTGCACCCCAGCCTGGGTGACAGAGCAAGACCCCATCTCTTTAAAATAAAAGGGAGGGGAGGCTTTGCAGATGTGATAAAGTTGAGGATCTTGAGATGGGAAGATTACCCTGGTGGGCCTGATGTAATCACAATGGTCCTTATAAGAAGGATGCAGGTGGAGTCAGAGAAATAGTGTAGAGTTGGAAGCAGAGATTGGAGTGATGTGACTACATGTCAAAGAATGCCAACAGTCTCTAAAAGCTAGAAGAAACAAGAAACAAATTGTCCCCTGGAGCCTCCAGAAGAGTCCATTCCTGCTGACACATTGATATTAGCCCTGTGAGACTGATTTCCAACTTCTGACTTCTAGATCTATAAGAGAATAAATGTAATAAATGTGTGTTGTTTCAATCCACAAATTTCGTAGTAATTTGTTACTGCAACTATAGGAAACTAATATACTCTCCCTGTGTCTCATTATCCACCATGACTTCATTTACCATCTATTTACACTAAAGCCTAAATGTAAATGATTTATTTACATCATATGTACTTTTCACTTAAGAAATTCAACACATATACGTGGCAACTACAAATGGGTAGAGAATTTTTTAAAAACAGTTAAAAATGCAAGTTAATACTCTTATTTTTCTACTTAATGATCATTTAGGACTCAACTAAAGAAACGGTAGTTTGTTCTAGTGCTAGACGACTGGCTTATTAAGAGATAGTATGTGAGTCTCCTTTGGAGGGGATCTTCCTAAATTAGAATTTCCAAAGATGATTTTTGCTATTTGCAGTTGTTGCCTAACACTGACTTTAGGACCTGCTCTTCATGAAAGATGTGATTCTGTATCTTTTCCATGAATTCTAGGTGCATAGATCTAACCAAGACATCCTCATCTTGGATTTTGCACAGGCGTCTCAAATCCAGCATACCTGAAACAATGTTACGATGATGACTTCCTCCACAACTTCGCTTATTTATTTTCTTTCTTTCTTTCTCTCTCTTTCTTTCTTTCTCTTTCGTCCTTCCTTTCCTTTCCTTTCCTTTCCTTTTCCTTTTCCTTTTCCCTTTCCTTTCCTTTCCTTCCTTTCTCTTTCTTTCTTTCTTTCTCTCTCTCTTTCTTTCTCTTTCTCTCTTTCTTTCCCTTTCTTTTCTTTTCTTCTTTCTTTTCTTTCCTTCTTTCTTTCTTTTGGAGTTTCGCTCTTGTTACCCAGGCTGGAGTGCAATGGCACAGTCTTGGCTCACGGCAACCTCTGCCTCCTGGGTTCAAGCGATTCTCCTGCCCCAGCCTCCCAAGTAGCTGGGATTACAGGCATGTGCCACCGTGCCCGGCTAATTTTGTAGTTTTAATAGAGATGGGGTTTCTCCATGTTGGTCTGGCTGGTCTTGAGCTCCCAACCTCAGGTGATCTGCTTGCCTTGGCCTCCCAAAGTGCTAGGATTACAGGCGTGAGCTACTGTGCCTGGCCACACTTATTTTCCTTTTTAGTAATTGTCACCAACACCCAGCCAGTTGTCTAAGCCAGAAACCTGTGTATTATTCTTCTCTCCTTCCTCTCTTAGGCTTCATATCAGCTAGTCATTAAATTCTAGTATTCATTTTCCTAACTCTGAATCAATTTCCATCTTTGCTACAGCTATTGCTATCATCCTGCCTCCTAACTGATCTCCCTCTCATCAGTCTCAGTTTGTTCTCCATGTTGGGTACATGTTGCAAAAGTCTAAACTTCCCAGCATGCCACAGAGTCCTTCATATTCCCTGCTCATTTCATTCTTGGGCATTCATACTTTCATCAGTCCCCTCCTGACCCAATCTCCAGCTGTACATAAACTCTATATTTTAGTATTTCTCAACTGCTTGCAACCCCTAAATGTTTTCTCTCTTTTCTGTAATTAAGGCTCTGTCTGCCTAGACTATTTCTTCTGCTTTCCTGTCTGTGCCTTCTCTGCCCCGGCCTACCCCCAACACCCTTTGCCTATTTAAGTCCTGTTTATCCTTCAGGTGGCAGTTTAACCATCATTTTCTTTGAGGAGCATTATCTGAACTCACAAGTTTAGATTAAGTACTTATCTGTGAAGTCTTAGAGCTCCCTCTCTTACCTCATCATGTTTTTGGAAACTGCTACTTTAAGGGAAACAATGTATAAACAAAACCAGTTTAACCGTAGGCTAATTGATATAAAACAAGAGTTAAAAAAGATCATCACATTTCTAAATAAAGGCCCAAGCATTTCTAATATTAATCATTAAAATAAATGTGAGCTAGGGCTGGGCGTGGTGGCTCACGCCTGTAATCCCAGCACTTTGGGAGGCCGAGGCAGGTGGATCATGAGGTCAGGAGATTGAGACCATCCTGGCTAACACGGTGAAACCCTGTCTCTACTAAAAATACAAAAAATTAGCCGGGCGTGGTGTTGGGTGCCTGTAGTCCCAGCTACTTGGGAGGCTGAGGCAGGAGAATGGTGTGAACCCAGGAGGCGGAGCTTGCAGTGAGCCGAGATCGCGCCACTGCACTCCAGCCTGAGCAACAGAGTGAGACTCTGTCTCAAAATAAAATAAAATAAAATAAAATAAAATAAAATTAAATTAAAATAAAAATAAATAGCTATATACACATTTAAGAAAGATGAATAAAAACAAGTAAGATACTTATCCATTTATTTCAGTTCAGGGTCAAGAGTGGCCAGAGCCAGCCCTGATAGCTCAGAGCACAGGACAGGAACCAGCCCTGGACAGGATGCCATCACATTGCAGGGCACACTCAAACATACCCACACTCACTCAGACCGTGGCCATGTATACATGCCAGTTCAGCTCACATGTACATCCTTCGGATGTGGGAGGAAACTGGAGTACACAGAGAAAACCCATGTGAACATGAGGAGAATGTGCAAACTCCACACAGATAGTATCCCTGGCCGGGAATTAATTTCGTTTTTTCTTTTTCATCAACATATAACAAAATGACCTTGAACAAGCTGATATTATTCAAAGACCTGCTGTACTTACTATGCTTCATCATGATGGCCTGTTTACTTGTCTGTGTTTCTCTTTAGACTTAAGTTCTTCAAGATCAAGAACTGTTTCTTCACCTGTTTGTTTTTACAGGCTAACACAGTACTTAGCGTGTAATAGATACTTCATATAATAGATACTTGGTAAACATCTGTGGACTCATTTGATTATGGAATCATATAGAAATTTAAAACTAATGCACAGCAGCATCTCCATAAGCAGTATAGCATATATTTTTTTTGAGTCGGAGTCTCGCTCTGTCACCCAGGTTGAAGTACAGTGGCACGATCTCGGCTCACTGCAAGCTCTGCCTCTCAGCCTCCTGAGTAGCTGGGAGTACAGGCGCCCGCCACCACGCCTGGCTAATTTTTTGTATTTTTAGTAGAGATGGGCTTTCACTGTGTTAGCCAGGATGGTCTCGATTTCCTGACCTCATGATCCGCCCGCCTCGGCCTCCCAAAGTGCTGGGATTGCAGGTGTGAGCCACTGCACCCGGCCTTATATATTTTTTTCTTATGAAATAACTGTTTGGGTTTTCAATATAGCCATCATGGACAATGTCAGAGATTACCAAAAAATGATGACTTTTATAGCTTTATGATGCTTCTTATTTCATACTATTGAATAATACTATTGCAAACTTTATCTTACGGCAATATTTACTAAAATGTATATGTGGAGTCCTGTCAGAAAGACAGCTTTCCATGTGATTTGGGTTATTAGAACTCTAAAGTTGTTCATGAAGGAATGGACATGTATTGCAAATCTAAGTAACTTCCAATTGTAATTTTTTTCCGTAATAAATAGCTGTATAGCTATTATGTGATTTTAGAATAGCAGAATGCTTGATATGCAGTATAAACCCAGACTTTGGAAATAGAAGATTATACATTCTGTTTATAGTCTGCATTAAATATACCGCATGATTTTATTTGGCTAAATTTGTTCAATTCTATGTATTTTGGAAATAAAAGCAACTCAAAAATAGGAATCAACTAGAGTTTAAGGGATTTTTAAATATTATAGGTATTGTTACATTTTATTATTTCAATTACTGGGAGTTGATGGGTGGCAAGATAAGACGCACTGGTGGGAGTAAATTTGGGAAGATGAAGAATTCATGGCTTTTCAACCATAATTTAAGCTACTGGTTATGTGGTACTATACCTACATTTAAAAGTTGCCAAGTGTTGCCAACCGTGGTTGCCAAGACTGTACTGCACATAATAAGTACAAAATGTGTGAAAGAATTCAAGTAATATGTTAAATGTTTAATTCCCTTTTCAATCTTGGGATGTTGGATGATCAATGAAAACAGAAGTATCTGGCAGGTACAGGCAACATTGTTAAGAAAGCTTTTCCTTACAGTCCTGCTGCATCTCACTTACACCTCCCACTCCCCAATGCACAGTTATTTCTCCATGCATAGAAAAGTACTTCATATGTACCTTTTTCATAGAAATTACCATTTGCATTCAAACTATTGGCATTGCGATTATTGTTTATATGTCTGCCTTCTCGCAATAAACTATAAAATCTTGAAAGCAAGTTATTATTGGGTTTAGCATTGTGCGTAAGACATAATAGATATTTCATAGTAGATGTTTGGTGAATTGAGAATAGGAATTAGAATCTTGGTATACATTCTTAAATATATATGGTTGACGGAGTTCAACTGAGCTTCTTTTTTTTTTGAGATGGAGTTTCGGCCTTATCACCCAGGCTGGAGTGCAATGGCGCGATCTCAGCTCACTGAAACCTCTGCCTCCTGGGTTCAAGTGATTCTTCTGCCTCAGCCTCCCGAGTAGGTGCCACCATGCCCGGCTAATTTTTGTATTTTTAGTAGAGACGGGGTTACACCTTGTTGGCCAGGCTGGTCTTGAACTCCCGACCTCAGGTGATCCACCTGCCTCTGCCTCCCAAAGTGCTGGGATTACAGGCGTGAGCCACCATGCCTGGCCTCAAATGAGTTTTTAAACATAGGTATGCCAATTTGTAGTTAATAAGTATTAACTCTTGTTAGATCTTTTAAACTTCTCTTCAGAGTATTTTATTGCCTGGATATTTACCAGCATAACTAAAAATGTTTTCTGTTTTTGTTTTTGTTTTGAGATAGTCTCACTCTGTCGCCCAAGGTGGAGTGCTGTGGCGGGATCTCAGCTCACTGCATCCTCTGCCTCCTGGGTTCAAGTGATTCCTGTGCCTCAGCCTCCCAAGTAGCTGGGATTACAGGTGTACGCCACCACACCCAGCTAGTTTTTCTATTTTTAGTAGAGATGGGGTTTCACCATGTTGGCCAGGCTGGTCTCAGACTGCTGACCTCAAGTGATCTACCCACCTCAGAAAAGTGTTGGGATTTCAGACGTGGGCCATAGTGCCTGACCAAAAATGTTTTAAAGTTAAAAAATCTTAGGTGAATATTTTAAAATTATGGGATATTATGAAAAGTCAGTTGAAGAAGTACTGGTTTTGTGTCTCGTTTTCTTGTTGATTAGGTTGGTTCTGTGATTAAAAGCAAATTGCCTATATAATTCTGATAGTACTTATTAAAAAGTCATTGACTTAGGCTTTTAGGTAACTATTCATAATTTATAAGGGAAGCCAGTGGGAGTTTTAATTACTTGTTCTGTTCTAGTAGTCTGCAGTTTTATTGACTCGATTTGGATGAATCTTACAATAAATAATTGTTGAGTTTTTCCTAAACAGTATGAGGGCCTGTAAAAGCATAAATTGAATAACAAGCAGACTATTTTCTTCATTAAGCTAACCACAATGAAAATTTTTGTGCCGGGCTTGGTGGCTCACGCCTGTAATCCCAGCACTTTGGGAGGCTGAGGTGGGCGGATCACCTGAGGTCAGGAGTTCGAGACCAGCCTCAACATGGAGAAACCCCTTCTCTACTAAAAATACGAAATTAGCCGGGCGTGGTGGTACTTGCCTGTAATCCCAGCTACTTGGAAGGCTGAGGCAGGAGAATTACTTGAACCTGGGAGGCGGAGGTTGCGGTGAGCCGAGATCGCGCCATTGCACTCCAGTGTGGGCAACAAGAGCGTAACTCCGTCTCAAAAAAAAAAAAAAGAAAATTTTTGTGTGTATGTGTGTGTATACACCTGTGCCTGTGTGTATTGTAATTTATTTTTATGTGTCCTTTTGTGCTTTTATGCATATGTTTTTTGTTATGTTACATTTCTGAGTTGATAGTTTTTTCTTTTGTTTTGAAACTATTGGAATTTTCTATTAATTTTAAGCAAATTGCCAAGTACATTAAATTTGTAGACATCCATTTTTAAAATTGTATTTTAAAATGGCATTGCTTTGCTGACTAGTATAGAATATTTTCAGTTTTTCTTTTATTAACAAATAATATCGGCCAGGTGCAGTGGCTCACGTCTGTAATCCCAGCACTTTCGGAGGCCGAGGCAGGTGGATCACTTGAGGTCAGGAGTTCCAGACCAGCCTGACTAACACGGCGAAACCCCATCTCTACTAAAAATACAAAAATTAGCTGGGTGTGGTGGCAGGTGCCTGTAATCCTAGCTACTCAGGAGGCTGAGGCAGGAGAATCGTATGAACCTGGGAGATGGAAGTTGCAGTGAGCCGAGATCACGCCATTGTACTTAAGCCTGGGCGACAAGAGTGAAACTTCATCTCAAAAAAAAAAAAAAAACAAACCAAAACAAAAAACTCAAATAATCTCTAGTTATAGTAACTTATTACTAAATCTTTCCTTGATTTGAATCTGATTTCAGAAAAATGATTGCATTAGAACAGGCCATAGGTAGCAAACTTTACTGTAGTTGTTCAGGAAAATGAATTGTTTAGTTAGTTAGTTAGTTTGTTTGTTTGTTTATTTATTTATTTTGAGACGGAGTCTCACTCTGTCGCCCAGGCTGGAGTGCAGTGGCGCAATCTTGGCTCACTGCAAGCTCCGCCTCCCAGGTTCATGCCATTCTCCTGTCTCAGCCTCTTGAGTAGCTGGGACTACTTGCGTCCACCACCATGCCTGGCTAATTTTTTGTATTTTTTAGTAGAGACGGGGTTTCACCGTGTTAGCCAGGATGGTCTTGATCTCCTGACCTTGTGATCCGCCTGCCTTGGCCTCCTAAAGTGCTGGAATTACAGGCGTGAGCCACCGTGCCCAGCCTGTTTCTTCCTTTTTTTTGAGATGGAGTTGTACTCTTGTCACTGAGGCAGGAGTGCATTGGCACAATATCGGCTCACTGCAACTTCCACTTCCCGGGTTCAAATGATTCTTCTGCTTCAGCCTCCCGAGTAGCTGGGATTACAGGCATGTGCCGCCATGCCTGGCTAATTTTTTTTGTTTTAGTGGAGACGGGGTTTCACCATGTTGGCCAGGCTGGTTTCGAACTTCTTACCTCAAGTGATCTGCCTGCCTCGGCGTCTCAAAGTGCTGGGATTACAGGCGTGAACCATTGCACCCGGCCGAGTTATATATATATAAAATAAATTCTAAGAGTCTCCTTCTCTATCCCATCTGCTCATTTACCACTGCTTACCCCACTCCCAAAAAATCATTATTAGTTTCTTATGCTTGGAGTCCGTTTATGCATATTTAAGAAAATATATTATTCTTGCCCATTTTTCCACAGAGGAGGCATACTAATTGTAATTTTCATGTTGCTTTCAATTTTTTAACTTTCCATTAAAATTTTCACACATGCAGAAAAGTGGAGTGCTGTGAATCTATAAACCTACCACCTAGATTTAACATGGTTAGTGGTTAGTATTTTGCTGGTTTTGCTTATTTTGCATATATATGTATATAAATGAGCAAAAGGCATATATTTGAGTATGTATAGATTAGCAACAGACAAACACATATATTGATCTAAGCCATCTGAAACTCAATTATAAATATCATGGTATTCCATCCCTAAATACTTTTTTTTTTTTTTTGAGACAGCGTCTCGCTCTGTCTCACAGGCTGGAGCATGTGGTGCTATCATGGCTCACTGCATCCTCCGCCCTCTGGTCTCATGTGATACTCCACACCTCAACCTCCCAAGTAGCTGGAACCACAGGCATGTGCCACCATGCCCAGCTAATTTTTGTGTTTTTTGGTAGAGACGGGATTTCACCATGTTGCCCAGGCTGGTCTTGAACTCTTGGGCTCAAGGGATCCACCGGCCTCAGTCTCCCAAAGAACTGGGATTACAGGTGTGACACCATGCCTGGCAATACTTCACTTTTTTAAGGTAAATTACCACTCAGTCAATGAAGGATTTCAACCAAAAGAGTCACATGATTGGGTATAATAATTACTTGTTTAGGTTGAAGGTGCCTTTGAGGAAGAGAAGACTAGAGGCAGAGAGGCCAATTATTAATAAGTGATTGTTGTACAGGCATGCTTTGGAGATACTGCAGGTTTGGTTCCAGACCACCACTAGATTGTGCAAATACCATGGTAAAGCGAGTCACACAAATTTTTTGGTTTCCCAGTGATAAAAGTTATTTTTCCACCACACTGTAGACTGTTAAGTGTGCAGTAGCATTATGTCTAAAAAACAGTGTACGTACCCTAATTTAAAAATTCTTTACTGCTCAGCTCAAGAATGTTAACGATCATCTGAGCCTTCAGTGGGGTTCTCTTTCCTCTCTTGCCTTCCTATGAATTGGTCCTGCTTGTGACTAGAGGGAAAGAAGTGAACATTTGTTTCTCCGCACACCAGCTCCTTCATGCCAATTACTTAACTAGTTATTTAATTCTACCAGTAATTATTTGCGGTATTATTATCCTTATTTTTGCAGATGAGGAAATTGAAGTGCAGAGTTGTGAAATAATTTGTTCAAGATCATATTGCTCTTAAGTGGCAGATCTGGAATTTTCACGAGTCTGACTGACTGTGAAGTTACTACATGACTGTTATCCAGTTTGTTTCATGAAGTGAAAAATATATGAATGCTGGTAATTTTTGTTTTCTTCTGCATGTATTCATTATTCTTAATGATGTGATCATCAGCCTTTTAAAAAACAATATGTCAGTCCATTTGCAAATACACCACTCTTAGGCACTTTATTTTTGAATTGAAGTATGCAACTTGTACCAACTAGCTTTCCCTTTGATGTAATATTGCCAAACAATGAAATATCATGTCTTATATTGTCACCATATTTTATTTTTGAATTCACTTTTTATTTTATTTTTAATATATTTTTTATACAAATGTAATCTCAGTGGTTTTAGGGCTGATACAGAGAAGTTTTAGACCAAAAGATTCCTAAACCGAAGCAAAAAGTGACAAGTTGGAACACTTGAAAGTGAAGAGAAAATGCATAGCCATCTTAAAAAAAAAAATTAGGAGGTGATCTGTCCAAGATGACACAGTAGCATTAGAGCAGTTGTGAAGCAGATCATCTAATGGCTTTTTGACCCCTTCTGACCTTCAAAAGCGTAAGAAAATAAATTATTCTGCCCTTAAAGACCAAAACGTAGGTTTTTAAGAGCAACATCTTGATTCATTTGAAAATAGTAAACTCTCAAGCTGTAACACTCCCAACCTCAGTCAATGTAAAACAGACATCATACAATTTAAATTCTCGTATGGTAGTCCCTAGAGAAGCACTTGAATAGAGAATTGCTTATCAAACTGTGTCAGTCAGGATCCTAAACCCCAAAATACCTGTAGCTTAAAATAACAGAGATTTATTTCTTGTTCATGTTGCATTTCCCTTGTGGGACAGTCAGGAATGCTACTCCGTGTATCCTCACTTGGGAACTCAGACTAACTACTGTTGGTTACTGGGATGTAGGAAAAGAGGCAGTTAGGCATTGACTTCTAAAGCTACTGCTGGATAATGTCATTTCCCCTTATACTTCACTAATTTAGGTAAGTTACGTTCCTACACCTAACCAAGAAGTGGCAATGGGAGTGTAGTCTCAAAATACGATTAGAAGGAGAATATGATTAATACTGAGTGTCACCTTGATTGGATTGAAGGATGCAAAGTATTGATCCTGGGTGTGTCTGTGAGGGTGTTGCCAAAGGAGATTAACATTTGAGTCAGTGGGCTGGGAAAGGCAGACCCACCCGTAATCTGGGTGGGCACCATCTAATCAGCTGCCAGTGTGGCTAGACTGTAAAGCAGGCTGAAAAACATGGAAAGACTAGACTGGCCTAGCCTCCCAGCCATACATCTTTCTCCCGTGGTGGATGCTTCCTGCCCTTGAACATCAGACTCCAAGTTCTTCATTTTTGGGACTCGGGTTGGCTTTCCTTGCTCCTCAACTTGCAGATGGCTTATTGTGGGACCTTGTGATGGTGTGAGTTAATACTTAATAAACTCCCTTGTTAGTTGTGTCCCTCTAGAGAACCCTGACTAATACAGAGAAGAACTGGAATATGGGTGCCCAGCTGGAATGACTAACAAGCCTTTTGAGGAATATAGAGAATTACGCATGATTGATTGGTAGAATGATTTTTTTAAAAAAATGCCAAATAGCTTTGAAGTAATCCTGTTTTGATTGAATTAAGGGTCTTGTTGCTGAAAGGTGAACTAGGCAGTTTAGCCAGAAATGTCCAGTAGAGGAGTAAACTGGTTAATTGGACATCCTTTTCCTTGTGTTTTGTCTGTTACATTTTCATAAGCATATTTAAGATTTGCTCTTATGTGCTTGCTTATAACATAAATCTATTAATAAAGATTCACAGTTATCAACTATTTTTATGTAGAACATGTTGGATAATGATGCTATGCAAAGTCTAAAAAATCAAGAGGTTAATAATTGGTAGGACATATAACAAAAACTATCTCATATTTTGTGTTACATAGGCAAGCACTAGTAGTTTTTAAAAAGTATATAATTTGGGAAAATTTGTTCCATGAGGCAGTACAAATGAATAATCATATTGAAGTTCAACAGCTTAATTCTGGACTTCTGAAATTTTCCAAGGAGATGAGTGATTAATAGATACAAACATACTATTTTTATGTACATATGTGAAGAGACTGTCTCTAGGCAGTTATAAATCTTCTTCATCTTTGACAAACTTTTGCATATGTGTCTTTATTGGTGTTGTAAACCAGGGATTATCTGTTTCTTCACAAGGCATGCTCTTTTTAAAATATTGTCGTGGTTTATACATACTATGAAATTTACCATTTTAACTATTTTTAAGTATATTTCATTGGCATTAAGTACATTCACATTGTTGTGCAACCATTACCATCATATATCTCCAGAACTTTTTCATCTTCTAAAACTGAAGTCTGTACCCATTACACAGTAATTCTCTATTCTTCTCTCTCATAAGCCCCTGGCAACTACCATTTTACTTTCTGTTTCTGTGAGTTTGACTACTTTAGATACCCCATATAAATAGAATCATATACTATTCTTTTGTGATTGGCTTATTTCACTTATCACAATGTCTTCATGGTTCTTCCATGGTGTAGCATATATCATAATCTGCTTCCATTTAAGGCAAAATAATATTCAATTGTATGTATATACCACATTTTGTTTACACATTCATCTGCCAGTGGACAGTAGGGTTGCTTCTGTCTTTTGGCTGCTGTGAATAATGCTGCTATAATCATGAGTGTACAGATATCTGTTCTAGTCCCTGCTTTAGTTTGTCTGAATATAAATCCCAAAGTGAAGCTGCTGGATTATATGGTAATTTTATTTTAAATATTTTGAGGAATCACACTACTGTTTTCTGTAATGGCTGTGTCATTTTACATTCCCACCAGCAGTGAGCAAGTGTTCCATTTTCTTCACATCCTTGCCAGTACTTGCTACTTTTTGTTTGTTTTTTTTGGGGGGGGGGGGTGATAATAACTATCGTAATAAATATGAAGTGGTATCTTATGGTTTTCTTTTTCATTTCCCTAGCACTCTTTTGCATGTTTTTGTGTGGACATATGATTTCAGCTCATTTGGGTAAATACCTAGGAGCACAGTTGCTGATCCTATGTTAAAACTATGTTTTAGCTTTGTAGAAAACTGCCAGACTGTCTTCCAAATTGGCTGTACCATTTCGCATTCCCACCAGCGATGAATGAGACTTCTGTTCTCTTCATCCTTTCTCAAATTTGGTGTGGTATTTTGGATTTTAGCCATTCTAATAGGTGTGTAGCACTGTCATTTTAATTTATAATTTCCTAATGACATATGATATTGAGCACTTTTTCATATACTTATTTATCATCTGTATATCTTCTTTGGTGAGGTGTCTGTTTAGATCTTTTGCCCACTTTTCAGTTGGGTTGTTTGTTTTCTTATTGATGAGTTTTGTTGTTGTTGTTGTTTTGAGACGGGATCTCGCTCTGTTGCCCAGGCTGGAGTGCAGTGTGGCGCAATCTTGGCTCACTGTAACCTCTGCCTCCCAGGTTCAGGTGATTCACCTGCCACAGCCTCTTGAGTAGCTGGAATTACAGGCACGTGCCACCATGCCTGGCGAATTTTTTGTATTTTTAGTAGAGATGAGGGGGTGTGGCAGATTTCACCATGTTGGCCAGGCTGGTCTTGACCTCCTGACCTCAAGTGATCCGCCCGCCTCGGCCTCCCAAAGTGCTGGGATTACAGGTGTGAGCCGCTGCGCCCGGCATTGTTGAGTTTTAAGAGTTCTTTGTTTATTGTAGATAAAGTTTCTTAATCAGATATATAGTTTGCAGATATTTTCTCCTAGCATGTGGCTTGTCTTTTCATTCTTTTAATATTAATAGTATCTTTCACAGAGCTAAAGCTGTTAATTTCAATGAAGTCCAACTTATTTATTTTTCATGGATCATTTTTTTGGCATTGTATCTGAAAACTCAGTACCAAACCCAAGGTCACCTAGATTTTCTCTTACATTATCTTTGAGAAATTTGATTGTTTTGCTTCCTACATTTAGGTTCATGAGCCATTTTCAGTTAATTTCTGTGAAAGGTGTAATGTCACTGTGTAGATTAAGTTTTTGCATGTGGATGTCTGGTTGTACCAGCATCATTTATTGAAGAGACTGTCATTATTGGATTGCCCTTGTTTCTTTCTGAGAGATCAGTTGACTATATTTGAATAGTCTATTTCTGTTCCATTCATCTATTTATTTTATAGCTAATACCACAGTCCTTATTACTATAGCTGTGCAGTGTGTAGTAAGTCTTAAAGTCGGGTAATAACAGTTTTCTGACTTCATTCTTCAGTATTGCATTGGCTATTTTGAGTCTTTTGTCTTTCCATATGAATTTTAGAATCATGCCTGGAATAAATCCTGCTTGGTCATGGTATATAAATCTTTTCATGCATTGTTGAATTTAGTGCTAATATCTGTTAAGAATTTTTGCATCTATATTTATAAGAGAATTAGTCTATAGTTTTCCTTTCCTGTAATGCCTTTATCTAGTTTTGATGTTTGGGTAATGCTGGTCCCATAGAATGAGGTACTACATGCTTCTATTTCCTAGAAGAGATTGTAGAGATTTAGTGTCATTTCTTCCTTAAATATTTGGTAGAATTCACCAGGAAACATCTGGACGTTATGGTTTCTTTTTTTGGAAGGTTATTATTGATTCATTATCTTTAATAGATATAGGCCTGTCCCGATTATTGCTCCTTGTGAGAGTTTTAGTAATTCCTGTTTTTCAAATAATTAGCCCATTTCATTTAAGTTATCAAATTTGTGAGCTTAGAGTTGTTCATAATATTTCCCTGTTTTTTTAATGTCCGTGGGATCAGGAGTGATGATACCTGTTTCATTTTATATATTAGGGCTTTGTCTCTCTCTCTCTCTCTCTCTCATCTGTCTGTTTCTCTTTTTTGTTAACCTGACTAAAGGTTTATCAGTTTTAATGCTCTTTTCAAAGAACAGCTTTTGGTTTTGTTTATTTTTCTTTACCAATTTCCTATTTACAATTTCATTGATGTTTACTATAATTTTTTTTATCTTCTTCTTGCCTTAGGTTTATGTTGCCCTTTTTTTTTTTCTAGTTTCCTGTGGTGGAAGCTTAGATTATTGAATTTAGTTAGACCTTTCTTCTTTTCTAATATATGCATTCAGAGCTATAAGTTTTTCTCTAAGCACTGTTTTTGGTGCATCCCACAAATTTTGAACATTGTATTTTCATTTTC
The DNA here is from genome assembly GCF_000001405.40 of Homo sapiens. Classification (NCBI taxonomy): domain Eukaryota; kingdom Metazoa; phylum Chordata; class Mammalia; order Primates; family Hominidae; genus Homo; species Homo sapiens. The sequence goes on from NC_000005.10 coordinate 53,593,757, forward strand.
ATTTAGTTCAAAATATTTTAAAATTTTTCTTGAGACTTTTTTGACCCATGAGTTATTTAGAAGTGTATTGTTTGATCTCCAAGTAATTGGAGATTTTCTAGTTTTCTGTTACTGATTTCTAGTTTAATTCCATTGCTGACTGAGAGCTTGCATTGTGTGGTTTCTATTCTTTTAAATTAGTTAAGGTATGTTTTATGTCCCAGAATGTGGCCCATCTTGGTGAATGTTTCACTTGAGTTTGAGCAGAATGTGTCTTTTGCCATTGTTAGATAAAGCAGTTGACAGATGCCAGTTATATCCAGTTAATTGATTGTGCTGTTTACTTCAACCATATTCTTAACTGATACTCTGTCTACTGGCTCTGTCAATTACTATTCGAAGAATGTTGAAGTGTCCCACAATAATAATGCATTTCTCCTTGTAGTTTCATCAGTGTTTGCATAGCATATTTTGACATTTTCTTGTTAGGTACATACACACTAACGATTGTTACATCTTGTTGGAGAACTGACCCCTTTATCACTATCACCTTCTTCATCCCTGATAATTTTTCTTGTTCTGGAGTCCCGTTTGTCTGAGATTAATTTAGCTGTGGAAGCAAGATTTGACTAGTGTTAACATGCTATGTCTTTTTCCATCCCTTTACTTTTAGTCTGTGTCTTTATAATTAAAAATGGGTTTCTTTTCAGTAATATGTAGTTGTGTCTTATTTTTTAATCTACTCCGATAACTCTCTTTTAATTGGTATATTTAGACTATTTGCATTTAAAGTGATTATTGATATCATTAATATTAATGTCTATTGTGCTCATATCATCTGCATTCCCTCTCCCTTTTTGGAATGATTTTTCTTTTGCTTTGTAAGCATTTTTTATGTATCCTACAGATTAGTCTTTTATCTACTATATGTTTTACTTATTATCTCTGATTTTTCCTTTATATGAATTTGTTGTTCAGAAATTATTTTTCATTCCTAGTTTGTGGATATTTTGCCTTAATTTGGAAGACTTTAACCACTCAAAAGTTATTAAAACAAACCTCTTTTATACATTATCTCAGTATTTTTTTACACACAGATACACATACATTGCATTTGTATATACGTATGTCTGTGTTTGTGTGTGTGTGTGTGTGTGTGTGTGTATATGCGTTGATTTTTAAATCCATCTGGAATTCTTTGGTACATGATGTAATTCTTTTAGAAAGGGATTCAGACATTATGCTTCCATGAAAGGATGGCCAGTTGTCTCAATATTATTTATTGAATAGCCCACCTTTTCACCACTGATTTAAAATTGTATTTTTATTATGTAATAAATCTACAGATCTGCATAGTCTGCTTTTGTACTCTGATCTGTACTATTTGTTTAATGTATATGTCTGTGCCTGGGCATATACAGGTATTTTAATTACAGTAGTCTGTTACCTGGCAAGGAAATCTTACTTTATTATTGTTTTTCAAATTTCCTTGGTTATTTTTTATGAATTTTTTCTTCTCATGAGACTCACCTAATTTTATAAAAATTCTATTAGGATTTGTATTACTATTGTATTTAATTTATAAGTTAATAATTGACATCTTTGTGGTAAATTGTTTCCAGTTATTAATAACACATGTCAAAGGATAGCAACACAGTTTCTTCCATTAAGGCATTCCAAGCCAGTAGACGTATTCTTCTGTGGCCAAGGTAGCTCAATGATTTGACCTTCTTAAATGTGAACATTTCATATGTTCCTTGTGTTTTGTAATATAATTACTGTCATCACCATGACATCTTTATTTCTTATTCTTCTCTCATGTATATTTATTTTGATAACCTGTTGCTATAAATGTAGATACATTTCTTTCTCCTTTACATTTTCCGTCACACCCTCCGGTTTCTTTGTTAGCATCCTCCAGTATCTTGCCCACATTCTCCTACTTATTACTCTTCAATTCCATTTCAGAGTCTGTTACGTGAACATAATTACCCTTATCCCTCTTGCACAAATCTTTCTTTAATCTGTTGGATGACTCTGAAAGGATTAGTTTCAGTTTGGGGCTTGAGCTGTGTCCAGACACACAACTGCTATTAGTTCCTACCATAGTTCTACCTGGTTCAGAAGAATGAGAAAAATAATCCTTACTTTTTCCTCCTCTATGAGCAGGAGGTGCTTACTTTTTACTGATTTGACCAGCTGAACATTTTAAGATAATATTCAGTACTGTAGATGAAGATTAGAAATTACTGCAAAAACTTTAAGTGAGAATAAAAGAATTTATGGTGTTCTAAAGAGATTTTAAACAAATTATCTTCACTATTGTTTTCTCTAATTTAAACAAAGCATTTGTGGGTTCTTTTCTTTTACTTTTACTCAGTCTGTCTTTCCAGAATGTTAAAATGGTCCCTTAGGCTGGGCTCGGTGTCTCACATCTGTTATCCCAGTGCTTTGGGAGGCCGAGGCAGGAGGATTGCTTGAGCCCAAGAGTTCAAGACCAGCCTAGGCAACATGGTGAAACCATATCCCTATAAAAAAAAACAAAAAATTAGCCGAGTGGGATGGTGTGTGCCTCTAGTTCCAGCTACTCAGGAGGCTGAGGTGGGAGGATCGCTTGAGCCAAGGAGGTCGTGGTTGCAGTGAGCCATGATTGTGCCACTGTACTCCAGCGTAGGTGATAAAGCCATATCCTGTGTCAAAAAGTAAATAATAAAATAAAATAAAATGGTCCCTTGACCTTTTATCTTTAATTTTCCCATTAACAGTTGGTTCTCTCTTTTTTCTATCTAATGAATACAGTATGCTGAAGACAGTTTAAATTTTCTTTATTGATTCAAGATATTGAAAAGCTTCAAGATTATTAACTTGAAAGTTTTCAAAGGTTTAATATCAACACATTTCAGGTGTGAGGAAATTACTGTGGCATGGAGAATATGTATATATTTTATTTCAATTAAAACTCTCAGTAATATTTCCTTATGGCTTAGCATGGAAATACTTTATGATATAAGGTGAGTCTGGGTTAATTTAATTTGTAATAAATTGACAACAAACGTAATTAGTTCTAATCAAAAGGCTAAAGATTGACTCCATAATGGTTTTTATAAGATTAGGAGTTTTATTTTGTCTAAAAGTCCAACACATTATTTCTGGTCCTTTGAAATTACTGGTTCAATTTTAATGTTTATAAAATCATATTCAGTTATTTATAGGGATGTTTTTAAATCTATAGCTGGACACAGACCATCCCAATAGTTGCTTAAAACAACAGTAGTCTTCTGTTTTGCTTACAAATGTACAATTTGGGCAGGTTTTGCCAGGGAAGTTTGTCTGCTCCATGTGGTGTCTGCTGGGATAGCTCAACTTCCACTAGAGGTTTCATGTCCAACATACCTCACCCACATGGCTGGCAAAGTGCTATTGGCTGTCAATTCCTCTTCACAAGGACCTCTCTGTGGGACAGCTTGGTCTTTTTTACAACTTGGTGGCTGGGTTCCAAAAGTGAAACATCCTAAGAAACAATATTCTAAGAGACAGGGAGTGAAAACAGATAGTTTCTTAAGGTCTGATGCTGGAAACACACATAACCTCAGTTTAACTTTCTCATATTGATCAAGGAATCACAGAGCTCCGATTTTAGGAGAACAGGATACAGACTTCAGCTCTTAATGGGAGGGAGGAGCGTCAAAGAAATTTGGAGTCACAGTTTCAAACTGCTACAAGGAATATGGGAATTTTACTAAATTATTCTTAGTTGATAGGTAGTTTCAAAAGGGACATAGTATTAGTACGTTGGGTCAGTAGTGTTGTTTAGATACTATTTTTCAGTGTAATGTTTTAAAAATCTTCACTGTTTAAGACTTTTTGAAAAGTGTATTTTGAAGTGTTAAAAACAATATTTACAAGATCTATATGAAGAAAATTAGAAAACTCTGAGGAAGGATATCAAAGAAGATCCTAATGGATACATGGATAGGAAGACGCTAAGCATCATCCATGAACGAAAAATGCATCAGTTAGGCTTCATTAAGATTAAAAGCTTCTGCTCTGTGAAAGACACTCTAAAGAGAATGAAAGGACAAGCCACAGACTAGGAAGATATATTTGCAAAACACGTATCTCATAAAGAACTATATCTACAGTTAACAAATAATTCTTAAAATTCAACAATAAGAAAACAAGCAACCCAATTAAAAAGTGGGCAAAAGATCTAAGCAGATAACTCACCAAAGAAGATATACAGATGACTAATAATCATATGAAAATATGTTCAACGTCATATGTCATTCGGGAATTACAAATTAAAACAACAATGAAATAGTACTACACACCTGTTAGAACGACTGCAATCCAAAATACTGACCACACCAAATGCTGGCAAGGATGAAGAGAGCAAGAAGTCTCATTTATTGTTGGTGACAATGCAAAATGGTACAGCACTTTGGAAGAGTCTGGCAGTTTCCTACAAAGCTAAAACATAGTCTTAACGTATGATCAGCAGTTGTGCTCCTGGGTATTTACCCAAACAAGTGGCAAATTTAATGTCCACACAAAAACCTGCACATGAATGTTTTTAGCAAAATAACCCCAATGTTCATCAGTGGATGAAGAAAGAAAGAAAATGTGTATATGTATGGTTTTGAAAGATTTTTTTAAAGAAAAACAGATTATTATGTGAGTTGGGTGATTCTTGCATAGGATTTCCACGGGTTTATTAAAACAAAGTAGAACTATCGTCAGTTCCACTTACTAGAATCAAATAGACTGTCATCACTAGAAGAAACTTTAGAGCAACAAGTTCCTCATTTTATGTTTTCAAAAAATAAAATATAAAGGCAGAGGAGTTGAGATTTTCTCATCTACAGCAAAAGATGTTTATATAAATAAATATACTGATAAAAATTTATCTCATATTGTTATCAAGCTGTATGTAAAAGACAACACAATAAAAAAGACAAAAATCTCACCAAACTGTTTTACTTAACCAGAGTTAGAAATAAGGTTTATTGATAAAAACCAGGATTAGAAATAAAGTTTATTGATTTTCATTTTCAGGATATCTCTTTTTCTTTCAGGAAACTTATACAGAAAAACAGAATAAATGGCTTGTACGCTTATAATTACCTTGACCAGTAATGGTAATTAATAATCACAATCACAACCCTCAGAGTTTATCCTTTGGGCTGAGAATTAAGAATGATACTTTACAAACCTGGAAATGTGAGCAGGCCAATTAACAAAACAAATAGATGGACAAAAATAAAGGCAAACCCATGAGGCAAAGAATGTTTTTAAGTTTGTCAAAAATGAATATTAAACAGCAGAGTGAGTAAAATTACCATTTATTTTCTAATGATTACACATTAGTCATTGTTTCTACATGAACACTTACTACTGAGAACACTGTTTTACTGGGTACATTGCCCAGTAAAATATGATTATTAATATTTTGGCTGTTTTTGCTTTTGGCTATTTGAAAAATGCTGCTATAAACATTGGTGTACAAATATTTATTTGAGTCTTCACTTTTAGTTCTTTTAGGTATATACTCAGTAATGGAATTGTTGGATCATAGGATAATTCTGTTTACTTTTTGAGAAACTGCCATACCATTTTCCATAGTGGTAGTACCATTTTACATTCCCATAAGGGTACCAATTTCTATACGTTTCTGTTAATACTTATTTTCTGTTTTTATATACTAAAATGTTGTAAAAGGGTGTAAAATGCTACCTCATTGTGTTTTGATTTGCATTGCTCTAATTAGTTCTGTTGAGCATCATTTCATGTGCTCATTAGCCATTTGTATATCTTTTTTGGATAAATGTTTATTTAGGTGTTTTCCCCATTTCTAATTGGGTTGTTTTGTTGCTGTTTGAGTTCTTCTTTTAAAATTTAGAAATGACCCCCTACTTACTTGTACAAGTTCTTTTACCTCTTTTAGATGTTGATTCCTTACTGTTCTATTTTGTATTATTTTCTTCTTGTCTGTCTTACACTTCACTTACAGTATATTTAGTTTTGATGTTTTTGGTTTTATGTAATAGCTTCTGTCATTTTTTCCTTTATGCTTTCTAGGCTTTATATCTTTTTTTCTTAACAAGGTTTTTGTACTCTTAATATTTTCCTTCCATCTACCATTTCACTGATGTGACATTCCTTACAGGCTAATCAACAAACAGATATTTACTGTATAATTCATGTGTAGTCTAAAATTTACTATAGATTATACTTTGTAGGTATAATTTTTATTTATTTATTTATTTTATTATTATTTTTTGAGACGGAGTTTCATTCTTTGTTGCCCAGGCTGGAGTGCAATGGCACGATCTCAGCTCACTGCAGCCTCCACCTCCCGGGTTCAAGTGATTCTCCTATCTCAGCCTCCCGAGTAGCTGGGGTTACAGGCATGCACCACCACGCCCAGCTAATTTTGTATTTTTAGTGGAGACTGGGTTTCTCCACGTTGGTCAGGTTGGTCTGGAACTCCTGAACTTAGGTGATCCGCCATCCTCGGCCTCCCAAAGTGCTGGGATTACAGGTGTGAGCCGGCCCGCCCGGCCTATTTTTATTTTTTGTTTATTCATTTTTTGAGACAGTGTCTCACTTTGTTGCCCAGGCTGGAGTGCAGTGGTGCGATCTCGGCTCATTGCAACCTCTGCCTCCAGGTTCAAGAGATTCTCCTGCCTCAACCTCCTGAGTAGCTGGGACTACAGGCATGCCCCACCAAGCCCAGCTAATTTTTGTATTTTTAGTAGAGGTGGGGTTTTGTCATGTTGGCCAGACTGGTCTCGAACTCCTGACCTCAGGTGATCCACCCACCTCAGCTTCCTGAAGTGCTGGGATTACAGGCGTGAGCCACTGCGCCCAGCCCGGTAGGTATAATTTATTAAATGCTGTGTTCATAATTGACTGTGGACCTTCGTTGCTACCTTAACTGTCCAGAATTGGAGAAAAACTTTTCTCCACATCTGATATTTGAGTCCTTTAATAATTGTTTTCTGCTTAGAGGGTAGTTTCTTATCACATGATATAACTTACACAAGCACACGTTTTAATTTAGGCAAATTTTTCTGAAATAATTATTGTTTTACATAAAAATTAAAATCACTCTTTGCAATCTAACCTATCTTAAATTTTTTTACAAAAAATTTTTACTGTAACTTTATGGTAGGATTGTTTTACTTAACATTTTTGTCCTTTTTATTGTATTATCTTTTACATACAGCTTGATATAAATTTTTATCAGTGCGTTTGTTTATAATAAATTTTTTTTTTTTTTTTTTTGAGACGGAGTCTTGCTCTGTCGCCCAGGCTGGAGTGCAGTGGCGCGATCTCAGCTCACTGCAAGCTCCGCCTCCCAGGTTCACGCCATTCTCCTGCCTCAGCCTCCGAGTAGCTGCGACTACAGGGGCCCGCTGCTACGCCCGGCTAATTTTTTGTATTTTTAGTAGAGACGGGGTTTCACCGTGTTAGCCAGGATGGTATCCATCTCCTGACCTTGTGATCCGCCCGCCTCAGCCTCCCAAAGTGCTGGGATTATAGGCATGAGCCACCGCGCCCGGCTACACATGTTTACAAAAGATGTTATATAACTTTATTATTACAATTAGTTGGAGGTTAACCTAAAATTATTAAAATAAACCTATCCTTAAAGTAAATTATATATGGTTTTATAAATTAAGAACTTTACTTTGGATTACAACTAATATATACTAAGATTTTCTTAAACAATTAGGACATAATCGTTTTAAGTTAAATCCCCTTTGTAGTAAAAAATTGCACAAAATGGGTACAGAGTTTTAATCTACCTAATAATTTGCACTGTTTTCATCTAACAGGTCTCTTCATTTGAGAAAATATAGTGTAGCTTTTCACGGTTTTAGTTACCCACGGTCAGCTGTGGTCCAAAAATATGCAGTGGAAAATTCCCAAAACAAACAATTTATGAATTTAATATTTGCTCCATTCTGAGTAGTGTGATGAAATCTCATGCCGTCCAGCTCTGTCTCACCCAGGATGTGAATCATCCCTTTGTCTAGTGTATCCAGGTTGTATAGGATACCTGCGTTAGTCAGAACTTAGTAGCCATCTTGGTGATAAGATTGACCGTCTCAGTATTGCAGTGCTTGTGTTCAAGTAACCTTTATTTTACTTAATTGATCTGTTTTATTATTAGTTATTGTTAATTTATTACTGCCTAATTTGTAAAGTAAACTTTATCATAGGTGTGTATGTATTAGAAAAAACAGTGTATGTAGGGTTCAGTTCTATTAACAATTTTAGGCATCCACTGGGCGTCTTAAAATGTATCGTACAAGGATGAGGGGGAGCTACTTACTGCATTTAGAAAATGTGATAACATTTTCTGATATTTCAGATTCTCATGAGTTCACTTATCATTACCCAATGTTTTTCTTGTAATATGTGGATTTGTTTAAAAGTATTTAAATTTTTTAATTGCCATGTTACTGACCTTAATGATTTCCAAAATAAAATAGGTATTAAGAGTTGCTTAATTATACTTCTTTAATATAACAACCAGGACATGTATTTTAACTTTGTGTAAATCATCTAGAGTTATTTCCATGTTAGTACATTTTGTGTAGGTATATTTCTGAGTGGGGCATTTACAGTGATAAAGAATTACATAATACCTTAAATTTGGTAAATAATTGACAGATATTTTAAAGTATATTCATAAAGCAGTAAAACCTCTTGTATTATGTTATCTTTAAATTATAATTAAGAAGGTTTTCTATATGGCTGTGTACACATTATCAAAATTGAACTTTTAGCACAAAAAGTTCAACTATTTGTATCAGTTATTTTTGTCAATTATTGGTTATTATGTTGCATTAAAACTATGGTAGTGAATATATTGTATTAAAAAAAAGAAAGGACCAAATGCCATATATTTGGGGTGGAAATTTGAGCCACAGTTGTGTATACTTACTTTTGCAATAGAAATCTATGTCAGATAGCCTAATAGTTTGGAAAACTCTTAAGATGCTAAAATGTCACAGCACAGTCAGGGATATGTATGACATTCAGTAGTATAAACAACAAAGTGTACATGAAACGTCCGTTAACGTTAAGTAATTGGAGTGAGAGTAGGAAAATGCTAATATAAAGGGGCTAGATTCTCTGCCCATTTTACGTCTAACTTAATATTTTCATTTTAACTAATTTTATTTCTCCCATTTTGTGAATGGGCTACAGGACTAAACTAATAACATTAGTTATACAAATCATTCCTATGTAAAATACTTTTGGTGTGAAATTAGAGTGAATAAACTTTTTATTATGATTGGGATTTTTTTCTTTTCGTTTCTGATGCCATCCGTTTAAGAATCAGTGTTCCAGAACAATTGGTATAGCTTTGCATGTTTCTGGCTGGTCGTGACAAATCAGCCACTGTACACTCATAGACAGCAGTACAGTACTTGTCACTGGTGGCCTTTCTGTGACAGAGAGCCTGAAGACTGACGTAAAGCGCAGCCTGTTGTGAACTGTCAAGTGAGTCTGCCAAAAACTCAGCAGACAGAACTAATTGCAGAGAAAAAGGACTTTTGTGCCCTCTTCTCTTTCTTTCCTTTCCTTTTTTTTTTTTTTTAATAAGACAGATATTGTTAAAGTAGCTTGTTTATGTAAGATTTGTCTGTCTCTCCTCTCATTGCCTGGATCCTTTTTTAACTTAAAGTCTTGCACTGCAGGTCGTTGAGGACTTCCACATGGAGATTGGCACAGGACCAGACTCAAGACACACAACTCATAACAGTTGATGAAAAATTGGTAAGGATTTTCTACTACACACTGCTATGGTTCTGCCTTCAGGGTTATTTTTGTACTATAGATATTCAGTATGGTGTTCCAGGTTTTCAGGAAAGTGATTTGAATTTGAATTTCTAGATTATACCTAAATTTTAAGAAGAAATATTTGTCATCAAAAGATAATTTATATTAAGCATTATAAACAAATACAAAACCATATGCAAATATTAATAAATTAAAATTATGAAAGGTTTTCATTTTTGTGGTGTTTATAACTAGCAGAACATTCATTACTTTTTGTAATGAATGTTTTGCTTTTTATTTTCTCAGTTACACTCCTATTTAAGTTGTGAGATACTTGCTAGTACTATCTAAAACTAAATATATTAGGTTTTCTTGGAAGCATGCAACATTTATTATCACTATATGTATATATGTATATGCATACAAACACATACACACACATTTTATTTCTTCATATGTATGAAGAAATAACTAGCAAGCAACTAGCAAACAACTAGCAAGACCAGCAACAAATGAGTAATAATGTTTTGTGAATCAGTAACAAACAGAATTTTGGCAGCCATCACTTATAAAATATTTTAGAGTGTGGTCTGTTACTTTACATGCAACTTTATATTTATGCTTCAATAGCATACATTTTGTAATGTTTCCAAAACTTCTGATAGAAATGAGTAATTGTATATGTGTGCTTTTCATTTTATATCTGGTTTACCATTATCAGTGTTTCTTAACTACCCCCTTTATTATTGTACAGTATTTTATCACTCAACTTTGAGCCTGTAAGCCCAATCTAAGTAATAGGTCACACTTAAATTTCTATTTGCACCATTAAAGATACAGACAAATAAATGTATAAGTAAATAGAGACAGTTTGGAAAATTCACATCTTGTGCTGACTGGTTTTATTTTAAAATTATCTCTTCAGTTTACCTACTGACATTGTCATCATCCTGATCTAGGTTACATCATCTTTCACCTAGATTTCTACAGTAGTCTTTGACCTGATCTCCCTAGACTCTTTAATCCTAATCTGATTAATTTTCCTTAGGATGCCAAAATAGTCTTTGAAATGCTGGTATTGTCACCCTCTTTTCGTCCTTTGGTGCTTCCTGTTGCCCTTAGAGTAAACACTAAAATCCTAACATGGTCTTTGACGTCTTGCCTGATTTAGCTCCTGCCTTCCTCTCTAGGTTTATCTTGTACCACTGTGTTTTACATTCTGTGGTCTAGCCACACCAAGCCTGGAACTTGCTACTCTTTTTCCTGCTTCAAGGCATTTGGAGTTCCTGTTCACTCTACCTGGATGCATTTTAACTAATCCTGAGGACTTCATCCGGTCACCATCTACCTATTCTTCAAATGGTAATCAAACACCACTTGCTTAGTCAAGTATAAAAGAAATGAGGGGCAGGGCATGGTGGCTCATGCCTGTAATCCCAGCACTTTGGGAGGCTGAGGCGGGTGGATCACGAGGTCAGGAGTTCGTGACCAGCTTGACCAACATGGTGATACCCCGTCTCTACTAAAAATACAAAAAATTAGCTGGGCGTGGTGGCGGGTGCCTGTAATCTCAGCTACTCAGGAGGCTGAGGCAGGAGAATCGCTTGAACCTGGGAGGTGGAGGTTGCAGGGAGCCGAGATCGCACCATTACTCTCCAGCCTGGGCAACAAGAGTGAAACTCAGTCTGAAAAACAAAACAAAAGAAATGAGGCAGTTATGTGTGTATGAAGTGAGGATGATTTTCACATCCTGTGTGTTCATTAATGAGAGCACTATTATTTTAATTTTTCCTATGAGCATCTTTTTTTAACTCTCAGGAGGTTGCCTTTTCTATAAAGTTTTCAAATTTTAGAGTTCACTAATAACTCTTCTAAGTTCTCTTCTTTCTAGTTTGAAGAATGAGTGAGTCAGCCAGTAATACATTGCCCTAAACAGAGTGCTATGAAGCATACAAGAGAGGTAGACAGACTGGATTGGTTTGGTATTTTTAATTATATGTCATAAAATCGGTTGCATACTGTTGAATTTTCTTGCCCTACCTAGATTTTCCCCAGCTTTGTTATACCTTTCTTGAAGTAATAGTTGTCCCTCAGTACCTGTAAGGGGATTGGTTCTAGGACTCCCCTCAAGTACCAAAATCCGTGGATGCTTAAGACCTGTGTTAGACTGTTCTCATATTGTTATAAAGAAATACCTGAGGTGGGACGCAGTGGCTCGTGCCTGTAATCCCAGCACTTTGGGAGGCTGAGGCGGGCAGATCACAAGGTCAGGAGATCGAGACCATCCTGGCTAACATGGTGAAACCTCATCTCTACCAAAAATACAAAAAATTTGCTGGGCGTGGCGGTGTGTGTCTGTAGTCCCAGCTGCTGAGGAGGCTGAGGCAGGAGAATGGCGTGAACCTGGGAGGCAGAGCTTGCAGTGAGCCAAGATTGCGCCACTGCACTCCGGCCTGGGCGATAGAGCGAGACTCCGTCTCAAAAAAAAAAAAAAAAAAAAATTAGCCGGGCATGGTGGTGGGCGCCTGTAGTCCCAGCTACTCAGGAGGCTGAGGCAGGAGAATGGTGTGAACCTGGGAGGCGGAGCTTGCAGTGAGTGGAGATGGCGCCACTGCACTCCAGCCTAGGTGACAGAGCGAGACTCTGTCTCAAAAAACAAAACAAAACAAAACCTGAGATTGGGTAATTTATAAAGAAAAGAAGTTTAATTGGCTCATGGTCCTGCAGGCTGCACAAGCATGGCACCAGCATTGCTCGGCTTGTGAGGAGGCCTTAGGGGACCTTTTACTCATGGTGGAAGGTGAAGTGGGAGCAGGCACATCATATGACAAAAGCAGGTGCAAGGGACAGGGTGGTGCCATACACTTTCTGTCATCCAGGCTGGAGTGCAGCGGCGCGATCTCGGCTCACTGCTACCTCCGCCTCCCAGTTCAAGTGATTCTTATGCCTCAGCCTCCCGAGTACCTAGGATTACAGGTGCCCGCCACCACGCCTGGCTAGTTTTTGTACTTTTAGTAGAGACGGTTTCACCCTGTTGGCCAGGCTGGCCTCAAACTCCTGACCTCAGGTAATCCACCTGCCTCGGCCTCCCGAAGTGCTGGGATTACAGGCATGAGTCACCGTGCCCACTGCCATACACTTTTAAATAACCAGATCCCATAAGAACTGACTATCACTAAGACAGCACTAAGCTCTGCATGAGAGATCTGCCTCCATAACCTAATCACCTCACATCCGTCCCCACTTTCAACATTGAGGATTACATTTCAACATGAGAGTTGGGCAGGGACAAATATGCAAACTGTATCAAGTCTTATATCAAATGGCATAGTATTTGCATATAACCTATGCATATTCTCCCATATACTTTAAATCATCTCTAGATTACTTACAATACCTAATACAGTGTAACTGTTATATTGTACTGTTTAGAGAATAATGACAAGAAAAAAGGAGGTATACGTTCAGTACAAATACAACCATACTTTTTCTTTTTTCAAATATTTTTTACCTGCAGTTGATTTAATCCACAATACAGAAGGCACAGATATGGAGGCCTGACTGTAGATCAGACCAGAATGTCACTATGGTTTTCCAGCTGAAATCAATTGGTTATTATCTTTGGTACATGGCAGACATTTTCTTGAAAATGAACCTGTCACTTCAAGGAGGTGTTGCCCATGATACACTTCAAGCGCAGTGATAGTTTTTCAACCGTTGTGCCCATCTCTCCTTCCCAGAACGGTCTTTAAATACTAGAAAGATGTCAAGCTCAATCACATCCATGGCAGAATTAAGTTCTATAAAAATTCTAACATTGTGTACTATGCTCAATACTTGGTTGATGGGATTTATCTGCCACAAATCTCAGCATCACAAAATATACCCAGGTAACAAACATGCACATGTACCTCTTGAATCTAAAATTAAAAATTGAAATTCTGTAAAAAAAAGAAAAAAAAGACTGTTCTAGTGGGATTGGTAATGACACTAACGGATGTGATTTTTGATACTGTGTAATGCAATATATTAACGTTTGGAATATCTATATACCTCTATGAACTAGTATTTTTCGTATGACCAGTGCATGATATAAAATCATGCATGGGTAAAAGTTTCCTTTAAAGTACAAAATAGAGCAATGGATTTTAAGTAATCAAGTATGAAAATATTAAGGCTATGAATATTTTGCTCCTTTTTCTAACTACATATCTGTATGATAATGAGTTTTCTTCATATATTGCAATAAAAACAATCCACCAAAACAGTTTGAATGCAAGAACAGATGTTAGAATTCAGCTGTCCTCCATTAAGCTAGATAGTAGATTTTCAAACGAGTGCCAAAATGCAAATGAGTGCCACTCTTCTCACTTTTCAGTTTTCAAAAATAGAGTTTTTTAAATTAAAATCTTTATATTATTACATAACTGGCTTATTTTACATTAAATTTATATTGTTTTCTTCATTTTAATTTATTATGTGATAGATATTTATGGATATACAGGCATACTTTGAAGATATTGCTGGTTTGGTTCCAGACCACCACAGTTAAGCAAATGCCACAATAAAGTGAGTCATGAAATTTTGTTTTGGCTTCCCAGTGCATATAAAAGTTATGTTTCTACCACACTGAGGTCTGCTAAGTGTGCATTAGCATTATGTCTAAAAAATAATGTACATACCTTAATTTTAAAACACTTTATTGCTCAAAAATGCTAACGATCAGCTGAGCCTTTAGGGAATCGTAATCATTTGACTGGTGGAAGGTCTTGCCTCCATGGTGGTGGTTGCTGAAGGTTGGGGTGGCTGTGGTAATTTCTTAAAATAAGACAACAGTGAACTCTGACACACTGATTGACCCTTCCTTTCATGAAAAATTTCTCTGTAGCATGTGACACTGTTTGATATCATTTTACTCACAGTGGAACTTCTTTCAAAATTGGAATCAAGCCTCTTAAACCCCACTGCTGCTTTATCAACTAAGTTTATGGAATAATCTAAATCCTTTGTTGTCATTTCAGCAACGTTCACAGTCTTTATCAGGAGTAGATTCTGTCTCAAGAAACGACTTAGCTCATGCATGAGAAGCAACTTCTGATTTGTTCCAGTTTAATCATGAGATTGTAGCAATTTAATCACTTGTTTAGGCTCCACCCACCACATCTGCAGTGACTTCCTCCACTAAAGTCTTAGATCCTTCAAAGTCATTCATGAGGGTTGGATTCAACTTCTTTCTTTTTTGTTTTTGTTTTCCCATATTGAATCAATATTTATTTCAGGACATGCCATGTCAAAATAAAACAAAGATTCAACTCTTGCCTTTAACAATTGTATTGTATTATAAAAGCACTTTACAACTCCATCCCATGTTTAAGTATAAGTTACTGGCATGTGGGCTAATGATTATCTGTAAGCATTTCTCTATTCAGATCCATAATCTAGGTGCTCTCTGAATATTACAAGGTGACAATAAGTGGGAAGTGGAGGAGGAAGAGGAAAGAGAGGGGACTAAGGTTCTCCCAGTTTAAGGTTTTGGACTCAGTTTCTTTCAAACGCGTGCTAATGTTGCTATTTTCATCTCCTATGAGTCACAAATGTTCTTAGTGGCATCTTGAATGGGGAATCCTTTCCGGAAGGTTTTCAATTTACTTTGTTCAGATCCATCAGAGGAATCACTATGGTAGCTATAGCCTTATGAAATGTGTTTCCTAAATAATAAGACTCAAAAGTCAAAATTACTCCTTGGTCCACGGGCTGCAGAGTGGATGTTGTGTTAGCAGGCATGAAAGCGACACCCTTGTACATCTCCATCTTGGGTGACCAGGTGCATGGTCAGTGAGCAGTAATATTTTGAAAATAATCTTTTTTTCTGAGCAGTAGATATTGACACTGGGCATAAAATATTTAGTAAACCATGCTGTAAACAACTGTGTTGCCATCCAGGCTTTGTTATTCATTTATAGAGCAGAGGCAGAAGAGATTTAGCATAATTCTTAAGGGCCCTAGGGTTTTCAGAATGGTCAGTGAGCACCGGAATTGCATTAGCCTCTAAGAGTCAGCCTGTCCTTTGAAGCTTTGAAGCCAGGCGTTGACTTCTCTCTAGCTATGAAAGTCCTAGCTGGCATCTTCTTCTGATACAAGGCTGTACATTGAAAATCTATTGTTTAGTATAGCCACCTTTATCAGTTATCTTATCTAGATCTTCTGGATCACTTGCTGTGGCTTCTCTGTCAGCACTTGGGCCTTCACCTTGCACTTTTATATTATATAGATGGCTTCCTCCTTAGACCTCATGAGCCAACCTCTGCTTTCCTCCCCTCTCAGTCTTCAAAGAATTGAAGAGACTTAGGGCTCCTGGCTCTAGATTAGACTTTGAATTAAGGGAATGTTGTAGCTGGTTTGATCTTCTATCCACTGAAACTTTCTCCAGTTAGCAATAAGGCTGTCTCTTTAGCCTTCTTATCATTCATGTGTTCACTGGAATAGCATTTTTAATTTTCCTCAATAACTTTTCCTTTGCATTCACAACTTGGCTGTTTGGTGCAAGAGGCCTGGCTTTTGGTCTGTCTAGGTTTTTGACATGCCTTCTTCACCTAGCTTAATCATTTCTAAATTTTTACTTAAAGTGAGAGACATGAGACTCTTCCTTTCACTTGAACTCTTATTGTTGGGTTATTAACTGGCCTAATTTCAATATTGTTGTCTCAGTGAATAGAGAGGCCCAAGGAAAGGGTGAGGTACGAGGAAATGGCTTGTCAGTGGAGGACACACACAACCTTTATTAATTTAGTTTGCTATCTAATATGGACGCAGTTTGTGGCACCCCAAAACAATTACAATAGTAACATCAAAGATCACGGATCACAGAGCACCATAACACATACAATGCAAAAGTTTGAAATATTGGGAGAATTGTCAAAATGTGACACAAAGACTTGAAATGAGCACACACCAGTAGACCTCAACAGAGGGTTGCCAGAATCCTTAAATTTGAAAAAACAAAAACATAAAAAAACAAAAAAAAAGAAGCACCATTAATCTGTGAAGCACAGTAAAGCAAAGTTCATAAAATGAGGTATGCCTGTATCTTTTATAAACAAAACCTTGGAGTCCCAGTAGTTTTTAACAGTATAAAGGAATCTCAACATCAAAAAGCTTGCGAATCATTCTCCTAAGTCTTCTCTTTTCTGGGTTAAACATCGCCAGGGCTTTGATTTATTTCATATGAGTTCCAGTTAATTAATCATCTTGATTGCCATCCAGTTTGAATCTCTTTTAAAATGTTTTTGCCAGAATTTTTCATACTACAGATGTGGTGCAGGTTGTGGTGGGGATTATTGCCTTTATTCCTTTTAATCATCGCAGTTCTAGTAAGGCAACTTTAAATTTAGGTTGTCATACTTATGTGGATTTCATGGAGAGCTAAAACCTCAGATTCTCTCTTTTGTGTGCTGTTATCAAGTCGTGTTTCTTTTCATCCATCTTTAGTATATGATCATTATTTTTAACATATTCACAGAGTCACTCATAGGACATCTTACCCAGTAAAGCTTATTTTATTTTTTTACTGTTACATTTTAGAATTTTCTATACAGTATACAATAAATTACAAGAATTTTCATAGTACTTTGTGGATGTCAGTGCTAATACAAGTACAAAGAAAAACTTGTGGTTTTTTTTTTTTTCTGGGCATCAATTATGTATCAACAACATGTATCTTATCTTTTTTTTAGGCATAAAATGTAGAAAGGAAAAGTCTGCTTAGCATTTTCTAGTGCAAGAATCTATTCTTTCATTTTGGAACTATATACAATGTTAACATTGTTGAGTACAAATCTTCAGATAATAAAATTGTGGCAAATCCTGGATTATTGTTAATAAAGAATATGGCCTCAGAGTACTTTCTATGTTTCTAATTAGTCAATTTTAGTTTGTTGTGTATAAACTGCTAACCTTTTTACCCTTGAAACTAACAAGAATGTAAATATCAAAAGAGTAGATGACAGCATCTGAAAATAATCCTGTAAGCTTATGTTTAGAAGCACAATGCTTAAAAAAAAAAACTTTTTGTGGACTGTACCATTATTTCCTAATATATGATACTTCCTACAGATACTAAGGAGATCTTATAAATGGTTGTTTGCTTGGCCCTTGGTTTTTGTTGCAGGAGGAGCTGTGCCATGAGGTTAGGTGAAGAATGTCTTTGCCTTTGTGCTTTATTATGAGGGTAACTTTTTTTTCTTTATGCCTCCCTCCACCTCAGTCTCCTTTCAGGACATTTGATGAATACGCAAGTCCAATGAACATGTTGTCTTTTTTATATTCACTTCAGCTATACAAAAGAGAGAAGTTAAATTTGCAATGCTCTTTAAAGATTTTGAGTAGGTACTCCCCTAAAAAACAACCAAAATATTAATTAGTCCTACATAGGTATACCTTCAATTTGCTTTCTGATCATTTTTTTAGCCCATTTTTTACACACTGATTCCTATAACTATTTAGTACAGTTAAAATATTACTAAGAAAATAGAAAAATACCCTCAGAAAATATAGTAGTTTCAATTTATTAGTAAAAATGACACAAAATAAGCTTTAATAGTTTAGACATTACATATATTGTTTTTATATAAATTATGTTGGCTGCTATCTCTCCTTCATTCTTTGTTTATTTATTCAATAAATACTTACATATGCCAGGCACTATGCTTCAGTGTTGTATTGACACTTTACATTGTTTTCATTTATATGCTAAGTTATTTTGTTTAAAAACTATTAAGCACCACCTGTTTTAACTTTTACAAAGGTAGTATAGTTAGTTAGATATGCATCCTCAATTTAAATATATGTGAAAAAGGAAACTTTTTATTTAGCAATCTGTAAAACTTAAATCTTTTGGGAGTGTGTGGAGTGAGGAAGGACATCTATTATTTCAAAACTTTTTTGAGAAATTATAGCACAATGCTATTAATGTAAAATCCTAATAGTTTTGACATTTTTAGCACTCTAATAATATCTTTATTTAAAAATCAGGTGTGCCTGTAAAACAAATGTTGTCAGTATTCTGAATGTTGCCAATTGGTTGTATTTTGCTACTTGAAAATTTCTTCCAAATAGCAATTAAACAGCACTTAAGCTTTGGTACTTGCTGAGGCTTGCAATAAATAAATCGCTGTTTGATTAATTAGCACACGGTACTGGTAGCATGCTCAGCCGATGAGGTTTTAATATTGCTGTGTTAGAATGTCTGTAAGCAGCAGCAAGTTATTTAATACAATTTTTTTGTCAATTTGTAATAGTTAAAAACATTTTATTACTCGAACTTATTCTAAGAAGTTTGTAAAATTGAATGGTTTTTGCAAGTCTTCGAAAATAAAACAACTACGTTTGCTGTACAAGTATTTGTTGGTTTTATGTTGTTTTTTCTTCCTGACATACTAAAAGTTTATAGATGAAAACTTATATAAGTCTGCAAACTTGAATTAAAAATTGATCATTAAGAGGTGACCTACACAAAAAGATAACCTTAAGTTAAAGGCTTACTTTTGCTTTGACTGTTTACTTTTTTTTTCCCCCTCTAAGGGGTCAGTTTTCTTTTGGTGAGATTACTTTCTTTTGGTGTATGGCAGTGCTATCTCTGCTAGATTACTGGAAGGAGTAGTGTCTGCGATTGGGGTTATACAGCTTTCTAGCATCTCAAGTGTCTGTTTTGTCTGGACTTTACTCACGCAGCATTCTTGTGCAAAAATTTCAAGGCTTTAGTCTGGAGCACTGGGTCAAAGGATATGTCTCTTTGAAGGGTAGACAGGAGTTTTTTATGTTTTATTCACTAAGTAGTATTTCATTTTACATCAAAGAATAGCAGCCTTTGAGAACCTACCATGGTGGCAGTTTAGCGTGTGGGTTTTTTTCTTTAAGACTTTCACTAAATATGTATAATGTTTCTTCAAGTGTTTCATCCTACAAAATGCCTATTTTTATTCTTAGATGAAACTTCTAATATAAAAAGAGAAGAATCATGACTAAATATAAATGTTTGTTGCAATAAATTTTGTTTTAAAAGCAACTATAGTTTTTTTTTTTTTACAATGTATTTCCCTGTGTCAGTTTTTACACTACCCACAAGCTATTGAAAAAAAAAAAAATGGATGAATAGCCTTTAAGATTGCAGCAATACTGTTGCTTAAAATTCTAAGGAAGCAGTAATGACTAGTGATTTTGGAAGTGTAGATTTCATAGTGAAATGGTCATTCCTTAATTGTTCCTTTTTTAGTACTGTCATGTGTGTATGTAGGAGAGATTGATTTTGAAAAATACCAGACTCAAGTAATGGAAAATGTTAAGACTTCTTGAAGCTAGAAGGAAAGCTCTTCTTTTTGTACTTTTTGTGTAAGTTAATCAGTAAATAATCATATAAAAAGTGATTGCTTTACATGTTTGGAAGATTATTACATTGTATTTCATATTTTTGTCTCATGACATGTATCTATAAACATGAACTAATATTAAAAGTTTTTTATGTTTATAAATAAAACATGCTCTTAAATAGTTGAAAGTTTATCAAAACAGTTAATCATTTAAAATGAATTTTTTCTACTCTCCTTGATGTAATTTTAAAACCTGTTATATTTAACTATGATGATCATTAAAACAAGTCAGTTATTATTTTTCAAATGTAATTATTTCTAAATTCTTTAGATAAATAAAATTCTGCAGAACTTTGTTGTTTAAAATATATGCTTATTGAAATGCTATTTTTATGTAGTATCAAGCTGTGTAAAACTTACATGTACTAAATATCACAAAGAAAATGAATGTTAAGTATTACAGTTTTTATATACAGACAGGAACCATTAAAACTTAGAGAATGATCGTTCTATATTTAAATTGTTTAAGGAACAAAAGATCTTTCCCCTACAGTATTCAGCCATCTCTATTATCTGTGATTCTTCAGCAATTAAAGCAGATTTATTTCCCTCTTTGTTCCTACTTGGAATACTTGAACAATACTGGAGAATTGAACTGACTGAAATGTTTTATCTTTCAAAAGGTTTAAAGTTCTATGTACCAATTAGCAAAATACAGTAAAGGTTTAAACTGTTAATAGCCACAACATCTTTAATGCATAGACCTGTAGTATGCTAGTGCTGTATAACAGTTCTCCATTGTGTGTCTCTTTTAAGCAGAGTAACTGTGTCAGTTCTTTTCTTGCTTTACTACCTGCTGTGTATGGAAATTGTGTATCGTACTTGACACTTGCTTTCAAGAATTTAAAATTCTTGCATGTTATTATGTAGGAAACTTTGGCTCTCAAGAAAATAGAATTGATAATATTTCATTTGTTTGGATTTTAAGTTTAGGTTTTTTGTCATATTCTAGAGAGTACTCATTTATATCTGAAAATACATTATTAGTCTATTACTCATTAGTGAATTTGAAGTACATAAACTGTATGTTATCTCCTTGAAAATTGCTTATCTAATTTTTTTCATTTAACTGAATATAATTATAAAGAAACCATCAAATTTATGGTAGGGTATGCAGATAGATCCCTGATGCTTTATTTTACACTCTATTTGAATTTGGTTTTGGGTTTTTTGTTTTGTTTTGTTTTGGTCTTTTTGGTAGTAAATAGTACTTTGTTTTTAAAGTTATAGCTCTTGAATTAGCCAGCTTGCCAGATAAGTTTATAACTCAAGAATTAATCCAAATACTTAAACTTGTTAAAGCCTTATATCTGCCATTTTGTAGTAAGTTCTCAATGAAGGTAGGGTGAGAGGAGGTAAAGAAATAGAAGTAGTATCTTTTGGTGACAATTATATTTTCTTTTTATATCATGTATCTCAGAATAGAATTAGAGCAAAAGAAAGGAGAACGTAGACTTTAAAATTTGAGACTAGCAAACTTTGATTCTATTTCTGTGTTCAGGTTTTCTAATTTTATATGACCTAGTGTCTGCTTCTATTCTACTCTTCAAAATACCACCTGCAAGCATGTGAGATATTCATGTTTTATAAGATGGGGAAGTTTGAAAAATAGGGCAGTGATATGGAAGCTTTACTGTATGCAGTATACTATGTCTCCACAAAACTGCTTCTTTATAAGGCATACTTTTCTAGAAATGTGTGAATAGGCTTTTTGTTCAGTTGCTGTTTCATGTTTAATACTTTACTTCTAAAGGCTTTCAGCATATTTCATGTTAGTTGATGAGGGTTTTTAAAATGTTAATGCTTCCAATAAAATAGACATGAAAAATAAACTTGGCTTTCTCTAAACAACATATAGGATACAGAAATATACCAAAATGTTGGGCTGAGAATGCTAACTTAAAGAACTGAGGATCTGATTAGTGTACCGATGTACATCTATTCCAGTGATTACTGAGTATATATTGTGTAAATTAAGATGTATCCATTAAAGATAATTTTTAAACCTAATTGGGTAGTTTAAGATTTGACATCCAAAGAATTAAAACAAGATTTCTGATTTAGTATGCATTATAATATCTTAAACATTCAAATATGGCAGCTATAGCCTGTGCCTAGGTTGCTCTGAGATTAGAAGTCCTCTAGATCTAGTAGTTTTCATCTAGGACAATCTGTAGTTGTGAAGATCATTCAAGATATTTTTTTACTTGTCTCTTATTTATAATGTAAAATATTATTATCCTTTCCTTCATTCATTCAATTTTTTTTTTTTAGCATATTCTAGGCCCTGGGGATGTAGCTATGAACAAAGCACAACAACCATGTCCTTAGAGCTTATATTCTCATGCTTAAGCATATGCCAGCTTTATTCATAAATAATTATGGTATTTTTCATAGATTATGAATATTATGGAAAAAACAAAGCTAGGTGATGAGACAGAGAATAGCTGGGGTTTGGGTGGAATAGGGGTCATTTAAGTAGGGCAGTCAACGAAACCCACTTTGAGATGTTGTGCTGTGTGAATTAAGATCTGAATTGATGAGAAAGAAGCAGCTGTGTGAGTATCTAAGGTAAGAGCATTTTGAGTAAAGGGAAAAGCTAATGACCAAAAGTGTAGCTGGTAGTAGTCAAATAACAGACGGAAAGATATGACATAATAAGAAAGGAGGAGAATGATATAAAATGAGATCAGAGATGTGGGCAGGAGCTGGATCAGGTAAGAAGGCTCTTTAGGCCCATAGTAAGAAATTTGAATATTATTTGAATTATAATGAGAAGGCTTTATATAATTCTAAGTAGAAAAGTGGTTTGATCCGATTTACTTGTAAAAGCTAGAAAATTACTAAGCTATTATGGTTAAGGGCAACTTTAAAGAAGCTCAAAGGAAATGGTTAGTTTGCTGCCATTTTAATTTGAAGGAACCTAATTTTTGTCTTTGCATAGGTTTTATATACGATATAACAATTTGGTGATTTTTTTTCTATTAAAGAATCTTCTGAATTTGAAATTGCTTTTTGAGAAAGGCAGTATTGGGACCAGGAATAATAAACTCATCTCTCTAATTCTCCATAGCCCTTCTTTCTCTGCCCTGCCCCCTTCTCCACCAAGGGAAAACATGTTAAAGATTTGTCATAGTGGTAAAGGAAGATAAGAATAAATTGGCTGAGGTGCTGTCCACCAGTTTGGTGCTGATAGCTTCAAATATATTTGAGTTCTGCACCTTGCTTTTGCCAGTGGCATGGGTTGATGGTGATAGTTGTCTGTCTTCATCTTAACTTTGACTGCACTTCCTCTTGTTCTGCCTCTCCTTTCCCCCCTCTTACTCTCTGCTTCTTGAAATCTCTCTTCACAGTTTGTATGGCTTTTCCCCTCTGTCTTTTGACACTCTGTCTTTTGCTGACTATGTAGCTGTAGGTCATCTCTCTCTCCCTTTCTGGCTACATGTGTTTTCCTGATACCACCTTATTCCCTTCCATTTTTTTCATTTTTCCTGCCTTCCCTTCTGTCTCTCTCTAGTTTTGGCTTTCTGAGTCATTCTTTGGCCGTCATTTTTTCCCCCACTCCCCTGTCTCTTCTACCGCCCGTTTTCTTCTTCCTTCCATTCTTTTTATTCCGTACTTCTGTTCCTTTTATCTTTCTTCTTCTTTCTCTCACTTTCCCAAAATGACTAAGGAGCAACATCAAAACTAGTGGGAGAGACAAAAGGTGCCCCACCCTCTAAGCACTTTTTTAAAAATTGTCATATTTCCTCTTTTGTAAATATATAGGACTTTTAGAAACATTTAATAACTGAAAAATGGTTTATACATTATTACATTATTTGAAATGTTCACTCTAGTGAGATACATGGGATAATGGCAAGATCATGGACTAATTATAAATATAGCCTTAGATCTTTAGTCATCTCTTCTTTTAGCTGTATAACCTGAAGCAAGTTATTTAACCTCTGTGAGTGTCCTCATCTTATAAAATGAATATACCTTTTTATATTTGTTTTGAAAGTTAATTGAGAATACCAACACTAAACAAGAGGAGAGCCTGGATGCAGTGGCTCACAACTGTAACCCCAGCACTTTAGGAGGCCTAGTTGTGAGGATCACTTGAGCCTAGGAGTTTGAGACCAGCCCAGGCAAATGGGGAAACCTCGTCTCTTCCAAAAAAAAATTAGCCGAGGGTAGTGGCGCGTGCCTGTGGTCCTAGCTACCTGGGAGACTGAGGCAGGAGCTGAACTATTAATACTCAGGAGATTGAGGTTGCAGTGAGGCGTGATCATGCCACTGCACTCTAGCCTGGGTGACGGAGTGAGACCCTGTCTCCAAAATAAATAAATAAATAACGCATTATGTTCATTATTCACTAAAAAGTGTTTTTCTTCCTTTTTTTGCTACTTGGAGTTGTTAGCCTGGAGAGAGAAGCAAGCTGGAATTATAATTATTATTCTTAATCAGTTTTGAATTATTATGGAGCCCATTCTTGTGAATCAAATCTGCAGTGCAGGTACTAAGTTCTAGGGCACCCTGGAGCACAATATTGGCTTCACAGTGGTCCTGTGTTAGTCATGTGTGTATACGTATGTACATGTATAGTTGGTAATGATTTTTGTCATGTAACTTGCCTTTTCTAACAGCCTGTGGCACTAATATCATCTGTGATATTATCTCTCAATATACAGTTTCTGACAATCAACTATGTAATTCTTTAATTGGTAGATAGGTGTATTGCTATATAATTATCCTTCCAGTGAGAAATTTCTTTATTCTTTTTAATGGTGGAAATTTGTAACTGTATTACTTCAAGGAAGTTTCCAAAGTACTTATTCCTATTATTATATTTGGTCATTAAACCCTGTGTAATTAAAAAATTACTGGTTTTAGGCTGGGCACAGTGGCTCAAACCTGTAATCCTAGCACTTTGGGAGGCTGAGGTGGGTGGATTGCCTGAGCTCAGGAGTTCAAGACCAGCCTGGGCAACATGGTGAAACCCCGTCCCTACTAAAATACAAAACATTAGCTGGTCGTGGGGTCACGTGTCTGTAGTCACAGCTACTCAGGCGGCTGAGACATGAAAATTGCTTGAACCCGGGAGGCGGAGGTTGCAGTGAGCTAAGATCGCGCCACTCTACTCCAGCTTGGGCAACCGAGTGAGACTGTCTCCAAAATAATAATAATAATAATAATAATAATTACTGGTTTTAATAGTAAGGCATAGACATATCAAAAATCACATTAGAGGCCGGGCACGGTGGCTCACACCTGTAATCCCAGCACTTTGGGAGGCCGAGGCAGGTGGATCAGGAGTTCAAGACCAGCTTGGCCAACATAGTGAAACCCCTTTTCTGCTAAAAATTTAAAAAAAAAAAAAAAAAATTAGCCGGGTGTGGTGGCGGGTGCTTGTGGTGGCGGGTGCTTGTAGTCCCAGCTACTTGGGAGGCTGAGGCAGAATCGCTTGAACCCAGAAGGCGGAGGTTGCAGTGAGCCAAGATGGCGCCACTGCACTCCAGCCTGGGTGACACAGCAAGACTCTGTCTCAAAAAAAAAAAAAAAAAAAAAACACATTATACATCATAAATATATCAAATTTTACTACCAATAAAAAAGATACATATTTTTTAAAAACATAGTAATATGTACATGTTGTGGAAACATTAATTTGGAAATGAAGAAAGCATAATGAAGAAAATTAAAATCACCTTAATCTCAGTCTTGGTGAATTTACTTCTTTTTTATATGAATATTTAAACACACTAATATCTAATGTATTTATATGTAAGACAAATTGTTTTACAGTTTTTTATCCTGTTTTTCACTTTATTATAATGTGACTATATTTCTTTAAAATTATTCAAAAGCATAATTATAAACGAATGTATAATCTTTCATTGTATGGCTGTACCATAATACCTTAGCCATCATGCAGTTTTTGTACTGCAGGTTGTTTACAATTTTTTGCAACTATACGCAATGCTAGAATGAACATCTTTATACCTAAGTCTAATCTTTGATGACATCTTTATTTTAGTATCAATTCTTTGAAGTGGAATTACTAAATTGAAGGGTTTAGTATCAACATTTTAGGCCAGGCGCAGTGGCAAGGTGGGAGGATTGCCTGAGCCCAGGAGTTCAAGACCAGCCTGGGCAACATCGCAAGACCCCATCTCAAAAAATGTAAAAAAAAAAAAGTATCAACATTTTAAATATTTTTTGATACCTAGAGATAATTGATACAGAATGCTTTTAGAGAAGATTTTACCAATGTAACTTTAGAGATATGGCTTTATTTTTAATATACATGGCCTAGTTCTGTGGATACTTTTCAGACTCTGACACAGGGGGCATGTAGCAAATTCTACCTAATAGATAAATACCATATATCTAAGAATTAGAGTATAATAAAAATACTTAATACATTAATGATGCAACATTGATTTAGAAGTACTTCAAGGCTTAGTATATATATCCTAAGGATCAACTTACAAATTTATGTATCATTGTACTATAAATTGGTGGATATTGCTGGTTGATGAGATTTCTATCACAAATCTCTGTATACTAGGCCAATGCATAGCAGTTAGTGCTACAGAAGCATTAACTATTGCTGCTGCTGCTACATTAGTACCACTGTTACTATTATTTTATAAAGCATTATAACAGAGTTTGTGGCATAATGTATCTGAGGAAGTTATGAAACTTTCTACCTATTCTTACATTCAGTCTATGTTTTTGTTTTGTTATAAAGCCTTTCCAAAACAATGCAAGGTAAACATCATCCTCTGAAATATCTACAGTACTTCATCATTTATTTGGCGAACTACATTATTACTGATTTCAAATTTAATTCTGTAGTCAGCAACATACTCTATGATTTCAATTTTCAGATTTCTTGAGACTTTTTTATCGCCTAGTGTATGGTCTGTCTTGATTAATGTTTCATACACATTTTGAAAGAATATGCATTCTCCAGTTTTTGGGTTGGGTGTTCCAAAAATTTCAATTAAGTTTTAAGTTGACTAATAGTGTTACTCACATTTTGTATATCTTTACCAATATTTTTGTCCACATTTTCTGTTAGTTCTTGAGAGAGAAGAGTTAACGTCTCAAACTATAATTGGTATCTTTCCTGTGTGTGTTGGATCACATTTTTGCTTCACTTATTTTGAAACTACTGTTGGTTGGTGCATTAACATTGAAAATTGTTGTGTGTTCTTGATAAGTTGTTGCTTTATTCTTATGTGATGTCCCTCTTTATCCTGGTGCTGTTTCTTTTTCTGAAGTCGAATTTGATAATAATATATAACTGCCTCAGTTTTCTTATTCTTAGTTTTGTATGGTACATCTTATTCTCATTTGTGAGTTTATATTTAAAGTTTGACCTTTGCGATTATATGTGGGTCTTACTTTTTTATTTAGTTTGACAATTTCTGTCTTTTAATTTTGTGTTTAAAAAATTATGTGCAAAATATTTATTGATATAATTGGGTTTACATTTACCATCTTGCTGCTTGTTTTCTATTTGTCCTATCTGATTTCTTTTTTCTTTCTTTTTTGTTTTAACAGTTGCTTTAGGGATTACAATATGCATCCTTAACTTTTCATAGTCTGCCATGAACTAATAATGTATTACTTCATATGTAACATAAGAACCTTAAAACAGTACTTCCACTTGTCATTCCAGTCCTTTGTGTTAATGTTGACACACATTTTACTTCCATATTTGTTATAAACCTCATAGTAAATTTTTTTTTTTTTTTTTTTTTTTTTTTTTGAGACGGAGTTTCGCTCTGTCGCCCAGGCTGGAGTGCAGTGGCGCGATCTCAACTCACTGCAAGCTCCGCCTCCCGGGTTCACGCCATTCTCCTGCCTCAGCCTCCCGTGTAGCTGGGACTACAGGCGTGCGCCACCATGCCCGGCTAATTTTTGTATTTTTAGTAGAGACGGGGTTTCACCGTGTTAGCCAGGATGGTCTCGATCTCCTGACCTCATGATCTGCCCGTCTCGGCCTCCCAAAGTGCTGGGATTACAGGCGTGAGCCACCGCGCCCGGCCGTAAATTATTATTTTTGCATTAAACAGTTGTCTTTTAAATAAATTTAGAAGTGAGAAGAAAAATCTTTTGTACTTACTCACAAATTTATCATTTTTGTTGCTCTTAATTATTATACTTCATGTAGATAAAGTTTCCATCTGGTATCCTTTTCCTTTAGCCTAAAGAGCCTTATTTAACATGTCTTACAGTGCTGTTCTGTTGGGCAGAAATCTCTCAGCTTTTGTTTATCTAGAAATCCCTTTATTTTGACTCCACTTTTGACAGACCTTGTCTTAGCTCAGGGTGCCACAACAAAATACCATAGACTGGGTGGTTCAAACAACAGAAATTTAGTTTCTGACAGTTTTGAAGGCTAGAATTCCGAGGTTAAGGTACCAGCATGGTCGTTTCTGTTGAGGGCTGTCTTCCTAGCTTGTGGAAGGCCACCTCCTTGATGTGTCTACATGGCCACAGAGAGAGAGAAAAAGCAGGTGAGCTTTGTCATATCTCTTCTCATAAGGGCACTAATCCCATTATGAGGGCCTTACTCATGATCTCATCTAACCCTAATTACCTCCCAAAGGCCCCATTTCTAAATACCATCACATTTAGGATTAGGGACTCACTATACAAATTTTGGGAGAATACAAACATTCAGTTCATAACAGACCTTTTCATTGGATATAGAATTCTAGGTTGAAGATTGGAATGACTTAAAAATGTCATTCCAGTTTCCTTTTTTGAAAAATTATGTTAAAATATACATTGCACAAAGTTTACCATTTTTAAGAGCACAATTCAGTGGCATTAACCACATTCATAATGTTAAGTAATCATCACCACTATTTCCGGAGCTTTTTCATCATCCCGAATAGAAACTCTGTACCCATTAAATATTAACTGTCCTTTATGCTCTCCCCTGTTCCTCATAACCTCTATTATACTTTCTGTGTTATAGCATGTGTCAGAATTTCATTCCTTTTAAAGGCTCTACATAATAGTTCCATTTTATGTGTATATCACACTTTGTTTATCCATCCTTCTGTCGTCGAACATTTGGATTGTTTCTAGGGCTATTGTAAATAATGCTGCTATTAATATGGATGTCTAAATATTTGTTCAAATCTCTGCTTTCAAGTTTTTAGGAAGATGCCCCAAAGTAGAATTGTTGGATCATGTAGTTATTATACGTTGAGCATTTTGAGGAACTACATACTGTTTTCCATATTGGCTGCACCATTTTACATTCCCACAGCAATACACAAAGGTTCCAGTTTCTCTGCATCCTCACCAACATGTGTTATTTTCCATTTTCATTATAATAGCCATCCTAATGTGTGTGAAGTAGTATCTCAGTGTGGTTTTGATTTGCATGTTCTTAATAAATTAGTGATGTTGAGCATCTTTTTGTGTGTTTATTTGCCGTTTATGTATCTTTGGAGAAATGTCTATTCAAGTTCTTTGTTCATTTTGAATTAGGTGTTTGTTTTTTTGTTGAGTTTTCAGGGTTTTCTGTATATTCTGGATCTTAATCCTCTATCAGCTAGATGTCCTTTGATGCACAAAAATTTTAATTTTGATGACGTCTGATTTATCTGTATTTTTTTGTTGCATGTGCTTTTATTGTCATATCCAGTAATTCCTTGCCAAATTCACTGTCGAAGATTTCCTCCTATGTTTTCTTCTCAAAGTTTTACAGTTTTAGCTCTTCCATTGAGGTCTTTGATCTGTTTTTTTGTTTGCTTGTTTGTTTGTTTTGAGACGGAATCTCCTCTGTCACCCAGGCTAGAGTGCAGTGGC
Source organism: Homo sapiens (assembly GCF_000001405.40). Classification (NCBI taxonomy): domain Eukaryota; kingdom Metazoa; phylum Chordata; class Mammalia; order Primates; family Hominidae; genus Homo; species Homo sapiens. The sequence continues at coordinate 53,623,780 of NC_000005.10, forward strand.
GCAATCTCGGCTCACTACAACCTCTGCCTCCCGGGATCAAGCGATTCTTCTGCCTCAGCCTCCTGAGTAGCTGGGACTACAGGCGTGCACCACCATGCCCTCCTAATTTTTGTATTCTTAGTAGAGATGGGGTTTCACCATATTGGCCAGGCTACTCTTGAATTCCTGACCTCATGATCTGCCTGCCTCAGCCTCCCAAAGTGCTGGGATTACAGGCATGAGCCACCACGCCCGGCCCTTTGATCCATTTTTAGTTAACTGTTGTATATGGTGTAAGACAAGGATTCATTTTCATTCTTTAGAATTGGATATCCAGTTTTCCCAGCACCATTTGTTGGTGCTTTCCACATCAAATGGTCTTGGCACTTCTTTAAAAAACCAATTGGCTATATATGCAAGGGTTTATTTCTAGGCTATTTTATTTCATTGGCCCATATATCTATTCTCTGTCATACCAAACTAATTATTGTAGCTTTGTAGTAAGTTTTAAAATCGGGATTTATGAGTCCTCCAGCTTTGTTCTTCATTTTCAAGATTGTTTTGAAACAAAGATTTCACGTGAATTTTAGGATGGATTTTTCTATTTCTACCCCCAAAATGTCACTTTTTATAGGGATTGCATTGAATCTGTAGATTGATTGCTTTGGGTAGTATTGTCATCTTAACAATACTGATGTTTCCAGTTGATGAACACAGGATGTCTTCCCACTTACTTATGTCTTTAATTTCTTTTAACAGTGTTTTGCGGTTTTCAGTGTACAAATCTTTCGTTTTCTAAGTTTGTTCCTAAGTATTACATTCTTTTCTATGCCATTGTAAATGGGATTGTTTTTGTAATTTACTTTTTAGATTGTTCATTGTGAGTGTATAGAACATAACTGATTTTTGTATATTGATTTTATATTTGCAACCTTGGTGAATTTGTTTATTATCTCTAACAGGTTTTTTTGGTGGAATCTTTAGGGATTTTCACATATGTCATCTGGGAACAGAGATAATTATACATCTTTACAAGTTTGGATGGCTTTTATTTCTTTTTCTTGTCCAATTGCTCTGGCTAGAACTTCCAGTACTACATTGAATAGAATTAGTAAAAGTGGGCATCATTGTCTTTTTCCTCATATTAGAGGAAAAGCTTTCAGTCTTTTCTGGGTTTGTGTTGTTGTTTGGTGTGTTTTGTTTGTTTGTTTGTTTTTGTTTTTTGAGATAGGGTCTCTGTGCAGTGGCATAATCTTGTCTCACTGCAGCCTTGAACTCCTGAGCTCAAGAGATCCTCCCACCTCATCTTCCTGAGTAGCTGGGAATATAGGCACACACCACTATACCCAGATAGTTTTGGCTTTATTTTTTGTAGAAATGGGGTTCGCCATGTTACCCAGGCTGGTTTTGAACTCCTGAGCTCATGCAATCTGCCTGCCTCAGTCTCCCAAAGTGCTGGGATTACAGTTTTCTGTTTTCTTTTATCATCATTACTGTGTAGGTAATGTGTCTTTCTTAAGACTACTTTTATGATAATTATCTTATCTTTAAACTTCAGAAATTTTGTTATACTGTGTTTTTGTGTGGTTTTCTTTACATGTATCTTGGTTAGGGTTCATTAAGATTCTTGGAATTTTTGATTAGTATTCTTAAAAATTGGAAAATTTGGAAATTTTTCTTCAAAAAACATTTCTGCTTCAATCTTTCATCTTCTGTAACTATAACACTTATATTGTACTGCTTAATATTTTCCAGCCAGTCACTGAGGCCCAGTTTGACTTCCAGTCTTTTTCCACTATGTAGTGCAATTTGGTTAGTTTCTATTGTCCTGTCTTCAAATTTACTGATCTTTTCTTCTGTTGGTGTCCAATTTTCTATTAATCCCTTACAGTATTTATCATTTTAGATACTATATTTTTCAGCTCTAGAATTTCTATTTAGTTCTTTAATATAGTTTCCATTATTCTGCAGAAATTTTTGAAATGTTCACTCATTTTGTCCATCTTTTTTCTTGAAATCTTTTAACATATTTATAGTCATTATTTATAAACCTACATCATTTCAGGGCCTATTTCTATTGATTATTTTGTTATTGTAGTTGTTGTTTCCCTTTTACATACACATTTAATGATTTTTTTAAAATTATACTTTAAGTTCTGGGGTACATGTGCACAACGTGCAGGTCTGTTACATAGGTATACATGTGCCATGCTGGTTTGCTGCACCTATCAACTCATCATTTACATTAGGTATTTCTCCTAATGCTATGCCTCCCCTAGCCCCCCACCCTCTGATGGGCCCTGGGTTGTGATGTTCCCCGCCCTGTGTCCAAGTGTTCTCATTGTTCAACTCCCACTTATGAGTGAGAACATGCGGTGTTAGGTTTTCTCTTCTTGTGTTACTTTGCTGATAATGATGGTTTCCAGTTTCATCCATGTCCCTGCAAAGGACATGAACTCATCCTTTTTTATGGCTGTATAGTATTCCATGGTGTATATGTGCCACATTTTCTTTATCCAGTCTATCATTGATGGGCATTTGGGTTGGTTCCAAGTCTTTGCTGTCGTGAACACTGCCGCAATAAACATGTGTGCCTGTGTCTTTATAGTAGAATGATTTATAATCCTTTGGGTACCCAGTAATGGGATTGCTGGGTCAAATGGTATTTCTAGTTCTAGATCCTTGAGGAGTCACCACACTGTTTTCCACAATGGTTGAACTACTTTACACTTCCACCAACAATGTAAAAGCGTTCATATTTCTCCACATCCTCTCCAGCATCTGTTGTTTCCTGACATTTTAATGATCGCCATTCTAACTGGCATGAGATGGTATCTCATTGTGGTTTTGATTTGCATTTCTCTAATGACCAGTGATGATGAGCATTTTTTCATAAGTTTGTTGGCTGCATAAATGTCTTCTTTTGAGAAGTGTCTGTTCATATCCTTCACCCACTTTTTGATGGGGCTGTTGGTTTTTTTTCTCATAAATTTGTTTAAGTTCTTTGCAGATTCTGGATATTAGTCCTTTGTCAGATTGATAGATTGCAAGCATTTTCTCCCATTCTGTAGGTTGCCTGTTCACTCTGATGATAGTTTCTTTTGCTGTGCAGTAGCTGTTTAGTTTAATTAGATCCCATATGTCTATTTTGACTTTTGTTACAATTGCTTTTGGTGTTTTAGTCATGAAGTCTTTGCCCATGCCTGCATCCTGAATGGTATTGCCTAGGTTTTCTTCTAGGGTTTTTATAGCTTTAGGTCTTACATTTAAGTCTTTAATTTATCTTGAGTTAACTTTTGTATAAGGTGTAAGGAAGGGATCCAGTTTCAGCTTTCTACATATGGCTAGCCAGTTCCCAGCACCATTTATTAAAAAGGGAATCCTTTCCCCATTGCGTGTTTTTGTCAGGTTTGTCAAAGATCAGATGGTTGTAGATATGTGGGGTTGTTTCTGAGGCCTCTGTTCTGTTCCATTGGTCTATATATCTGTTTTGGTACCAGTACCATGTTGTTTTGGTTACTGTACCCTTGTTGTATAGTTAAAAGTCAGGTAGCATGATACCTCTAGCTTTGTTCTTTTTGCTTAGGATTGTCTTGGCTATGTGGGCTCCTTTTTGGTTCCATATGAAATTTAAAGTAGTTTTTTCGAATTCTGTGAAGAAAGCCAGTGGTACCTTGATGGGTATAGCATTGAATCTGTAAATTACTTTGGGCAGTATGTTTATTTTCACGATATTGATTCTTCCTGTCCATGAGCATGGAATGTTCTTTCGTTTGTTCGTGTCCTCTTTTATTTCTTTTTGCAGTGGTTTGTAGTTCTCCTTGAAGAGGTCCTTCACATCCCTTGTAAGTTGGATTCCTAGGTATTTTATTCTCTTTGTAGTAATTGTGAATGGGAGTTCACTCAAGATTTGGCTCTCTGTTTGTCTGTTATTGGTGTATAAGAATGCTTGTGATTTTTGCATATTGATTTTGTATCCTGAGACTTTGCTGAAGTTGCTTATCAGCTTAAGGAGATTTTGGGCTGAGACCATGGTACTTTCATGATACACAATAATGTCATCTGCAAGCAGAGACAATTTGACTTCCTCTTTTCCTAATTGAATACCCTTTATTTCTTTCTCTTGCCCGATTGCCCTGACCAGAGCTTCCAGTACTATGTTGAATAGGAGTGGTGAGAGAGGGCATCCTTGTCTTGTGCCGGTTTTTAAAGGGAATGCTTCCAGTTTTTGCCCATTCAGTATGATATTGGCTGTAGGTTTGTCATAAATAGCTCTTATTATTTTGAGATACGTTCCATAATACCTAGTTTATTGAGAGTTTTTAGCATGAAGGGCTGTTGAATTTTGTCGAAGGCCTTTTCTGCATCTATTGAGATAATCATGTGGTTTTTGTCATTGGTTCTGTTTATGTGATGGATTACATTTATTGGTTTGCATATGTTGAACCAGCCTTGCATCCCAGGGATGAAGCCGACTTGATTGTGGTGGATAAGCTTTTTGATGTGCTGCTGGATTTGGTTTGCTAGCATTTTATTGAGGATTTTTGCATCGATGTTCATCATGGGTATTGGCATAACATTTTCTTTTTTTGTTGTGTCTCTGCCAGTTTTTGGTATCAGGATGATACTGGCCTCATAAAGTGAGTTAAGGAGGAGTCCCTCATTTTCTATTGATTGGAATAGTTTCAGAAGGAATGGTATGAGCTCCTCTTTGTACCTCTGGTAGAATTCGGCTATGAATCTGTCTGGTTCTGGACTTTTTTTGGTTGGTAGGCTATTATTGCCCCAATTTTAGAATCCGTTATTGGTCTATTCAGAGATTTGACTTCTTCCTGGTTTAGTTTTGGGAGGGTTTATGTGTTCAGGAATTTATTCATTTCTTCTAGATTTTCTAGTTTATTTGCATAGAGTTGTCTATAGTATTCTCTGATAGTAGTTTGTATTTCTGTTTGATCAGTGGTGATATCCACTTTATTGTTTTTTATTTAGTCTATTTGATTCTTCTCTCTTCTTTGTTAGTCTTGCTAGCAGTCTATCTATTTTGTTGATCTTTTTAAAAAACCAGCTTCTGGATTCATTGATTTATTTTTTTGAAGGGTTTTTTTGTGTCTCTGTTTCCTTCAATCCTGCTCTGATATTAGTCATTTCTTGCCTTCTGCTAGCCTTTGAATTTGTTTGCTTTTGCTTCTCTAGTTCTTTAAATTGTGATGTTAGGGTGTCAGTTTTAGCTCTTTCCTGCTTTCTCTTGTGGGCATTTAGTGCTATAAATTTCCCTCTACACACTGCTTTAAATGTGTCCCAGAGATTCTGGTACGTTGTGTCTTTGTTCTCACTGGTTTCAAAGAACATCCTTATTTCTGCCTTCATTTTGTTATTTACCCAGTAGTCATTCAGGAGGAGGTTGTTCAGTTTCCATGTAGTTTTGTAGTTTTGAGTGAGTTTCTTAATCCTGAGTTCTAATTTGATTGTACTATGGTCTGAGAGACAGTTTCTTGTGATTTCTGTTCTTTTACATTTGCTGAGGAGTGTTTTACTTCTAATTATGTGGTCAATTTTAGAATAAGTGCGATGTGGTGCTGAGAAGAATGTATATTCTATTGATTTGGGGTGGGGAGTTCTGTAGATGTCTATTAGGTCTGCTCGGTGCAGAGCTGAGTTCAGGTCCTGGATATCCTTGTTAATTTTCTGTCTCGTTGATGTGTCTAATATTGACAGTGGTGTGTTAAAGTCTTCCAGTGTTATTGTGTGGGAGGCTAAGTCTCTCTGTAGGTCTCTAAGAACTTGCTTTATGAATCTGGGTGCTCCTGTATTGTGTGCATATACGTTTAGGATAGTTAGCTCTTCTTGTTGAATTGATCCCTTTACCATTATGTAATGCCCTTGTTTGTCTTTTTCGATCTTTGTTGGTTTAAAGTCTGTTTTATCAGAGACTAGGATTGTAACCCCTCCTTTTTTTTTCTTTCCATTTGTTTGGTAGATCTTTCTCTATCCCTTTATTTTGAGCCTATGCATGTCTTTGCCTGTGAGATGGATCTCCTGAATTCAGCACACAAATGGGTCTTGACTCTATCCAATTTGCCAGTCTGTGTCTTTTAATTGGCTCATTTAGCCCATTTACATTTAAGGTTAATATTGTTATGTGTGAATTTGATCCTGTCATTATGATGCTAGCTGGTTATTTTGCCTGTTAGTTGATGCAGTTTCTTCATAGCGCTGATGGTCTTCACAATTTGGCATGTTTTTGCAGTGTCTGGTACCAGTTGTTCCTTTCCATGTTTAGTGCTTCCTTCAGGAGTTCTTGTTAAGGCAGGCCTGATGGTGACAAAGATCTCTCAGCATTTGCTTGTCTGTAAAGGATTTTATTTCTCCTTCACTTATGAAGCTTAATTTGGCTGGGTATGAAATTCTGGGTTGAAAGTTCTTTTCTTTAAGAATGTTGAATATTGACCCCTACTCTCTTCTGGCTTGTAGGGTTTCTGCTGAGAGATCTGCTGTTAGTCTGATGGGCTTCCCTTTGTGGTTAACTCGACCTTTTTCTCTGGCTGCCCTTAACATTTTTTCTTCATTTCAACCTTCGTGAATCCTACGATTATGTGTCTTGGGGTCGCTTTTCTTGAGGAGTCTCTTTGTGGTGTTCTCTGTATTTCCTCAACTTGAATGTTGGCCTGCCTTGCTAGGTTGGGGAAGTTCTCCTGGATAATATCCTGAAGAGTGTTTTCCAACTTGTTTCCATTCTCCCTATCACTTTCAGGTACACCAATCAAACGTATATTTGGTCTTTTCACATAATCGTATATTTCTTGGAGGCTTTGTTCATTTCTTTTCATTCTTTTTTCTCTAATCTTGTCTTCTTGCTTTATTTCATTAATTTCATCTTCAATCACTGATATCCTTTCTTCAGCTTGATCGATTCGGCTATTGAAGCTTGTGTATGCTTCACGAAGTTCTCTTGCTGCATTTTTCAGCTCTATCAGGTCATGTAGGTTTTTCTCTACACTGGTTGTTCTAGTCAGCAATTTGTCTAAACTTTTTTCAAGGTTCTTAGCTTCCTTGTTTTGGGTTAGAACATGCTCTTTTAGTTTGGAGGAGTTTGTTATTACCCACCTTCTAAAGCCTACTTCTGTCAATTTGTCAGACTCATTCTCCGTCCAGTTTCCTTTTCTTGCTGGTGAGGAGTTATGATCCTTTGGAGGAGAAGAGGCATTCTGGTTTTTGAATTTTCACCCTTTATGCACTGGTTTCTCCCCACCTTTGTGGTTTTTTCTACCTTCGGTCTTTGATGTTGGTGACCTATGGATGGGGTTTTGGTGTGGATGTCGTTTTTGTTGATGTTGATGGTATTCCTTTCTGTTTGTTAGTTTTCCTTCTAACAGTCAGGCCTCTCAGCTGCAGGTCAGTTGGAGTTTGCTGGAGGTCCACTCCAGACCCTGTCTGCTTGGGTATCACCAGCGAATGCTGCAGAACAGCAAATATTACTACCTGATCCTTCCTCTGGAAGCTTCGTCCCATAGAGGCACCTGCCAGATGCCAGCCAGAGTTCTCCTCTATGAGGTGTCTGTCGGCCCCTACTGGGAGGCGTCTCCTGGTCAGGCTACACGGCAGTCAGGGACCCACTTGAGGAGGCAGTCTGTACATTATCAGAGCTTGAATGCTGTGCTGGGAGAACCACTGCTGTCTTCAGAGCTGTGAGGCAGGGACGTTTAAGTCTGCTGAAGCTGTGCCCACAGCTGCCCCTTCCCCCAGGTGCTCTGTCCCAGGGGAATCTGGGATTTATTTGTAAGTCCCTGACTGGGGCTGCTTGCCTTTTGTTCGGTGATGCCCTGCCCATAGAGGTGGAATCTAGAGAGGCAGTCAGCCTTGCTGAGCTGTGATGGGATCCTCCCAGTTTGAACTTCCCAGCAGCATTGTTTACACTGTAAGGATAAAACTGCCTACTCAAGCCTCAGCAATGGCGGACTCCACTCCCACCACCAAGCTCCAGCATCCCAGGTCGATCTCAGACTGCTGCGCTAGCCATGAGAATTTCAAGCCAATGGATCTTAGCTTTCATGGGCTTCATGGGCACGGGACCTGCCAAGCCAGGCACCGATGGGAATCTCCTGGACTGCCGATTGCGAAGACCATGGGAAAAAGCACAGTATCTGGGCAGAAGTGTACCATTCCTCCAGGTACAGTCTGTCACAGCTTCCCTTGGCTAGGAAAGGGAAATTCCCCGACCCCTTGCACTTCCCTGGTAAGGCAGTGCTGTGTTCTGCTTCGGCTCGCCCTCCGTGGTCTGCACCCACTGTCCAGCCAGTCCCAGTGAGATGAACCAGGTACCTCAGTTGGAAATGCAGAAATCACCCATCTTCTGCATCAGTCTTGCTGGGAGCTGCAGACCAGAGCAGTTCCTATTTGGCCATCTTGCCAGAAAATACAGTTAATGATTTTTAAGTGTGTAATTGATGTTCTGATTGCTTTGTTACTGGGAGCCTGGATTTTACTGTCTTCCTTTATACAGCATTTAGATTTGTTTCAGCAGTCTACTACTGCTGATCAGCTTAATCCTTTTAGTGATTGATATTAAGCATTGTATGGGCAGTCATAGAGTTGCTCTTCTTCTTACGTTTTACCTTTCTTGTGTCTCAATTTAATGCCCAGAGTGTTCAGCAAAATCTTTACTCTGACTTGTTAGAACTTCTCATTACTTGTCCCACTTCACAGAGTCTCATTGTAGACAAAGACTGTGCAGATTTCTGAAACTCCTTTTTTGCTTAACTCCTCTTCAGAACTCTGCCTCAGAAATGTCATTTGACTCAGCATGCCTGAATGCCAATCCCTACCTTTTCTGCTCTGTGAGATTGCTTTGTTCTGCTTGGGATTTACCTTTCTGTACCATAGTCTGATATGTGCCCCCATGCATGAAGCTGAGACAATTATAGGACTGCATCTTGAGTTTTCCTTCTTTCAGGGAACACAGTGCTGTGCTTTCTGTTATCAGGTTGTCCAATACCTGAAAACAGTTGCTTAAAATAACTTTCCTAGTTTTATAGTTTGTAAAGGCAAGAGTGGTAGTCTGATCCCATTATGGATTGCAGCAGGATCCATATACTACACTGTGACAATTCTTTTGCAACAGTGGCTTTGTTAATGAATCTTTACTTTTTAAACCAACCTTTAAAAATGTGCTCAGTTATTGATGTTCTCAATTCTCTTTATAAAACATACCTACTAACACCCTTGACATACTACATATGTGGCTTAATTAAGGCTTCATTTTAGTATATTGCCAGACTTCAGCTTTCAGTCATTGAGTCGTATGCTTTATCAAGACTCAGCGAGCTTACTTCCATACCTGTCTCTGCCAGTTATACTTGACATTGTAATTCATAATGTAACTGAGTGCTATAATCTGCTTATATGAGGACAAGAGAGTCCTTTCTGTAACAGTTCTGTTGAATACTTTGAGAAGATGATAAAGGTGAATTTCTAATGATAGTGTTCAAGACATGGAACCCCACAATATGGTGACTTGGCATATTGAATATTTTATGAAGAAGGCAGAAGCAAAAAGGTCACTGTGACCTTCCCCACTCCCTGTCTCTTATGAGGTAAGTTGTAAAACCTAGGAAGGATTTTTTGACCTTTCCCTGACCATACAACCTTATGTGAGAGTTGCCTTACCTATACATTGAGGAAGATAAAGGATCACAGAGAAGAATCTGAACAAAAAGCCTTGCTAAGTTTCTGCAGTCTATTACCATTAGATCACACCTCCTTTATCCTATCATATTTCTGACTACCCACTCTTCATCTAGCCTACGCATAAAAACACACAGGTTTAACTCTTTTTTGGGTCTTCATTTCCGTATGAAGGCTTCTGTGTCACATAAAACTTATATTAAATAAATTTGTATGCTTTTCTCTTGTTAATCCGTCTTTTGTTTTGGGACCCTCAACCATGAACCCAAGATGGGTAGAAGAAAAGATATTTTGTCTCCTTCATACTAATAATTCCTGTCAAAGTATGTTGAGTAAGGCAATTGTAAAAAGATTGTGTGTGGTGTAAAAGGAAATCATTAAATTCTAGGCAGATTTTGGACTCAGATTATTTCACAAACATTTTTATATTCTCACTTCACATTTACAAAACTGAAACTATAAATTGTAGATGGTGTATTTTCTTGATGGTTTATGGAAAAAACACCACTTGGGATTTTGATAAATGGACCTATACTCAAAAGGTATTGCCCAAATCAGATTATTAAAAGAATACACGTGTACATTCTTGCATTATAATATAATGTTTAAGGTTTGTGTATATTGCTTACTTAAGTGTTTCCCTGGTTTTACTAGTATGTTCAGGCAACTGAGCTAGGACCAGTTCTTAACAACAGAAAGGAAACTTCTGTTGCATAGTTTTTTATTCTTATGCTAAATTGACAAGGAATCCCCTTACACTTTTTTAATATGCCTTCTTGCAATCTAGTTTGACTTGCACATCATTGCCTCATGAATATTTCATTATTAAATCTGAAGCGTTCAGTTTTCAATCCATTATTTTCTCTTATTTCCAGTGTCCTTTTCAGATGTAATTAAGTTCCTTTATTGCTTAAAACCATTGCTTGATTTTAGGAAATTTATGTTCTGGCCCTTTGTCCTGATATTTGTTTATTTAAGAATTATTTCATCTTTAGTTCTTTACTGCCATACCTTTTGTTTTCATAACTCTTAATGTATGCTATGTGTTCTTTAGCCTTTTTAATTTATTACCAGGAGATGAAGAGTACTGTTTAATTAAGAAATAATAGATTGGTTCTGTTCTGTTCTGTTCTTTCTTTGCTTCCCTTTCTTTTCCTTCCCTTCCCCCTCCTTCCTCTCCCTCTTCCCTTTTTCCTTCCCTGTGGGTCTTGCTTTATTGCCCAGGCTGGTCTCAGATTTCCTGTGCTCAAACAGTTCATTTGCCTCAGCCTTCTAAGTAGCTGGGATTACAGGCATATGCCACCTTATCTGGTTTAGACTGGTTCTTTTCAAAAGGTAATGTTATATAAGTTCCAGGTACCTTAGGGCCAGACTTTTTTTTTTTCACCTTTTATTATAGCTTCTGAAAAGCTGCCAGGTATCCTAAGATAGGTACATGACTTGATGATTTAAAAATCTGAAAAATCTGGCTGGGTGTGGTGGCTCACACCTGTAATCCTAGCACTTTGGGAGGCCGAGGCGGGTAAATCACCTTGAGGTCAAGCGTTCGAGACCAGCCTGGCCAACATGGTGAAACCCCATCACTACTAAAAATGTAAAAATTAGCTAGGCGAGGTGGCAGGCACCTGTAATCCCAGCTACTTGGAAGGCTGAGGTGGGAGAATTGCTTGAAGCCAGGAGGCGGTGGTTGCAGTGAGCTGAGATCACGCCATTGCACTCCAGACTGGGCAACAGAGCAAAAACTCTGTTAAATAAATAAATAAATAAATAAATAACCAACCAACCAACCAAAAAATCCATCCAGACATGGTGGCTCATGCCTGTAATCCCAGCTACTCAGCAGGCTGAGGCGGGTGGATTGCTGGAGTTCGAGACCAGCCTAGGCAACATGGTGAAACCCCATCTCTACAAAAAAAAAAAAATGCAAAAAATTAGCCAGGCAGGGAGGCATGTGCCTGTAGTCTTAGCTACTCAGGAGGCTGAGGTGGTATGATCACCTGAGCCCAGAAACTCAAGGTTGCAGTAAGCCATGATCATGCCACTGCACCCTAACCTGGGTGATGGAGTGAGATCCTTTCTCAAAATAAATAAATAAGTAAAAATAAAAAAGAATCCTGAAGTATTGGGTTAAAAAGCAAATCCATTAAGCTGCCAAAAAGTTGAAATTATTAAATGTTATACTTTTGTAATTCTAAGTATTAAAAAATGTATTAGTTTAATAATTTTCAAAATGCTTCTGTTAAACATACTGGTTTTCATCTAGGCATTGATCCTTCATTTCTTCGTTAAGCATATTTTTCAACGATTTCAGTTGTTCCAAAGTTTGAACTTAGAAAACAAAGATTTTTAAGTTTTCCTTATAAAAATGCAAAAAGGTGTTCTAATAGATTTTTCTTATTTGGGGGAAAAATTGTATCTTATATCATTTTTCTAAAATTGCATTTCATCATAAAATAGTTTCTTAGTAGACTTGATTTGGTTATGTCATATGTCAAATCATATACTACTATTAGGGAGAAAATCTTTTGAATACCCGTTGCAAAGTTTATGGCTGACACTGCTATAACAAAAGACAGATTAACAAGAAAAAAATGTAACAAATGTTTTACTTATTATTTATTTTTTAAAGAGATGGGGTCTCACTGTGTGGCCCTGACTGGTCTCAAACTCCTGGTTTCAAGCAGTCCTCCCACTTCAGCCTCCCTAGGAGCTGGTATTACAGATGCATGCCACTGTATCCAGCTAACAGATTTTTTAAAAAACCAGTTTTACAGGCAGTGGCAGTCTGATAGATTTTCCTGGTTTGCAGTCTGAATGTCACAAAGGTTGTCTACACATGAGTTGTGATTTCTCTGAAGTTTCTATCAATTTATCCAGCCACAGTTTGTAAGACTTCAGGAAAAGGGAAGTTTTAATTTTAGTAATTCCAAGTCAAAGAAACTTGGGAGAAAATTGGAAACATTAGTTTGGAGAGCTGTAGCTAGATATTAGAAGAAACCGGAAGAATTCAGGATTCATTTCAGTTTGTAGGTAAATAACAAAACTTCAAAAACAATGTGCTGGGATCTAATAATAGGTGCACTGTAGTTTTCTTCTAAAATGTAATTTTTCTTTCTACAGTCATTCTCATTTTTATCAAAGATAATCAAACTAATTTGTTTGCAAAACAAGTTTAATCTTATTAAACTTAGTGATATGGTTCGGATCTGTGTTCTTACCAAATCTGACGTGGAGATGTAATCCCCGACATTGGAGGTGGAGCCTGTTGGGAGGTAATTGGATCATCATGGTGGTTGGTCCTTCTCGAATAGGTTAGCACCATCCTGTCTGTGCTGTTCTTGTAATAGTAAATGAGTTATCATGAGATCTGGTTTTTTAAAAGTATGTCGCATCTGCCCCCTTCTCTCTTCCTTCAGCCACGTGAAGATGCCTGCTCTGGCTTTGCTGTAAAAAGTAAAAGCTCTCTGAGGCCTCCCCAGCCATGCTTCTTGTACAGCCTGCCAAACTGTGAGCCAATTAAACCTCTTTTCTTTATAAAATACCCAGTTTCAGGTATTACTTTACAGCAATGTGAGAACAGGCTAATACACTTAACCTGATTATTTACATTATGTGCAGCATAGGCTCTTTTTAAGTCTGCTTTGCTGGAACTTTTCATAAGGAGTCTCAGATTGGATTTGTAAAAGCCTCTCGAGACTAGAAGGCCAAGCCAAGGACTCTTCATAAGACTTTGCATTCGTAGAGATGAGGTGAATTCCTGTTTGAGGTCCCCAAGTATCCTGAGGTTCCTAGGCCTTCCAAGAAGTAGCATTCCTTACTCACCTAGCTGTAAGGCAACCATACAACCATGTATTCAAGTTACCAGGCCAGTTTTTTTACCCCTAAGGGGCTTTTATTGGCTCCATAAAGTCAAACTTAGTTTCTTAAAGTTATTTGGTTGTATTTGAAAATAAGACATTCTAGTCAAAGCCTTGGTAATATAAGCAGTAAATACACAATTTCCTGTTACAAGAACAGATTCTTCCTGAACTTGTACAAGTAACTATATTGTATAAAAATAAGAATACTTGCTTATAGTTCCTGGATTCTAGAAGGATTATGCAGGGGGAGAATTTTTTCCATTTTTGTTTATAAAAGTATACTTTGCCAAATTGCTGTAAGCTGTATAGATAGCTTAAAAGAAAAGAAAAAAGAATTTCCTTAAATCTGGAAAACAAAACATTAAAGACCCACAATGTTTCAAACAACAAAAAAAAATTATCCTCATTAGTTCATTCACCCTCATGTAATTCTTGTTCTGCTTGATTTTGATGAGCAGTTTCACGAACCCATTAGTTTCTTCATTCGAGTTCTGGAAATTCTTATGCAGTCCAATGGTATAATCTGAAAGTTACCAGAAATCTGTGTTACAGAGTACTTGTCAGTCTTTTTCATTAATCCCCTTGAAGATGAGGCAACTTAGACTATTGCTCACTGCAAACACTTTGAGAGAAGAATCAAAATATATAGTAACTGTCTTATGAATGACAGAAGATTTAAAATGGCCGTGGTTAAAAGTCTGATGAGCGTTCATTATTATAATGATGCAGTTGGCAAGGAAGTTCGGCAGTTTTTTGGTATACAAAATGTTAACATACTAGCCAGAATTATGACTGATAGCATTACACCAGAACATATCAGAATTTTTGAAATGTCAATTTATGGAACACTCATTAATAATATACTCATAGATAATAATTTTGAGAAGTCTAAACATCACTTATTATTTGACAGTTCTTCCCATATAATTTAACTTATCAAATGAGCCTAATTAATATCTCCAACAGATTGAGAGACAAATCCTTTGAGACTTTCCAGGGACCCTCTGGAAAGTTCCAAAATCAGAGGTTTAAAAGACATAATTTAGAATTTTACTTTAAGAAGTAAAAAATGTCAAAAGGTTTAAAGCATTTGATTAAATAGGCCCATAGGGCACTGTGAAATATTACCAAAGTGACAAAAGATTTTAAAGGCAAACACAGAAAACTACATAGTTACAAATATGTGGAGCTAAATAATGAGAACAAATGGACACAAAGAGGGGAACAACAGACACTGGGGCCTACTTGAGGTAGGAGGGTGGGAGAAGGTAGAGGGTTAGAAAAAAATAACTATCAGGTACTATGCTTAGTACCTGGGTGATGAAATAATTGTCCACCAGACTCCCATGATATGAGTTTACCTATATAACAAACTTGCACTTGTATCCCTGAATCTAAAATAAAAGTTAAAAAAAAATTATCTTGATAAAACACAAAATCTTTGTTTATTTGGCCAGTTACTTAACAGATAAAGGAAAACCTTCACTTTCTTAAACCAGTACTCCAGGAAAACTTTGTCATTTTAACAGAGAAGACCAAATTTCTAGTTTTGCATCAGTGTACTATTAATACTATAGCTATAGCTAATGTTAATAAAACTATGTAAATGAATTCATTCAGTCTCAGCCATCTTTGACCACATGAGATAAGATTTTTTTCCCCCAAGATTCCTTTTCCATAAGCCTTTTTTAGTCTTGAAACAAATATCCAACTGCTTTCTCTTCCTGCTTTTTTCTCTTATTCTGGCAAACCAGTTATTTTACTTTAGCACAGAATTAATTTACTCTCTTTTTTCCCATAATGGAAAATATACCCTCATGCTTTAGAACTTCTCTTACCAAAAAATACATCCTTTATTGCATTTTTTTTGTATAAAAGTTGTTTCTCTTCACCCTTCTTAATTTCTTGTAGCTTAAACTATATATATATATTAGAATTTTAATACTTAGCAATTGTGAATTGTCATGTAATAATATTCTGTAGATTAATACTATTATGATTTCTAGAAACATGCTTCCTTATAGTACAATTTCTCATTTTTATTAACAGACCAAATATGTTTAGCTACTCTATAGTGTATAAAAGCAATATTCCAAAAGTATATAAATTCAAATTTATGTTCAGCAATTAATGTTTCAGCATTTTATTTTACTAAGAAATGACCTAGACATTTAATGAATATCTGTTACTTAATCTTACTTAAGTATAACTTTAAGGTTGCAAGTTACCAAAAAGATTTTGGAACCTCTTTTTAAGTTGACATCTTGTATAAAATGTTATTATTGAAGAGTTCACTTACAAATTTTTACTCCAGTTATATTTATTTAACTTGTTCTCAACAATTAAACTGCTCATGACAACTTCTTGAGACATTAAACAAAGCTAAGCATCATTTTATTTTTCTTGTTTAAAAATCAGGCAGTTATAAAAAATATCACAGAAGCAAAGAAACTAAAAAGTTAAACTTTGTTTAAACTTGTTTCTTCCTCTCTCTTTTTTTCTTTTGATAACAGTTACCTCCCTGAAGTTTGTATTTCTAAAAGATAACTATTGAGTTCAAGAGAAGACAGGTAGGAAATTTACATCTCAAAGGCACAGAAAAAGAATGTAAGTTTTTTCCAGGGAGGAGTTTTATAACATATTTGCCTATTATCAAATATTTTTCTTATGGAGGCTGTGGATGAAATTTTTAGGTGAGTTAGTGACTGAGGAAACATCTAGCAGTTGTCTTACCCCAGAGTCCATCTAAGTGAACAAAACATCCATTTCTGTTTTCAGATAGTTTTTTTTTTTCCTCTTCTCAGCATTACGTGGTTGCTTTTGGGAGACCTTGAATCCCTTGAGAGTAGGGGTACTTAAAGTTCAAATTACTGAGGGGCTGAAGTGGAAAGTGAAGGATTCTGGCAGGGGTAGACGGAAGGATGTTAAAGTAGGAACTTGAAGGGGAACATATCAAGATTCAAAGTTACTTTATGGAATATCAAAAGGAGGAAAGGGGAGCAGAAGAAAATGGAAGAAAAAGGTCCAGAAGGAAGAGGAAGGAGCCAGTGTGGGCAGTATCTTGGTCCATTTGTGTTGCTGTAAAGGAATACCTGAGACTGGATAATTTATAAAGAAAAGAAATATATTTGGTTTATGGTTCTGTAGGCTGTGCAAGAAGCATGGTGCCATCATATGCTTCTGATGAGGCCTTCAGGCTGATTCTACTCATGGCAGAAGGTGAAGGTGAACCGACTTGTGCAGAGATTACATGGTGATAGAGGAGGCAAGAGAGAGAGAATGTGTCAGGCTCTTTTAAACAACCAGCTCTTGGAGGAACTCTTGCAGAAACTAATAGAGCAAGAACTCACCCATTACCACAAGGGCAGCACCAGACCATTTGTGAGGGATCTGCTCCAATGACCCAAAAACCTCCCGTTAGGCCCCACTTCCAACATTGGGGATCAAATTTTAACATGAAATTTGGAGGAGATAGCCCTTTCCAAAGATAGGCAAAAAGAAAGAAAAGACTTTGTTGCTATAGTGGTTATGGATCTCCAGTTTCCCATGGAATATGACATGCCTGTAATCACACACACATTAATCTGTGACATTAACCATATGACTGACCAGCTAAGGTTGAGATGACAGAATCCCCTTAAAGACCGGGACCTTTATTACAAACTTCCCTGAGAGCTGGTGTGGTTGGACAGAGAATGTCCTTTAAAAAAATGTTTGTTATTTTCTTGAGGACAGAGATCATGTTTTCACTGTTGCTCATTGTGTTCAGTGTCTAATATGTAGTAAGTGCTAAAAAATACGTTGAATAAATGAGAAACATTCTTTTTGTTGCCGAAGGTAACCACTTCACATATGTTATTTAGTACTCATTTTGGTATAGCAAACTGATTTCATACATGATGAAAAAGGAGTCTATTAATTTGCCCAAAGTTGAGAACTGGGATTCCAACCCAGTTTTGACTCAGCCCTTTGCTTTTAGCCAAGGCTTTCCTGCTCAGAAGGATCTAGGAGTGGTAAAAATAGTTTGTGAGATTGAAAAACATGTCTCTAATTATTAGTTTTGTACTCCTTGTATGATTAGTAGCATCATTTGCATGAACTATTTCTATCATATTATCCACAGCAGTTCATTCAAACTACACTTTTGGCTCAATGATAGTTTTGCCCAGTATGCAAAATATAACAGATGTCACATTCCAACACTTGATTCATTGCCTGGTTGGACTCCAACATCAATTTGTTACTTTAACAAACAAACAAAAGTTGGTTCTAATGGCACAACTCAAATTTATTTTTATGTTTTTTATTGTATCTGAATCTATATGGCCCCTAAGTTTTTAGAAGTGTTTAAGTTCTTCCACAGTAAGTAAATAGATATGATAATGCTATCTGCCAACTCTTTATATTTTTTAAACTGTAAAATTTATTTTGTAAAATGTCCTTATTTATGAAACCTTTAATGAGTTTCTTGCTTTAAGTATCTGTGGGTTAGTTGAAAGAAAGTTTTTATTACAGGTCTAAGACTTGCTTTTCTTTGAACATCTTTTATGGTTGAAATAGAATGTAAACTCAGTCATCAAATTTAGATTAGTTTTAGCTGTAAATAACTAATAGTCTGCGGTAGAACAAGTTTCTATAAACAGTATTTTTAATGTTTCAATATGTGCTCTACTAAAACTGTTCAGCATTGATCCATACTAACATGCAATTTAGTGAACTTACTAGGAAAAGCATGATAAAAGTTTTGGCTTTTCTGGGCGTACTGAGAGATCTAGCAAAAATGCATCCCAAAGTGCAAAAACCTTACATTTATTTCTCTTCATGACAAGTGTAAACTGTTAAGGTTAAGTGGGTGGGGCAACCGGAAGTAATTACTAAGGCCAGTGGCATTTTTGTGGTTTAATAAAGGCAGAAGCTAATTATTCAGTTTTTATTTAAGTGAAATGGTGCCAAAAAGGAGGTTCCTGTGGAGCAGCTGCACTCCTTCAGTGTTGCCCTAATTTACCAAAGACACAACTGTCACAAACAAAACTTTTAAACTTGATATATAGCCACAAAAGTAAGGAGGCTTTTGTTGGGAGTGCATGCAGAAGAACTCCTTTATACAAATCAACCGGCAGATGACGGACAATGATGAAAATTTGATTCTTTGAAGTCATAATAGTCATTGAAATGTGTGAAATTCTGGTATTGAAAAGAGAGCGGCCAGCAAGACTCTAAATCCTGGGTGGTTGCAAGAAGCTTGCTGGGAGGTTTTTCTGCATTTTGACACCAACTTCCCATTGCTTGTTCCCTGCTTCCTTTGTTAAAGAAAAAAAAAGTTGAAATCACAGAAGATAAATGGAGACAGTTGATAACCGAATCATACAGTTTTAATATGGAAAACTAGTATTTTATCATGGAAATTGGTATTTGAAAGAATAAAGTTCATATACATATACTGGTACATTCATAGTGATTTTTTAAATTTTCTCTTCATTTATGTAGACTTGTGAAATGGCAGGTCAGCTATCATCTCCTCCAAAATTTAAAATTGTTGAAGATATGGTGTTGAAAGAATGAACTTTGGAATTATGACATGCATCTTTCCAATAGCAAATTTTGACTTGAATGCCCTTAATCTGTGAATTATCATTGACTTATTAGTTATCATTTATTAAAATAGCATATTGCACATAAGGTTGTATTTCTGAAACTTTATTAGGATAATGACATTAATAATGGAAGCATAGGTTTCATACTTGACCCAACTATTCAACAATTAAGTTTTAAAATTCAATAAATCTGTGTATATTACTTATAGAGTAGCTTGTTTTATTAGAATTTACAGATAATTATTAACTGGTGAGTCTTGAGGTTCTTCAGGTGCCAGCTTGAAGGCTTTTCATACCTATGTGATTTAGTTTTTTGAATTATTATTTATAAATTATTTATCTCTATTTTACCAGTAAAATAAGAAATTTGTAAAAGGCAATAGTGACATCTTTCTCCAAAGCATTTCTAGCTTTTCTAAATAGGTTTCAAAAACTCACAGGTGATCCATATTGCCATACAAAAGTAGAAATCCATAAAGAATACAATTAGTTCAATATAATTTAAATAGTTTGCGGATTTTAAATTTTTTTGTGAAAGTTAGATCTCAGGTAGCTCCGTGTGAATTTAGAGGGAACCACACAAAGCGTTGAAGACACAAGTAGAGTTCAGCATAGTGCCTCATAGTTCTTTTCAAGTGTTACATTGTTTTAATGGAATCTTGGAGTGGGAGCTTTAGCCCATTGAAATGTGCTTAAAGAACAGGTTCTTCTGTCACTAGCCGAAGCTGTGTGGATGAAATGATAACAATAGGGTGTCGTGATGCATTTTTAAAGTGTGAGAAATCAGGTTGTCTAGACTGAGAGTGTGCCTACAGGGACTAGGAATTTTAGAGCCTCTGTACCCTTTAGGTGTCAAGTATATGAGAGATGCCAAGCCTCTTTATTCTGTCTTTGGCAGCAGCTCAATTGGGCTGTAGTACCTTACATGTCTTCTGCATGCAAAAACTGATTCTGTGTCATGACAACTTGGGTTCCCAAAATCAGAAACCCACTTGTTCAAATGCCAACTTTAAATTAGGGTAAGATACCAATAAATAATTGCTGTAATTCGAGAAGACATGGAAGATTGGTAGTTATGAGTTCAAAATATAAATAGCTTAGCAACATTGTGTAGACACTTTTTAAAAAAGGTTTTCTATATACTGTCCTTTCTACTTTGTAGCTCAAATACTGTTTTATAGTATAAATCAAGAAATACTATTTCAATTTTTTTCAAAACTTGAAAAAGTTTAAAATCTTAAGTTTTTTAATCACTTTGGCATATATGCATCACAGTATAGAAGTAGGTAAAGTAAAAGTGTTTCCTCTAATCTTCCTGAGGTAACCAGTGTTAAGAGTTTAATGTGTTTCCTTTCATATAGTTTTAAAAATAGACATAACTTACAGCTCCAGCTTTTATGAGCTCAGCTCAGAACAGAGGGGATGCTTTGGAATTTGGAAAAGATGCCCCACCCCATAATTCTATAACATGCTTATAGTGTTTGTTTATACCCAGCTTAAGCTGTAGCTGAGGAAACGAGACAGATTAATCTAAAGATATATAATATTAAATAATAAACTACTATGGCAGATTGCAAGTATTACAGTGAATTCAAAGGAGGAATTAAACATTGAGGACTTCCCAGGAGTTGAGCCACTTTAAGCTCTTAAATAGAGAATATATGCTTCAGGAAGTCATTAAATATAATAATACTTAAACTTTTTTTGAAGTTGAACCTGAATATTAGAAATTACCAATTAAAGTATTTCACACCTTTAAAAATTATGTGCCAGCTTCACTCATTTTTACTTTAAACTAGATGTAGGGAAACTTTAAAAATAAGTAAATGTAGGCACATATTAGAAGTGCATATTTGTGTAAATATTTATATGGATAATTTTGATAGTTTCTGTAAACAAGCTGTGACAAAGTAGCCACACCTAATTATTGACGCAGGTGGAAAGGTATTGTGTTAAATAGAGGATTGGTTGCCAACTAAAATAACTTTAAAGAATTGGTTTTTAATCTTGTGGATAGAGATAATAGTCAAGTCAGAAATGTGTTTCGTGTTTTTCCCACTAGTACGTACTAGCTAAGAATACTTACCAGCTAAGTATTCTTGCCAGTTATTTGGTTCATAGCATTGATAGATTGAAACTACAAATAAACATTAGTCTTCATTAGGGTGTGTATTATAATGACATAAAAATTCACAGACGTTTTCTAGTTTTCACAAATTTGGTATAATCATTTTTATATTAACTCTTGTTTTTACCAAGTTATCCAAAATTTACGTTAGTAAGTGAACCATGATTTTAAAATGCTTCATTAATAAGCATATGGTTGACCCCAATGTGATTTACTTTGATCAGATAAAGTATTTTACCATTACTAAATGGAGATTTAACCCATTTATGTCTGAGGTTGCAGTTTTTAGAATTTTTGCAATCAGACCTTGGCAATGGCCTTGAGCAGTAGGATATAAATAACTCCCACATGCTTAGCATTCCAATAATGGAACACTAGGAATAAATAAGTTTTAAACTCTGAATTACTTTACTAATTTGTGTCCTGACTGCTACTATGTTTTGATAAATGTATCTACTCTGGGGCATCAAAATTCTGTGCATTTTCAAAATGAGCATTTGTTACTGGATAAAATTATAGAAAAATCGAGTTAAAGTTACCATTGTTTTCATCTCACATTTTGGCAAAAATTATGCCACTTTTTGGGATTACTTTTGCAGAATGTGTTTGATTGTATCATTCTCTCTTTAGTAGGTTTCACCAAAGGGGGGAGATACATCACAATGCTAATTAAAGTTGTTAAATTTACAACTTTACAAAAAGGTTCAGGTTTCCCTCTCAAGGTAATGCCTTGTGGGTAAGCAATTTGACACAGAAATTATAAGTAACAGATTGTCTTCTATTTAAGATTTAAATAAACATGCAAATAAGGATTTACTTTTTATATCCCCTTTTCATATTTCCTTTGTATTTTTTCTCCTCTGACTAGTTCGCACTTGCTCACAAAGTAAGAGCATTGTTGACTACAGGCTCTTCTGCGAGCAAACAGTCTCTTCAGAAAATACCAATGCTTTGTTGGACAAAAGGGCGTAAATTTTTTTTACGATCCTTTTCCACTGTCTCCACTACGTCCCCCTAAATAAACCATTTACAGGTATCTAAATAGTAATTTACATTGTAAAGTATCAGAATGGTAGTGAAATAAGCCAGAAAATTTATCTCAATTTATGAACAAATCTGAATAGAGTTGCATGAATATAGGAAACAACAAAAGTACATTAGTGTGTATGTAGGCTGTTTGAAACGTGTTTTTTTTTCTTGTTTTTCTGTAGGATATCACTACTTTAACTGGAGTTCCAGAAGAGCATATAAAAACTAGAAAAGTCAGGATCTTTGTTCCTGCTCGCAATAACATGCAGTCTGGAGTAAACAACACAAAGAAATGGAAGATGGAGTTTGATACCAGAGAGCGATGGGAAAATCCTTTGATGGGTTGGGCATCAACGTGAGTACTTTATTTTAATGTGAATATTGTCAGCTATCTTTTTCTATGTAGATCTTTCTTCTAAATATGATTTTCAAACTCTTTTATGTACAATATGCTTATGACAGTACTTTTTGACGCTGTTAAGTACCACTGTGCTCAAAGATACACATTATATATTTAGATATTCAGATAAGTGTGGCTTAGCACAGTAAACTATGACATAGTCTTTTTCAGAGTACTACTTACTAGATAAAAATGACTGAATTTCAGAGCACTGTTATGGAACTCAAAGCTATGTATACAGCAGTCCCCCCTTATCTGCAGTTTTGCTTTCTACGGTTTCAGTTATCCGATGGACAGTACAATAAGATATTTCGAGATAGAGAGAGACTACCCTTAATATAACTTTTCTTATAGTATGTAAGTGTTATAATTGTTCAATTTTATTACAACTTATTGTTAATTTCTTACTATGCCTAATTTATAAGTTAATCATAGGTCTATGTGTTTAGGAAAATATAGGATTTGATACTATTCGTGGTTTTAAGCATCCACTAGGGGTTTTGGAACTTGTCCCCCCTCAGATAAGGGGGAATACTGTTTTATCCAAGATACTGTAAGAATGGTGTTTATAATATAGTGACACTTTAACTTGTTTTAAAATTACAATAAACTTCTTTGTAATATATATTATATATATATCTTTTTTCTTTGTAAGGGGGGTAGGAACTAGGTCAATTTAGAAATTAGCTAACTTGAGGGAAACTTATAAGTTCCTGAGATATTGTGATTAATAATAAATAATAATAAATTACTTTTAATTTTTATTTATTATTTTCTTTAGAGATGTGGTCTTGCCCCCTTGCCCAGGCTGGAGTGCAGTGATGTGATCCTAGCTCACTGCAGCCCTGAACTCTGGGATGATCAAGCGGTCCTCCCACCTTAATCCCCCAAGTAGCTGGGAATATAGGTGCATGCCACAGCACCTGGCCAATTTTTTTTTATCTTTTTGTAGAAATGGAGTCTCGCTTTGTTGCCCGGGCTGGTCTCGAACTCCGGGCTTCAAGCGATCCACCCACCTCAGCCTCGAAAGTACTGAGATTACAGGTGTGAGCCACCATGCCTGGCCATTAAATTGCTTTTTAACAGTGTATTGGAATAAATTCTTGTGGTACTAATGAAGTCAGTGACCTAATTCTCCATAATGGAATAGGGCCCAAATGTTAAGTAGGAGGGCTGATTCTAGTTAAATTTAAAAAGCTGTCATTAGAGAAAACATTAGGCAGATAAGCTAGAAAATTGTCATTCGTATTGAAACTCTGAGAACATTATGTCCGGTCTCCAGTTGAAGGTAGTTATAAACTTAAATTAGAAAATGTAGACTGTCTTGTTCTAGAAAAGTATAATATTCAACATCATTGCCTGTTGATTACTTGGGAGACTTTTTTTAGAAAACATCTGTCATGTTGCAGTTTAAATAGAATTATATTTTATTAGGCAAATGATATATAGGCACAATTTCTTAGTTTTTTTCTTATGTTGCAGTTTAATTAATTTATTAAAATGAGAAAAAAGTCAAACAATACAAATTCAATTAGAACATCACAAAAATACAAATGTACTTCCACAGATCTACAAATTTGTTATAAGATTAGTTATAATTCAGTGTGTTATAAAATTAAGAGAACCAAAATGAAACACTTTGCTAAGAATATTCTGCTTTATCAAACCACCTAGGTAGAGTCTTGAGCACTCACTGGTAATAAAGCTGAGAAATAGATACTTACCCAACTTAGTCTTTGGAGTGAATCTGTATATGTGAGATGAGCCGCCATGTCATGGTTATAAGGAAGGGATGGAATCGGCTCATGTCCCTCAAAGCCCATAATTGTCATGTCTCCTGTAGTAGTAGTACAAGACCTGGCCTGGAAATTGTTAGAAAGGGGAACTACCAAACAGAAAACTGAATCTACCCAGTTTCTGGAAAACAACAGATGGAGGAACATTTGGCTTCCAAACTTTTTCATATGTAAGATAATTTTCCTAAGTAATCTTGCTCTAATGGGTTGTATATTCTCAGT
This sequence comes from Homo sapiens, assembly GCF_000001405.40. Classification (NCBI taxonomy): domain Eukaryota; kingdom Metazoa; phylum Chordata; class Mammalia; order Primates; family Hominidae; genus Homo; species Homo sapiens. Next base: position 53,648,469 of record NC_000005.10, read on the forward strand.
ACTTGTCAAGAAAACAGAAGTCTCCCATTAACTCTAGCTTCAAAGAATAAATACCAGGTCAGATTTCCCAATGCACCTTATTGTTTCAAGAGATTCCTGGTGGTGCCTGCATCTGTAAGAATGGTCATATACAGACAAAATCAGTGGTTCTCAACTGAGGGTGCTTTTGTATCCTTAAAACATTTGCCAGTGTGTGGAGACATTCCTGGTTGTAATAAGTGGTGGCTTCTGCTGACATCTAGTTAATAATGGCAATACTATGAGACACAGGACTGCCCTCCTTTGCAACCAAGAAAAAATTTTCTGGCCCCCCAAAAGTGGAAGATGCTGAGGATTAAAAGCCCCAGTATCAAGGAGAATACTTTGAGACCATTTTTTTTTCCTTACAAAAACACAATATCCCCACCAATGTGAGATGTTGGATCACATTTTTGTACAAGGGTGGTTGTGGTAGGTAGAATTCTAAGATGCCCCAGGATATCTGCTTCTTTGTTACAACTCTAATCATCCTCTTCCATAAGGTATGGCTACATCTGTGACTTGTTCTAGACAATTGATTATGGCAAAGGTGAGGGGATGCTCTCTGGCAATTACTTTTCCTTATATCAGAAACAATAGGAATCTATATTTTCTTTCTATCTTGTGTTTGTTTTCATAATAAAGTGATCTAGAGTATCCCCCTGTTCATGGAAATTTTGCCCTTTAGTCTAAGGCCCTTCATACATAATTGAATATTGTTCTTTTTTAAATTTTAGATCCAGGGTGTACATGTGCAGGTTTGTTACATGAATATATTGGGTGATGCTGGGGTTTGGGCTTCTAGTGAACTCATCACCCAAATTAAGTAAACACAGTGCCCAGCAGGCAGTTTTTCAACTCTTGCCCCCTTCTCCCTCTCCCCTCTATTGGAGTTCCCAGTGTTTATTGTTTCCATCTTTACGTCCATGTGTACCCATTGTTCAGCTTTCACAAATGAGAACATGCAGTCTTTGATTTTCTGTTTCTGCATTAATTCACTTAGGATGATGGCCTCCACCTTCATCCATGTTGCCACAGAGGACATGATTTGATTCTTTTTTATTGCTGCGTAGTATTCCATGATGTTTATGTACCACATTTCTTTATCCAATCCATTGTTGATGGACACTTAGGTTGATTCCTTGACTTTGCTATTGTGAATGGTTTCTTTTTGATAAAATGAGTTATTTTTCTTTGGGTAGATACCAAGTAGTGAGACTGCTAGGTCAAATGGTAGTTCTGTTTTTAGTTCTTTGAGAAATCTCCATACTGTATTCCATAGGGGTTGAATTGCTTTACATTCCCACCATTAGGGTATAAGCATTTCCTTTTCTCTGCATCCTTGCCAACAATAGCCATTCTGACTGGTATGAAATGGTATTTCATGGTAGTTTTGATTTGCATTTCTGTGATGATTAGTGCTGTTGAGCATTTTTCGTGTTCATTGGCCATTTGTATGTTTTCTTTTGAAGAGTAGGTGTTGTGTTATCCTTTTTATTTTATGTTTCATATAATATATAGAGTCATTTTGTAAACCACATGCTTCTAGAAGCTGAAGGAATTTATAAGGAAAAAATTTGTCCCGATCCAGTGATTGAAATGTTAATGATTACTGTTTTTCAATCACATGAGATTTTTACATGTTCATCTATTCCCCAGACTCACCGTAGTAATACATTCCCAGCAACATTCAGTAATAAATGATTATTTGAGTACTTGTGCCTTGTATACGCTAAATTGTTGATGAGTAAAATACTTTATATAAGAATATACATTTGAGTGGTATAGAGGAGAAAAAGTAATATCTTCCTCACATCTATTGCAAGGTTTGTGGCTGAGACATCTATAACAAAAGATAGTTTAACAAGAGACTAGCATACAATTTCATTTTGTGTAAGTTTTATGTGATACAGGAGACTTCAGAAATGAAGACCCAAAGAAACAGGGAAATCTGTGTATTTTTGGGCTTAGTTTTGATGAAGAGTGGACAGTCATACAGAAAGATGGTTGGACAAAGTTTATGATCTAATGATTATAAACTAGGAAGAACTTAGCCAGACCTGTTTGTTCAGATTCTTGTCTGTGTCTCTGTCTTCAGAAATAAGGACATTCCATTCCTTCTGTTATAGGGTAGACAGTTCTGGAATGAGGGTCTTAGGACTGACTTCAGAAGGTCAGATAATTCTGTTATGTCCTACTTCAGGGGAGAGTGTCAGAGAGACCTTCCTGCTTCTGCTGTTTTCTCAAATGCCAAGCTGCCATATTTTGGGGATAGTGTGTCCTGGAAGCGCATTAGTGGATTGTTTAAATAAATACAGTTTTACTTTGCTGTGCTTGCACAAAGGTTCACACAATCATTATTATAGTATTGCTTAGTCTGGAAATAGCATATTAAATGTTGAAATATGTAGTGATTTAATACTCTGATGCTTTAAGACAAAACTGTAACCTATTGTGCATAAATATGGAAATGCTGTTTTTATTACATATTGATTGAAAATGAGATATACTATATGTTTGGGAGGTAAAGTTCTTTTTCAAAACGTAGTTTTGCCGAAGTAAAAAGTTTTTTGAAGCAATAGACCTTGTCTGCAATTGGTTTATCTGAGACATTGTTTTGAATCTTGAATAATTTTAAAAAACATTCATTAATTCTTTTTGTTCTGGTGTTAACAACCAGTAGCATGAAAAAATATAAGAATAAAATTATTATTTAAAATATTTACTTATTTGATTTGATTAGAACAGAGAATTGCTACTCTTTTTTTAGCATTTTAATGACACAAAAATAGTATGTAATTTTACTGCTTGGACATATTGAATTCTGACTTCTCTTTGTGAAATATTTTAAATCTTTTTCTAAAATTGTTAGAATTGTAAGCTGAAGGTTTTTCATGATCATCTAATTAAATTTTATCACTTAACTAAGAAATAAACCTGTGTCCCAGATAAATTAATGAGTTGACCATAGTTTGGGTTCTCAGCCTGCTTATATTTTATTTTACAACTATATATAAAATACTAATATGTAGAATATTAAAAATATAAAATATTTAAAACCTGGCTAGATAAGTCCATATAGACTTGTATTTTTTTTAATCAGGAGAATTACTGTATTTAATGGAGCAAAGAGAATGTTAATATTTTAATGTGTTTTTTGCTGTGGGTCAAAGAATGATTTTAGGATGTGCTAAAAGAGAAATGACTATCCATCCTATACCTAGAATATATTTGTTTCCAAAGCCACAAGGTTTCCTAATTTAGGGGATCTTGGGCTTAACTTTATTCTTTTTTTTTTTTTTTTTGAGATGGAGTCTCACTCTGTCGCTCAGGCTGGAGTGCAGTGGGCGATCTCGGCTCACTGCAAGCTCCGCCTCCCGGGTTCATGCCATTCTTCTGCCTCAGCCTCCCAAGTACCTGGGACTACAGGCACCTGCACCACGCCCGGCTAATTTTTTTTGTATTTTTAGTAGAGATGGGGTTTCACCGTGTTAGCCAGGATGGTCTCGATCTCTTGACCTCGTGATCCGCCTGCCTAGGCCTCCCAAAGTGCTGGGATTACAGGCGTGGGCCACCGTGCCCGGCCAACTTTATTCATTTCTTCTGATAGATACTGTCTAGGTCTATCATATTGATGGAATGGCTTGGAGGGTTTAACAGACATCTAACCCTGCTGATGTAAGAGTATTACAGAGGGTTGGAAGTGTGCAGTATAAGAAATATGACAAATGTAACACCTGCAGAGATTATTTTTATATACCTTTGGAAGGGTTTTTTTTTTCTTTTTTTGCTATCTTGCTGTTAAATACACAGGAAAGGACATATTTCATTGAGCAGCAGAGGCAGTGCTAATGGAAAAGGTAATTTTACAAAGTTACAGTAATTTTTTAATTTTACAGTAATTTTACAGTAATTTCACAGTAATTTTGTGACAGAAATTTGAAATCTTAAATGTTTTCCCATATGTTTTCCTCAGTGGGGATTGAGGGGAAGGATCCTCATTGTGAAAATGGGCTTCATGACTGTAAACATGGTTTTATTTTTTAAAAATATAGTGAATACATTTCATTGTTATCTGCTTATCTACAGTATTTTTTGAAAGGCCACTTTGGTTCACATGTAGGATTTTAAGATAAATGTGTTTGATCTTTGTTTTTAGATTTCTAAATTCATATTTTAAAGTACTATATTTACATTTCTTTTCTCATCCAAAGTGGAGCTTTTCTTATGCTCTTTTAATTACCTGAGTCTTTAAATGTTAGAACTCAAAGGTAAAAGATTTATCTTTGTGTAAATATGAAAAATATCTTAAGGTGCAAAATTATCCTTTGGGTTTGACCCAAGTGTTTTTACTTTTTAAATCTCCTTGATCCTGTTTCAGGGAGACAGCATGACTTATCCTTGTTTAATATTGTAGCAAGTTGCCAAAGATAACTATTGGTTATTAATCTCTTTTTTTTTTTTACAATCTTTTATCTTTTAGGTTAGTAAATGCTTACTTTTCATTTATTTCTGTAAGCAGGACTTTAATTTTGATTAAACCTAAAAATGATTTATTTTTCCTCAGCTGTATTAATGTACATTGGTCATTGAAACTCAGTGATCATTGGACTCAGTACTTTTTGTGTTAATCACATTCTGAAAATGTGACTTCTGTGTTAAATTTTAAAAATGTTTTTTTTGTTAGAAAATTATGAATCTGTCATTCAGCTTCTGGAAACAAGGATTTGTTCCATGTCATTGTGGACATAGAAGGTCAAATAGTTTAAGCAGACATGTGCACAAACGTAGATGTTGCGAATTCTCTCATCACTTGATCCTCAAGCCTTAAGTCATCAAAGTGGACATCTTAGGTTGGCAGATAGTTCTTTTGATTATGAGTAAGTAGCAAACAGAAGCATTGCCTGTATCATCTTTCCCCTTTACACTGTTCTAACACATTGCCAAAGCACTTCTAAAATTTGCTTTAATCAGGTGGTTCAGTTTTTTTAATTGAATTTAAATAAGAATTCTGTCTACTTTTCATCTCATTACTGACTTTTGAACAAGTAAATGACTGTGCTTGCATTGTAGATTTAAACTATAGATACATGTTTCCATATATAACATATAAGCGAGGAATGTTACCAGTTACTCCTTTTCCTCCCCTGCTTACTACCCTCTCACCAGTATACCCGCCCTCCCTCCATAGAAGCCCCCACAACAATTTGGTATATATCCTTCCAGACTTTTTTCAGTGTATGTATATGCATATATTTAAGTTTATATGTCCTTTGGTGAAATGTCATGATTTTCTTAGTATAAGTTTTTCACATTTCTTATTAAAATTATGCCTAGATATTTTAGTTTTATCACTATTTCAGATGAAGTTTCTTCATTACATTTTCTAGTTGAGTATTGCTAATATTTAAAGTTGATTTTGCATATAAGCCACATTATGTACTGTCTCTTTAGTTGTCATGGTTTTTCAAGGGATTCACTTTGATTTTCTAGTTATATAATCTAACAATAGTGGCAGTTTGTTTTCTCCTTATAGCCAATTTCTCTTTCTTGCCTTGTTGCATTGGCTAGAATTTGCAAAGTTGAGTATCATTCATGATATTCAACATCCTTATTCCCTTTTTCTTCTTTAGCAGAAATGTTTCTGATATAATAAAATGGACAAAGTTCTTTTCTAATCTTGATCTACCAATAATTAAAAAAAATCAGGAATGGGTATTAAGTATTAATGTTTTTGTAACATCTGTTGAAGGGCATTTTCTGTAGTGAATTTCAGTTACCTATTTTCTGATCCAATTATATGTTTTATAATTGGATATGTATTTACTATTTTTAAGTAATATGTATTTGTTAATATGTATTTAACATTTTTGCATCCACCCAATCTGTGGAATTGGCCTGATGCAGGGTGGAGGGAGTGTGCACACATAACTTCTATAGCAGAATATAATTTTTTTTTGCTCAGCTATTTGGCATTTCTTACCTCAGAAATATTTTAAAATAACAAAAGTGTTTATTAAAATATTGGTTTTAATATTACATATTTTTTCTCTACGGTCTTCATTATGTATATCTCCTATTTGCAGAAAGATGACCACCTGATATTTCTGAATGGTGCTAATCAAACTAACAGCATTTAGAGCCACTTATAACTGCTACTGATACTTAAACTAAAAAATAAACAAATAAGCTAAGCTTCCCGAGAAGAAACTCATTCACTTGCCGTTCTGTGCCATTCAGAGGGCATCTAATTAAAATTCTCAGTGCCAAAATGTTTCACCAATACCTTTTATGCATGAATAGTTCTCTTAGGTAAATCAAGAGTCAGTTATAATGCTAATTTTTACATTGTATTGATACTTAGATCTGTTTTGAATAATATTAAATAGGCTTTGCTCATAAGCAGAAAATGATCATTGAAATTCACAAATGGTAAGTATCTTCACAAAGTCTGTTTTATGGTGTAGAACAAAAAGCAATCTGCCAACCAATGTTGGACATTATAATTATGAAACAATTTTTGATATTTTATTGGTTTACTGATGTTCATTAGTGTCTAGTAAAGTATATGAAAATGATATTGGAGGAAAAATATCTAAAATCAACCTTGGAAATGTGTACAACGTATTATTTTGCCAGGCTTAATATTGCTTTTTAAACTTTATTGAAATATACATTAAGAAAAGTATACAGATCAGAAGCATACAGCTTCATGAATTTTTACAACCGGAACACACATGCATGTGAGTAGTACCCAGATGGAGAAACAGCATTTCCAGTATCTCAGAAGTTCCCATTTCATCCCATGCTTTTTTCAGATTTCAGCCTTCCAGAGGTAACCACCGTTCTGACTTCTAACAACATAGATTAGTTTTGCCTATTTTTTTTTTTTTTTTTTTACTTAAAGAGAATCATCCTTTATGTGCTCTTTTGTGACTGGCTTTTTTGCTTAACTTTGTGAGATTCATCCATTCCATGCTATTTATTGATGGTTATTTGTGTAAATTTCTGTTTGGGTTTTTATGTATAATACAGTACTAAAATGAAGAATCTCGTATATATCTTTTAGTGGATATGTGGCTTTCTAATATGCTAATTAGTCCCTGAAATATTAGTCACTAGTTAATATTCAAACAATTAATATAGAGATAACAATAATCTATTAATTATCTGATCCCTTATGTTTCTCAAGTTAATGACAGTAGCAACTTGATAAGTTTTGTTCCAACAGACAGTTAAATTACTGATAGATCCACCTTGAACTTGTGGAGGATTATGCATCATTGGAGTGGATCTGTTTCAGTTTTAGCCTTAGTCTTGGAACCTAGTGTTAAAAAATAAAAAGGCACGGCCTTTCTGAAGTTTTGATGGAAAGCACAAGGTGTTTACCCACATTCTCCCTTCAGACTCAGTCTCCCCTGTAACAGGCAGCTGCTGAAATCTTTGCTCAATTCTTTCAGCCTTCCCAGCTTCATTTTGAAACCTTGCTGAATCATGTACAGTTCAAAAGCTCCCTGCTCTGTGGATACTCTCTTCCAGCTGCTCTGGCAATCCTGGACTCCGTCTCCAGGCTCCTTGCACTGAGATTACGGCTTTCTGCTTGAGTTCTCGATGCTCCTAGCTTGTCTAGACTAGAGAATACCTTATGGGAAACACCGTATAAAGTTGGATCTAAATCCAACTTTAGATTGGTTCCTTTTTTTTAAAGATTGAATTCTCTAGAAGTTTATTTTTTTTTTCTATTAGTCACTCTCTGGTCTCTGAAAATTATTTTTCTGTTTTGTCCAGAGTTTATAGTTAGGCAGATAAATCTGATATAATATTCTGCCATTACCCAAATTGGAACTTCAGTAATTGAGAAATGAGCAAATAAAGTCTAAAAATAAAAGAACAAATTATCTTTAGTGGACCAGGTTGAAAGAGAGATTGTATACAGTTGGAGGAGGGTAGGATATGAAAGACTTCATGGAATAGGTTGGTATTCAAAGTGAAGCATGAGGGATTATTTGGATGGACTTCCATGTGCAGAGAGTAGGAGAGCATTTCAAGAGGAAGGAACAAATTGAACTGATGGGAAAGTACACCTTGCATTTATAAAAACAATTAGCAACCTGATTTGACTAGTTGGTTACTTCTCAGGGGAGTAATTAAAAAGAAGGCTAGAAAGTAGTTCTGTCCATATTATAGAAGTGCTTAAATGCCAAGGTAGAAGACTGAAGTTAATGTGATAGACAGTGAAAACTGTTTGAAATTTTTGAACTGGGCAGAGAGTGAGTTTGGGATTTGAACTTTAGGAAGACATCTTGGTGAAGGGTGGATTGGAGTCAAGGAGGCAGAAAGATTAGTTAGGATGGGGTTATGGGAATAATGAAAAAGAGCTTAAACTGGTGGTGACAGCATACCTAAAAAAGAACTACAAAATACAGGAAATGAAGGAGAATGAGAAGGGTAGAAACTGAATGGCTGGAAGAATAGTGGCTTCTTCCAGTGGATGAATGTTGTTACTATTGGATATATTGGATATAAGTTGTTACTATTTGATTTCTATATGTATGTATTCATAAATAAAGTGAGGATAATAATAAAGGCTATACCATCTTTGCAGGAAACAGAGTTCTGATCTCCTGGCTTCTGTCTTGTTTCTTATTCTCAACTAAGCCAATGTGCCTGTCAACACTTATCAGATTACTGCATCATATTTATGTTGATACTTCTGTTCTCAGTATATATACTTTAACTATCAACTGGAAAATCGTGTGCGCTTTGAAAAGGAGGAACCAATATAAAATTATGATATTATTAGTACTAATATAGCCAGCCATATGAAGCTCTTTTGCTTACAAAGGGTAGGGGTGGGTTATGATAAGAATATATATAATTATAGGAATCTCAGAGTAGCAACCATGGTCTGTGACCAGAACATTGGCAGCAGTAATTAGTGGGTCTTCCCGTCAGTGAGAGGTACTCCCCATTTATTCTCTTCTTTCTATATCTCATATCTTTCCCCATCCAAATTACCTTTTGAATCCTCCTTTCTATATTTTTTACTTCCACATTTCTAAGCAATGTTTCATAGAATGCTATATTCACCTCTGAGAGATTCACAATAAACATTTGTAGCAAACAGTGTTCCACCTTGTTATAAGAATAAAAGTGGGGTGGGCACAGTGGCTCAAACCTGTAATACCAGCACTTTGGGAGGCTGAGGCAGGTAGATCACTTGAGGTCAGGAGTTCGAGACCAGCCTGGCCAACATAGTGAAACCCCATCTCTACTAAAAATACACAAATTAGCCAGGTATGGTGGTGCATACCTCTAATCCCAGCTACTTGGGAGGCTGAGGCACGAGAATTGCTTGAACCTGGGAGGCAGAGGTTGCAGTGAGCCCAGATCACGCCACTGTACTCCAGCCTGGGCGACAGAGTGAGAGTCCATCTCAAAAAAAAAAAAAAAAAAGAATAAAAGTGACATTTCTTGAAGTTGGATTTCCTAAAGAGCCTATGTAGATTTGTAAACATTAACACTGTCCTACATTGAAGAATTCAATTGGATGTCAGATCTTAGAGCTTTATTTTTTTATGCTTTAAAAGAATATTGTTAATGATGGAAGGTTTGTCAGGAGTGAGCGATCTTCAAAAAGGAGACTCAGAAGAAGTTAATTTAAAAAAAGAATGTGTATTGTTGCATTTTCTTGAGTAATGATAGGACTAGCAATTTTACACATCAGTAATCTTGATAGTAAATTTTAATTTCCATTTAAGAATCCTCTTGGGTTTTAAAATTCATCTCAAATTGTTTTTTTAGAGTGGAATAAAATTATTAAAGACTAACAATGCCTTTGCAATTATGAATTTTATTATTTGACAATACATATTAGAAAATCTCCCAAATTTAACACAGAAAAAGGTATTCCAACTAACAGTTTTAAAGAAATTATTACAAATAAAATATTCCATCAATAATGTACTTATTTGATTTTATAGTAGCTGTTTATTTTAAATATTGATTTTGTTTCTCAGCTAAAGCTTAATGTTAAATCTTGGAAAAAAATTTGTTTCTTACAGGGCTGATCCCTTATCCAACATGGTTCTAACCTTCAGTACTAAAGAAGATGCAGTTTCCTTTGCAGAAAAAAATGGTATGTTTGGTCTGTTTTTGACAAAGTCAAGATAATGATTTTATGTTCTTAACCTTAATTAAAACCAATTAAGTATACAGAATTTGAGTTGGAATCCAGTGGTTTCATTGTATCTAATCCAGTGGTTTCAGACTTTAACTACATCAGAACACCCACCTCCAAAAAAAAAAAAAAAAAAAACCTAAATTGGAATGCTCATACAACATGTAAAAGACAGACTGCTCTAATTTGAAGTACCAACAGGGAATGAAACTACTTAACGCCTACCTTGTGTATGAATTCCTCTGTAAAATTACTAACATTTTGTTGAACTTCAATTGAACATATATGGCAGCCTATTCTAGTTTTGACACCTCTGTTTACCGTTAAGTTCTTTCAGCCAAACGTAATGCCAAAATCTAGTCTATTAATCTATTTAATAACTCAATTATTTGAAAATATTGTCTTATTGCCTGTAAAATTTCCCTTCAGTCTAAATGCCCACATTTGCTACTTTTCTAGATATAGTGGGCCTAATACCAAGCCTAATCTCAACTGTATAATAATATTAATGTGGCCTAAGAGTATATTTGCTTTTGGGGCAGCCACCTAACATCATTGGGTTATGTTGATCTTGCTATCAACAAAAATGCAAAATGTCTTCCTTTTTCCTTATTTTCTGCTGTTAAGCCAACATAGTATAGTGAAAGGAAGTTTTGCAGTCAGACTAATATGGATTCTAATCTTGGTTATGCCACTTTGAAGCTATATGATTTTGGATTAATTTCATAATGGACTTAATGTTTCTCAGTTGAAATAAGGGTACCTACCTCATGAAGTGGGTGATAGCTGATACATAATAGATGTTCTGCTTGATACCTCATGAAGTGGGTGATAGCTGATACGTAATAGATACTACTTGATAACTATTAGTTCTGACCTTCACCTCCCTCCAGCCAGTATTTCTGCTGTTTGTCTTCCTTAGATTCAAATGCACTACTAAACATTTGTACCTAATGTATCCTGTTATTCTAGTTTCTCAAATTGAATTTGTCTCTTTAAGTGCATTGTTACTGTAAGGCAGTATATAAAAATAAGAAATTAGTGTTCTCTAACATTACCTGAAATACAAATGTGAAAGCACTATAAAGGTTATAATCTAACATATTTGCTTTTCTTTTTCACCTAGTATTGTATAGCTTATGATTAAAAGTCTGAAGTCAACCTATCTGCCTTTGAATCTGTATGTCACTACCTGTATGACTTTATACTTCTATTTCCTCATACGTGCAATGAGAATTGCTGTGGTGATTAAATGAGTTAATAAAAGTGTTTAGAGACTAGGGTCTGACAAATACTATATGATAGTATATAAGTATACCCTATTCTGTTATTAATAGACTTTTTTTTTATTTAAGTTTTAGGGTACATGTGCACAACATGCAGGTTTGCTACACATGTATACATGTATACATGTGCCATGTTGGTGTGCTGCACCGATTAACTCTTCATTTAACATTAGGTATATCTCCTAATGCTGTCCCTCCCCCCACCCCACAACAGGTCCCGGAGTGTGATGTTCCCCTTCCTGTGTCCGTGTGTTCTCATTGTTCAATTCCCCACCTATGAGTGAGAACATGCGGTGTTTGCTTTTTTTGTCCTTGCGATAGTTTGCTGAGAATGATGGTTTCCAGCTTCATCCATGTCCCTACAAAGGACATGAACTCATCCTTTTTTATGGCTGCATAGTATTCCATGGTGTATATGTGCCACATTTGCTTAATCCAGTCTATCATTGTTGGACATTTGGCTTGATTCCAAGTCTTTGCTATTGTGAATAGTGCCGCAGTAAACATATGTGTGCATGTGTCTTTACAGCAGCATGATTTATAATCCTTTGGGTATATACCCAGTAATGGGATTGCTGGGTCAAATGGTATTTCTAGTACTAGATGCCTGAGGAATTGCCACACTGACTTCCACAATGGTTGAACTAGTTTGCAGTCCCACCGACAGTGTAAAAGTGTTCCTTTTTCTCCACATCCTCTCCAGCACCTGTTGTTTCCTGACTTTTTAATGATCGCCGTTCTAACTGGTGTGAGATAGTATCTCATTGTGGTTTTAATTTGCATTTCTCTGATGGCCAGTGATGATGGGCATTTTTTCATGTGTCTTTTGGCTGCATAAATGTCTTCTTTTGAGAAGTGTCTGTTCATATCCTTCGCCCACTTGTTGATGAGGTTCTTTGTTTTTTTCTTGTAAATTTGTTTGAGTTCATTGTAGATTCTGGATATTAGCCCTTTGTCAGATGACCAGATTGCAAAAATTTTCTCCCATTCTGTAGGTTGCCTGTTCACTCTGATGGTAGTTTATTTTGCTGTGCAGAAACTCTTTAGTTTGATTAGATCCCATTTGTCAATTCTGGCTTTTGTTGCCATTGCTTTTGGTGTTTTAGACATGAAGTCCTTGCCCATGCCTATGTCCTGAATGGTATTGCCTAGGTTTTCTTCTAGGGTTTTTATGGTTTTAGGTCTAACATTTAAGTCTTTAATCTATCTTGAATTAATTTTTGTATAAGGTGTAAGGAAGGGATCCAGTTTCAGCTTTCTACATATGGCTAGCCAGTTTTCCCAGCACCATTTCTTAAATAGGGAATCCTTTCCCCATTGCTTGTTTTTGTCAGGTTTGTCAAAGATCAGATACTTGTAGATATGCGGCATTATTTCTGAGGGCTCTGTTCTGTTCCATTGGTGTATATCTCTGTTTTGGTACCAGTACCATGCTATTTTGGTTACTGTAGCCTTGTAGTATAGTTTGAAGTCAGGTAGCTTGATGCCTCCAGCTTTGTTCTTTTGGCTTAGGATTGACTTGGCAATGCGGGCTCTTTTTTGGTTCCATATGAAGTTTAAAGTAGTTTTTTCCAATTCTTTGAAGAAAGTCATTGGTAGCTTGATGGGAATGGCATTGAATCTATAAGTTACCTTGGGCAGTATGGCCATTTTCACGATATTGATTCTTCCTACCCATGAGCATGGAATGTTCTTCCATTTGTTTGTATCCGCTTTTATTTCATTGAGCAGTGGTTTGTAGTTCTCCTTGAAGAGGTCCTTCACGAAGTCCCGTGTAAGTTGGATTCCTAGGTATTTTATTCTCTTTGAAGCAATTGTGAATGGGAGTTCACTCATGATTTGGCTGTCTGTTAGTGGTGTATAAGAATGCTTGTGGTTTTTGCACATGGATTTTATATCCTGAGACTTTGCTGAAGTTGCCTATGAGCTTAAGGCGATTTTGGGCTGAGACGATGGGGTTTTCTAGATATACAACCATGTCATCTGCAAACAGGGACAATTTGACTTCCTCTTTTCCTAATTGAATACCCTTTATTTCCTTCTCCTGCCTGATTGCCCTGGCCAGAACTTCCAACACTATGTTGAATAGGAGTGGTGAGAGAGGGCATCCCTGTCTTGTGCCAGTTTTCAAAGGGAATGTTTCCAGTTCTTGCCCATTCAGTATGATATTGGCTGTGGGTTTGTCATAGATAGCTCTTATTATTTTGAGATAAGTCACATCAATACCTAATTTATTGAGAGTTTTTAGCATGAAGTGTTGTTGAATTTTGTCAAAGGCCTTTTCTGCATCTATTCAGATAATCATGTGGTTTTTGTCTTTGGTTCTGTTTATATGCTGGATTACGTTTATTTTGTGTATGTTGAACCAGCCTTGCATCCCAGGGATGAAGCCCACTTGATGATGGTGGATAAGCTTTTTGATGTGCTGCTGGATTCGGTTTGCCAGTATTTTATTGAGGATTTTTGCATCGATGTTCATCAGGGATATTGGTCTAAAAATCTCTTTTTTTTGTTGTGTCTCTGCCAGGCTTTGGTATCAGGATGATGCTGGCCTCATAAAATGAGTTAGGGAGGATTCCTTCTTTTTCTATTGATTGGAATAGTTTCAGAAGGAATGGTACCAGCTCCTCCTTGTACCTCTGGTAGAATTCGGCTGTGAATCCATCTGGTCCTGGACTTTTTTTGGTTGGTAATCTATTAATTATTGCCTCAATTTCAGAGCCTGTTATTGGTCTATTTAGAGATTCAGCTTCTTCCTGGTTTAGCCTTGGGAGGGTGTATATGTCCAGGAATTTATCCATTTCTTCTAGATTTTCTAATTTATTTGCATAGAGGTGCTTATAGTATATTCTCTGGTGGTAACTAAGATCAGTTCTGCCCTGATCTTAGTTATTTCTTGCCTTCTGCTAGCTTTTTGAATGTGTTTCCTCTTGCTTCTGTAGTTCTTTTAATTGTGATGTTAGGGTGTCAATTTTAGATCTTTCCTGCTTTCTCTTGTGGGCATTTAGTGCTATAAATTTCCCTCTACACACTGCTTTGAATGTGTCCCAGAGATTCTGGTATGTTGTGTCTTTGTTCTCGTTGGTTTCAAAGAACATCTTTATTTCTGCCTTCATTTCATTATGTACCCAGTAGTCATTCAGGAGCAGGTTGTTCAGTTTCCATGTAGTTGAGCGGTTTTGGTGAGTTTCTTAATCCTGAGTTCTAGTTTGATTGCACTGTGGTCTTAGAGACAGTTTGTTATAATTTGTTATAATTTCTGTTCTTTTACATTTGCTGAGGTGTGCTTTACTTCCAACTGTGTGGTCAATTTTGGAACAGGTGTGGTGTGGTGTTGAAAAAAATGTATATTCTGTTGATTTGGGGTGGAGAGTTCTATAGATGTCTATTAGGTTTGCTTGGTGCAGAGCTGAGTTCAATTCCTGGGTATCCTTGTTAACTTCCTGTCTCATTGATCTGTCTAATGTTGACAGTGGGGTGTTAAAGTCTCCCATTGTTATTGCGTGGGAGTCTTAAGTCTCTTTGTAGGTCACTCAGGACTTGCTTTATGAATCTGGGTGCTCCTGTATTGGGTGCATATATATTTAGGATAGTTAGCTCTTCTCAGTGAATTGATCCCTTTACCATTATGTAATGGCCTTCTTTGTCTCTTTTGATCTTTGCTGGTTTAAAGTCTGTTTTATCAGAGACTAGGATTGCAACCCTTGCCTTTTTTTGTTTTCCATTTGCTTGGTAGATCTTCCTCCATCCCTTTATTTTGAGCCTATGTGTGTCTCTGCTCATGAGATGGGTTTCCTGAATACAGGACACTGATGGGTCCTGACTCTGTATCCAGTTTGCCAGTCTGTATCTTTTAATTGGAGCATTTAGCCCATTTACCTTTAAGGTTAATATTGTTATGTGTGAATTTGACCCTCTCATTATGATGTCAGCTGGTTATTTTGCTCATTAGTTGATGCAGTTTCTTCTTAGCCTCGATGGTCTTTACAATTTATCATGTGTTTGCAGTGGCTGGTACTTGTTGTTCCTTTCCATGTGTAGTGCTTCCTTCAAGAGCTCTTTTAGGGCAGGCCTGGTGGTTGCAAAATCTCTTTGCATTTGCTTGTCTGTAAAGGATTTTATTTCTCCTTCACTTATGAAGCTTAGTTTGGCTGGATATGAAATTCTGGGTTGAAAATTCTTTTCTTTAAGAATGTTGAATATTGGCCCCCACTCTTCTGGCTTGTAGAGCTTTTGCCAAGAGATCAGCTGTTAGTCTGATGGGCTTCCCTTTGTGGGTAACCCGACCTTTCTCTCTTGCTGCCGTTAACATCTTTTCCTTCATTTCAACTTTGGTGAATCTGACAATTATGTGTCTTGGAGTTGCTCTTCTTGAGGAGTATCTTTGTGGCGTTCTCTGTATTTCCTGCATTTGAATATTGGCCTGCTTTGCTAGATTGGGGAAGTTCTCCTGGATAATATCCTGCAGAGTGTTTTCCAACTTGGTTCCATTCTCCCCGTCACTTTCAGGTACACCAATCAGACGTAGATTTGGTCTTTTCATATAGTCCCGTATTTGTTGGAGGCTTTGTTCGTTTCTTTTTATTCTTTTTTCTCTAAACTTCTCTTCTTGCTTCATTTCATTCATTTGATCTTGCCTCACTGATACCCTTTCTTCCAGTTGATCAAATCGGCTACTGAGGCTTGTGTATTTGTCACGTAGTTCTTGTTCCGTGGTTTTCAGCTCCATCAGGTCCTTTAAGGACTTCTCTGCATTGGTTATTCTAGTTAGCCATTTGTCTAATTTTTTTTCAAGGTTTTTAACTTCTTTGCCATGGTTTCAAACTTCCTCCTTTAGCTCGGAGTAGTTTGATCGTCTGAAGCCTTCTGTCAACTCGTCAAAGTCATTCTCCATCCAGCTTTGTTCCATTGCTGGTGCAGAGCTGCATTCCTTTGGAGGAGGAGAAGTGCTCTGATTTTTAGAGTTTCCAGTATTTCTGCTCTGTTTTTTCCCCATCTTTGTGGTTTTATCTACCTTTGGTCTTTGATGATGGTGACATACAGATGGGGTTTTGGTGTGGATGTCCTTTCTGTTTGTTAGTTTTCCTTCTAACAGTCAGGACCCTCAGCTGCAGGTCTGTTGGAGTTTGCTGGAGGTCCACTCCAGACCCTATTTGCCTGGGTATCAGCAGCGGAGGCTGCAGAACCGCGGATATTGGTGAACAGCAAATGTTGCTGCCTGATTGTTCCTCTGGAAGCTTTGTCTCAGAGGAGTACCTGGCCGTGTGAGGTGTCAGTCTGACCCTACTGGGGGGTGCCTCCCAGTTAGGCTACTCAGGGGTCAGGGACCCACTTGAGGAGGCAGTCTGTCCGTTCTCAGATCTCCAGCTGCCTGCTAGGAGAACCACTACTCTTCAAAGCTGTCAGACAGGGACATTTAAGTCTGCAGAGGTTTCTGTTGCCTTTTGTTTGGCTATGCCCTACCCCCAGAGGTGGAGTCTACAGAGGCAGGCAGGCCTTCTTGAGCTGCGCTGGGCTCCACCCAGTTCGAGCTTCCTGGCTGCTTTGTTTACCTAGTCAAGCCTTGGCAATGGCGGACGCCCCTCCCACAGCCTCGCTGATGCCTTGCAGTTTGATCTCAGACTCCTGTGCTAACAATGAGCGAGGCTTTGTGGGCATAGGACCCTCCGAGCCAGGTGCGGGATATAATCTCCTGGTGTGCCGTTTGCTAAGACCGTTGGAAAAGCACAGTATTAGGGTGGGAGTGACCCGATTTTCCAGGTGCCATCTGTCACCCCTTTCTTTGACTAGGAAAGGGAATTCCCTGACCCCTTGCGCTTCCTGGGTGAGGCGATGCCTCGCCCTGCTTGGGCTCACACTCGGTGTGCTCCACCCACTGTCCTGCACACACTGTCTGATGCTCCCCAGTGAGATGAACCCGGTACCTCAGTTGGAAATGCAGAAATCACCCGTCTTCTGCGTCGCTTACGCTGGGAGCTGTAGACTGGAGCTGTTCCTATTCCACCATCTTGGCTCCACCTTAACTCTTAATAGACCTTTAAAAACTTTTTAAAAAGAGGTTCTTAAGTGCAATTCCTTACTTATACTTTCTTGGCAAGTTCCAAATTTCTTAATTACATAATTGTTTTCAAAAGTGGTCTTTTAAAATACTATTTTGACTTAAAATAACATTACTCTCTTTGTGAACTGTAACATAGTTATGAAAAACAGTTCCATTAATTTTTTTATCTTTTCAGCCTATTATATTTCATGTCTGACACTTTGAAAATTATTCATTTGAAGTCTGTCACATGAGTTTAATAACAGGAAATCTAATTAAATATTTAAATCCCTGGTTAGTCTTTCTCTAAGTGGTCACAAGGACTGCATGACTACAGTTGCCATGTGAATTGCCAGTGTGAGCTCACCACTGTTCCTATTAAAATCAAGTGCCTTTCTATCTGACTTCTACCTCCCCGGGAAAGAAAACTGAGGAACACTATCAAAGTCTATAGAAAGTGTAACTTTAAAAAGCCTTGTGGTTAGTGACATAAAGTTGTAGGCTAACAGTGAATCAGGAATTTTAACCTTTAAGATAGCAGAACTATGTCCTATCTTGGTCACTGCTATGTGCCTAGCACCTAGCACCTAGCACAAAACCTGACATATAATGGACACTCAGTATCTGGTGGAATAAATGACTTTCTAAAATATATTTCTCTGACTGGGCACAGTGGCTCATGCCTGTAATCCCAGTGCTTTGGGAGGTTGAGGTGGGTGGATCACTTGAGGTCAGGAGTTGGAGACCAGCCTGGCCAACAGCAAAACCCTGGTTCTACTAAAAATACACAAATTAGCTGGATGTGGTGGTGCGCACCTGTAGTCCTGGCTACTCAAGAGGCTGAGACAGGAGAATCGCTTGAACTCACAAGGTGGAGGTTGCAGTGAGCTGAGATCATACCACTACACTCCAGCCTGGGTGACAGGGTGAGACTCAGTCTCAAAAAATAATAAATAAATAAATAGAAAGAAACATATTTCTTTACTCAAGAATTTGAAACCATTCTCCTCTCCTGGGAAAGTCCTTAATGATTATTCCACTCTTGATTTCGGTATAGTACTTATGATCTGCCTTATTTATTTAACATGTAGCATTCTATGTCCTTAAATAGATAAATCCTGTTTCTTCAGCTACAGTGGAAGGAAGATCTAAATAAACACCATTGAAGCATTACAGAAGTGGAGGTGGGGAGGCCAGGCGCGGTGGCTCACGCCTGTAATCCCAGCACTTTGGGAGGCTGAGGTGGGCGGATCACCTGAGGTCAGGAGTTTGAGATCAGCCTGACCAACATGGAGAACCCTCGTCTCTACTAAAAATACAAAATTAGCCGGGCATGGTGGCACATGCCTGTAATCCCAGCTACTCAGGAGGCTGAGGCAGGAGAATCGCTTGAACCCGGGAGGCAGAGGTTGCAGTGAGCTGAGATCGTGCCATTGCACTCCAGCCTGGGCAACAAGCTCCAGCCTGGGCAATAAGAGCAAAAACTCTGTCTCCAAAAAAAAAAAAAAAAAGGTGGAGGTGGGGGATCTTTTCCAAATTCCACAGCATCCTCTTCCTTCTGACTTGCCCCTCTTGGGTAGGTAAATAGTAGTGAAGGACATGCAAATGGATCCTCCCTATCCCCACAACTAAAATCATTTGTTGTCAGCTAGTGCTATTGAAGGTTGAGTGAACCGATGTTCTGATAAGTTAAGGCATTTAAAAAAAAAAGGTTCAGATGCACTAATATGTAAAGACTACTGGATTAAGAGGCTGGTAACTAAGACTCTCATTCCACAGTGGTCTACATCACAGGAGAACTTGAACAAGTCATGCTTCACTACACTTAGCCTTTTAGAAGCATATTTCTTCATCTTTGAAATGAGAAGTTGGATTGGGTGATGTCCAAAAACTATAGACTTAAGGATGTTAAAGCCCATGGGCTAGTTCGTCTTTATTTCTTTGCTATCTAGCCCAGTGCCTTACTCATATGCTGTATAGGGGGAAATGAGTTTTTGTTAATACAGCTGATTCTGTGTTAATAGTAAAATATGACAAAGGTTATACGTTTATGGGCATTAATGCTTGCCTTTCAGTAGTATCTAGAAATAGGAAGTTAGGGTAAAACTGCCACATACCTACACAAAAGATGATTTATGTATCACTTATCAAATTGTATTTTATATTAATGCAGCCTAAAAGTATATTAGCTTTTGACAGTTATTTGATTTGTATATCAATTATCAAATACAATTTGTTATCAATTGTATTTGAGATACAGTTGATTATTTGTATATCAATTCAGGGACTATTCTGAAGATAAAAGCCTACCTGTTATCTCCTTAGTTTTTTCATTTCCCTTTTAAATGTCAAATAAAAAGAGAAGTCATGAGCATGGTTTCCCTTGACACTAAAGATTGTAGAAAATCAATACATCAAGGGGAGTAAGATTTTCAGATTCAGTTGCTTTCTGGAAAACCTTTTTTTTGGAGGGGTTCGGGGCTGGAGACAGAGTCTCACTCTGTCACCCAGGCTGGAGTGCAATGGCATGATCTTGGCTCACTGCAACCTCCACCTCCCAGGTTCAAGCGATTCTCCTGCCTCAGCTTCCTGGACTACAGGCATGCACCACCATGTCCAGCTAATTTTTTTTTTTTTTTTTTTTTTAAAGTAGAGACAGGGTTTTACCATGTTGGCCAGGCTGGCCTCGAACTCCTGACCTCAGGTGATCCACCTGCCTTGGCCTCCCAAAGTGCTGCAATTACAGGTGTAAGCCACTGCACCCAGCCTTACAAAACATATTTAATGCCCTCTAATTATATTTTGAGACTTGGGTAATAAGTATTGTCACCACAGAAAGTAACAAACACTAAATCATGAGCCAGGCACTATGCTAAGTGCTTTTCATTCTCATTTAGTAACTCTGTGAAGCAGGAACAGTTATCTCCATTTAATTGTTCAAGGCAACTGAGGTTTAGAGACATTATGTCACATTAAGTAACAGGGACACATACAAGGAGGTGAACAAGTTTTATTTGAACAGTCATGTTTATTCATTTATATATAGTCTATGACTGCTTTTTGGCTACAGTGGTAGAAAAGTAGTTGTAATAGAGACTATATGGCCCCAGAGCCTAAAAATAATTACTACTTGGCCCTTTACAGAAAATTTTAGGTGACCTCTAGTCTAAACTGTTACGTATACTGCCTCAATACTATGACATTTGTGTAAGTCCCAAAATACCCTTTATTCAAACATCTTCAAGAGTCTGTGTTTAATAGACAAATTCCTCAACTGATAATTCAAAGTTCTTCACAATATAGGCACAAACTTACTACCAAAGCACTAACAAGTTTTGTCTGTGTTCCAACTCTTACTTTCTGCCCTTACATTCCAAACCTACTACACCTTCCTCCCTCTACAACCTCGTTAATACTGTTCTCATTCTTATCCCTGCCTATGAAACTCTAACCTAGTCTTCATTTCATATGCTGTCTCATTTCTTCATCCCTTTTCTTATTCCCCTCCTTCACTTGCACCTCCCATCTACTACTGGATGAACTCCTCTTTCTTCCTTTTAACTTTCACAATAATTTGTTCCTTTCTTGCAGCTCTTATAGTATGGTTTTCTCTTTTACCTTTTTTGTACTGCACTCAGTCAGAAGCATGTTGAACACACCCTATTGTATGTCAGCGCTGTATGGCTAGGCTCTGGGGATAAATAAGGCATAGTTCTTACACTCAAACTGTAATATTTTATCCTGCCTATTGGATTATAAGAATTTACCAGGGAAGACAAGTCCTATTTATCTTTTAATGTGCTCAGTAAATATTGGTGAATTTAGCAGCAAATTTAGTAACGTTGTAAATGATTCTCCAGATTATGCTTTAAACTTTTCTTTAAATCACCTTAATTTGGTGACTTGTTCTTTTTTTAGAAGAACTGTTGATCTGTTAATTCCCTGTAATTAGAAACCTGAAGAAAGAAAGCTATAGTAGGATGATTAACAATTTCTTATATTTTAGTGTGTTTGTAAAATAAAACTAATGAATGTTTTCCTGTCAAGTTAATTTGGAGTTTATCCTGAGTTTATTAAGGATTAGCATCCTGAAGTGTATTGAAACAAAATGATTATTTCATAATGTTTGAATTGCTTCCAAACTGCATGTTATTTATTCTAAACTCTCCCTCTGATAGGATACCGAGACCTAGAGAAGTTAAGAAAACAAGCCCCAGATCAATCACATTGCTCCTGACAGCACCTAACCTTCTAGATTCCAAGTCCAATGGTTTTCCTGGTACTATGATGCTAGTAGATCTTAAAAAATAATAATCTAGATCTACACTATCCAATATGGTAGCCACTGGCCACATGTGATTTTAGCTCTTGATATGTGTTTAATTCGAATTTAGATGTGCCGTAAGTGTAAAATGCACACTGAATTTCAAAGACTTAGTATGAAAAAAAAAAGTATCTCAATTTTTATTACATGAAGTGATAACCTAGAAACACTGGACGAAGTAAAATATTATAAAAATTAATTTTACATATTTCCTTTTATTTAATGTGGCTACTAGAAACTTATGTATGGCTCACATATTTCTACTGAACAGCACTGATATATTTGGCAATATACAGGGTATACATTATATATATATATATATTCTATGTAAATAGTTCATTAAATAATTCCTATAGTAAATATGAGAAACAGGAAACTCATATCCAACTTGGAAAAGTTCAAATATAATACTTATTAAGAAATACAGTTCTATTCTTCAGGTACTCTTACCTAGAATGAATTAAGGATATGTAGAAACTCTTATGTTACTTATAAAATAATAAAGAGATACTGTAGGTCTCTACAGAGATACTATAGTGTCCCTATAGTACCTCTAGAGTATAGTATAGAGATACTATAGTATCTCTTTACTATATAGATATATGGAATAGACTATAGAGTATCTCTAGACTATATATTATTTATACTCTACTATCTATATAGTATCTCTATATAGAGAGATAATATATATACTCCATATAGTATACTCTAGAGATGCTATAAGTTTCTGTAGTATCTTTATAGTAGAGATAATAGGGAGGGATAATAGTATAGGGACGTACTATATACCTATAGTATCTCTATAAGTACACAAGTTCCCCCATTAATCATCTGTTTTCAGTTGTTAACCAAATAAGGTATTATGCAGGCTCATCTTTTTATATAAGAATACTCTACTCTTGTTTTTGAGATGAAAAGAAGTTCTCTTTCTCCTGCTATTGATAATTTCTGCAGCTGTCCCCTCAGCTTATATCTTTTTTGCATAGCTCTCTCTTCTTTACCTCACTTCTTATGGAAGGCTGGTGTTCTGAAATTGGGGAGTGGAAAAGAAGAAAAGACTGAATGCTCCCTATGACTTCATTTTCTCCCTGTTCCCACTACCATGTCCCCAAACATACTGACACACAAAGAAAATATAAATACCCCTGATTCTTTTAGCCTTAAACTTAGGGCCTCATCCTAAACATCTTAAGCTCAGCATCTATTCCAAAGGAACTCTTTAATGATAACGTTTCTTTGTAAAGAGACGAATATCATCTGGGGTTTCCTCTGAAATGTAGATGAACCTCACTTCAGTTCTTTGTGTACTAAAAAGACCCACCCTTCTCACCCATGTGGCTTTTGTCTTTCCTTGTGTTATGTAATAAGTGATGGGGTAGAAGGATGGGGGGTGGAGGAAGCTACATCATGGAGAGAGGAGGTAGAAGACAGCTGTGGAAAATTTGGATGGTGGAAGACTAGAATCTACTACCATTTACATGCTAATGAAAACCAGAAATGGTCTTTTTTCCCCCGTTTGATCTGATTTGAAAGTTTGTGACTTTTGTCTAGTATGTCATTTTACCCCCTGTGTTTTTCTCATTGTTGTTAGCTATAAAAACTCTTTGAAATTCTCAAAATAAAGGAAGGTTTCTTTCAGGAATAGGAGGGCTGAGGACAAGCTGTGAAACTGCATTCTTCATAGTGGGTCTATTGGGGTGGAAAACCCGCCTCTGAAGTAATAGAAGGTAGAAGCACGGAAGGAAACAGGTCTGGCCCTGGATCCAGGAAAATAAAGAAAGAAATAATTGGAGATGTAGCTTAGTACTTAGAATTATCCCAGAAGTGAACAACATCAGTAAGGTCTGGGCTTCCACCTAACGTAACCTCTTATGAGGGTCTCAACCTCACATCCATATATCTTTTAAAAAAACAAAACAAAAAAAAAAACTTTCAAAACAAAGGCAAGAATCATGACTTTCATATAGGTATAAATTGCAAGTAAAAATTTATTTTACTCATATAAGGGAACAAGGCAGGTGTTACAACCAGTTCAGAGTAAAAGTCAAAACAGCACTAATTCATGTGAAATAAAAAAACGTAGTGAATTGCAAATAGAGGCAAAATTGGGTTTTGGTGGGGGAGGTCTATTAAGTAGAACACAGGACAGAAATTACATGTGTATCAATTGTGTACAACCTAAAAAGAGTTGCCAAGTAGCTAAAAGATAAGGAACTGATCTAAAATCTGATAATCTAGAAGGGGAAGGGTGTGCCAGAGACAATGCACAGTTTTCCATTGAAACAAAGGTTTTTTTTTTCTATTCCTTCTCCATTTTGATTAGGAAATAATCTCAGCAAGAGATTATTTGTGATCACAAAATAACATTGGTATGATATTTAGCCTTATTTACATAGGTGTAGCAAGAGTGTTAATTTGTCATATATGCTTTCTTGTATGCTTTGGTGAAAGTTTTTACAAGGAATCTCTGATTGGACTTTGAAGTCTCTTGAGCTAGGAAACCACACCAAGAACTTGCCACTAGATTTAAAATCTAGTAAAAAGATTCAGTAAGTCTGGAGTATGGCCTAAATATCGGTATATTAATAAAACTCAGATAAGTGACATTGATTTCCAGTTGACATTTACTGGCCTAGAAGATGCAAGATTTAAACTACAGAAGTAAAGATGCAACCAAGTTAATATTTTTAAAAATAACAAATTATGACTGATAAACTATACTGTAATTATTTGCTGGGCAAAGCAGTACAAGGACTCAGGTAAATAGAACACATCTTGAGCAGTGAAGGCATTGATAATTCCCCAGGAACTTACCATATAGCATACAATTTTGGTTAATAACACTTTACCCATGAAATTTAACCTTGGGATGGCTAAACATCTTTTCTGCATTGACAACTTTTCTCATAGTTGACAACTGTTCTCAAGTAGCTTGTTAATAATAGCATATAAAATAAACCTAATTATTTTTTAGCACCTCTCTTTTCACAAAATGAAAGAATGTATCTTTGTGATTTTCCAGAGGCCCTCTAGGGAATCTCAGAGATAATTCTAGGTGCAATGATATCCTGAAAGTTTTATTTTACATTTAGGATTCAGTTTTGGGAAGGTAAATATCAAAAGTTGTCCGGAGATGTGAACAGTTAGATATAGAATCATAGGTACCTGAGAAATGATATGTGGCCACTCATTGCAAAGTCACAGTAAAACTTAAATATAGAAGGTAATATGATGGTAAAGAAAGAACCTTAGCTCTTACAATGATAAGACATTCTCTTTCTCTTTCTGGCACAATCAGTCACTTTACTTGAGGACATAACTATTCTTTTTCCTTTAATAAACAAAAACACATCTCATAACCTTGCATTGCAAAGTTTTACCTCTCTGCCACCATTTCTCCTATTCCAGTTTCATTTATGTGTATCTTTTAACCAAAGTGACTGATTCCATAGAGAAACTGGGAGATGGAGAATTGAAAATGGTTACACGTCAGCATTTTAGTAGACTAGCAGATCTCATAAATACACATAACTTTCTATAGCTATATGCATTCCTTATACTCCAACTTCTCCAGGTGGCAAAAATGAACATGTTCATTAACCAACTCAGAGATACAGCCTCTCTGTAGCATATGAAAATAAGTAGCAAGAGTTTATAAATTTAAAATTTTGCCTAGTAATTATAGTGGAGAAAAGATGTCTTTTCTCACCCATCACATAGGTTCGTCTCCTATAATAAAAGACAGTTAAAAATAGAAAAGCACATATTTATTTAATGTAAGTTTTATGTGATACAGGACGCTTTAGAAATGAAAACCCAAAGAAACAGGAATACTTGTGTATTTTATGCTAAATTTGAAGAAAAAGTATATTGTGTGTGGAAATATGACTGGATAAAGAAGGTATGATCCAATAGTAATAAGCTAGAGAGAACTTAGCTAGGCCTGTTTGTTCAGATTCTTCTCTTAAGTCCATCCCTCTGTGATATTCCTTGCCTCTGGGTGATAGGGCACATGAGTGTCTTATGACTTCTTCCACGGGAAGGCCAGAGAATTATTTTATGGTCTACTTCAAGGTACAAGGGTGGGAGGAGGTCAGAGTGGCCTTCCTTCTCTGTTTCTTCAAATGCCAAGGTGCCATTATTTTAGGGTAGCATGTCCTGAACCCTATCATTATCAATGGATTAGTATTCTGTCTTACTTAGAAGAGATCTAGGGTTCACAACTAATTGATCACAACCGGTTACAGATATCATTATTCCTTTTCCACTCCCACAGCTTGACTCCACTAGCCTTAAAAAATAATTAAAAAAATAAGAGATCTGGATATCTAATAAATATCTATTAATTACCTGACAATCTTGGAAATTAATTTTGAAGGTGACATATTACAAAACATAATTATTGTTGAAATAAAATTGTCAATAATGAATCAATTTGGTTAATTGTAAGTTTACATTTTTTCTTGACTAAACATTAAACAAGTAATTTTGGCTTATTTGATCAGTAAACATGTATAATTAAAAAAATACGCAAGTGGAATAAAAGTCTGTTTATATATTTGACATTGATAAACCAGAGAAAACCTTGCTGTTTTATTAAACCAAAATTATTAGTCTTGTTTGTCAAGATTTACCTACACGATATGAACTTGAAGTCTCAAAATGTTTGTTAGTTGCTCTTAGAGTACTTTTTAAGTACTCTTAAAAAGTACTTGTAGCTTAAAATAATTTCTAGCACACTGAAAAGATTAGAAGTTCCATTTTCTTCTCTGAAAATTTTAAGATTACTCAATTTACATAATCACTTACTTTTCTCTATAAGCTAATCAGAACAGAGTTCCTTTTTTTTTTTTTTTTTTTTTTGAGGCGGAGTCTCACTCTGTCACCCAGGCTGAAGTGCAGTGGCTGCAATCTCAGCTCACTGCAAGCTCTGCCTCCCGGGTTCATGCCATTCTCCAGCCTCAGCCTCCCGAGGAGCTGGGACTACAGGCGCCCGCCACCACGCCCAGCTAATTTTTTGTATTTTTAGTAGAGACGGGGTTTCACCTTGTTAGCCAGGATGTTCTCGATTTCCTGACCTCGTGATCCGCCCGCCTTGGCCTCCCAAAGTGCTGGGATTACAGGCGTGAGCCACCACGCCAGGCCCAGAGTTCCCTAAAAAGACTTTATAATCTAATCAGTGCCACCTGAAGGTAGAAAAGCCTTATCTACACGCACAATAAGGCTTTTCTCTATACAGACATTGATAGACATACAGTCACACAGAGTTTATAACTTCAGTTCTAAACTTTCAGCCATGAATTAATAATACAAAATGATGAAATACCAAAGAGCTGTTCTTTTCTGAGGACAAATTATTAATTGATTTGAGTCCAAAATAGATTAACAAACTAGATTCTCCATTTTTTCTCACCCAATAGAGAATAGACCTCTATAAACCATTAATCCATTTACAGGGATCATCAGATGGTCAGATTGCAAAACCAATTCCCCAGATTAGTAGAGAGCAAAAGACCAGAGTCAGAGTCAGCAGAGTTCTCTTACTGCTTTGGATTCACCTTTTAGAGCCAAGAAAAGAGGTATGCAGGCTTAAGCATAAGGTACACCATTTCTTCGATGATGAAGTTTGCCTGCCTTTGGTTGATAAATCTATAGGATGTCTCAAGGGGACCTCCAAAATGGTTAAAAGAAATTTTCCAGAAAAAGATACATTGACTCTAGCATAGATATACAATAAACATGTATTGAAGGATTTTACTCATCTGATATAAGGGAGCCAGGCAAATGTTATAACCAGTTCAAAGGACAAGTCAAACAGCACAGATTTATGTAGGGTAAAGAAATGTTGAGATGAGTTGCTAATTGAGACAAAACTGATTTTTCCAGGACTGGGTTGAGAGGGGAGTCAAATCTATGAGAGAGGACAGACTTTATGTATCTCTCAATTATAGTTGTTCTCCTTATTCACAGTTATGTTCTTTAAAGTCACTATGAAACACTAAATTAGCAAGAATTCTTATCCCTCGGGATATACATGGTTAGGTTCCTGCAGGCCTCTGGTCACATAGTTTGTCGTCTGACCAGTACATAACCTTGTTTTATATGTGTTTTTGTTTAAAGACACCTTATTTAATACAGTTAATTCATCAACATTGAACTCACAGCCAACAGCACTATAACTCATGCCTAAACAAAGCGTATCTGAAACACATATTGGCACATCACAGCTTTCTTGGAACACTAGATAACATTTCAGCAGTGTTTGGGGACCATTTTAAACAGTGAAATTACCAAAAAGCAGCACAGAAATGCAAAATACTGGCACTAAATAGAGCACAAAAAGTATGCTTGTTTACAGTATGAGAGCTAAAACAAGAAGGCAGAGCATTATCCTGCTTCACCTCATTTAGAAATGTATGTTACGGGACTCAAATTTTTTGACATTCTCCACATGTCACAAATGACCACAGAAGCACCATGGGCATTGATTTAGGAGTCACAAATAAACTTTACGTGAATTCATGAAAGATTTTTTTTTTCATAGATAGCTTTTTCCTCCCAATGTTTAATCCTGGATCCTGTCTGTAGCTAGGGAAGTACTGCTAAGGCGCGAGCACGAGAGAGAATTATATATGGTGGCTTACTGACGTTCCTGGTATATTATAGGTTAAATAGGATTCTGAGACTCCCTATGAGTAGCTTGCAAATCTCTGGAAGTGGTTTTTGGCTATTTGTGTAGTTTTTTTCTCCAGAAAAATGTGTTCTAAATTTCTAATGGCTGATTTTCAGATATACTTTTGGAACACAAAAGCTGGAGTAATGGATTACTACCTTGGTTTGTTTTGTGGCAAATGCTGAATAGTTCCAACTACTGCTTTGAAAATAATAGAAATATTACATAGCAAGTATATTATTTGAAAAGATAAAATTTCAAGGGGCCGTTGACTGTCACATCAAAGCAGTAATTTGGGGTTTGAGAGGTGGCAATACTCTACAGCAGGTGTAGAGTATTACTAATCTAACAAATATTTCAGGTGCCTCATGTTTTCACCTTATTTGCTTGTTTAAATCACTTTATATAAATTTCATGGAAAGACTTGCTTTGCCAGTGTATCCGAAACCTCTGTTATTTCTCCATAGTATTTTCTATAGAAGATCTAGGATACTTTTACATTATTCTGAACCATTTACCCCCTACTGTACCCCACCCCCATATTATGTACCTAATTGGTAATTTCAAAGTAAAGAGACTTTTAAAGTGAAATTCCTAAAAAGCTATTTTTCTTTTCTCCTTCTTAAAATTATATGTTAGGGTTATGCTCCGCTTTCAGCCAGATATAATATGGGTACATAGCCTGGTGAAGAATCTTGAAACCTTCCAAGTACCAGTATACCTTGCTTTGGCCTCCCAAAGCTTTGCTCTTCTGATCCCATGCTTCAGTTGGAAGTGACTGTCAGTTACGTCAGTTTGTGCCAAATTATGTGGTAGTTCTTGTTCTGTGTACAAATGGAGAGTAGGAAAAATCATTTAGCTGTTCACTTCCAAACTCATGTCAGGGTTTGAGATTAGGTTATTAGAGAAGACAGACCTTTCACAGAACGTCAATCAAGGTTACTTGAGATAAAATATTTCACAAGCAATAAAAGAACTGATGGATGTTTGTATTTTTGTATTACTGAACCATAAATGAAATGATTCTGTATAAAAATGAATGAAGTTGATTTTATTTTTCTGTCTTATATATGGAATTCATAAGTTAATTGTGGCCTGGTTTTGTTCAGAGGTTGGGGTTTTTTGGCATTTGAAAAGTATATCATTTATATCATAGGAAATAGAATATTCCACTCACAATGTGGAGATCTACAAAATAAACTGTCATATTTCAGAAAAAGAAATTGGGCATGGGATGTTAAAGATCACATTTTAAGTTTACTACAGCATTTTCCAAAGGTACTTCTCTGATACTAGGGCTTAAAGTTCAGACTATTTTGTGAAAGCGTTTCAGTGTGTGAAACAGCAAAGGGAGTCAGCTTCTCATCATTTAGGTGCTGGTAGTTGGGTTTGTGGCAAATCTGTGCCATATGGCTACTCTCCTCTAGAAAGTGACGGCAGCACTGGGAGCTTTACCTATCCCTAGGGCAGCTGTCTTGGACTCCATTGCTTTGATCTTCTTCTGTCGCACAGCTGAGAAGAGCAAGGGGCTGGTTTTCAGTACCCTAATAGGACAACATATGGGACCATTATGATTGTAGACTATACCTTCATTTTATATAAGCATTCTTCAGAGAGTGCAAGTATTTTCACTTCCATATTCCCATTCAGAAAAATAAGTTTGGGCTCTTTCTTTTAAAAAAAATTATTTTAGGGTTAAAGAAAGACATTCTTATAGAAATTTAAACATTTAATATCTACATTTTATTTCTTGCAAAATACATCCTTTTTAGCAACAAGTTTCAAATAGGAAGTAGAAAAGATGAGTATAATTCGTCTAACTTACCCATTCTTAAGCATACATGCTTAATGTCCTTTCAAGTGTTGTTATTCTTAGAGTTTTATCTTTTTAGCTCAGCTTCCCTGTTTGCTCAAGTAACCTTTACATTCGAGTATAGTGGGACCAGTAAATTTGTTCATCCAGGTACTGTAACAAACACCTTGGAGGAGGATGCTTGGAAATGTGATCAGATTCTTAACAGTACCTCAAAAAACAGCAAATTTTTATTATGATGACAGCCCTACATAGCAGAAAAGTTTTCTGAATAATGAATAGAAAATCCAAAGAGAGATGTATGTGGATTCTTACTTTAGTTTTAGTCTCTATTGTGAATTGTCATTGGACTTCCTCATATGCTCCTTTGCGTTTAGAGAAGCACAGTTGCATGTGCAACTTTGGAAACAAAGTTGTTTGCCACAGAAAAACGGGAAGATAATAAATTTTTTTTCCCTACACATCCTAACAATCATGAGTGGTCAGTGGTAATTATATAGAGATGGATCCTATTAGAAAATGCATGCTTCTTCTCTGTGTATTTTTGTTTGTTTTTCACAGGGTGCTTTGCCCATCCACATTCCAATCTCTGTCATGATACTTCTATTTATGTTGTTATCACCATCAACAGCAACTGTAATCTGGCTCACAATTCCCAGGAGCCAGCTCACTCCTTAGTTACCAGGGGAAAACCCAAACCAGTTGTTCTTTTCTTTTATATGTATAAAACTTCATTCTTCTCACATTGCAGTGACCCTGACCACATTTTGGAACTCCATAACCAGAATAGATATTAGAACTGTGTCTGAGATCTGATGTAGTACAGAGAATTCTACCTGGCGGCTGAAAGGGTAATTGAGTGAATGAGAGAGTGATTATCAGGTTTGTGTTTGTGTGTATATTACTATTTCCTAGATATTTGAGTGCTTTCTCATTTCTTCTGCAGTTTCTTTCCTAATGTCTTTATTGACCTGGAGAGTGTGTGTTGGGAGGTAATAAGAGGAGAGAGAACTTAGGTTTCTTACCTATCATTTGGCAAGAAAAGAATATGGAGGTCTTGGGTTAATTTTCCAGCTATCATTATAACCACATACAGAATCTACACTAGAAACCATTTCCTTCCTCACAATTGTGGGAGAGCACATGGGGAACATATATTTATTTTACAGGATTCTTAAAAGTCTTTTCAACATATTTTTTCAAATAAAAGGAAATGAATGAAATAGATAAAACTTGCAATTGCGGGATATTTTTAAAGAAATGCAGTTTTATTAATAAAGTACTTAGGTGTTAACGTCCATCTTGGTTAAAATCCTGGTTTTGCAACTTATTAGCCCTGTGACCTTAGGCTGTTTATTTTCTCGATATTTTTTCCTTTAAGGTAATGTAAAATTAAGATATATATTATAATGCCTTCCTTATAGCCATGCAACCTATAAACTCTGTACATAAAATTTCAATAAAAATACATTTCAGTGTGGCGATTCCTCAGGGATCTAGAACTAGAAATACCATTTGACCCAGCCATCCCATTACTGGGTATATACCCAAAGGACTATAAATCATGCTGCTATAAAGACACATGCACACGTATGTTTACTGCGGCACTATTCACAATAGCAAAGACTTGGAACCAATCCAGATGTCCAACAATGATAGACTGGATTAAGAAAAAGTGGCACATATACACCATGGAATACTATGTAGCCATAAAAAATGATGTTGAGTTCATGTGCTTTGTAGGGACATGGATGAAATTGGAAATCATCATTCTCAGTAAACTATCGCAAGGACAAAAAACCAAACACCACATGTTCTCACTCATAGGTGGGAATTGAACAATGAGAACACATGGACACAGGAAGGGGAACATCACATTCTGGGGACTGTTGTGGGGTGGGGGGAGCGGGGAGGGATAGC
Organism: Homo sapiens; assembly: GCF_000001405.40. Lineage (NCBI taxonomy): Eukaryota > Metazoa > Chordata > Mammalia > Primates > Hominidae > Homo > Homo sapiens. The sequence goes on from NC_000005.10 coordinate 53,680,723, forward strand.
TTTAGGAGATATACCTAATACTAAATGATGAGTTAATGGGCGCAGCACACCAGCATGGCACATGTATACATATGTAACTAACCTGCACATTGTGCACATGTACCCTAAAACTTAGTATAATAATAATAAAAAAATACATTTCAAGCACTCAGCATGGGGACTAGAACATACTACCTAGTACACCAGGAATGCTCTTGTCTCAGGGCCTTTGCAGTTACTGTTCTCTGCCTACTTCTCAGGGAGGGAGGTCTCCCCTGTATACCCCATCTAAAGTGTTTTCTCCTAGGTTAGATTATAGCTAGCTATACCCGAAACAACACAAATTCAAATTTAATGGGCTCTAATGTAATGGAAATTTATATAGAGACATGTTGCTATGAAGTTGTGAATCAAATTTGAGGACCAAATAATACTTAACATTTATTGAGTGCCTACTATAAACCACAAGAGACAATGTAGCATAATAGGTAAGTTGTAGCCTCCAGAATCTGGCCGTCTGTGTTTAAATCCTGATTCTGCCCCTTCTTTGCTGAGTGACCTTATGCTAGTTACCTAACCTCTCTGAGCCTCAGTTTACTCACCTGTACAAGGGGAATAATATTACTTCATATAAAGGTTTTAGGAAAAGTTCTTTCTCATAGAACTCAATAAATGATTGTTAAGTCAGGGTGCTTTCTAAGCACTTTACATGAATTATCACATCCTTATGAAGTACAAGACATGTACTTTAATCCTCATGACAACCTTATGAAAGACAAAGTTTTCTTATGCCCTTTAGTAAATTTTTTGAAATGGAGATAACTACTTGTTAATGTACGTACTTTGTAAGTCCACATTCTCTTAAAGTAAGCTATAGCTTTGTAACTTTAATGGATAAGAAAGTTCTCAAAACATATTTTCTACTCTGTGAAAGTAAGGTTATGTTGAACAAGTAAATTAATATTTTCTCTCCTGGATTCTGATGTTTCATTTGCTTTCCTGCTTCCCCATTTCCTTATAGTTATTGGACTTTCTTTGGAGATGGAGTTCCAGCAGTTGGGAATGTAATATTCTCTTATGGATAAAGTAGATTAAAAGTTTAAATTAAAATACGCTGTTAAATGTTGTTACTTTCCTTTGTGTACAGTAGTAGTAGTATACTTTGATGAGTTGAGTTCCATAGGCTTAACTTTTGTGGTAAAACTGAATACTAACTAAGGGACTATTGAAATGTAAGCTTTGTGGCAGAAAGTACTATACTTACCGAGATCAAGAGGCTCACTTAATTAGACTATATAATAAATAATCACATTTGGGACATTTTGTACATGACTGCATGATACAGCCATGAATTAGATGTTTCAAGATGTTATTTGAATAAAGTCCTGAGAGAAGAATAAATTACAGGTGTGGGAAAATGGATTTTATGAAGAAAAGTGAATGTTATAGGGGTTGCCTAGCTTAGGGAATAAAAGAATGACTTAATTATATTTTTAAGGAGGAGGATGTTGATTTGTTTCCCATGTTTTAGGAGAACTAAAGAACAGGACTAGTGCAGAAAATGTAGACATACATATACCCAGTTTTCAGAATTACAAAATGCTGAAATGGCTTTGGAAGGAAAATATAAATACTCAGAAGAGAATAGACAGACACCTTTGATTAGCGGCCCTTACTTTTTTATGCATAAAAATCTCCTGGAATTGATAAAGTGTAGTTTCCTGGGCCCCCACCAGAGATTCTGATCTAGTGGGCCTTTGGTCAGGCCTAACAATTTGCGCTCTTTATCAGGTACTCCCATCTGAGTCCAATTAGTGCAGATAGATAGCCATTGAAATAAATGTTGAAAATCAATTTTTGAGTTTAATCAGTAGCCTGTCCAAGTCCAGGGGATTGAACCAAGTAACCTCTCATGGTCCACTTCAACTATAGTACACACATGCACCCATACACACGTACATATATATACGTTTACATATTTTTCTGTATCCCTTTGGAAGAGTTCCAAACTCTTGTAAAGAAACCAACTTTTAGAATAATAGTGAGTTGGTTATAATGTTCATCGCTCTTCATTGCAACTATTTTAAAGGCCTATGTTAAACCACATAGAGTAATGGAAATTTTTATGTAATACATAGATATCAGTAATTGAGCAAGGTGAAATTGAATCATAGTTTACATCTTTAACAACTTGAGATATGGTAAATAATCTGCAGGCAATCTTTTGGACCCTTTTCTCACAGAGGATTGATTATAAGGGAACAAATAGTAAGTATATCTCAGATGTGTTGACATATACTCTTGATGATAAATGAACATTAAGTTAAGTTATAAAAGCTAGCCTCTGCTTGCTGTGCTTTTCAGGTATCCTCTTTAATTCTGTTTCTGTGGATTTGTCTTTGTTTTTTCCTCCTAGGATGGAGCTATGACATTGAAGAGAGGAAGGTTCCAAAACCCAAGTCCAAGTCTTATGGTGCAAACTTTTCTTGGAACAAAAGAACAAGAGTATCCACAAAATAGGTTGGCACTGACTATATCTCTGCTTGACTGTGAATAAAGTCAGCTGTGCAGTATTTATAGTCCATGTATAATAAATACATCTCTTAATCTCCTAATAAATTGGACCTTTAAACTACAGATACATTTTGTGGTGTCTATTTTAAATGTTTTTTGATGTCTCAAATTGAGCATGTTTCAATTTCCTATATAGAGAGAAGATTTGAGGTGATCATACCTCTGGGAAATCTTGGTACTTTTAGAATCTATTAATTAACAGGAATGCTTGAAATCAACTGCAACATTGAAGTTTTATATTTGCTTTTTATAGCCATTCTCAAGTTAATATGGTTTATAAATCACCAGCCAACATTATTAAAATGTTGTCTTAGAAATGGTTTTATCATAGGTAGAGAAGTACACGATAACATTGCAGTCTTATAAACTTAAACCCCTATGTCGTCATTATTAAATTAATTTAATTACAACTTTATAATTTACGAAGGTACTTTGAGCCTGAATGAATTGCATTTCATAGTAATCTCTGCCCAGAAATCAACACTTCATGATTATGAGGAGTTCAGGTGAAGATTTCATGTTCTTAGGAATTAAGACTCAGAGAAAATAAAAATCAGTTCATTCACGGGGATTTGTAATATTCACTGTTTTTTTTTTTTTTTTAAATATAAGTAGATAGATATATGCTTTTATTGTTAATCAATCAATCATTTAGGTCATACATTATGAGTTAAACAAACACATGCTTTGTTTTTGGCTATTCAAAGAAAAGAACACTTTGTATACTAACCCTCATAATAACCCTATTAGCAGGAACTATTATTTTACCCATTTTGCAAAGAAAAGACAAAAATCAAGGCTGAAAATGATTAAATAGCCTGCTCAAGATCACACAGGTCATGTGCTGTGGCTCATGCCTGTAATCCCAGCTATGCAGAAAACTGAGGTGGGAAAATCACTTGAAGCCAGGAGTTCGAGACCAGCATGAGCAACATAGCAAGACGCCATCTCTAAAAATAATTAATATAGAAATAAATATAATTTTTAAAATAAATAAATTAGCCTGGCATAGTGGCATTCGTGTGTAGTCAGCTACTTGGAAGGCTGAGGCAGGAGGATGTCTTCACCTCAGGAGGTCAAGGCTGTAGTGAGCTATCATCATGCCACTGCACTCCAGCCTGAGCAACAGAGTAAGACCCTGTATCTTTAAAAAAAAATTACGCAAGTTCTAAGTGCCAAATCTGGGACTTGAACTTATTTATGTCTGTCTTCAAAATTCGTGCTCTATTTTTAGTTCTGAAAATAATTAAAAATAGCTAATGGAGTTGTTAATGTCAGATGATTTCTTAGGATTTTTAATGTTATTTGATGTTTCAAAGTTATAAACTAAATATACATTTTCTTACAACTGCATTTCTGAAAACAGTAGCTCTCATTGACAGTTTTGGAGAGCATATTGGCAGCCTTTTTTCAAAATGTTAACTTCATATTCCATTTAATTTGAAAAATGCACTTACAGGCAAATAGCCTGTAGATATACAGAGGTAAATGTCCAAAGATGTTTATTGTAAAGTTGTTGCTAGTAGCTAAAATGTCGAAACAATCTAAACATCTATTAAAGGGGGAATAGAGTTCAAGAGTATGATACAGCTATTTAAAACAACAAAAAAAGTATATTATTATTAGCTTTTTGGAATGAAGTTCAAGGTATATTGCTAAGTGAAAAACACCAAGAATAGTAGACAAAACATATGTGGGAGTGAAGTGAGGCAGCAGATGCTTACATATATGTACCTGGAATATTTTAGAGAAGATATATAAGAACTTTTTTTTTATGGTTTATATTCTTTTTATATATATATATACTTTAAGTTTTAGGGTACATGGTGCACAACGTGCAGGTTTGTTACATATGTATACATGTGCCATGTTGGTGTGCTGCACCCATTAACTAACTCGTCATTTAACATTAGGTATATCTCCTAATGCCATCCCTCGCCCCTCCCCCCACCCCATGACAGGCCCTGGTGTGTGATGTTCCCCTTCTTGTGTCCATGTGTTCTCATTGTTCAGTTCCCACCTATGAGTGAGAACATGTGGTGTTTGGTTTTTTGTCCTTGCGATAGTTTGCTGAGAATGATGATTTCCAACTTCATCCATGTCCCTACAAAGGACATGAACTCATCATTTCTTTTGGCTGCATAGTATTCCATGGTGTATATGTGCCACATTTTCTTTTTTTTTCTTAATTATTATTATACTTTGAGTTTTAGGGTACATGTGCACAATGTGCAGGTTAGTTACATATGTATACATGTGCCATGCTGGTGTGCTGCACCCATTAACTTGTCATTTAGCATTAGGTATATCTCCTAATGCTATCCCTCCCCCCTCCCCCCACCCCACAACAGTCCCCAGAGTGTGATGTTCCCCTTCCTGTGTCCATGTGTTCTCATTGTTCAGTTCCCACCTATGAGTGAGAATATGCGGTGTGTGGTTTTTTGTTCTTGCGATAGTTTACCGAGAATGATGATGTCCAATTTTATCCATGTTCCTACAAAGGACATGAACTCATCATTTTTTATGGCTGCATAGTATTCCATGGTGTATATGTGCCACTTTTTCTTAATCCAGTCTATCATTGTTGGACATTTGAGTTGGTTCCAAGTCTTTGCTATTGTGAATAGTGCCACAGTAAACATATGTGTGCATGTGTCTTTATAGCAGCATGATTTATAATCCTTTGGGTATATACCCAGTAATGGGATGGCTGGGTCAAATGGTATTTCTAGTTCTAGATCCCTGAGGAATCGCCACACTGACTTCCACAATGGTTGAACTAGTTTGCAGTCCCACCAACAGTGTAAAAGTGTTCCTGTTTCTCCACATCCTCTCCAGCACCTGTTGTTTCCTGACTTTTTAATGATTGCCATTCTAACTGGTGTGAGATGGTATCTCATTGTGGTTTTGATTTGCATTTCTCTGATGGCCAGTGATGATGAGCATTTTTTCATGTGTCTTTTGGCTGCATAAACGTCTTCTTTTCAGAAGTGTCTGTTCACATCCTTCACCCACTTTTTGAATGGGGTTGTTTTTTCCTTGTAAATTTGCTTGAGTTCATTATACATTCTGGATATTAGCCCTTTGTCAGATGAGTAGATTGCAAATATTTTCTCCCATTCTGTAGGTTGCCTGTTCACTCTGATGGTAGTTTCTTTTGCTGTGCAGAAGCACTTTAGTTTAATTAGATCGCATTTGTCAGTTTTGGCTTTTGTTGCCATTGCTTTTGGTGTTTCAGACATGAAGTCCTTGCCCATGCCTATGTCCTGAATGGTATTGCCTAGGTTTTCTTCTAGGGCTTTTATGGTTTCAGGTCTAACATTTAAGTCTTTAATCCATCTTGAATTAATTTTTGTATAAGGTGTAAGGAAGGGATCCAGTATCAGCTTTCTGCATATGGCTAGCCAGTTTTCCCACCACCATTTGTTAAATAGGGATCGTTTCCCCATTTGTTTTTGTGGGGCTATCACCACCGATCCCACAGAAATACAGACTACCATCAGAGAATACTATAAACACCTCTACGCAAATGAACTAGAAAATCTAGGAGAAATGGGTAAATTCCTCGACACATACACCCTCCCAAGACTAAACCAGGAAGAAGTAGAATCTCTGAATAGACCAGTAACAGGCTCTGAAATTGAGGCAATAATTAATAGCTTACTAGCCAAAAAAAGTCCAGGACCAGATGGATTCACAGCCGAATTCTACCAGAGGTACAAGGAGGAGCTGGTACCATTCCTTCTGAAACTATTCCAATCAATAGAAAAAGTGGGAATCCTCCCTAACTCATTTTATGAGGCCAGCATCATCCTGATACCAAAGCCTGGCAGAGACACAACAAAAAAAGACAATTTTAGACCAATATCCCTGATGAACATCGATGTGAAAATCCTCAATAAAATACTGGCAAACCGAATCCAGCAGCACATCAAAAAGCTTATCCACCATCATCAAGTGGGCTTCATCCCTGGGATGCAAGGCTGGTTCAACATATGCAAATCAATAAACGTAATCCAGCATGTAAACAGAGCCAATGACAAAAACCATATGATTATCTCAATAGATGCAGAAAAGGCCTTTGACAAAATTCAACAACACTTCATGCTAAAAACTCTCAGTAAATTAGGTATTGATGGGACATATCTCAAAATAATAAGAGCTATCTGTGACAAACCTACAGCCAATATCATACTGAATGGGCAAAAACTGGAAGCATTCCCTTTGAAAACTGGCACAAGACAGGGATACCCTCTCTCACCACTCCTATTCAACATAGTGTTGGAAGTTCTGGTCAGGGCAATCAGGCAGGAGAAGGAAATAAAGGGTATTCAATTAGGAAAAGAGGAAGTCAAATTGTCCCTGTTTGCAGATGACATGATTGTATATCTAGAAAACCCCATCATCTCAGCCCAAAATCTCCTTAAGCTGATAGGCAACTTCAGCAAAGTCTCAGGATACAAAATCAATGTGCAAAAATCACAATCATTCTTATACACCAATAACAGACAAACAGAGCCAAATCATGAGTGAACTCCCATTCGCAATTGCTTCAAAGAGAATAAAATACCTAGGAATCCAACTTAAAAGGGACGTGAAGGACCTCTTTAAGGAGAACTACAAACCACTTCTCAATGAAATAAAAGAGGATACAAACAAATGGAAGAACATTCCATGCTCATGGGTAGGAAGAATCAATATCGTGAAAATGGCCATACCACCCAAGGTAATTTATAGATTCAATGCCATTTCCATGAAGCTACCAATGACTTTCTTCACAGAATTGGAAAAAACTACTTTAGAGTTCATATGGAACCAAAAAAGAGCCCGCATTGCCAAGTCAATCCTAAGCCAAAAGAACAAAGCTGGAGGCATCACGCTACCTGACTTCAAACTATACCACAAGGCTACAGTAACCAAAACAGCATGGTACTGGTACCAAAACAGAGATACGGACCAATGGAACAGAACAGAGCCCTCAGAAATAATGCCGCATATCTACAACCTTCTGATCTTTGACAAACCTGAGAAAAACAAGAAATTCTTAATGGTGACTTTAATGGATGCCATTGGTTGTGGGAAAGGGGGAGGTCTTTTACATTTATTTCAGCTTTTAATACACTGGTTAAATTATTACCGTACAGATGTAATATATATTTTTATAATTATATACATACACACACGAAGAAAACCCACTACATTTCTTCATATGTTGCCCATCTTAAGCCTTACTTGACTAATACACATTTTAATAATTACTATTTTAGAATTTTATTTCAGATGAAAGGTAAACTTTTAAGAAAGAAACCTGTTAAGAAGTTACCCAGTTTTGCTGGACCCTTTCCTTACACCGTATACAAAAATTAACTCAAGATGGATCAAAGACTTAAATGTAAAACCCAGAACTATAAAAACCGTAGGCAATACCATTCAGGACACAGGCAGGGGCAAAGATTTCATGACAAAAATACCAAAAACAATTGCGACTAAAGCAAAAATTGACAAATGGGATCTGATTAAACAGCTTCTGCACAGCAAAATAAACTATCATCGGAGTAAACAGACAACCTACAGAATGGGAGAAAAATTTTGCAATTTATCCATCTGACAAAGGACTAATATCCAGAGTCTACAAGGAACTTAAATTTATAAAGAAAACCCCCATTAAAAAGTGGCCAAAGGACATAACAGACACTTCTCAGAAGACACACATGCAGCCAACAAACATGAAAAAAAGATCAACATCACTGATCATTAGAGAAATGCAAATCGAAATCACAGTGAGATACTATTTTATGCCAGTCAGAATGGCTACTATTAAAAAGTCAAAAAACAACAGATGCTGGTAAGATTGTGGAGAAAAAGGAGTGCTTTCACACTCTTGGTAGGAGTTTACATTAGTTCAACCATTGTGGAAGACAAAGTAGTGATTCCTCAAAGACCTAGAGCAGAAATACCATTTGACCCAGAAATCTCATTACTGGGTATATACCCAAAGGAATATAAATCATTTTATTATAAGGATACATGCCTATGTGTATTCATTGCAGCACTATTCACAATAGCAAAGACATGGAATCAACCTAAATGTCCGTCAGTGATAGACTGGATAAAGAAAATGTACGTATACACCCTGGCATACTATGGAACCATAAAAAATAATGAGATCATGTCCTTTGCAGAGCCCTGGATGGAGTTGGAAGCCATTATCCTCAGCAAACTAACAAAGGAACAGAAAACCAAACACTGCATGTTCTCACTTATAAGTGGGAGCTGATTGATAGATGAGAACACATGGACACATGGCAGGGAACAACACACACTGAGGCCTATTGGTGAGGGTGGGGGAAGGAGAGCATCAGAGAGAATAGCAAATGGATGCTGGGCATAATACCTAGGCAATGGGATGATCTGCAGAAACCACCATGGCACACATGTACCTATGTAACAAACCTGCACATCCTGCACATGTACCCCTGAACTTAAAATAAAAGTTGAAGGAAAAAAAATCATCCCAAAGCCAAAAGTAAATACAATACTGTCTTCAAGTAGTGCTCTTAACATAACTTCCAGCCAGGCACAGTGGCTCACGCCTGTAATCCCAGCACTTCGGAAGGTTGAGGTGGCAGCATCTCTTGAGCCCAGGAATTCAAGATAAGCCTGGGCAACATAGTGGGACCCTCTCTACAAAGAAAAAGAAATTGCTCAGTTTTGGAAAATCCACAAATACATGGAAATTAAACAACATGCTCCTGAACACCCAATGAATCAAAGAAATTAAGAGGGGGATTTCACCTTCCGCCAGACACGATGGCTCACACCTGTAATCCCAGCACTTTGGGAAGCCAAGGCAGGAGTATTGCTTGAGCCCGGGAGTTCAGGCCAGCCTGAGCGACATGGCAACAGGCCAATATGTTTGATACGGGCATACGTGCATCTCTACAAAAAATAAAATTAGCCAGGCCTGGTGGTGTGTGCCTATGGTTCCAGCTATTCGGGTGGCTGAGTTGGGAGGATTACTTGAGCCCAAGAGGTTGAGGCTGCAGTGAGCCATATTCATGTCACTGTACTCCAGCCTGGGTGACAGAGCAAGACCCTGTCTCAAATATATATATATACATTTTGTTTTCAAATGAAATTGGACATAAACATACCATGCAGCAAAAAGCAGTTCTAAGAGGGAAGGATATAGCAATAAATGCCTACATCAAAAAAGAAACATCTCAATTAATGACACCTCAGGAAAGTATAAAAAGAACAAATTAGACCCAAGGTTAGTAGAAGGAGGAAATAATAAAAATCACAACAGAAATGAAGTAGATACTAGAAAAACAATAGAAAACAACAAAACCAAGAATTGGTTTTTTGAAAAGATAATGTTTATAAACCCTTAGCTAGACTAAGAAAAAAAGACTCAAAGGGGTGATACTACAACTGATACCACAGAAATACAAAGGATCATAAAAGACCACTATGAATAATTATAGACTAACAAATTGGATAACCTAGAAGTAAATCAATTTCTAGACACATACAACATATCAAGGCTGTTAACAGTGAAAAAAAAAAAAAATAGAAAACGTCAACAAATCAATGAGTACGAAAATTGAATCAGTAGTAAGTCTCCCGTCAAAGAAAATCCAAGTAACTGATGGCTTCACTACTGAGTTCTACTAAGCATTCAAAGAATTAATATAAATCCTCAAACTCTTCCTGAAAACTGAATAGGAGGGAATACTTCCCAACTCATTTTACAAGGCCAGCATTACCCTGATATCAAAGCCAGTCAAAGACACTATAAGAAAAGAAAATTACAGGCCAGTTTCCTTGATGAACACAGATGCAAAAATTCTCAACAAAGTACTTACAAAACAAATTCAATAACACATTTAAAGGATTATAAATCATGATCAAGTGGGATTTATCACTGGGATGCAAGGATGGTTCAACATATGTAAATCTAAAAATGTGATATACCACAGTAACAGAATGAAGGACAAAAACCATATGATCATATCCACAGATGTCAAAAAACATTTGAGAAAGTTTAACACCTGTTCAAGATAAAGGCTCCCAACAAATCAGGTATAGAAAGAATGTACCTCAACATAATAAAGGCCATACATGAGAAGCCCACAGCTAACACATACTCAATAGGGAGAAGTTGAAAGCTTTTTTCCAGAGATCAGGAACAAGACAAGGATGTTCACCCTTGCCACTTCAATTCAACATAGTATTAGAAGTTGTAGCCAGATCAGTTAGGCCAGAGAAAAAGTATAACATCCAAATTGGAAAGGAAGAAGTTAAATTGTCCTTATTTTTTTTGCAGACTCACTCTCTCCACGCCCCCCACCCCCAATCTCTGTCTCTACACATGCACGCACACACATACAGTCATGTGTTGCTTAATAACACGGATATGTTCTGATAAATGGGTCGTCATTAGGCAATTTCATCTTTGAACATCATAGAGTGTGCTTACACAAACCTAGATAGTAGATAGCCTACTACATACCTAGGCTATATGGTATAGCCTATTGCTCCTAGGCTACAAACCTGTACAGCATGTTACTATAAGAATAATACAGCAGGCAATTGTAATCCAATGGGAGGTATTTGTATATCTAAACATATCTACACATAGAAAAGATATAGTAAAAATATAGTATAAAAGATGAAACTTGGTATACCTATATAGGGCACTTAAGCATGAATGGAGCTTGTAGGACTGGAAGTTGTTCTGGGTGTCAATGAGCGGTGAATTGATTGTAAAGGCCTAGGACATTACTGTATACTACTGTATACTACTGTAAGCTTTATAAACAGTTGCACTTACACTAAATTTTTAGAAGATATTTTTCCTTCTTCAATAAACTTTTGTTTACTGAAATTTTAACTTTATAAACCTTAATTTTTTAAATGTTTTGACTCATAGCACTTAGCTGCAATCAGTTCATTGTACAATGCTACAAAAATATTTTCTTTCATATATTCTTGTGTCATAAGCTTTTATTTTTAAAATTTGTTATTTTTACTTTACTTTTTAAACTGTTAAAATCAAAGACACAGACACACAATTAACTTAGGCCTACACAGAGTCAGGATCATCAATCATCACTATCTTCCACCTCTACATTTTGTCCCTGGAAGGTCTTCAAGGGTAATAATAAATGGGCTGTCATTTCCTATTATGCCTTCTTCTGGAATACCTCCTGAAAGTAGGCTCCGTACCTGAGGCTGTTATACAGCTAACTTCTTTTTTAATAGGAGTACACACTAAAATAATAAAAATAGAGTAAATACAAAATCCAGTAACATAGTTATCATTATCAAGTATTATGTACTGTCCATAATTATATGTGAGATATATATAATATATATGCTTATATATTATATGTATTTATAAACATATATATTTATATATATAAAACCTCCTGAGGTCAGGAGTTTGAGACCAGCCTGGCCAACATGGTGAAACCCCATCTCTACTAGAAAAAAATAAACAAATTAGCTGGGCATGGTGGTGCATGCCTGTAATTCCAGCTACCTGAGGGGCTGAGGCAGGATAATTGCTTAAGCCAGGAAGGCAGAGGCTGCAGAGGCTGCAGTGAGCCAAGACTGTGCCATTGAACTCAAGCCTGCGCAACAGAGTGAGACTCCATCTCAAAAAAAAAAAAATACATATATATATAATACATAAATAATATATATTATATAGAAATATGCAATATATATTTATATATAAATATATATTTATATATAAATATTAAAAATATAAAATTTTATATATAAATTTATAAATATATATTATATATTTGTATATATAATATATAGTATATATATTTTATATATACTATATATTATATATTTATATATTTTTATATTTATATATAAAATAAATATAAATATGTTACATATTTATATATTATATATTTATAATATATAATATATAATTATATATAATTATAAATATATATAATATATATTTATATGTAATATATACTTTTTTTTTTGGAGATGGAGTCTTGCTCTGTTGCCCAGGCTGGGGTTCAATGGCACAGTCTTGGCTCACTGCAGCCTCTGCAGCCTCTGCCTCCCAGGCTTAAGCAATTATCCTGCCTCAGCCCCTCAGGCAGCTGGAATTACAGGCATGCAACACCACGCCCAGCTAATTTTTTTATTTTTTTCTAGTAGAGATGGGGTTTCACCATGTTGGCCAGGCTGGTCTCAAACTCCTGACCTCAGGTGATCTGCCCACCTTGGCCACCCAAAGTGCTGGAATTACAGGCACAAGCCACCATGCCCGGCCATGTGTTATATTTTTATACGACTAGTAGCTTAGTAGGTTTGTTTATACCAGCATTAACACAAACATGTGGGTATTGTTTTGTATTATTACAGCTACAGCATAACTAGGCAATAGGAATTTTTCAGCTCTGATATAATCTTACAGGATCACTGTTGTGTATGTGGTTAATCATTGCCCCAAACATTATTATGTGGCACATGACTGTGTTTGTGTACACATCCCTAAGACTTGACCAAAAATAGTTAAAACTAATAAATAGATTCAGTAAAGTTACAGAATTCAAAATCAACAAAGAAAAACTGGTAGCATTTTTAACACTAACAATAAACTATTTGAAAAAGAAATCAGGAGAATAATCACATTTACAATAGCTATAAAAATTATAAAATACAAGGAATAAATTTAATGGAGGAGACGAAAGTTCTGTAAACTGAAAACTATAAAACGTTGATAAATGACACTGAAGGTGACACAAATAAATGGAAAGATATGCTGTGTTCATGGTTCAGAAAAATTTTACAAATTGCCTGAAAAGGAATTCAAAGTAATAATGTTAAGGAAACTTAGCAAGATACAGGAGGGTACAGATAAACATTCACAGAAATCTGGAAAATAATTCATGACCTGAATGAGGAATTTAACAAAGCGATAGATATCATTAAAAAGAACCAAATAGAACTTTTGGCATGGAAGAATTCAACTAATTAAATAAAAAATACAATTGAGAGCTTCAACAGCAGACTGGATCAAGCAGAAAGAATCTATACACTTGAAGACAGATCTTTTGAAATAGTCAGAAGAGACAAAAGAAAAATGAGAAAGTGAAAACAGCCTAACAGATGTATATGATATTATTAAATGAACATCCACCATCCACATTATGGGAGTTTCAGAAGGAAAGGGAACAAAAAAAGGAGACAAAGTTTATTTAATAAAATAATTGCTGAAAACTTCCCAAATCTTTGCAAAGATCTGGACATTTAATTCCATGAAGCTCAAAAGTCCCCAAAAAGACTGAACCCAAAGAAGTCCTCCCCAAGGCACATTATACTCAAACTGTCAAAGGTCAAAGAGAATTTTAAAAGCAGCAAGAGAATAGTATCAAATCACATATAAGGGAATCTCCATTAGGCTCTCAGTGGATTTCTCAGCCAAAACCTGTGGGTGAGGAGAGAATTGAATGATACATTCAAAGTGGTAAATTAAAAAGACAAACAGAAACCCTGCTAGCCAAGAATAGTATACCCAGCAAAGATGTCATTTAAAAATGAAGGATAAATAGTCTTTCACAAACAAGAAAAAGCTGAGGGAATTCATTACCACTAGACCTGCCTTACAAAAAATGCTTAATGGAGTTCTTCAAGTGGAAATGAAAAGATAATTACTATCACGAATACATACAAAAGTGTAAAGTTCACTAATATTGATAAATACATAGTCAAATCCAGAATACTCCAATACTATAATGGTGGTTTGTAAATCATACATAACTTTAGTATGAAAGTCAAAATGGTCAAACATAACTAAAGTTAAAATAATTTCTCAAGGAACACACAATATAAAGAGATGTAACTTGTGACATCAAAAGACCACAAGAGAGGAGGAAAGGAACAAAAGAGCTACAAAACAACCAGTAGCAGTGATATAGTTTAAATATATGCCCCTTCCAAGTCTCATGTTGAATTGTAATTCCCAGTGTTGGAGGTGGGATGGCTTGGTGCTGTCCTGGCAGTAGTGAGTTCTCATGAGATCTGGTTCTTCTAAAGTGTGGCACCTCCTCTCCCCAACTGTCTCTCTTGCTTTCACCATATGAAATGCTCACTCCTGCTTCATCTGCCATGAGTAAAATCTCCCTACAGCCTCCTCAGAAGCTGAACAGATGCCAGCGCCATGCTTCCTGTACAGCCTGCAGAACTGTGAGACAATTAAACCTCTTTTCTTTATAAATTACCTAGTGTCTAGTGTTTCTTTATGGCAATGCAAAAATGGACTAATACAAATAGGAAGTTGTTACTTATCAATAATAACTGCGAATGTAAATGGATTAAATCCTCCAATCAAAAGATATAAAGTGGCTAAATGGATTAAAACAAAAACAAGATCGAACTATATGCTCTCTACAAGAGACCCACATATGCTTTAGGGACACACGTAAGCTGAAAGTGAAAGGATAGAAGAAGGTATTCTGTGCAAATAGTAACCAAAAGAGAACGGGGGTGGCTATACTTATATGTGATAAAAATTGACTTCAGGTCAAAAACTGTCATGAGAAAAAGTCATTATTTAATGATAAAGGGATCAGATAATCAAGTGGAAATAGCCATTATAAATATATATGCACCCAACACTGGAGCACCTAAGTACATAAAGCAAATATTAATGGACTTGAAGGGAGAAATAGGTAGCACACAATAATAGGAGGTTTCAATACCCCACTTTCCAAACAGAAAATTAATAAGGAAATACTGGATTTCAATTGTACTTTTGGCCAAATGGGCCTAACAGACATATACACAACTTTCCATCCAACAGCAGTAGAATGTGCATTTTCTTTCTCCAGTGCACATGGAACATTTGACAGGATAGAGCATGTGTTAGGCCACAATGCAGTCTTAACAAATTTAAAATTAAAATCATGTCTAGTATTATTTCAGACCACAATGTTATGTAACTAAAAATAACAAGAGAAATCTTGGAAACTTGACAAATAAGTGGATATTAAACAAGATGCTCCTGAGAAAGCAATGGGTAAAAAAAAATCAAAGCAAAAATTTTAAAGTATACTGAGACAAACAATAATGGAAACACAACATACCAAAACCTATGGAATACAATAAAACCAGTTCTATGGCAATAAACATCTGCATTAAAATTTATAGCAATAAATGCCTGAATCAAAGAAGAGAGATCCCAAATAAATAGTCTTAACATTACACCTCAAGAAACCAGAAAAAGAATAACTAAACCCAAATTTAGCAGAAGGAAGAAAATAATAAAAATCAGAACAGAAATAAGTCAAATAGAGAACAGAAAAGCCATAGAAAGAATAAAACAGTTTGTTTTTTGAAAAAGTTGAAAAACCCTTAGCTAGTCTAAGAAAATAAGAGAGGATGCACTTAAAATAAAAAATAACATTACAACAGATGCCTCAGAAAAAGGATCACAGGAAACTATTATGAACAATTATATGCCAACAAATTGGATTACCTAGAAGAAATGGATAAATTCCTAGAAAAATACAACTTACTGAGATTGACACAGGAAGAAATAGAAAGCCTCAACAGACCAATAAAAAATTAAATTAAAATTTAATTAAAGGAGTCACCAAAAACTTCCCAACAGCTGGGCATGGTGGCTTACACCTGTAATCCCAGCATTTTGGAAGGCTGAGGTGGGTGGCTCACTTGAAGTCAGGAGTTCGAGTCCAGCCTGGCCAACATGGTGAAATGCTGTCTCTACCAAAAATACAAAAATTAGCCAGGAGTGGTGGTGCACACCTGTAATCCCAGCTACTCAGGAGGCTGAGGCAGGAGAATCACTTGAACTCAAGAGGTGGAGGTTGCAGTGAGCCAAGATCACGCTATTGCACTCCAGCCTGGGCAACGAGAGAGATTCCATCTCAAAAAAAAAAAAAAGAAAAAAAAAAAAACAAAACTTCCCAACAAAGAAAAGCAAAGTACCAAGTGGCTTTATCTCTAAATTCTACACAAACTTCAAGGAAAAGCTAATGACAATACTTTTAAAACTCTTCCAATAAAAGGAGCAAGAGGAATACTTCCAAACCCTTTTATTGACATACATGAAATCAATATGATACATCGCATTAACAGAATGGAAGATAAAAATCCACATGATCATCTTTAATTGATTCAGAAAAAGCATTCTACAAAACCAACATTCATTCTTGATAAAAAGTCTTAGTTTAGGTATAGAAGTTGCTCAACGTAATAAAGATTATTTATGAAAAACCCATCATTAGCATAATCAATGGGGGAAAGTTGAAAGCTTATCAACTAAGATCTAGTATAAGGCAAAGATACCACTCTTGCCACTTCTATTTAACATAGTACTGGAAGTACTGGGAAGAGCAATCAGACAAGAGAAATAAAAAAAAGACATCCAAATCAGAAAGATATAAGATCTGTATTGGCAGGTGACATAATCCTACATATAATCAACCTCAAAGATTCCATATTCACATACAGAATAACTGTTAGAACTAGTAAATGAATCCAAAGAAGTTGCAGGATGCAAAATCAAGATACAAAAATAAGTAGCATTTTTATACACAAATAGTGACGTAACTGAAAAAGAAATCAAGAAAATCTGTAACATCAAAGAAATTAAAATACCTAGGAAGAAATTTAACCAAGGAGGTAAAAGAATGATCTGTACACCGAAAACTACAAAACATGCTGAGAGAGACTGAAGAAGACACAAAAAAATGGAAAGATGTCCTGTACGCATGGATCAGAGAATTAATATTGTGAAAATGTCCAGACTACTCAAAACAATATACCGTCTCAATGTAATTCCTATCAAAATTTCAATGGCATTCTTCGTGGAAATAGAGCAATCCTAAAATTGGTATAGAATCATAAAAAATCCTGAATAACCAAAGCAATTCTGAGCAAGAAAACAAAGTTGAAAGCATCACACTTTCTGATTTAAAATTATATCACAAAATTACAATCAAAAGTGTATGATACTGACATAAAAACAGACACATAGACCAGCATAACAGAATGGAGAGCCCAGAAATAAATCCAAACATAATATGGTCGAATTTTTGATATGGGCACCAAGAGGACACAAAAGGGGAAGGAGAGTCTCTTCAACAAATTGTGCTGGGAAAATTTAGACTTCCACATGCAAAATAATGAAATTGGATCTTTATTTTACACCATACAGAAAATTCAACTCAAAATGGATAATGGACCTAAAAATAAGACCAGAAACTACAAAACCCTTAGAACAGAACATAGGGGGAATGCTCCTGGACATTAGCTTTGGCAATAATTTTTTGGATATCACACCAAAAGCTGAGGTCATAACAAGCAAAAATAAATAAACAGGACTACAAAAAACTAAAAAGCCTGTGCATCACAAAGGAAACAATCAACAAAATGAAACAGCAGCCTACAAATTGGGAAAAAATCTTGAAAACCGTGTGTCTGATAAGTGGTTAATGTCCAGAATTTATAAAGAGCTGATACAGCTCAAGAGTGGAAAAACAAATAACTCAATTTAGAAACTGGCAAAACACCTGAATAGACATTTCTCTAAAGAATACATTAAAATGCCCAACAGGTATATGAAAAGTTTCTCAACATCATTAAAAATTAGGGAAATGAAAATCAAAACCACTATAAGATCCCACCTCATACCCATTAGGATGGCTATTATCAAAAAGTCAAAAGATAACAAATGCTGGCAAGGGCATGAAGAACAGGGAATTCTTGTACACAGTTGGTGAGGATACAGATTGATACAGACATTATGGAAAACAGTATGGAGGTTTCTAAAGAAACTAAAAATAGAACGACCATATAACACAACAATCCCTCTTCAGGGACTATACCCAAAGGAAGTGAAATCGTCACCTCATAAAGATATCAGCACTCCCATGTGCAATATTATTCACCATAGCCAAGATATAGAAACAATCTAAGTGTCCACTGAATATTGAATGAACAAAGAAACTGTCATACATACATAAAACAGATTATTATTCACCCCTAAAAAACGCCAAGATTTTGCCACTTGCCACAACATGGATGAGCCTGGGAGCATATTGCTAAGTGAGGTAAGACACAAAAAGAAAAATATTGTAAGATCTCACATATATGTGGAATCTGGAATATACAATAGTAACAAAACAGTCGTTACCAGGGGCAGGGGATTTGGGGAGGAAATTGAGAGATGTTGGTCAGAGGAAAGAAAGTATCAGATATGCAGGATGAAGTAGTCTAGAGACCTAATGTACAACATGAGAACTACAGGTAACAAATTATAGGTAATAAAGTTGTACTGTGTATGGGATTAATGCTAAATGACATTTTAAGCTATTCTTGCCACAAAAACAAACCCCAAATAGTGAGGTGAAAGATATAATTCACTTCCATATAGTAACCTTTTTATTATCTACATGCATCCTATAACATCATGCTACATACCTTAAATATAATCAGTTTTTATTTAGAGGTCAACTATTGCTTCCATATCATTTTCTGTGTTTTTTCATCATAAAGTTAATTTTTTTAATGCAATAAAAATTAAATGTTGAATTCATAGAGGCCGAGTACAATGCTGGTTACCAGGGGCTAGTGAAATATTGGTCAAAGGATACAAAATTTCACTTAGCTAGGAGAATTAAGTTGAAGAGATCTATTGTACAACATGGTGACTATAGTTAATAACAATGTATTACTTTGTTGAAAATTGCTAAGAGTATATTTTAAGTGTTCTCACCATGAAAAAGAGATGAATATGTGAGGTAATGTATATGTAAATTAGCTTGCTACAGCCATTCCCCAATGTATACATATTTTAAAACATCCTGTTTTACACAATATATACAATTTTAATTAGTAAATTTAAATTTTTCTTAAATACTTTAAGTTCTAGGATACATGTGCACAACATGCAGGTTTGTTACCTATGTATACATGTGATACATGTGCCATGTTGGTTTGCTGCACCCATTAACTCGTCATTTACATTAGGTACTTCTCCTAATGCTATCCCTCCCCCATCGGCCCACCCCATGACAGGCCCCAGTGGTGTGATGTTCCCCATTCTGTGTCCAAGTGTTCTCATTGTTCAATTCCCACCTATGAGTGAGAACTTGCAGTGTTTGTTTTTCTGTCCTTGTCATAGTTTGCTGAGAATGATGGTTTCCAGCTACATCCATGTCCCTACAAAGGACATGAACTCATCCGTTTTTATGACTGCATAGTATTCCATGGTGTATATGTGCCACATTTTCTTAATCCAATCTATCATTGATGGACATTTGGGTGGGTTCCAAGTCTTTGCTATTGTGAACAGTGCTGCAATAAACATACGTGTGCATGTGTCTTTATGGCAGCATGATTTATAATCCTTTGGGTATATACCCAGTAATGGGATCGCTGGGTCAAATAGTATTTCTAGTTCTAGATCCTTGAGGAAATGCCACACTGTCTTCCACAATGGTTGAACTAGTTTACACTCCCACCAATAGTGTAAGAGCATTCCTATTTCTCCACATCCTCTCCAGCACCTGTTATTTCCTGACTTTTTAATAATTGTCATTCTAACTCGTGTGAGATGGTATCTCATGTGGTTTTGATTTGCATTTCACTGATGACCAGTGATGATGAGCATTTTTTCATGTGTCTGTTGGCTGCATAAATATCTTCTTTTGAAAAGTATCTGTTCATATCCTTCACCCACTTTTTGATGGGGTTGATTTTTTCTTGTAAATTTGCTTAAGTTCTTTGTATATTCTAGATATTAGCCCTTTGTCAGATGGGTAGATTGCAAAAATTGTCTCCCATTCTGTAGGTTGCCTGTTCACTCTGATGGTAGTTTCCTTTGCTGTGCAGAAGCTCTTTAGTTTAATTAGATCCCATTTATCTATTTTGGCTTGTGTTGCCATTGCTTTTGGTGCTTGAGTCATGAAGTCCTTGGCCATGCCTATGTGCTGAATGGTATTGCCTAGGTTTTCTTCTAGGGTTTTTATGGTTTTAGGTCTAACATTTAAGTCTTTAATCCATCTTGAATTAATTTTTGTATAAGGTATAAGGAAAGGATCCAGTTTCAGCTTTCTACATATGGCTAGCCAGGTTTCCCAGCACCATTTATTAAATAGGGAATCATTTCCCCAATTCTTGTTTTTGTCAGGTTTTTCAAAGGTCAGATGGTTGTAGATGCATGGTGTTATTTCTGAAGGCTCTGTTCTGTTCCATTGGTCTATATCTCTGTGTTGGTACCAGTACAATGCTGTTTTGGTTACTGCAGGCTTGTAGTATAGTTTGAAGTCAGGTAGCGTGATGCTTCCAGCTTTGTTTTTTTGGCTTAGGATTGTCTTGGCAATGTGGGCTCTTTTTTGGTTCCATATGAACTTTAAAGTAGTTTTTTCCAATTCTGTGAAGAAAGTCATTGGTAGCTTCACAGAAATGGCATTGAATCTATAAATTACCTTGGGCAGTATGGCTGTTTTCACCATATTGATTCTTCCTATCCATGAGCATGGAATGTTCTTTCGTTTGTTTGTATCCTCTTTTATTTCATTGAGCAGTGGTTTGTAGTTCTTGAAGAGGTCCTTCACATCCCTTGTAAGTTGGATTCCTAGGTATTTTATTCTCTTTGTAGCAACTGTGAATGAGAGTTCACTTATGATTTGGCTCTGTTTGTCTGTTATTGGTGTATAGGAATTCTTGTGATTTTTGCACATTGATTTTGTATCCTGAGACTTTGCTGAAGTTGCTTATCAGCTTAAGGAGATTTTGGGCTGAGACAATGGGGTTTTCTAAATATACAATCATGTCATCTGCAAACAGGGACAAATTGACTTCCTCTTTTCCTAATTGAATACCCTTTATTTCTTTCTCTTGCCTGATTGCCCTGACCAGAACTTCCAACACTATGTTGAATAGGAGTGGTGAGAGAGGGCCTCCCTCTCTTGTGCCAGTTTTCAAAGGGAATGCTTCCAGTTTTTGCCCATTCAGTAGGATATTGGCTGTGGGTTTGTCATAAATAGCTCTTATTATTTTGGGATGCATTCCATCAATACCTAATTTATTGAGAGTTTTTAACATGAAGGGCTGTTGAATTTTGTCAAAGGTCATTTCTGCATCTATTGAGATAATCATGTGGTTTTTGTCATCGGTTCTGTTTATGTGATGGATTACATTTATTGATTTGCATATGTTGAACCAGCTTTGCATACCAGGGATGAAGCCAACTTGATCTTGGTAGATAAGTTTTTCATGTGCTGCTGGATTCAGTTTGCCAGTATTTTATTGAGGATTTTCACATCGATGTTCATCAGGGATACTGGTCTAAAATTCTCTTTTTTTTTGTTGTGTCTCTGCCAGGCTTTGGTATCAGGATGATGCTGGCCTCATAAAATGAGTTAGGGAGGATTCCCACTTTTTCTATTGATTGGAATAGATTCAGAAGGAATAGTACCAGCTCCTCTTTGTACCTCTTGTAGAATTGGGCTATGAATCCCTCTGGTCCCGGACTTGTTTTGGTTGGTAGGCGATTAGTTATTGTCTCAATTTTAGAGCCTGTTATTGGTCTATTCAGTGATTCAATTTCTTCCTGGTTTAGCCTTGGGAGGGTGTATGTGTCCCGGAATTTATCCAATTCTTCTAGATTTTCTAGTTTATTTGCAGAGAGGTGTTTATAGTATTCTCTCATGGCAGTTTGTAGTTCTGTGGGATCAGTGGTGATATCCAATTTATCATTTTTTATTGCATCTATTTGATTCTTCTCTCTTTTCTTCTTTATTAGTCTTGCTACTGGTGTCACAATTTTGTTGATCTTTTCAAAAAACCAGCTCCTGGGATTCATTGATTTTTTTGAAGGTTTTTTTTGTGTCTCTATCTCCTTCAGTTCTGCTTATTTTTTGCCTTCTGCTAGCTTTTGAATTTGTTTGCTTCGGCTTCTCTAGTTCTTTTAATTGTGATGTGAGGGTGTCAATTTTAGATCTTTCCTGCTTTCTCTTGTGGGCATTTAGTGCTGTAAATTTCCCTCTACACACTGCTTTGAATGTGTCCCAGACATTCTGGTATGTTGTGTCTTTGTTCTCATTGGTTTCAAAGAACATCTTTATTTCTGCCTTCATTTCGTTATGTACCCAGTAGTCATTCAGGAGCAGGTTGTTCAGTTTCCATGTAGTTGTTTGGTTTTGAGGTTTTGAGTGAATTTTTTAATCCTGAGTTCTAATTTGATTGTACTGTGGTCTGAGAGACAGTTTGCTGTGATTTCTATTCCTTTACGTTTGCTGAGGAGTGCTTTACTTCCAACTATGTGGTCAATTTTGGAATAAGTGCGATGTGGTGCTGGAAGAATGGATATTCTGTTGATTTGGGGTGGAGAATTCTGTAGATGTCTATTAGGTCTGCTTGGTGCAGAGCTGAGTTCAAGTCCTGGATATCCTTGTTAACCCTCTGTCTTGTTGATCTGTCTAATGTTGATGGTGGGGTGTTAAAGTCTCCCATTATTATTATGTGGGAGTCTAAGTCTCTTTGTAGGTCTCGAAGGACTTGCTTTATGAATCTGGGTGCTCCTGTATTGTGTGCATATATATTTAGGATAGTTAGCTCTTCTCGTTGAATTGATCCCTTTACCATTATGTAATGGCCTTCTTTGTCTCTTTTGATCTTTGTTGGTTTAAAGTCTGTTTTATCAGAGACTAGGATTGCAACCCCTGCTTTTTTTTTTGCTTTCCAATTGCTTGGTAGATCTTCCTCCATCCTTTTATTTTGAGTCTATGTGTGTCTCTGCACGTGAGATGGGTTACCTGAATACAGCACACTGATGGGTCTTGACTCTTTATGCAATTTGCCAGTCTGTGTCTTTTATTTGGGGTATTTAGCCCATTTATATTTAAGGTTAATATTGTTATGTGTGAATTTGGTCCTGTCATTATGATGTTAGCTGGGTATTTTGCCTGCTAGTTGATGCAGTTTCTTCCTAGCATCAATGGTCTTTACAATTTGGCATGTTTTTGCAGTGGCTGGTACTGGTCATTCCTTTCCACGTTTAGTGCTTCTTTCAGGAGCTCTTGTAAGGCAGGCCTGCTGGTGACAAAATCTCTCAGCATTTGCTTGTCTGTAAAGGATTTTATTTCTCCTTCACTTATGAAGCTTAGTTTGGCTGGATATGAAATTCTGGGTTAAAAATTCTTTTCTTTAAGAATGTTGAATATTGGCCCCCACTCTCTTCTGGCTTGTAGGGTTTCTGCTGAAAGATCCACTGTTAGTCTGATGGGCTTCCCTTTGTGTGTAACCCAACCTTTCTCTCTGGCAGCACTTAACATTTTTTCCTACATTTCAACCTTGGTTAATCTGACAATTACGTGTCTTGTGGTTGCTCTTCTCGAGGAGTATCTTGGTGTTCTCTGTATTTCCTGAATTTGAATGTTGGCCTGCCTTGCTAGGTTGGGGAAGTTCTCCTGGATAATATCCTGAAGAGTGTTTTCCAGCTTGGTTCCATTCTCCCCATCACTTTCAGGTACACCAGTCAAACATAGATTTGGCTTTTTCATATAGTTCCATCTTTCTTGGAGGCTTTGTTCATTTCTTTTTCCTCTTTTTTCTCTAAACTTCTCTTCTCATTTCATTTCATTAATTTGATCTTCAATCACTGATACCCTTTCTTCCACGTGATGTAATTGGTTACTGAAACTTGTGCATGCATCATGTAGTTCTCGTGCCATAGTTTTCAGCTCCATCCATTTATTTACAGTCTTCTCTACACTGTTTATTCTAGTTAGCCATTCATCTAATCTTTTTTCAAGGTTTTTAGCCTCCTTGCTATGGGTTCAAACATCTCCTTTAGCTCGGAGAAGTTTGTTATTACCTACCTTCTGAAGCCTGCTTCTGTCAATTCGTTAAAGTCATTCTCCATCCAGCTTTGTTCCATTGCTGGCGAGTAGCTGTGATCCTTTTGAGAAGAAGAGGCACTCTGGTTTTTAGAATTTTCAGCTTTTCTGCTCTGGTTTCTCCCCATCTTTGTGGTTTAATCTACCTTTGGTCTTTGATGATGGTGACCTACAGATGGGGTTTTGGTGTGGATGTCCCTTTTGCTGATGTTGATGCTATTCCTTTCTGTTTGTTAGCTTTCCTTCTAACAGTCAGGTCCCTCAGCTGCAGGTCCATTGGAGTTTGCTTGAGGTCCACTCCAGATCCTGTTTGCCTGGGTAACACCAGCAGAGGCTGCAAAACAGCAAATATTGCTGCCTGATTCTTCCTCTGGAAGCTTCATCTCAGAGGGGCACCAAGCTGTATGAGGTGTCAGTCAGCCCCTACTGGGACGTGTCTCCCAGTTAGGCTACACGGGAGTCAGGGACCCACTTGAGGCAGTCTGTCTGTTCTCAGAGCTCAAACTCCATGCTGGGAGAACCACTGCTCTCTTCAGAGCTGTCAGACAGGGACGTTTAAGTCTGCAGAAGTTTCTGCTGCCTTTTGTTCAGCTTTGCCCTGCCCCCAGAGGTAGAGTCTACAGAGGCAAGTGGGCCTCGTTCAGCTGCAGTGGGCTCCACACAGTTCGAGCATCCTGGCCACTTTGTTTACCTACTCAAGCCTCAGCAATGGTGGTTGCCTCTCCCCCAGCCAGGCTGCCACCTCGCAGTTCAATCTCAGACTGCTGCACTAGCAGTGACCAAGGCTCCATGGGCATGGGACCCGCTGAGCCAGGCATGGGATATAATCTCCTGGTGTGCCATTTGCTAAGACCATTGGAAAAGCCCAGTATTTAGGTCCTTTTTTCCAGTACAGTCTGTCATGGCTTCCCTTGGCTAGGAAAGGGAAATCCTCTGACCCTTTGTGCTTCCTGGGTAAGGCGACGCCCTGCCCTGCTTCAGCTCAACCTCCATGGTCTGCACCCACTGTCCAACCAGTCCCAGTGAGATGAACCAGTACCTTAGTTGGAAATGCAGAAATCACCCATCTTCTGCACTGATCATGCTGGGAGCTACAGACTGCAGCTGTTCCTATTTGGCTATCTTGAAACTGCATCTGCCTAAAAATATCTTAAAAGCTAAATAAAAAGGTTAAATGCAGTAATGAAGTTGGGGCCCTAATCTGATAGGACATTGGCTTTATAAGAGGAGGAGGAGAGATCATTCTTTCTATTCACCATGTGAGGACATAACTTTCTGTAAGCTTGGAGGACAGCCCTGATTAGAACCTAAATCAGTTGGCACCTTGATATTGGCCTTCCCAGCCTCTAAATCTGTGAGCAATAAATTTGTGTTGTTTTAGTAAAAAAAAAGTAGTCATTCCACAAATATTTCAAAGAGAATGAGTTTAAATTTCAATAACAACCTGCTTATAGTAGCATACAACCAAGAAGTAGAAGTAATCCAGCCCTTTCAAACTATTCTTACAGAACTAACAGAACAATTTGTTTGGTGCTTGGTGTATACTGCTTTGTATTGTTAATTATATTTAGAATTATTTTTTTTCAACTTTAAGTTCCAGGGTACATGTGCAGGATGTGCATGTTTGTTACACAGGGAAATGTGTGCCGTGGTGGTTTGCTGCACAGATCTACCCATAACCTAGGTATTAAGCCCAGCATCCATTAGCTATTCTTCCTCATGTGCTCCCTCCTCCTGCCCCCATTGACAAGCCCCAGTGTGTGTTGTTCACTGACCATGTGTCCATATCATTCAGTTCCCACTTAAAAATGAGAACATGTGGTGTTTGGTTTTCTGTTCTTGTGTTAGTTTGCTGAGGATACAGCTTCCAGCTTCTTCCATGTCCTAGCAAAGGACATTATCTCATTCCTTTTTATGGCTGCATAGTATTCCATGGTGTATATGTACCAGATTTTCTTTACTCAGTCTATCCTTGATGAGCATTTTGGTTCATTCCATGTCTTTGCTGTTGTGAGTAGTGCTGCAATAAACATACACATGCATTTATCTTTATAACAGAATGATTTCTATTCCTTTGGGTGTATAGCCATTAATGGGATTTCTGGATCAAATGGTATTTCTGCTCCTAGATCTTTAAGGAATCATCACACTGCCTTCCACGATGGTTGAACTAATTTAAACTCCCGCCAATAGCGTGAAAGCATTTCTTTTTCTCTGCAACCTTGCCAGCATCTGTTGTTTCTTGACTTTTTAATAATCACCATTCTGACTGGCGTGAAATAGTATCTCATTGTGACTTTGATTTGCATTCTCTAATAATTAGTGATGTTAACCTTTTCTTCCTCTACGTCTGTTGGCCGCATTTATGTCTTCTTTTGAGAAGTGTCTGTTTATGTCCTTAGCCCACTTTAATGGGGTTGTTTTTCACTTGTAAATTTGTTTAAGTTTCTTATAGACTCTGGATATTAGACCTTTGTCAGATGGATAGATTGCAAAATTTTTCTCCCATTCTGCAGGTTGTCTGTTCACTCTGATGATAGTTTCTTTTGCTGTCCAGAAGCTGTTTTGTTTAATTAGATCCCATTTGTCAATTTTTGCTTTAGTTGCAATTGCTTTTGGCATTTTATCATGAAATCTTTGCCCCTGCCTATGTCCTGAATGGTATTACCTAGATTTTCTTCCAAGGTTTTAGTAGTTTGGGGTTTTATATTTGTCCTTAATCAATCTTGAGTTAATTTTTTCTGCATATGGCTAGCCAGTTCTCCCAGTATCACTTATTAAATAGGTAATCCTTCCTCTATTGCTTGTTTTTGTCAGGTTTGTAAAAAATCAGATAGTTGTAGGTGTGTGGTCTTATTTCTGAGTTCTCTATTCTGTTTCATTGTTTCATTTCTATGTGTCATTTTTTTATACTGGTACCATGATGTTTGGGTTACTGTAGCCTTGTAGTATAATTTGAAGTCAGGTAACATGATGCCTTCAGCTTTGTTCTTTTTGCATAGGGTTGTCTTGGCTTTCCAAGCTCTTTTTTTTTGGTTCCATTTGAAATATAAAATAGTTTTTCCTAATTTTGTGAAGAATGGCAATAGTAGTTTAATGGGAATAGCATTGAATCTATAAAATACTCTGGGCAATATGGCCATTTTCACAATATTGATTCATCCTACTCACAAGCATGAAATATTTTTTTTATTTGTTTGTGTCTTCTCTGAATGTCCTTGAGCAATTGTTGGTAGTTCTTGAAGAGATCCTTCACTTCCCGTTAGCTGTATTCCTAGGTATTTTAATCTCTTTATAGCAATTGCAAATGGGAGTTCATTTCTGATTTGGCTATCTGCTCACCTTTTGTTGGTGTATAGGAATGCTGGCAAATTCTGTGCATTGATTTTGTATCCTGAGACTTTGCTGAAGTTGCTTATTAACTTAAGAAGCTTTTGCACTGAGATGATGGGGTTTTGTAGATACAGGATCATGTCATCTGCAAACAAAGATAATTTAACTTCCTATCTTGAATAGGAGTGGGGAGAAAGGGCATCCTTGTCTTGTGCTGGATTTCAAGGGGAATGCTTCCAGTTTTTGCCCATTCAGTATGATATTGGCTGTGGGTTTGTCATGTGTGGCTATTATTTTGAGGTATGTTCCTTCAACACCTAGTTTATTGAGAGTTTTTAACATGAAGGGATGTTTAATTTTATCCAAGGCCTTTTCTGTGTCTATTGAGATAATCATGTGGTTTTTGTCTTTAGTTCTGTTTATGTGATGTTATGTTTAGTCTGTTTCTGTGATAAATTACATTTATTGACTTGCATATATGTTGAACCAGCTTTGCAACCCAGGGATGAAGCCAACTTGATCGCGGTGGACAAGCTTTTTGATTGCTGCTGAATTTGGTTTCCTAGCATTTTATTGAGGATTTTTGCATTGACGTTCATCAGGGATCTTGGCCGGAAGTTTTCTTTTTTTGTAGTATCTCTGCCAGGTTTTGGTATCAGGATGATGCTGGCTTCATAAAATGAGTTAGGGAGCAGTTCCTTTTTTTCAATTGCTTGGAATAGTTTCAGTGGAAATCATACCAACTCTTCTTTGTACCTCTGATAGAATTCAGCTGTAAATCCATTTGGTCCTGGGCTTTTTTTGCTTGATAGGCTATTTATTACTGCCTCAATTTCAGAACTTGTTATTGGTCTATTCAGGGATTCAATTCCTTCCTGGTTCAATCTTGGGAGGGTGTATGTGTCCAGCAATCTATCCATTTCTTCTAGATTTTCCAGTTTATTTGCATAGAAGTGTTTATAGTATTTTTCTGATGGTTATTTGTATTTCTTTGGAGTCAGTGGTGATATCCCCTTGTCATTTCTGATTGTGTCTATTTGATTCTTCTATTAGTCTAGCTAGCCATCTATTTCGTTATTTTTTTCAAAAAACTGGCTCTTGGATTTGTTGATTTTTTTGAAGAGTTTTTCGTGTCTCTGTCTCCTTCAGTTCTTTCTGTGTAAGGTTGTCTTTTTGTGTGGGTTGCTCTGATCTTGGTTATTTCTTGTCTTCTGCTAGCTTTGGTGTTTGCTCTTGGTTTAGTTACTTTAGTTATGATGTTAGGTTGTTGATTTCACATCTTTCTAGCTTTTTGATGTGGACATGTAGTGCTATAAATTTCCCTCTCAACACTGCCTTAACTGCATCGCAGAGATTCTGATATGCTGTCTCTTTGTTCTCATTAGTTTCAGGGTACTACTTGATTTCTGCCTTAATTTCATTATTTACCCAGAAGTCATTCAGGAGCGGGTTGTCCAACTTCCATGTAGTTGTGTGGTTTTGAGTCACTTTCTTCAACTTGCATTCTAATTTGATTGCACTGTGGTCTAAGAGACTGTTTGTTATGATTTCCATTCTTTTGCATTTGCTGAGGAGTGTTTTACTTCCAATTATGTGATCAGTTTTAGGGTAAGTGCCATGTGACAATGAAAATAATGTATATTCTTTTGCTTTTTGGTGAAGAGTCCTGTAGATATCTATCAGGTCGGCTTGATCCAGAGCTGAGTTCAGGTCCTGAATATCTTTGTCAATTTTCTGTTTTCATGATCTAATATGGTAAGTGGAGTGTTAAAGTCTCCCACTATTATTGTGTGGGAGTCTAAGTCTCTTTGTAAGTCTCTAAGAACTTGCTTTATGAATTTGGGTGCTCCTATATTGGGTCCATATATATTTAGGAGAGTTAGCTCTTCTCATTGCACTGAAGCCTTTACCATTATGTAAATGCCCTTGTCTTTTTTGATCTTTGTTGGTTTAAAGTCTGTTTTGTCAGAAACTAAGACCCCTGCTCTCTTCCGTTTTCCATGTGCTTGGTAAATTTTCCTCCATTCCTTTATTTTCAGCCTATGTATGTCTTTGCATGTAAGATGGGTCTCTTGAAGACAGCATACCAATGGGTCTTGACTCTTTATCCAGCTTGCCATTCTGTGTCTTTTAGTTGGGGCATTTACTCCATTTGCATTTAAGGTTAATATTGTTATGTATGAATCTGATCCTGTCATCATGATGCTAGATGGTTATTTTGCAGACTTGTTTATGTGGTTGCTTCATAGTGTCACTGGTCTATATACTTCAGGGGGTTTTTGTAGTTGCTGGTAACAGTTTTTCTTTTCCATATTTAGTGCTTTTGTCAGGGGCTTTTGCAAGGCAGGCCTGGTGGTGATGAATTCCCTCAGCATTTGCTTGTCTGAAAAGGATCTTATTTCTCCTACACTTATGAAGCTTAGTTTGGCCAGATATGAAATTCTGGGTTGGAAATTCTTTTTTTAAAGAATGTTGACTATTGGCCTCCAAACTCCTGGCTTGTAGGGTTTCTGCTGAGAGGTCTGCTGTTAGTCTGATGGGCTTCCCTTTGTAGGTGACCTGACCTTTCTCTCTGGCTGCCCTTAACATTTTTTCTTCCATTTCAACCTTGGAGGTTCTGATGATTATGTGTCTTGGGGTTGATTTTCTCATGGAGAGGAACCCCTTACAGGAGTTCTCTGAAGCTACTGCATTTGAATTTTGGACTATCTTGCTAGGTTGGGGAAGTTCTCCTGGATGATATCCTAAAGTATGTTTTCTAACTTAGTTCTGTTTTCCCACCTCCTTAGGTAGCCCAATCAGTCATAGTCTTGGTCTTTTTACATAATCCCATAGTTCTTGGAGGTTTTTTTCATTCCTTTTGATTATTTTTTCTCTATTCTTGTCTGTCCGTCTTATTTCAGAAAGACAGTCTTGAAGCTCAGATTTTTTCCTCCACTTGGTCTATTCTACTATTGATACTTGTGATTGCATTGTGAGGTTTTCATGTGTGTTTTTCAGCTCCATCAGGTCAGTTATGTTCCTCTCTAAACTGGCTATTCTGCTTATCAGCTCCTGTATTGTTTTATCATGATTCTTAGCTTCTTTGCAATGGGTTAGAACATTCTCCTTTGGCTCAGTGAAATTTGTTATTACCCACCTTCTGAATCCTACTCCTGCCAATTCAACCATCTCAGCCTCAACCCAGTTCTGTGCCCTTGCTGGAGAGGTGCTGTGGTCACTTGGAGGAGAAGAGGCACTCTGGCTTTCTTAGTTTTCAGGGGTTTTGCTTTGATTCTTTCTCATCTTTGTGGGCTTACCTACTTTCGATATTTGAGGTTGCTAACCTTTGAATGGGGTTTTAATGAGGTCTCTTTTTGTTGATGTTGTTGTTTTCCCCCCTTTTAACAGTCAGGCCACTTTTCCATAGGGCTGCTGTTGTTTGCTGGGGATCCACTCCAGCTTATTGTTGCCTCAGTTCCTCCCACACCTGGAGTTGTGCACCAGCGAAGGCTGCAAAACAGCAAAGATGGCAGTTTGCTCCTTCCTCTGGCAGCTCCACCCCAGTAAGGCAACAGCCCAATGCCAGCCTGAACACTCCTGTAGAAGGTATCTGGAGACTCCTGTTGGGAGGTCTCACCCAGTCAGGAGTAACGGGATCAGGGACCTGCTTTAAAAAGCAGTCTGGCTGCCCCTTGGCAGAACAGATGCTCTGGGGGGGATCCCTGCCTCATCCAGACCCCCCAGGTTCTCCAGAGTGCAGGCTGGAAAGACTAAGTCAACTGAACTGTAGTGATAGTGGCTGCCCCTCCTTGCAGGGGCTCTGTCCCAGGGAGAGATCAGAGTTCCATCCATGTAACTCTGGCTGGAGTTGCTAAAATTCCCACAGGGAGGCCCTGCCTGGTAAGGAGGGATGGGTTGGAGTCCCACCCACTTGAGGAAGCAGTTTTGCCATGATCTGGCACAGTAGCGGTACTATGTTGTGGGGAACTCCTCCCAGTCTGGACCACTTGGACTCCCCACAGCCAGCCGGCAAGAACTGCCAACTCAAACCGCAGAGATCCGCCTCAGGCAGTCTCCAGCCTGCTGCTGCTGGCCAGCTGGAATTCCAAGCCAGTGGGTCTTAACTTGTGAGGTGCCATGGGAGTGAGGCCTGCATAATGACACCACTTGGCTCCCTGGATTCAGCCCCCTTCCTAGGAAATGGATCTCCCACCTTGCCAGAATTCCCAAGACCAGAGTATGCAAAGCTCCTGGGTCTCTGTGTGTGCCCAAGCAGCCACTTCGCCAAGACCACACACTCTGTGCTTTGGACCAGAGGCCCTGGAGGGGTGGGCTCACAAGGGGATCTCCTGATCTATGGATTGCAAAGATCCATGGGAAAAGCATGCTTTCCCAGGTGGGGTCGCACAGTCAGTCATCACCTCCCTTGGCTGGGAATGTGGGCTCCCCTGGCTCTGTGCCTCTCCCAGATGGGATATCTCCCCACCCTGCTTTTCCTTGCTCTCCATGGGTTGAGCTGTCCACCTAGTCAGTCCCAATGCAAGAACCTGGATTCCTCAGTTGAAGGTGCATAATTCACTTGCTGTTTTTATTTCACTTTGTGAGAGCTGCAGACTGCAGCTGCGTCTAATCAACCATCTTGGCCCACCCACCCAAAAAAGTTAAAATTGTTTCTTTAAAATATGTGTTGCTATCCTTTGGCTCTGTGTTCCCACCAAAATCTGTCAAATTGTAACTCCCAGTGTTGGAAGAGGGGTCTCATGGGAAGTGATTGAATCATGGGGGCAGATTGATTTGTGGTTTAATTGATTACCCATAAATATAGAAATGATTACATCTGTTCTTTCAACTCCAGTTAGGTGTGGATCTAGGCTAAGGAAACTGAATGCTGAGATTTATGGCAATTTTGGGACTACTACAACTGGTAAGAAGCTTCCTTGTCTCCAGTTGTCAAGGCATTTAAGAAAAATTAATCCAGGAGATTTTATTATTGTAAGAAGTACACAAAGCTGATATTGTGAACAAAGTATGCCAACGATGGCACTTGGTAATAATAATGTATTATATCAATAGACTTTCTCCTACTAAAGGTTACTGATGGCATTTTAAGATATTTTTTAAACTACAGTTTCCCTCAATTTTATCATAAAAATTATTAAAATGTTGTAAATGAACATTCATTTATCACTTAAGTTTACTAGTAAACATTTTATCACATGTTTTCACCTCCCTGCCTTCCCTCTCCATTTGTGCATTGGAAAACACACACTCTCACGCACTCTCTCTTGTTTAAAGGTAAGGTATACAAGGAGGTGAAAGATCTCTACAAGGATAACTACAAAACACTGCAGAAAGAAATCACAGATGACACAAACAAATGGAAAAACATTTCATACTCATGGTTTGAAAGAATTAGTATCATTTAAATGGTTATGTTGCCCAAAGCAATCTACAAATTTAATGCTATTTCTATCAATCTATCAATGCCACTATTCGCAGAATTAGAAAAAAAAAAACTATTCTAAAATTCAGATTGAACGAAAAAAGAGCCCAAATAGCCAAAGCAAGCCTAAGCCAAAAGAACAAAGGCAGAGGATCACATTACTCATCTTCAAACTATAAAGCTACAGTAACCAAAACAGCATGGTACTGGTACAAAAACAAACACAGACTAATGGAACAGAATAGAGAACCCAGAAATAAAGCCACACACTTTAAACCATCTGATCTTCAACAAAGTTGACAAAAATAAGCAATGGGGAAATGAGTCACTGTTCAATAACTGGTGCTGGATTAGCTGGCTAGCCATATGCAGCAAAATGAAACTGGACCCCTACCTTTAATCATATACAAAATTCGCAGTGTTGGGAAGATTTAAATGTAAAACCTCAAAGTATACTTATTCTAGAAGAAAAACTAGGAAATAACATTCTGGAAATAAGCCTGGGCAAAGAATTCATGACTAAGTCCTCAAAAGTAATTGCAACAAAAACAAATATTGACAAATGAAACCTAATTATACCAAAGAGCTTCTGCATAGCAAAAGAAGCTATCAACAGAGTAAACAGACAACCTACAAAATGAGAGAAAATATTCATAAGCTATGGTCTGACAAAGGTCAAATATCCAGAACTTAAATTTACAAGCAAAAAAAAAAAAAAAAACCCATTAAAAAGTAGGCAAAGGACATGAGCAGACACTTCTCAAAGACATATAAGTAGCCAACAAACATATGAGAAAATGCTTGACATCACTGATCATCAGAGAAATACAAATAAAAACCACAATGAGATGCTATCTCACACCAGTCAGAAAGATAGATGGGTGCTCCCAAGGCTGCAAAGAACAGGGAATGCTTATACACTGCTGGTGAGAATCTAAAGTATGTTAGCCATTGTGGAAAGCAGTTTGGAGATTTCTCAAAGAGCCTAAAACAGAACTACCACTGGACCCAGCAATTTTATTACTGGGTATATATCCAAAGGAAACTAAATCACTCTGTCAAAAAGACACATGCACTCATATGTTCATTGCAGCACTATTCCCAATAGCAAAGACACGGAATCAACCTAGGTGCCTATCAACAGTGGATCTGATAAAGAAAATGTGGTACATATATACCATGGAATACTATACAACCATATAAAAGAATGTAATCACGTCCTTTACAGCAACATGGATGCAGCTAGAGGCCATTATCCTAAGCAAATTAATGCAGGAACAAAAAACCAAATGCCACATGTTCTCACTTGTGAGAATTAAACACTGGGTACACATGGACATAAAGATAGGAAAAATAGACTAGAGACTATAGAAAAATAAAAGATAGGAAAAATAGACTAGACTATAGAAAAATAAAGATAGGAAAAATAGACTAGAGACTACTGGAGCTGTGGGAAAGAGAGGAAAGGGTCTGAAAAACTACCTATTGGGTACTATGCTCACTATCTAAGTGGTGGGATCATTTGTACCCCAACCCTCAGCATTATGCAATGTACCATAAACCTGCACATGTACCCTCTGGATCTAAAATAAAAGTTGAAATTATTTTTAAAAATTAAATAAATGAATTAAAATAAAAGTGAGGTAGACATCATGATTTCATTTCTAAATATAGTTCGGAGTGGATCTCTTCAGGAAAAAAAAAAAGACATTATTCTTTATTAACTACAATAGCAATTGTCACAGTTTTTTTAAATGGATGGGAGGGGAGGGGCCAAGGTGGCTGAATAGAAACAGCTCCGGTTTGCAGCTCCCAGCGAGACCAACTCAGAAGGTGGGTGATTTCTGCATTTCCAACTGAGGTACCCAGTTCATCTCAGTGGGACTGGATAGGCAGTGGGTGCAACCCACAGAGAGTGAACAGAAGCAAGATGGGGCGTCACTTCACGTAGGAAGTGCAAGGGACCTCCCTCCCCCAGCCAACGGAAGCTGTGAGGGACTGTGCTACCCAGCCTGGGTACTATGCTTTTCTAATGGTTTTTGCAATCTGCAGATCAGTAGATTCCCTCATGAGCCTACACCACCAGGGCCCCGGGTTTCAAGCACAAAACTGGGTGGCTGAGCAGGCACCAAACTGCAGGAGATTTTTTTTTTTCATACCCCAGTGGTGCCTGGAACCCTGGCAAGACAGAACCATTCACTCCCCTGGATAGGAGGCTGAAGCCAGGGAGCCAAGTGGTCTCACTCAGCGGGTCCCACTCCCATGGAGCCCAGCAAGCTAAGAACCACTGGCTTGAAATTCTCACTGCCAGCACAGAAGTCTGGAGTTGACGTGGGATGATGCAGCTTGGAGTGGGGAGGGGCATCCACCATTACTGAGGCTTTAGTAGGTGGTTTTCCCCTGACAGTGCTAAGGAGACTAGGAGGTTAGGACTGGGCAGAATTTACCACAGTGTGGCAAAGCGGCTGTGGCCAGACTGCTTCTCTCGATTGCTCCTCACCGGGCAGGGCATCTCTGAAGAAAATGGAGCAGCCCCAGTCAGAGGCTTACAGATAAAACTGTCATCTTCATGGGACAGAGCACCTGTGGGGAGGGCCGTCTGTGGGCGCAGCTTCAGCGGACTTAATCTTTTCTGCCTGCCAGCTCTGAAGAGAGCAGCTGATCCTTACAAGGGCGATTCTCCCAGCAAAGTGCACCAGCTCTACAAAGGGACAGACTGCCTCCTCAAGTGGGTCCCTGACCCCCATGCCTCCTCACTGGGAGACACCTCCCAACAGGGATCGACAGAAACCTCATACAAGAGAGCTCCAGCTGGCATCAGGCTTCTGGGACGAAGCTTCCAGAGGAAGGAGCAGGCAGCAATCTTTGCTATTCTGCATCCTCCACTGGTGATACCCAGGTGAACACGGTCTGGAGTGAACCTCCAGCAAAATGCAGCAGACATGCAGAAGAGGAACCTGACTGTTAGAAAAAAAACAAACTAACAGAACACAACAACAACCAAAAAACCCACACAGAAACCCCATCCAAAGGTCACCAACCTCAAAGATCAAAGATAGATATATCCATGAAGATGAGGAAAAACCAGCGTAAAAACACTCAAAATTCCAAAAACCAGAATGCCTCTTCTCTTCCAAATGATGGCAACTCCTCTCCAGCAAGGGCACAAAACTGGACAGAGATGAGATTGATGAATTGACAGAAGTAGGCTTCAGAAGGCAGGTAATAACAAACTCCTGTGAGCTAAAGGAGCATCTTCTAACCCAAGGCAAGAAAGCTAAGAACCTTGACAAAAGGTTACGGGAACTGCTAACTAGAATAACTAGAGTTTACAGAGGAACATAAATGAACTGATGGAGGTGAAAATCACAGCACAAGAACTTTGTGAAGCATACACAAGTATCAATAGCTGAATTGATCAAGCGGAACAAAAGTATCGAAGATTAAAGATCAACTTGCTGAAATAAGGCATAAAGACAAGATTGGAGAAGAATGAAAGGGAACAAACAAAGCCTCCAAGAAATGTGAGACTATGTAAAAAGACCAAACTTACAATTGATTGGTGTACCTGAGAGTGACAGGGAGAATGGAACCAAGTTGGAAAACACACTTCAGGATATTATCCAGGAGAACTACCCCAACCTAGCAATACAGGCTGACATTCAAATTCAGGAAATATAGAGAACACCACTAAGATACTCCAAACCCCAGGAAACATAAGCATCAGATTCTCCAAGATTGACACAAAGGAAAAATTGTTAAGGGCAACCAGAGAGAAAGGTCAGGTTACCTACAAAGGGAAGCCCATCAGATTAACAGCAGACCTCTCAGCAGAAACCCTACAAGCCAGAAGAGAGTGGGGGCCAATATTCAACATTCTTAAAGAAAAGAATTATCAACCCAGAATTTCATATCCAGCCAAACTAAGCTTCATAAGTGAAGGAGAAATAAAACCCTTTACAAACAAGCAAATTCTGAGGGATTCTGTCACCATCAGGCCTGCCTTACAAGAGCTCCCAAAGGAAGCACTAAACATGGAAAGGAACAATCAGTACCAGCCACTGCAAAAACATACCAAATTGTAAAGACCATCGACACTATGAAGCAACCACATAAATAAGTTTGCAAAATAACCAGATAGCATCATGATGACAGGATCAAACTCACACATACACACATAACAATATTAACCTTAAATGCAAATGGGCTAAATACCCCAATTAAAAGACACAGACTGCCAAGCTGGATAAAGAGTCAAAACCCATTGGTGTGCTATGTTCAGGAGACCCACCTCACAGGCAGAGAGACACAAAGGCTCAAAATAAAGGCATAAGGGAATATTTACCAAGCAAATGAAAAGGAAAAAAAAGCAGGGGTTGCAATCCTAGTCTCTGATAAAACAGACTTTAAGCCAACAAAGATAAAAAAAAACACAAAGAAGGGCATTACATGATGGTAAAGGGATCAGTGCAACAAGAAAAGCTAACTATCCTAAATATAAATGGACCCAATACAGAAGCACCCAGATTCATAAAGCAAGTTCTTAGAGACCTACAAAGAGACTTAAGACTCCCACACAATAATAGTGGGAGACTTTAACACCCCATTGTCAATATTAGACAAATCAACAGGACAAAAAATTAGCAAGGATATTCAGTACATGAACTCAGCTTTGGGTCAAGTAGACCTAATAGACATCTACAGCACTCTCTACCCCACATCAACAGAATATACATTCTTCTCAGTGCCACATGGTACTTATTCTAAAATTGACCACATAATTGGAAGTAAAACGCTCAGCAAATGTAAAAGAATGGAAATCATAACAAACAGTCTCTCACATCACAGTGCAATCAAATTAGAACTTAGGATTAGAAACTCACTCAAAACCACACAACTACATGGAAATTGATCAACCTGCTCCTGAATGACTCCTGGGTAAATAACAAACTTAAGGCAGAAATAAAGAACTTCTTTGAAACCAATGAGAACAAAGAGACAATATACCAGAATCTCTGGGACATAGCTAAAGCAGAGTTAAGAGGGAAACTGATAGCACTAAATGCCCACATCAGAAAGCTGGAAAGATCTGAAATAGACACCCTAACATCACAATTAAAAGAACTAGAGAGGCAAGAGCAAACACATTCAAAAGCTAGCAGAAGACAAGAAATAGCTAAGATCAGAGCAGAACTGAAGGAGAGAGAGACACAAAAAACCCTTCAAAAAATAATTGAATCCAGGTGCTGGTATTTTGAAAAAAATTAACAAAATAGATAGACCACTAGCTAGACTAATAAAGAAGAAAAGAGAGAAGAATCAAATAGACACAATACAAAACGATGAAGGGGATATCACCACTGATTCCACAGAAATACAAATAACCATCAGCGAATACTATAAACACCTCTACACAAATAAGCTAGAAAATCTAGAAGAAATGGATAAATTCCTGGACATGTACACCCTCCCAAGACTAAACCAGGAAGAAGTCGAACCCCTGAATAGACCAATAACAATTTCTGACATTGAGGTAGTAATAGCCCACCAACCAAAAAAAGCCCAGGATCAGACAGATTCACGCCGAATTGTACCCGAGATACAAAGAGGAGCTGGTACCTTTCCTTCTGGAACTATTCCAAACAATAGAAAAAGAGGGACTCCTCCTTAACTTATTTTATGAGGCCAGCATCATCCTGGTATCAAAACCTGGCAGAGATACAACAAAAAAAAATTTCAAACCAATATCCCTGATGAACATCAATGCGAAAATCCTCAATACTGACAAACTGAATCCAGTGGTACATCAAAAAGCTTATCTACCACAATCAAGTCGGCTTCATCCCTGGGATGCAAAGCTGGGTTCAACATATGCAAATCAATAAACATAGTCCATCACATAAACAGAATCAATGACAAAAACCACACGATTATCTCAATAGTTGCAGAAATGACCTTTGATAAAATTCAACATCCCTTCATGTTAAAATACACTAGGTGTTGATGGAACATATCTCAAAATAATAAGAGCTATTTATGACAAACCCATAGCCAGTATCACACTGAATGGGCAAAAACTGGATGCATTCCCTTTGAAAACCGGCACAAGACAAGGATGCCCTCTCTCACCACTCCTATTCAACATAGTGTTGGAAGTTCTGGCCAGGGCAATCAGGCAAGAGAAAGAAATAAAAGGTATTCAAATAGGAAGAGAGGAAGTCAAATTGTCTGTTTTCAGATGACATTATTGTATATTTAGAAAATCCCATAATCTCAGCCCAAAAACTCCTTAAGCTGATAAGCAACTTCAGCAAAGTCTCAGGATACGAAATCAATGTGCAAAAATCACCAGCATTCCTATACACCAACAATAGACAAGCAGACAGCCAAATCATGAGTGAACCCCTATTCACAATTGGTACAAAGAGAATAAATACCTAGGAATCCAACTTACAAGGGATGTGAAGGACCTCTTCAAGGAGAACTACAAACCACTGCTCAAGGAAATAAGAGAATATGCAAACAAATGTAAAAAAAAAATTCCATGTTCATGGATAGGAAGAATCAATATTGTGAAAATTGCCATACTGCCCAAAGTAATCTGTAGATTCAATGCTATTCCCATCAAGCCACCATTGACTTTCTTTGTAGAATTAGAAAAAATTGCCTTAAAGTTCATATGGACCAAAAAAGAGCCCATATACCCAAGACAATCCTAAGCAAAAAAAATAAAGCTGGAGGCATCACGCTACCTGACTTCAAACTATACTACAAGGCTACAGTAACCAAAACAGCATGGTACTGGTTCCAAAACAGATACATAGGATGATAGAACAGAACAGAGACCTCAAAAATAATGTCACAAATCTACAACCATCTGATCTTTGACAAACCTGACAGAAACAAGCAATGGGGAAAGGATTCCCTATTTAATAAATGATGCTGCAAAAACTGGCTAGCCATATGCAGAAAACTGAAACTGAACCCCTTCCTTATCCCTTAGACAAAAATTAACTCAAGATGAATTAAAGACTTAAATGTAAAACCCAAAACCCAAAACCATAAAAACTCTAGAAGAAAACCTAGCCAATGCCATTCAGGACGTAGGTATGGGCAAAGACTTCATGACTAAAACACCAAAATCCATTGCAACAAAAACCAAAATTGACAAATGGGATCTAATTAAACCTACAGAGCTTCTGTACAGCAAAAGAAACTATCATCAGAGTGAACAGGCAACCCACAGAACGGGAGAAAATGTTTGCAATCTACCCATCTGACAAAGGTCTAATATCCAGAATCTAGAAGAAACTTAAACACACTTACAGTAAAAAAAAAAAAAAAAAAACCATCAAAAAGTGGGTGAAGGATATGAACAGACACTTCTCAAAAGAAGACATGTATGTGGCCAACAAACATATAAAAAAAAACTTTATCAACACTGTCATTAGAGAAATGCAAATCAAAACCACAATGAGATACCATCTCACACCAGTTAGAATGGTGATTATTAAAAAGTCAGGAAACAACAGATGCTGGAGAGGCTGTGGAGAAATAGGAACGCTTTTACACGGTTGGTGGGAGTGTAAATTAGTTCAACCATTGTGGAAGACAATGTGGCCATTCCTCAAGGACCTAGAACCAGAAATACCATTTGACCCAGCAATCCTATTACTGGGTATATACCCAAAGGATTATAAATCATTCTACTATAAAGACACATGTACATGTATGTTTATTGTGACACTATTTACAATAGCAAAGACTTGGAACCAACCCAAATGCCCACCAATGATAGACAGGATAAAGAAAATGTGACACATGTACACTGTGGAATACTATGCAGCCATAAGAAAGAATGAGTTCATGTCCTTTGCAGGGACATGGATTAAGCTGGAAGCCATCATTCTCAGCAAACTAATACAGGAACAGAAAACCAAACACTGCATGTTCTCACTCATAAGTGGGAGCTGAACAATGAGAACACATGGACACAGGGAGAGGAACATGACACACTAGGGTCTGTTGGGGGGGTGGGAGGCAAGGGGAGGAAGAGCATTAGGACAAATACCTAATGCACGCAGGCTTAAAACCTAGATGATGGGTTGATAGGTGCAGCAAACCACCATGGCACGTGTATACCTATGTGACAAGCCTGCACATTCTGCACATGTATCCCAGAACTTAAAGAAAAATAAATAAAATAAAATAAAATAAAATAAAACAGACAGATGGGGAGGGGGAATTGACAGATTTCCCCAGTTTTCCCTGATACTATATACCAATTTTTAAAAATACAGGATCCAATCCGTAATCATACATTGGGTTTATTCTCCTCTAATCTTGAACAGTTCACCTGCTTTTTTGTTTCTTTCATGATATTCAGAATTTTTAAGAAATCCAAGGTTAGTCATTTTATAGAATGTTCTGTGATTTAGGTTCCTCTGGTTGTTTCCTCATAATTAGATTAAAGTTAAGCATTTTTGGTAAGAATATTATATATGTAATATGTTTTTCTCAAAGAGTCCCTTCTGGAGGTACATAAAGGCAGTAATTATTCCTGATGTTAAGTTTGATCACTCAGTTAAAGTGGTACATACCAGATTTCTCCATCATACGTTATGTAATCTAAGGGTTGATGCTTTGATATTGCATGAATCCTGATTCCCCACAAAATTTCACCAAATTGTTTTAACATCTTTTGATTATCCTTGCCTGAATTACGTATTACTGATGGTTGTAAGATGGTCATTTTCTATGCTATCATTTCTTCTACAGTTACTGGCTGGACTCACTAGGTTTTTGTTGTTGCCATCATTGTTTTTGTTAGTTACTATCGAACCATAGATTCTTTTTTTAAATTACCTCTCTAATACCACCAGCAACAAACTACAGGTAAAGTTCAAGATGTTTTTACTTGATTCTTTTTGTCTTCAGAATAAAAATTATAGAGGAGATAAAGTCAGAGTACTCTGTCTCAAGTTACTTGAATTAATTGGTTACTTGGTTGAGAAGATCATATTGTTAGAATTTATATGCAGAGTGATCTAAAGTCAGATTTTCCATTCCATGACTAGGATGGCCCATGTGGAGCAAGGCAAAGTGAAGAAATGTTGGAAGAAATATTACTCAAAATTAACGTCTACAAAAACAAAAGAATAAGATGATACTTTTGGAGTTTTCCATTATTGTGTAAAACAAAACAAAACAAAATTCTTAACATATCTTATTTGATGAAGCATTTGTTTTCTGGTGTGACTTGGTTTTCCATTTATAAATCAGTGCATGAGAAGATGAATTCATTTCTAGTTTTATTGAATACAAAATGCCAATGAGCTATCCAGCTGAAGATGCATAGCAGACAACAGGAAGTGTGGGTTTGAAGCCTAACAAACTGACCAAGAGCATTGGCTATACTGTAAAAATTAAAGCTATGGCAGTAAACGGGACAATAGAGGCAAGACTAAGAGGAAGAGAAGAGAGGCCAAGTACAGTCTCTTGAGGGAAAATATTTCTGGTAAAGAAAGAGGAAGATGTGATAAATAAGGAATAGAGAAAGCCAATAAAGGATTTTTTTTAATGAAAAGACTTGCATTTAGGCTCAAGGCTACATGCTTCTTTATAGATTGATAGGTGCTGCCAATGGTCAGAGAATGACACCCTGAGTATGGGTGCCTTGGCACGTGCTGAGTTCTTTCAACTGAAAAAGATTGGAAGGGCATCAGAAACAAGGTCTCTCTAATCTCCCTTACATCCTCCTTTCTCCCCCAAGGCATATCATAAAAACCAGAACTCTTCCCTGAAGTGGTCATAGAAACTAAAAATCCTTACCCCTAAAGCAAGCCATGAAATCTAAAAAGGTCACTTTCTGACCTACCTTCCCTAAAAGTGAGACCCTTTTGTCCTGCCATGTGCCCAAAGGAAAAGAGTACTGCAGAGAGAGGCGAAGAAGAATCTTAACAAAGAACCTTTTTATGTTCCCCAAAGTTATTACCATTAGATCATACCCCTTTTTCCAATCATATTTCTCCACAAATGTCTACTTCTTTCATGGGGCTTAGCATAAAAGTACACAGTTTTCCCTGGGTCTTTGAGTCTTCATTTCTGAAGTCTCCTACTCCCCGTAAAACACTGTTAAATAAAGTTATGTATTTCTCTTGTTAATCTGTCTTTTTTTATGGGGTATCAGTCATGACCCTTATGATGGGCAAGGAAAAGATATTAGGTTAGTACAAAAGCAATTGCAGTTTTTGCACTGTTGAAATTTGCTATTTGATATTCGAATTCATTCTTACATAACTGTGGTTATGTTATACATCATTTTAACGCATGTTTCTCACTTTATTTTTTTTGCTAATGACTTATTACTTGCTGTTTATCTTATATTTATTTTAGACTATGGAAATGCTGTTAGACAAAAAGCAAATTTGAGCAATTTTCTCATTTGAGTTCAAAATGTGTCGTAAAACAGTGGAGACAACTCGCAACATCAGTAAAGCATTTGGCCCAGGAACTGTTACTGAACATACAATGTAGTGGCGGTTCAAGAAGTTTTGCAAAGGAGATGAGAGCCTTGAAGATGAGAAGCATAGTGGCTGGCCATCGGAAGTTGACAACAACCAATTGAGAGAATCTTTGAAGCTGATCCTCTTACAACTACACAAGAAGTTGCCTTAAAACTCAACACCAACCATTCTATGGTCATTTGTAATTTGAAGCAAATTGGAAAGGTGAAAAAGCTTGATAAGTGGGTGTCTCATGAGCTGAGCAAAAATTTTAAAAAATCATCATTTTGAAGTGTCATCTCTCATTCTATGCAGTAACAATGAACCATG
Organism: Homo sapiens; assembly: GCF_000001405.40. Taxonomy (NCBI): domain Eukaryota; kingdom Metazoa; phylum Chordata; class Mammalia; order Primates; family Hominidae; genus Homo; species Homo sapiens. Next base: position 53,724,777 of record NC_000005.10, read on the forward strand.
TATCAATCGAATTATGATGTACAACAAAAAGTGGATTTTATACAATAACCAGTGATGACCAACCAGCTCAGTGGTTAGACCAAGAAGAAGCTCCAAAGCCCTTCCCAAAGCCAAAACTGCACGAGAAAAAGGTCATGGTCACTGTTTGGTAGTCTGCTGCCAGTCTAATCCACTACAGCTTTCTGAATTCTGGCAAAAGCATTACAACTGAGAAATATGCTCAGCAAATCAATGAGATGCACCAAAACCCACAATGCCTGCAGTTGCCATTTGCCAACAGATAGGGCCCAATTCTTCTCCACAACACCACCTGACTGCACGTTGCACAACCAATGCTTCAACAGTTTAATGAATTGGGCTACGAAGTTTTGCCTCATCTGTCATATTCACCTGACCTCTCGCCAACCGACTACCACTTCTTCAAGCACCTCGACAACTTTTTGCAGCGAAAATGCTTCCACAACCAGCAGGAAGCAGAAAATGCTTCCCAAGGGTTCGTTGAATCCCAAAGCATGGATTTTTACCCTACAGGAATAAACAAACTTATTTCTCTTTGGAAAAAATGTGTTCATTGTAATGATTCCTGTTTTGGTTAATAAAGATGTGTTTGAACCTATTTATGATTTAAAATTCACAGGCTGAAACCGTAATTACTTTTGCACCAACTACAGTTTTCACCCCTACTGTTTTTAGAGTCAAGATTACTAGAATGTCAGAAATGAGCAAAATTAGACGTAACTTCATAAAGACAATGTAGTCCTGATAGGAAGTATAAAGGTCGTTTAGTCTTTGTATCAGTTTCTTGTCATTGCTGTAACAAATTACCACAAACTCGGTGCCTTAAAACAACATTCTACAGTTTTAGAGGTCGCAAGTCCAGAATCTTTCACTGGCCAAAACCAAAGTGTTGAGAGACCTTCATTTCCTCCAGAGGCCCTAGGGGAGAATCCACTTTCTGTCTTTTTCAGCTTCTAGAGCGTCATTTCTTTGGCTTGTAGCCCCTTCCTCTATTTTCAAAACCAGTAGCATCTTGTTTCAGTCTTCTCATCACCTGTCCCTTCTCAGGTCAAATTTCCGTCTGCTTCCCTCTTATAAGGACACTTTTGATTACATTTAGGATCCATTCAGATAATCCAAAATGTGGGAAAATAAAACCATAAAAAATGTTCCAGAACCACATCACTCTTCAGGCTGCTAATCTCTGTCAAGTTTGTTTGGTAGTATCATACTTATCAGCATTTACATGAAGCATTACTTTTCAGAAGGATTTTAAATAGCTATAATTAAAGCTATGGTGGCCAGGCATGGTAGCTCATGCCTATAATCCCAGCACTTAGGGAGGCTGAGGCAAAAGGATCGCTTGAGGCCAGGAGTTTGAGACTAGCCTGGCCAATATAGCGAAACTCTGTCTGTGTTTTAAATAAAATAAATAAAGTTGTGGAACAAGGAGTAAATTGTGCAAGTTTACAAAGCCAATCTTTTCATCAAAATGAAGCCTCATGCTGTCTGTTCTTTTGAATAGTTCTTAGAATGGCCACATGCCCATTTTGACCTCACCGTGACAAAGTGAGGGTTGTTTGAGCCAAGAAAAGTCTAAACTAAATAAGTAAATACAGTAAAAAGTTAAGTTTATTAGATTTAATTTCCCCTTTGGAAAAGAGCCAAAAACATGGCATTCTAAAGCAAGACAACCCTTAGATCAAATCTCAGATGTGCCATCTGTACTTGACCAATCTGAGCCTTAGTGTCTTCGTCAAATGACATTGAATAAATAAGCACTTGATAGATGCTTAATAAATGTTGGGCACTTTCTTTTTCATGAAAATTTACATCATTCATTAAATATTATTTGACTGTCTACCATGTGGCCAGGCATTAGCAGACACACATAAATTTAACCTAATATTTCTATTTTAGTAATTTTTTAAACCTTAATGTGAGATATAAAGATAAAGCAAGATGTCTACAGATATCAGAAGAATTTAAATAAAATAATGTACAGTTTAACATTCAAAGTTGTGTTTATAATTGAGAATAAAGAAGACCTACTGACCTGTGAGATATATATATATACACACACATGTATTTTCATCCATGGTTCCTAGCTCATAGCTCCCATAACCTTTGTTACAGTCTTTTGTTATAATGTTGGGGTGTCTTAGGCCTCAGAAACAGGCCTCAGGAAACAGAATCAATCAATCACTCTCTCTCTCTCACCTTCTCCTGCCCAAACAAGGAATCTAACCTGATTGTAGGTCATAAGACCCTTATTCCAGAGAGGGTCCTGCCCCATATTCTGGAGGAAGGAATGTTGCACAGAGAGGCCAAGAGGAATCTGAACAGGCAGGCATTGCTGGGTAATGTAATTTGGTTTGGCTCTGTGTCCCCACACAAATCTCATGTTGAACTGTAATCTTTCAGTGTTGGAAGTGGGAGGTGAATGGATCATGGGAGCAGACTTCCCCCTTGCTGTTCTTGTGATAGTGATTGAGTTCTCACAAGATCTCATTGTTTAAAAGTGTGTAGCACTTCTCACTTCACTATCTCTCTCCTGCTTCATGTGGAGATATACCTGCTTCCCTTTTGCCTTGCACCATGACTGAAAGTTTCCTGAGGCCTTCCCCAGCCAGCCTACCCATACAGACTGAAGAACTGTGAGCCAATTAAACCTTTTTTCTTTATAAATTACCCAGTTTCAGGTAGTTCTTTATAGCAATGTGAGAACAGACTAATGCGCTGGGTTTAGATAATACTCTTTTTGTTGAATCACATTTTGACACAGTTGTCCCTGCTTCAATCATGGACAATCAATAAAGTCTCCATCAAAGGCCCAAAGGACAGGGTTAGAGAGCTCCCAAAGCACTGAACACATGGAGGTTGACAGGAAGATGTACTCATCTATGTGCCTGCAGGGTGGCAAACCCCCAACTCCACAAGGACAGTAGCTCCTGTACTCAGGACTGTCCCAAACCTCACCCTATATATCTCTCCATCTGGCTGTTTACTTGTATCCTTTAAGATATCCATCATAATAAACTGGTAAGCATAAGTGTTTCCCTGACTTCTGTAAGCTACTGAAGTAAATTAATTGAACTCAAAGCAGGGGTCTGGGGAGCCCCAACTTGAAGCCAATCAGAAGTTTTGGAAGTCCAGGCTTGTGACTGGTGGGAAGGAGGGAGTGGTCTTGTGGGACTGAGTTGTCAACCTGTGGAATCTGTCTCTATCTCTGGAGGACACCCAAGCTGGTGTCCACTGCTTGGTGTGTGGGGAAAAGCCACCATACATTTCATCAGAGGTCTTATGTGAAGGTGATTGTTGTGGTGTGAGAGCAGAGGGAAAAGCATGGTTTGAGGGTTTTTCCCAAAAATACAACCTGTTGTGAATTCTTGAATTAATTGTTTTATTGATAAGCAATGAGTTGGAAACAATGTATGAATATAAAGTGATATAGTATCATTTCATTAATAGTATCTAACTCAAATTTACTCAAGTGAAATCTTTTCATCTAGAGAAAAATGCCAACAATAGGTTACAATATAATATCTGCTGACATTTTTCAATATCAATATGTAACTATCAGCTCCTAAATGTTTATGAGTTTAAATTTGAAGATTTTATAAATCTTGATAGAGTATGTATGAAGGAAGAAAATTATATTTTGTTAAAATCAAAGAAGATAGTCACAAGGTAAATTTCAGTTTATCTTTATAATTTAAACAGTTACCTCTTCAGAATGAATGTCACTTTTGTTCTTGCTAACAGTGATAGAATTCATGAATAGTTGCATTTTAGTCACTGTCATTAATTGATAAGTCAGAAGTTTGTAGTGTATCTTTGTAAGTAGATTCCTTTAAGTGTGAGAGTGATTGACAAAAGCAGGAATCAACCAATCTAAAAGCGTTAATAACATTTAAAGTAAAGCCTACAAATATGAACACCAAACAAAAGTGTTCTTGATACCAGTTTATAATCCTAAATGGGGGAAACATTGTGAAAATACAACACTATCAAATGACTCCTAGGGATTTCCACATCAGCCTAAACTAATATGTGCCACGAGTAATAGTATGCTTTAGTCCTACTTACAAATGGCATTTCATCTAAGGACACACAAAGCAGTACACTTGGGAAATATAAATTATAGACATGTAAGACACGGAATGACTGACTGAACTTTACAAGAGAAAGAAGAAAACTGGCTAGGCACAGTGGCTCATACCTCTCATCCCAGCACTTTGGGAAGCTGAGGCAGGTAGATTGCTTGAGCTCAGGAGTTCAAGACCAGCCTGAACAACATGGCAAAACCCTGCCTCTACAAAAAATACAAAAATTAGCCAGGCATGGTGGTATGCCTGTAGTCCCAGAAGGTGGAGGGTGCAGTGAGCCGAGATTGCACCACTGCACTCCAGCCTGGGTGACAGAGCAAGACCCTGTCTCAAAAAAAAAAAAAAAAAAAAAAAAAAAGAAAGGATCATAGAGGACAATAAGATGAGTATGAATTAAGTAAATATTTAACAGTATGAAAGGACTCCTAAGAGTGTATAATATAATGTCACTGCATGTTAAATAAAGGTTAAAATGGAGTAAGTGAAGAACTGCTTCAGTTAAGCTTCTGAAGGATCAAGTCCATGTCGCACTTTGCTTTAGAATACAACTCTCAAAGAGATATATGGTTAGAATGATGAAATTCCAAAGAGGAAAACAGCAACAGCTAAATGCTAAAAGGTAGATTGTATTTTAAATTTCTTTAAGTTTTAAAAAAGATAATTTAATAATAGCATATAGCAAGGGTTCTCAAATGCTTTGGTCTTAGGACCACTTTATGCTTTCAAAAATTATGAGGGACTTCTGGCCTTAGCTCCAACATGTAAAGAGCTTAAAAGTTATCATTCCATCCTTACAAGAGAGAACTAGAACACCTGACCACCTAGACCAACTGAAGTTCTCTGATAGATTCAAGAAAAGTTGTAGATTTCAAGGTAAACCACGGCATCGAGATCTAAAGAGACAAGCAAACCCAGAGAGTCATGGCCAAGATCAGCTTACCTAGAAAAGTTGCTGAAGACATAAACTGGCAGAATCATTTAAAAGATAATTTTGACAAATTGCTGGAGGTTGAGTGTAGACTAGCTTGAGAATGAGAACTTCTTTAAGACCGTAGTTTCAGTGAGGCCACCATATTTCTTCGGGTTTACCTCAAAGACACTCAACAAGGCTCTCATGGTAAAGACCAAAAATGTTTTTTGCAAGATGAAAAAGCCCTGAAGATCTATTTCACAACAATGTGAACATACTTAACATTACTGAACTGTATACTTAAAACTTGACAGAATGGTAGGCTGGGGATGGTGGTTCACATCGGTAATCCTAGCACTTTGGGAGGCCAAGGTGGATGGATCACTTGAGGCCAGGAGTTCAAGACCAGCCTGGCCAACATGATGATACCCAGTCTCTACTAAAAATACAAAAATTAGCTTGGCATGGTGGCATATGCATGTCATCCCAGCTACTTGGGAGAGCAGGCAGGAGAATCTCTTGAACCCAGAAGGTGGAGGTTGCAGTGGGCTGAGACAGTGCTACGGCACTGTCTCAGGAACAAAAAAAACAAAATGATGGAATGGCAAATGTTATGTGTTTGACACAAAAAACTGACAGCATTCATCTGGTCAAACAATAACCAGTTAGAAGATATAATAGACAAGAGAACCCTGATCATAATAGCAATAAAGAAGAGTAAAGATAAAATATTTAGGAATAAATTTAATAAGAGATATCCAAGATTTCTATGAAGAAAATTATAAAACATTTATGAAAGATACAAAAATAGACTTGAATAAATGAGAAATTATCCTTTTTAATAGGATATCTCAAAATCATAAAGATGTCAGTTTTTCCTAAATTAATTTATAAAGTTAATCTGATTCCAGTCAAAATTTCAATATTCTAATAAACTTTTCATGGATCTAAATAATTTGATCCTAAAGTTTGTATGTAAAAACAAACACATAAGAATAGCTTTAAAAAACACTAACAAAAGAAAACTGTCAGGGAGGATATACTACAAAGCCTCTATAAAACTAAAACAATTTGGTACTGGAACATGAATAGATAGGCTAATGGGATAGAATATAAAATTGAGAATAGACCACTGATATGGTTTGGATCTGAGATTTGTGTCCCCACCAAAATCTCATGTTGAAATGTAATCACCAATGTTAGAGGTGGGGTTTGATGGGAGGTAACTGACTCATGGGGGCAGCTTCTAATTGTTTAGCACCATGCCCCTAGTGCTGTTCCAATGAGTGAGTTCTCACAAGATCTGGCTGTTTAGAAGTGTTTAGCACCTCCCATCTCTCTTCCTGCTCCAGTCATGTAAGACATGCCTGCTTCCCCTTCACCTTCTGCTATCATTGTAACTTTCCTGAAGCCTCCCCAGAAGCGGAAGCCACATGCTTCCTGTACAGCCTGAAGAACTGTGAGCCAATTAAACTTCTTTTGTTTATAAATTACCCAGTTTCAGGGATTTCTTTATAGCAGTGTGAGAATGAACTAATACAACCACCTACATATAAAAATTAATATGTGGTGGAAGTAATCTCTCTTAGTGCTTGGGATAAAGATTATCTTTTTAATAAATGGTGTTAGGACAACTGAAAAAGATAAAATTTGATCCATTCCTCATACCACTCATACCATACACAAGAATAAGCTCCAAATGGATCAGAGATCTAAATAAGAAGGGAAGGGAAGGAGAGAGGGAGTGAAGGAGGGAGGAAGGAAGGCAGGAATTATGTAAGTTCTAGAAGAAACCATGAGTGAATTTTTCTATAGCCTCAGTAAAAATAGGCTTTTTACTTATAATTCAAGGCTTTTTAACTGACTCAAAATTCAGATGTAATAAAAGAAGTGATACATTTGACCTCATAAAAATATAAATATCTGAGATGATAAACCACAATCAAAGTTAAAAAGCAAATAAACTGGGGGAAATATTTGCAACATATATTGTAGTTCAATAGCTGATTTCTAATGTACTAAGGACTTTTAAGAATTGGTGAGAGACAGACCAAAAAATCTTACAGAAAAATGAGTCAAAGTCACGAACAGATGATTCACAAGAAGAGGCATAAAAATGGCCCTTAAACATAGGTAAAGATGTAATTGTGATCATAATAAAGAAAAATGCTATTTAAAATTATCTTGAGATTTTACTTTTCTCCCAGCTGACAGACAAAAGTTCAAAAGCTCGACAATATACTTTTGTTTAGGCTATAGAGAAACAGGCACTCTTGTACATTGTTGGTGAGAATGCTAAATGATAACAAACTATGTATATTCTTAGACTTATACTTGTAGGCACTTATAATAATACTTGTAAGAATTTATCTTGAAGATACAACTCCAATACATATTAAAATACACCTCCAGAAAACATAAAAATACATACATATACACAAACTGATTACAGCATTAATGTAATTGAAAAATGTTGGGAACTACTTAAATATCTAAGCATAAGAAGTTGTATGAATAAACTATGGAACATCCACACAACTGGGTATTATATAGATGCTTTTAAAAAAGAATGAGAAAAAATTTCATATTAACTGATATGGTATGATTTCTAGAAGACATTGCTTACTGAAAGAACAAGTACAAGACGTTATATATATGTACACACACACACTGTATATAAGATATTCACATATACAGTATATATACACACATATATACATACACACAGAGACCCAGATATGTGTGTGTGTGTATATATATACACACACACACATATATACATACTTACATATTAATGTTGCCTTTTGTGTAACAAAAAGACAAAACCAGAAAACAATGAAACCCTTTACCTACTAAAGGGATGGGAGAAAAACATGCAGAAGGGATATGGGAGTGAGTGATACCTCTCCAAATATATCTTTTAGTATTATTTTGATTCTTGGAAGCATGCTAATGTTCTACATGTTTTTTAAAAAATTAAATCAATAGGGGTGAGAAGAGAAAAAAGAAGTCCTAAAATGTAAAGCAAACTGGACCAAATGGTCCCGCATGTATTTTAAATGAATACCATAACCACAATGAAGAGGAAAAAAAGAATGAATTTATCCTAGTTACTTTGAACCCACTATTTTACTTTTTACCTAGTCTTGGATTGGGTGGGATAGTGGGAGAGAATTTCAAACAAATCCTTAACTCTTTTTCGTAGCATTTTAAAATATAGTGGTACGGGCAACAAAATTCTGAAACAAATTTGGATGTATTATAAGATTGAGCAAATGAATAAATGTATTGATATTGTTAAGATTCAGAGTTTTTACTGAAGAAGAAGGGACAAACTAATATGGAACATGGAAAGGAAAGAAATAACTTTTGTGGGGCGAACTGGAATCGGAGGAATAAATGTAAACCCATTTCTAAAATATGTCTATGCGTGTCTGTATACTTGTATATTTACATATACATAAGTTTCCTAATTTTGTCCACTTAAGAGCATGAGCAAAGACACTTCAGCATGACTATAGCACATTTAGCATCAAGATCTTGATCTGTAATATCCTCTCTCCCTGAAATGAATTAAAGCTTCTCAGAAAAATGACTGAGCTTAGGGCTAGGGCAGGGTAAATATGAGATCAGTCTAGAACATCTTGATATACTAGAAAGCAAGAACACATTACAAAAGGATAATGAACAAGAACACAGGATCCAAATTAAAGGGGCTGCCACTTGTCAAATCTGAAAAAATTAAACAAAAATTTCTGTACAGTAACAAAATATAAACCATTGGAGTGAAAAATAAGAACTCATGAATCTATACTGATAATAAATAGAGATAAACAATGGGGAAGAGATGAGGGCTCTTGCTTGTAAAATGCCAAATCCTGAGTGGTAAATACAGAAAGAATGCTAGAATTGGAAAATCAGAAATTTGTGATCATTATAGGCAAGATTTAATTAGGAAGCAGGAATTCTGAAATGCCTATATGAGAAAGTTAACAGATCCTCTTCTCAAAGAAACAGTGATAAAATTGGATGAATACATAAATTAGTTAATTAATAATAAAAAATAAAGTCTCTAGAAACTGACCACAGGGCATGTAACAAATTGAAAAACATCTGCTCAGAAAATCTGCTGCATCTCAGTAAGAAAAGTGTGAGTCTGTGTCATTCATGCCAGGGGTTGCTCCTATCTTCTCCATCTCCATGTTGCAGAAATTCTATACTGTGCAGATGGGCAGGCCATGAGGACTGGTAGCTACCATCCTCCCTCAGCAGTTCCAGACATAGCACACAGGTGTCACTCCAGGAGAGGCTGCAGCAGGTTGGGAAGAGCAGTAGCTCTCATTCCTACCCTCATGGCTCTGCCTTGTGTTGTGACAGGTCTGTCCAGGATGGACATAGCATGATGTAAGAGTGGCAGCTCCTTGACCCTGCCCGACAGGGTTAACTTTATTAGCAACAGAACATGAAAAAAGCAGGGACACTATTTAAAACAAAGAAGTGACATCTAGAAGGTGGTAGAATAGGAGGTTCCTGTATTCAAGCCCCCACAGAAACACTGATTTGAACAACCTACCCATGAGAATAATATGTTTATGTGATGCACATAGTCCAGCTCAGAGGTTCCACCACCCTAGTGGAGCCAAAAAATCCAAGTATAGATGCATAGAAGGTAAAAAGAACAGTTTCACTTTATGTGCATCACTCCTCCTTCAGGTAGCACAACTCTGCCAATACAGACCCCTTTAATCTACAATTTCTTTCTTGGGAAAGAGAGTGAAATAAGTGCCCAAGTTCCCCAGTCTTATGACATACTGTTCAAGAGACCCACTTCTGTATTGTCTACCCAGAACACTGAGATCAACATAGCTAAATCATCTGAAGACAACTAGGAGCAGTGAAAATGGACAGGGAATCATAGCAACCAGCATGCAGATCTCAAGAATCAGCACAGATTCTACTAACAGACACATGGACCTAAGAGCCTAACCACAAGCTCTTAGACACCTTATTGGGAGACCACCTCCTACTAACTAGCCAACAAGTGTCCCCAGCATTGTGCACCACTTTCTTTCTCCCCATAACCACTGCATGCAATTCTCCACAGAATTCACATGGATATAAGCTGATAACTCAACTCTGCTTAGTTGGAAAAAAGCACAAAACCTTAAACATTCAAGGGCACTGTCCTATGATAAATAAGCAGGAGACTTTCAGCACCCTATTAGATTTGCAATATTGAGAGAAAGCACACAATCCTAAGATGCCCCCTTCAAGAGAAAACAAAGGAGTAGTGGAGTAAGCACATCCAGGTAAAAGGTATGAGAAACCCCTAGATTCTAGCTGGGCTGACTGGAGAAGATATTTCTCTCCTGAAGCCAGTCAGTAAAGACTAGAGGAAGTGACTACTTCAAATGCCAAGACAGCAGTGCAAATTTCCAGAAGCATACATACAAAATCAAGGAAACATGATACCACCAGAGACAAAATAAATCTCCAGTGGCTGACCACAAATAAATGAAAATCTATGCATTACCTGAAAAAGAATTCAAAATAATCATGTTAAAGAAGTTCAGTGAGCTTTTTTTCTTGTACATTTATTTATGTTCCTTGTAGATTCTGGATATTAGCCCTTTGTCAGATGGATAGATTGCAAAAACTTTCTCCCATCCTGTAGGTTGCCTGTTTACTCTGCTGATAGTTTCTTTTGCTGTGCAGAAGCTCTTTAGTTTAATTTGATCCCATTTGTCAATTTTGGCTTTTGTTGCAATTGTTTTTGGTGTTTTAGTCATGAAGTCCTTGCCCATAACTAGGTCTTCAATGGTATTGGGTAGGCTTTCTTCTAGGGTTTTCATGATTTTAAGTCTTATGTTTAAGTCTTGAATCCATCTTGAGTTAATTTTTATATAAGGTGTAAGAAAGGGGTCCAGTTTCAGTTTTCTGCATATGGCTAGCCAGTTTTCTTAATACCATTTATTAGATAGGGAATCCTTCCCCATTGCTTGTTTTTGTCAGGTTTGTCAAAGATAAGATGGTTGTAGATGTGTGGTGTTATTTCTGAGGCCTCTGTTCTGTTCCATTGGTCTGTATATCTGTTTTGGTACCAGTACCATGCTGTTTTGGTTACTGCAGCCTTATAGTTTAGTTTGAAGTCAGGTAGCCTGATGCCTTCAGCTTTGTTCTATTTGCTTAGGACTGTCTTGGCTTATGTGGGCTCTTTTTTGGTTCCATATGAAATTTAAAGTAGTTTTTTCTAATTCTGTGAAGAAAGTCATTGGTAACATTGAATCTGTAAATTAGTTTGGGCAGTATGGCCGTTTTCATGATATTGATTCTTCCTATCCATGATCATGGAATGTTTTTCCATTTGTTTGTGTATTGTCTTATTTCCTTGAGCAGTGGTTTGTAGTTCTCCTTGAAGAGGTCCTTCACATCCCTTGTAAATTATATTCCCAGGTATTTTATTCTCTTTGTACCAATTGTGAATGGGAGTTCACTCATGATTTGGGTCTCTGTATATGATTGGTGTATAGGAATGCTTGTGATTTTTGCATGCTGATTTTGTATCCTGAGACTTTGCTGAGGTTGCTTATCAGTTTAAGGAGATTTTGGGCTGAGACGATGGGGTTTTCTAAATACACACTCATGTCATCTGCAAACAGAGACAATTTGACTTCTCTTTTCCTATTTGAATACCCTTTGTTTCTTTCTCTTGCCTGATTGCTGTGGCCAGAACTTCCAAAACTATGTTGAATAGGAGTGGTGAGAGAGGGCATCCTTGTCTTGTGCCAGTTTTGAAAGGGAATGCTTCCAGCTTTTGCCCATTCAGTGTGATATTGGCTGTGGGTTTGTCATAAATAACGCTTACTATTTTGAGATACGTTCCATCAATACCTAGTTTATTTAGAGTTCTTAGCATGAAGTGAGTTTTGAATTTTATTGAAGGCCTTTTCTGCATCTATTGAAATAATCATGTGGTTTTTGTCATTGGAAAGCGGACGAAGTATATGAACAGACAGACTCTTTTCAAAAGAAGACATTTATGCGGCCAACATATGAAAAAATGCTCATCATCACTGGTCCTTAGAGAAATGCAAATCAAAACCACAATGAGATACCATCTCATGCCCGTTAGAATGGTGATCATTTAAAAATCAGGAAACAACAGATGCTGGAGAGGATGTGGAGAAATAGGAATACTTTTACACTGTTGGTGGGAGTGTCAATTAGTTCAACCATTATGGAAGACAATGTGGTGCTTCCTCAAGGATCTGGAACCAGAAATACCATTTGATCCAGCAATCCCTTTACTGGGCATATACCCAAAGGATTATAAATCATTCTACTATAAAGACATATGCACACATATGTTTATTGCAGCACTATTCACAATAGCAAAGACTTGGAACTAACCGAAATGCCCATCAATGATAGACTGGATAAAGAAAATGTGGCACATATACACCATGGAATACTATGCAGCTGTAAAAAAGGATGAGTTCATGTCCTTTGCAGGAACATGGATGAAGCTGGAAACCATTATTCTCAGCAAATTAACACAGGAACAGAAAACCAAACACCATGTGTTCTCACCCATAAGTGAGAGTTGAACAATGAGAACACATGGACACAGGAAGGGGAACATCACACAGCAGGGCCTGTCAGGGGGTGAGGGACTAGGGAAGGGATAGCATTAGGAGAAATATCTAATGTAGATGACAGGTTGATGGGTGCAGCAAACCACTGTGGCAACTGCACGTTCTGCATATGTATCCCAGAACTTAAAGTATATTAAAAGGAGATAAAAGAACTAGGTAAAATGAAAAAAAAAGAAAATGTATTTTTTTGGTATATTTGCTAATCAAGATAGATGTTGATTGTCTATGTTATGCTGTTGTTATTCTTGTTGTTTATCCATTATTACTACTGAAGAGTAGTATTTTGACCATGCATTTACCCAATTTTCTGGATGTTGTTATTCTAACAGTTCATGTTCTGAGAGTAAAATATATTTTCTTGCTTTTCTAGTTAACATCCATGTCTTCTGTGAATAACTACAAATCAGAGTTTTTGAATCAGCTTCTTTCCTGGTTTTTTTTTCTCTTCCTTGTTTTGGTCCCCACTCAGACATCTCACACAGTAGTGAATTGTGAGAGGCCAGTCCACTCCCTCTTTTAACTTTATTGAAATACTTCTAATGTTTTTGTTGATTAGTATATTTGCAGAATTTTTCCCTTTTACTAAGAATTTTTTAATTATGCTATTTTGTATGTATAATCATCAAATATTTTATTCTAGGATTTAATGTTGTAATTTTCCTTTACTTTTTTGATTTAAAGAATAAAGTTTGAATTGTAAAAAAAAAGTATAACAAAAAAAGTTCAGTGAGCTATAAGAGAGCACAGATAAGCAACTACAGAAATCAAGAAAACAATACACGAAAAATTTTCTTTAACAAAAAAATAATAATAATAAAGAACCAAACAGAAACTCTGAAGCTGAAGAATACGATGACTCAACTAAAAAATACAACAGTTTCAACAGCAGAATTGACCAAGCAGAAGAAAGAATCAGCTAACTAAATTCATGTCATTTGAAATTATTCAGTCGAGGAACAAAGTGAAAAAGAATGAAAAACAGTGAAGAAAGCCTATGGAACTTATGAAACACCATCAATTGACCAACATATCCACTGTGGGATTCTCAAAAGGAGCAAAGAAAGATAAAGGAATAGAAAGCTTATTTTTAAAAATAATGACAAAAAAATTACCAAATTTGGGGAGGGAAATGAACAGTTAGATTTATGAATCCAAAAGAACTACAAATAGACTGACCATAAAGAAGTTTTCAGCATGACATTTTATAAACAAATTGTCAAAAGTCAGTGGCTCATGCCTGTAATCCCAGCACTTCAGGAGGCTGAGGCATGCAGATCACTTGAGGTCAGGAGTTCAAGAATAGCCTGACCAAAATGGCAAAACCCCATATCTACTAAAAATCCAAAAATTAGCCAGGCGTTGTGGCACACACCTGTAATCCCAGCTACTCAGGAGGCTGAGGCAGTAGAATCACTTGAACCTGGGAGGTGGAGGTTACAGTGAACCAAGATCACACTATTGCACTCCAGCCTGGGTGACAGAAGAATAAGACTCCATCTCAAAAAAAAAAAAAAAAAAAAAAGGTCGATGACAGAGGGAATTTTGAAAGCAACAAGAGAAAAGCAATTCATTTCATGCAATCAAAATCCCCATAAGACTCTAAGCAAATTTCTCAACAGAAACCTTGCAGACCAGCAGAATGGGATAATATGTTCAAAGTCTGCCTGGAAACAGACTTGGGGCTATTGGCAGGCAGGGTTGAGGGTATGGTGGTAGTGAGGCTGGCCCCTGTTTGCATGGGAACTAAGTGAGGCCTATGACGGTCAGCTTTCTCCCACTTTCCTGACAACCTGCATGACTCAGCACAGGCAGCCATAATCCTCCTAGGTACACAACTCCAGTGACCTGGGAATGTCATCCCACTCACCACAGCAGCTGCAGCAAGACCCACCCAAGGTGAGCCTGAGCTCAGACATGCCTAGCCCTGTCCCCACCTGATGGTGCTTCCCGATCCACCCTGGTAGTGGAAGACAAAGGGAATATAATCTTGGGAGTTCCAGGGCCCTGCCCACCACCGGTCCCTTTCCGTAACTACTATAGCTGATGCTTTCTGGAAAGCAAAAACTTCCTGGCAGGAGGCCAACCAGCACAAAAATAGAGCATTAAACCACCAAAGCTAAGGACCCTCATGGAGTCCACTGCACACTCCACCATCTCCCCTGGAACAGGCGCTGGTATCCACAGATCAGAAACCCATAGACAGTTTACATCACAGGACTCTGTGCAGACAACACTCAGTACCAGCCCGGAGCCAGGTAGATTCACTGGGTGACTAGACCCAGAAGAGAGACAACAAACACTGCAGTTTGGCTCACAGGAAGTCACATCTATAGGAAAAAGGAGAGAATACTACATCAAGTGAACACCCCGTGGGACAAAATAATCTGAACAACAGCCTTCAGCCCTAGACCTTCCCTCTGACAGAGCCTATCCCAATGAGAAGGAACCAGAAAACCAACCCTGGTTAAATGACAAACAAGGCTCTTCATGCCCCCCAAAAAATCACACTAGTTCACCAGCAAAGGATTCAAACAAGGAAGAAACCCCTGATTTACCTGAAAAAGAATTCAGAAGGTTAGTTATTAAGCTAATCAGGGAGGGACAAGAGAAAAGTGAAGCCCAATGCAAGGAAACCCCCCAAAAAATGATATAAGAAGCAAAGGGAGAAATACTCATGGAAACAGATAGCTTAAAGAAAAAATAATAAAAAATTCAGGAAACTTTGGATCCACTTTTAGAAATGCAGAATGCTCTGGACAGTCTCAGCAATAGAATTGAATAAGTAAAAATTCAGAGCTCAAAGACAAGGCCTTCGAATTAACCCAATCCAACAAAGGCAAAGAAAAAAGAATAAGAAAATATGAACAAAGACTCCAAGAAGTCTGAGATTATGTTAAATGACCAAACCTAAGAATAATTGGTATACCTGAGGAAGAAGGTAATTCTAAAAGTCCAGAAAACATATTTGGGGGAATAATTGAGGAAAACTTCCCCAGCCTTATGAGAGACCTAGACATCCAAATACAAGAAGCACAAAGAACATCTGGGAAATTCATTGCAAAAAGATCTTCACCTAGGCACATTGTCATCAGGTTATCCAAAGTCAAGACAAAGGAAAGAATCGTAAGAGATTTGAGACGGAAGCATCAGGTAACTTTAAAGGAAAACCTATCAGATTAACAGCATATTTCTCAGCAGAAACCCTACAAGCTAGAAAGGCTTGGGCATCTATCTTTAGCCTCCTCAAACAAAACAATTATCAGCCAAGAATTTTGTATCTAGCAAAACTAAGTATCATATATGAAGGAAAGATACAGTCGTTTTCAGACAAATGCTGAGAGAATTCACCATTACCAAACCACCACCACAAGAACTGCTAAAAGGAGCTCTAAATCTTGAAACAAATCCTGGAAACACGTCAAAATGGAACCTATTTAAAGCATAAATCACACAGGACCTATAAAACAAAAATACAAGTTAAAAATCAAAAACAAAAAACCAAAGTACACAGGCAACAAAAAGCACGATGAAAGCAATGGTACCCCACATTTTCAATACTAACATTGAATGTAAATGGCCTAAATGCTCCACTTAAAAGATACAGAACTGCAGAATGGATAAGAACTCACCAATCAACTATCTGCTGCCTTCAGGAGACTCATCTAACACATAAGGACTCACATAAGCTTAAAGTAAAGGGGTGGAAAAAGACATTTCATGCAAACAGACATCCAAAGCAAGCAGGGATAGCTATTCTTATATCAGACAAAACAAATTTTAAGGCAACAGCAGTTAAAAGAGGCAAAGAGGGCCAGTACATAATGGTAAAAGGCCTTGTCCAACAGGAAAATATCACAATCCTAAACATATATGAACCTAACACTGGAGCTCCCTAATTTACAAAACAATTACTAACAGACCTAAGAAATCAGATAGACAGCAACACAATAATAGTAGGGGACTTCAATACTCTACTGAAAGCACCGGACAGGTCATCAAGACAGAAAGTCAACAAAGAAACAATGGATTTAAATTATACCTTGGAACGAATGAACTTAACAGATATATACAGAACTCATCTAACAACTGCACAATACACATTCTATTCAACAGTGCATGGAGCTTTCTCCAAGATAGACCATATGATAGGTCATAAATTGAGCCTCAGTAAATTTAAGAAAATTGAAATTATATCAAGCACTCTCTCACACCACAGTGGAATAAAACTGGAAATCAACTCCAAAAGGAACCTTCAAAACCATGCAAATACATGGAAATTAAATAACCTGCTCCTGAATGAGCACTGGGTCAAAAATGAAATCAAGATGGAAATTTAAAAATTTTTCAAACTGAATGACAATAATGACACAACCTATCAAAACCTCTGGGATACAGCAAAAGTGGTGCTAAGACGAAAGTTCATAGCCCTAAATGCCTACATCAAAATGCCTACATCAAAATGCCTGAAAGAGCACAAACAGAAAATCTAAGGTCACACCTTGAGGAACTAGAGAAATAAGAACAAACCAAACCCAAACCCAGCAGAAGAAAGGAAATAACCAAGATCAGAGCAGAACTAAATAAAATTGAAACAAAAAATATAAAAGATAAATGAAACAAAAAGCTGGTTCTTTAAAAAGATAAATAAAATTGATAGACCATTAGCAACATTAACCAAGAACAGAACAGAGAAAATCCAAATAACCTCACTAAGAAATGAAACAGGAGATATTACAACTGACACCACTGTAATACAAAAAATCATTCAAGACTACTATGAACACCTTTATGCATATAAACTAGAAAACCTAGAAGTGATGGAAAAATTCCTGGAAAAATACAACCCACCTAGCTTAAATAAAGAAGAATTAGATAACCTGAACATACCAATAACAAGCAGAGAGATTAAAATGGTAATTAAAAAATTACCAACAAAAAATAGTCCAGGACCAGATGGATTCACAGAAAAATTCTACAAGATATTCAAAGAAGAATTCATACCAATCCTTTTGACACTATTCCACAAGATAGAGAAAGAAGGAACCCTCGCCAATTCATTCTATGAAGCCAGCATCACCCCAGTACCAAAACCAGGAAAGGACATAACCAAAAAAGAAAACAACAGACTGATATCCTTGATGAACATAGATGCTAAAATCCTTAACAAAATACTAGCTAACCAAATCCAACAACATATCAAAAAGATAATCCACCATAATTAATTGGGTTTCATACCAGGGATACAGGGATGGTTTAACATATGCAAGTCAATAAATGTGATACACTACAAAAACAGAATTAAAAACAAAAATCACATGATCATCTCAATAGATGCAGAAAAAGCATTTGACAAAACCCAGCATCACTTTAGGATTAAAACTCTCAGCAAAATCAGCACACAAGGGACATAACTTAATGTAATAAAAGCCATCTATGAGAAACCCAAAGCCAACATAATACTGAATGGGGAAAAGTTGAAAGCGTTCCTTCTGACAACTGAAACAAGAAAGGATGTCCACTCTCACCACTCCTCTGCAACATGTACTGGAAGTCCCAGGCAGAGCATTCAACAAGAAAAAGAAATAAAGGGCATCCAAATTGGTAAAGAGGAAGTCATACTGCTATTGTTTGATGATGATGTGATTGTTTACCTTGAAAACCCTAAGGACTCCTCTAGAAAGCTCCTAGAATTGACAAAAGAATTCAGCAAAGTTTCCAGATACAAGATTAGTGTACACAAATCAGTAGCTCTTATATACAGCAAGAGCAACCAAGCAGAGAATTAAATCAAGAACTCGATCCCTTTTACAGTAGCTGCAAAATAAATTAATATAATACTTAGGAATATACCTAACAAAGGAGTCAAAAGATCTCTACAAGGAAAACTACAAAACACTGCTAAAAGAAATCATAGCCAACACAAGCAAATGGAAACATATCCCATGCTCATGGATGGGTAGAATCAATATTGTGAAAATGACCATAGGACAAAAGCAATCCACAAACTCAATGTAATCTCCATTAGAATACCACCATCATTCTTCACAGAATTAGAAATAATAATTCTAAAATTCATATGAATCAAAAAAAGAGCCCACACAGACAAACAAGACTAAGCAAAAAGAACAAATCGGGAGTCATCACACTACCTGATTTCAAACTATACTTAAGGCCATAGTCACCAAAACCCCATGGAACTGGTATAGAAACAGCATTGACAGGAACACAGACCAATGAAACAGAATAGAGAACCCAGAAATAAACTCAAATACTTAAACAGCCAATTGATCTTTGACAAAGCAAACAAAAACATAAAGTGGGGAAAGGACACCCTTTTCAACAAATGGTGCTGGCATAATTGGCTAGCCACATGTAGGAGAATGAAACTGGATCCTCATCTCTTATTTTATATAAAAATCACCTCAAGATGGATTAAGGACTTAAACCTTAGATCTGAAACTGTAAAAATTCTAGAAGATAACATTGGAAAAACCCTTCTAGACATCGGCTTAGGCAAGGATTTCATGACCAAGAGCCCAAAAGCAAATGCAATAAAAACAAAGATAAATAGCTGGGACCTAATTAAACTAAGGAGTTTTGCACGGCAAAGGGAACAGTCAGCAGAGTAAACAGACAACCACAGAGTGGGAGAAAATCTTCACAATCTATACATCTAACAAATGACTAATATCCAGAATCTACAACGAACTCAAATCAGTAAGAAAAAAACAATCCCATCAAAAAGTGGGCTAAGGACCTGAATAGACAGTTCTCAAAAGAAGATATACAAATGGCAACAAATACATGAAAAAATGCCCAACATCACTAATGCTCAGGGAAATGCAAATCAAAACCACAATGCAATACTACCTCACTCCTGCAAGAATGGCCATAATCAAAAAAATAAAAAAAAAAACAGTAGATGTTGGCATGGATGTGGTGAACAGGAAACACTTCTACACTGCTGGTGGGAATGTAAACCAGTACAGCCACTATGGAAAACGGTGTGGAGATTCCATAAAGAACTTAAAGTAGAATTACCATTTGATCCAGCAATCCCACTACTAGGTATTTATCCAGAGGAAAATAAGTCATTATTTAAAAAAGATACTTGCACATGCATGTTTATAGCAGCACAATTCACAACTGCTAAATCATGGAACCAACTAAATGCCCATCAATCAATGAGTGGATAAAGAAACTGTGAGGTATATATATCTATATCTATATCTATATATAGATATACACATCTATATATATATACATCTATATATACATCTATATATATATACATCTATATATATCTATATATATATATAGATATATATATCTCCACACACACACACACACATACACGCACACACACAAAATGGAATACCATGCAGCCATCAAAAGGAATGAATAATGCATTTGCAGTGACCTGGATGAGATACTATTATTCTAAGTGATGTAACTCAGGAATGGAAAACCAAACATTGTATGTTCTCACTGATATGTGGGAGCTAAGCTATGAGGATGCAAAGGCATAAGAATGATACAATGGACTTTGGGGACTTGGGGGGAAGGATGGGAGGGGGTGAGGGATAAAAGACTACAAATATGGTGCAGTGTATACTGCTCGGGTGATGGTGCACCAAAAATCTCACAAATCACCGCTAAAAAACTTATGTAACCAAATACCACCCATACCCCAATACCCCAATAACTTATGGAAAAATAAAAATTAAATTTTTGGGGGATTAATATTTTTAATTACATGATTGTAATTAAACAATTTCCACTATTCGATATTTTGTATAAAACCAGTTACAACTCACAAGATTTTCAGATGTGACAATATGTATCAAACTACATACATATGCAAAGTTTACAGGCCATTAGGAAGCTTTATCTTAAAAATACCTTCAGGAAAATAAACATTCATTCAACCAGTTCTCTTGGCTTTAAAAAATATGATTAGAAATATACACTGTAAAAAAAAAATCAAGACAATGATTGATCAATACTGATCAGTTACATTTTAAAACTTTTAATAATCTGTACATGAAAGCAGGTTAAAGTCTGCAAATTATTAATAGAAAACTGCAGTACTATCATCGGATGAACATGTCTGCTCACAATTCTACCAGGTAATTAAGGAGGTAATTTCCTACACAGTATAGGTGAATTGTCCAGTCTTTAAACACATCTGGAGTCATCTCCACTCAGTGACATGGAGAATACCCTGATGTGGGGAAATGGAAGAGCAGCGGCTAGCCTCTCCAGGCCAGTTTCAGTGGAAGAGAACATTTAAAGGGACAATAAAATAGGTCCTAAAAGTTGCTTTTGACGAGCACTGCTTTCCAAAATGCAATAATGATTTTTTTTAACGTAGAAAGAGAAGCTATGTTAAGAACAGAAGCTATGTTAAGTGCATCCAATGAATGCACTGCTTCTGTGGCTCAGACGGTGACTGGGAAAAGGGAAGGCCCTAGGAGAGCCCTCGGGCCACGCACAAGCCCAGGCCATCCTGCCCAGCGAGCACACTGGCCTCGAGCACACTGGCCTCATGACAATGCTTGGGAACTCCTCTAAAACTTGCCTAGGCCCAAGAAAAGTGAAAGGTATCAATCACCCCTGTGAGAGGGCTAGAGGGGAGGGGAGGAAATAGGCAGGGGACAGGCTAGGGGCATCAAGCTCAGAACGGGGGAGTTCTGGAGGCCGGCAGAGCTGCGTGCTGCCGGGAAGCACTGGCCACGCCAGGCCATTCTGCTCTCATGAGGTGCTGCTCCCTACCAAGTTCTACAAAAAGCCACGTCTGTCCGTACTTCTAGGAACCCAGTTTTGCAGACGCTCTTCCTCTGGACTGTCCCTGACTCTTGATAATTTTGAGTCCCCAGAAAGCTTCAAGGGCACCAAAAATATTCACTTCTAATTTTAATTCCATTGCAAATTCCATTCTGGAGTACTTTCAGGGCTATTTAAGGCTCTTAAGTTAAGGGAATCTCTCCATCTGACAGACACAGTTTCATGTTCCATAGCAACAAGGTCTTATATAACAAGGACTCTAAGTCAGAATCCCAGAAAATTCTGGGTGTTTGTGGTTTCAGTTGGGGGTGATGGGAAGAGTCCACTCTCATTCATAGCAGGAAGAACTTTCCATCCCTCAGATCCAGAGACTTCCTGGATTCTAGAGATGGTCCTCATAAGAAAAATAGTTTTTTTTTAAAAAAAGACAATATATAAAACTATAAAACTCACTGGTAACACTGAGTATATAGTCAAATTAAGAATATTGTAATACTGTAATGGTGGTATCTAATCACTTTTAACTCTAGTATAAAAGTTAAAAGACAAAAGTAATAATAATTTGAGCTACAATAATTTGTTAATGGATACACAATATAAAAATATGTAAACTGTGATATCAAAAACATAAATGGGGGAGAAGTGAAAGTGTAGAATTTTTGTGAACAAAGTTAAGTTGTTGTCAGCTTAAAACAGGCTGTTATATGATGTTTTATGTAAGCCTCATGGTGATCACAAAGAAAAAGAAACCTGTAGCAGATACATAAAGTGAAAGAAATCAAACCATTATCACTACCAAACAAAATTGTCAAATCACAATGCAAGACAGCATAAGGAACAAAGGGACTACAAACAGTCAGAAAACAGTCAACAAAATGGCAATATTAATCCTTAACTATCAATAATTACTTTCAGTGTAAATGTATTAAATTCTCTAATCAAAAGACAGAGTGACAGAATGGATTAAAAAACACTCACTTTAGCATTAAGGACACAAACAGAGCAGTGTGGTTATACTTATATTAGACAAAATAGACTTCAAGTCAAAAACTCTCACAAGAGACAAGATAATAACATAATGATAAAGGGATCCATTCATCAAGAGGATATACCAATTATAAATATATATGAACCCAAAATTAGGCTCCTAAATATATGAAGTAAATAAACAGAACTGAAGGAAGAAATAAGACAGCAATACAATAATAGTAGGGGACTTCGATACCTTACTTTCAACAATGGACAGGTCAGATAGAAAAATCAATAAACAGTAGACTGGAAAACACTATAAACCAAATGGACTTAACAGAAATATTCAAAACGTTCCATTTAATGGCAGCAGAAAACACAATCTTAAGAACATTCTCCAGGATAAATCATGTTATGCTACAAAACAAGTCTTAACACATTTAAGAAGACTGCAATCATATCAAGTATCTTTTTTTTCCACAATGGTATGAAACTAGAAGTAGGGGGAAAAACTGAAAACTCACAAATAAATGGGAAATTAACACATCTCTAAACAAGTGGATCAAAAGGGAAATCAAAAATATCTTGAGACAAATGAGAATAGAAACACAGCACACTGAAACTTATGGGATGCAGCAAAAGCAGTTCCAAGAGGAAAGTTTATAGTGATAAATGCCAACATTAGGGAAAAAAAAAAATCTTGAAACAACCTAATTTTATACCTCAGGGACCTAGAAGACCAAAGTAAGCTCAAAATTAACAAAGAAAGAAAATAGTAAAGATTAGAGCAGAATTAAATAAAATAGAGACTAGAAAAAGAGTAGAAAGATCAATTACAGTTTTTTGAAAAGATGAACAAAATTGGCAAACCCTTAGCTAGACTAAGAAAAAAAGAAAGAAAACTCAAAATTATAAATGAAAGGGAGACTTTAAAATTGATACTACAGAAATACAAAGGATCATAAGAGACTGATATGAACAATTATATGCCAAAAAATTGGAAAACCTAAGCAAAAAGGATAAATTTCTAGAACGTACAACCTACCAAGACTGAATAATGAAAAAAATAATAAATCTGAACAGTCAAATAATGAGTAAGGATATTGAACCAGTAGTCAAAAACTTCCCAGCAATGAAAAGCCCAGGACTAGACAGCTTTACTGATGAATTCTACCAAATATTCAAAAAAGAATGAATGTCAATCTTTCTCAAACTCTTCTGAAAAACTGAAGAGGAAAAAATACTTTCAAACTCATAAAGCCAGCAATACCCTGACACCAAAGCCAGACAAGAAAAAAAAAAATTACAAGCCAGTATCTCTGATGAACATAGATGTAGAAATCCTCAACAAAATACTAGCAAACTAAATTCAACAGCAAATTAGAAGGGAGTTTAAATCATGATCAAGTGGGATTTGTCCCTGGGATGCAAGGATGACTCAACATATGCTCAAGCAATCCTCTCACTACAGCCTCCCAAGTAGCTGGGACTATAGGCATGCACCACCATGTCCAGCTAATCTTTAAAATTTTTTTAGAGACAGGGTCTTGCTGTGTTGTCCAGGCTAGTTTGAAGCCCCTAGCCTCAAGGAATCTACTGTCTCAGCTTCCTGAATAGCTGGGATTACAGGTGCAAGCCACCAGGCCAAGCTCAAATAATATTTATAATGTTATATTATTGTATGTATATAATAGCACAAAGGTGTGGAGAGGGAATGGAACTATACTGGAATAAAGTTTCTCTATCTTACTGGAATTACATTCCTATAATCTGAAGTACATTCTGACAAGGTGTATGTTATAAGCCCATAGAAGAACCATTAGGAAATGACTTAAAATTGATTTTTAAAATTAAGAAAGAAATTAAAATGGTATACTAGAAAATAATCATGTAATACAAAAGGAGGCAATAGAGGAGAAATAGAGGAACAGAAAGATAGAAGGCCTGTAGAAAACAAATAACAAAATGGAGGACATGTGCCTAACTATATCAATACTGGCATTACATGTGAATGAGTTAAACACTCCAAAGAAAAGGCACAGGTTGTAAGACTCGATTACAAAAAAACAAGCAAAATTCAGTTTTATGATGTTACAAGAGACATACTTTAGGGTTTTGTTGTTTTTTTTTTTAAACGTAGGTTGAAAACAAAGGGTTATGAAAAGATATGCCAATGCTAAGCAAACAGCAGGCATAAGTGAACTGAAGTGGCTATACTAATATCAGATAAAATAGGCTTTAAGACAGAAACTGTTACTAGAGACAAAGAGAGGCATCTTAAAATACAGTCAGTTCATTGGGAAGATATTACAATAAATGTATATATTGGCGTGACAACAGAGCTCCAAAATGAAGCAAAAACTGACAGAATTAAAGGGAGACATAGACAATTCTATAGTAATAGTTGGAGATCTCAATGCCCTACTCTTGATAATGGGTAGAACAACTAAATGGAAAATCAGAAAGTATGTAATAGACTTAAACAACACTACATGACCAACTGACCTAAATGACATCTGTAGAACATTCCATCCGCAGTAGAAGAATACAAATCCTTCTCAAATGTATTTGGAACATTTTCCAGGATAGACCATATGGTAGGCCATAAAAACAAGCCTCAGTTTAAAAGGATTGAAACTATACAAAGAATGTTCTCTGACCACAATGGAATGAAATTACAAATCAACACCACAGCAAATTTGGAGAATCCAAAAATATGTGGAAATTAAACAACACATGTCTAAATAACTCATGGATCAAAAATAAAGAACAAGGGAAATTATAAAATATTTTGAACTGAATAAAAAACACAGCATAGCAAATTGATAGGATATAGCTAGTACAGTGTTCAGAGGGAAATTTATAGCTATAAATGTCTACATTACAAAGAAGAAAGATTTTGAATAATCTAACTTTCTACCTTAAGAAACTAGAAAATGTGAAAAAGAATAGTGTGCAAATGCGCACAAGATTTCTTTTTGGGATGATGGAAATGTTCTAAAATTAGATTGCAGTGATGGCTGTACAACAGTAAATGTACTAAAATTATTTGAATTGGATATGTATAAAAATGAATTCTATGGCAGGTAGATTATACCTTAAGAAAGCATTTTTATAAGGTTGGATCAGGCAAAATTCATCAATGGATATTAAATCTAGAGGGACATTTTGATGACTGGAAGGATATTTGCATGGTCTTAGACTGTCTCTCCACAGGTTCCTCCTTTATTGCAAGGGAAAACAGTAATTATTACAGTGAAGAATCAGAAAACATCTTGATCAGATATTCAAACTTAACATCACCAGAGCAGCATTCCAAGATGGCTGAAAAGGAACAGCTCCAGTCTGCAGTCCCCAGCGTGATCAAAGATTGGTGATTTCTGCATTTCCAACTGAGGTACCTGGTTCATCTCATTGGGACTGGTTGGACAGTGGGTGCAGCCCACAGAGGGTGAGCTAAAGCAGGGCAGGGCATCATCTCACCTAGGAAGTGCAAGGGGTTGGGGGATTTCCCTTTCCTAGCCAAGGGAAGCTGTGACAGACTACCTGGAAAAGCGGGGCACTCCCGCCCAAATACTGCACTTTTCCCAAGGTCTTAGCAACTGGCAAAAAGGTGATTCTCTCCCATGCCCAGCTCAGTGGGTCCCATGCCCACAGAGCCTTGCTCACTGCTAGCGCAGCAGTCTGAGATCTGCGAGGTGGCAGCCTGGCTGGGGGAGGGGCGTCTGCCATTCCTGAGGCTTGAGGAGGTAAACAAAGCAGCCGGGAGCTCGAACTGGGTGGAGCCCACCACAGCTAAACAAGGCCTACTGCATCTAGACTCCATCTCTGTGGGCAGGGGATAGCTGAAAGAAAAGGCAGCAGACAACTTCTGCAGACCTAAACGTCCCTGTCTGAGAGCTCTGAAGAGAGCAGTGGTTCTCCCAGCATGGCGTTTGAAATCTGAGAAAGTACAGACTGCCTCCTCAAGTGGGTCCCTGACCCCCGTGTAGCCTAACTGGGAGACACCTCCCAGTAGGGGCCGACTGACACCTCATATAGGCAGCTGCCCCTCCAGGATGAAGCTTCCAGAGGAAGGATCAGGCAGCAATATTTACTGTTCTGCAATATTTGCTGTTCTGCAGCCTCTGCTGGTGATACCCAGGCAAACAGGGTCTGGAGTGGAACTCCAGCAAACTCCAACAGACCTGCAGCTGAGGGACCTGACTGTTAGAAGGAAAACTAACAAACAGAAAGGAATAGCATCAACATCAACAAAAATGTCATCTACACCAAAACCCCATCTGTAGGTCACCAACATCAAAGAAAAAAGGTAGACAAAACCACAAAGATGGGGAGAAACCAGAGCAGAAAAGCTGAAAATTCTAAAAACCAGAGCACCTCTTCTCCTCAAAAGGATTGCAGTTCCTCGCCAGCAACAGAACAAAGCTGGATGGAGAATGACTTTGACGAGTTGACAGAAGTAGGCTTCAGAAGGTCGGTAATAACAAACTTCTCTGCGCTAAAGGAGGATGTTCAAACCCATCGCAAGGAAGCTAAAAACCTTGAAAAAGATTAGACAAATGGCTAACTAGAATAAACAGTGTAGAGGACCTCAAATGACCTGATGGAGCTGAAAACCATGGCACAAGAACTACGTGACGCATGCACAAGTATGAAATTAATGAAATTAAGTGAGAAGACAAGTTAGAGAAAAAAGAGTAAAAAGAAACAAACAACACCTCCAAGAAACATGGGACTATGTGAAAAGACCAAATCTACATTTGATTGGTGTACTATCGGGGGAAACCAGCCCCCAATACTTCAACGTAGGTTCTTTTCTATTTTCCCTAAGTGTCGGCCGGTCTGAGAAATAAAGGGAAAGAGTACAAAAGAGAGAAATTTTAAAGCTGGTGTCTGGGGGAGACACCACATGTTGGCAGGTTCTGTGATGCCCCATGAGCCGCAAAACCAGCAAGTTTTTATTAGTGATTTTTAAAGGGGAGGGAGTGTACGAATAGCGTGTGGGTCACAGAGATCACATGCTTCACAAGGCAATAAAATATCACAAGGCAAATGGGGGCAGATCACAGGATGGGGGCAAAATTAAAATTGCTAATGAAGTTTCGTGTCCCACTAGGCACACATTGTCATTGATAACATCTTATCAGGAGAAAGGGTTTGAGAGCAGACAACTAGTCTGACTAAAATTTACTAGGCAGGAATTTCCTCATCCTAATAGGCCTGGGAGCGCTACGGGAGACGGGGTTTATTTCATCCCTTATCTACAACTGTATAAGACAGACACTCCCAGAGTGGTCATTTTAGAGACCTATCCCTGGGAATGCATTCTCTTTCTCAGAGCTGCTCCTTGCTGAGAAAAAGAATTCAGCGATATTTCTCCTATTCGCTTTTGTAAGAAGAGAAATATGGCTCTGTTCCACCTGGCTCTAAGGGAGTCAGACCTAATGGTTATCTCCCTTGTTCCCTGAACATCGCTGTAATCCTGTTCTTTTTTCAAAGCGCCCAGATTTCATATTGTTTAAACACACATGCTTTACAAACAATTTGTGCAAGTAACACAATCATCACAGGGTCCTGAGGGGACATATATCCTCAGCTTACAAAGATGACAGGTTTAAGAGATTAAAGCAAAGACAGGGATAGGAAATTACAAGAGTATTGATTGGGGAAGTGATAAATGTCCACGAAATCTTCACAATTTATGTTCTTCTGCCATGGCTTCTGCCAATACCTCCATTCGGGGTCCCTGACTTACCGAAACAATGTACTTGAAAGTGATGGGGAGAATGGAACCAAGCTGGAAAACACTCTTCAGGATATTATCCAGGAGAACTTCCCCAAACTAGCAAGGCAGGCCAACATTCAAATTCAGGAAATACAGAGAACACCGCAAAGATACTCCTCGAGAAGAGCAAACCCAAGACACATAACTGTCAGATTCACCAAGGTTGAAATGAAGGAAAAAGTGTTAAGGGCAGCCAGAGAAAAAGGTCAAGTTAAACACAAAGGGAAGCCCATCAGACTAACAGTGGATCTCCTGGCAGAAACTATACAAGCCCAAAGAGAGTAGGGGCCAATATTCAACATTCTTAAAGAAAAGAATTTTCAACCCAGAATTTCATATCCAGCCAAACTAAGCTTCAAACGTGAAGGAGAAGTAAAATCCTTTACAGACAAGCAAATGCTGACAGATTTTGTCACCACCAGGCCTACCTTACAAGAGCTCCTGAAGGAAGCACTAAACATGGAAAGGAACGACTGGTACCAGCCACCGCAAAAACATGCCAAATCGTAAAGACCATCAGTGCTATGAAGAAACTGCATCAATTAACAGGCAAAATAACCACCTAACATCATAATGACAGGATCAAATTCACACATAACAATATTAACCTTAAATGTAAATGGGCTAAATGCCACAATTAAAAGACACAGACTGGCAAATTGGATAAAGAGTTAAGACCATCAGTGTGCTGTATTTAGGAGGCCCATCTCACGTGCACAGACGCACAAAGGCTCAAAATAAAGAGATGGAGGAAGATCTACCAAACAAATGGAAAGCAAAAAAAAAGAGGGGTTGCAATCCTAGTCTCTGATAAAATAGACTTTAAACCAACAAAGATCAAAAGAGACAAAGAAAGCCATTACATAATGATAAAGGGATCAATTCAACAAGAAAAGCTAACTATCCTAAATGTATATGCACGCAAGACAGGAGTACCCAGATTCATAAAGCAAGTCCTTAGAGACCTACAAAGAGACTTAGATTCCCATATAATAATAATGGGGGACTTTAACAACCCATTGTCAATATTAGACAGATCAATGAGACAGAAGGTTAACAAGGATATCCAGGACCTGAACTCAACTGTGAAACAAGCAGACCTAACAGACATCTACAGAATTCTCCACCCCAAATCAGCACAATATACATTCTTCTCAGTACCACATCACACTTATTCTAAAGCTTACCACATAATTGGAAGTAGAGCACTCCTCAGCAAACGTAAAAGAACAGAAATCACAACAAACTGTCTCTCAGACCACAGTGCAAACAAAATAGAACTCAGGATTAAGAAACTCACTCAAAACCACACAACTACTTGGAAACTGAACAACCTGCTCCTGAAAGACTACTGCATAAATAATGAAATGAAGGTAGAAATAAAGACATTCTTTGAAACCAATGAGAACAAAGACACAATGTACCAGAATCTCTGGGACACACTTAAAGCAGTGTGTAGAGGGAAATTTATAGCACTAAATGCCCACAAGAGAAAGCAGGAAAGATCTAAAATTGACACCCTCACATCACAATGAAAAGAACTAGAGAAGCAAGAGCAAACACATTCAAAAGCTAGAAGAAGGCAAGAAATAACTAAGATCAGAGCAGAACTGAAAGAGAGAAACAAAAAAACTTTCAAAAAAAA
Source organism: Homo sapiens (assembly GCF_000001405.40). NCBI lineage: Eukaryota > Metazoa > Chordata > Mammalia > Primates > Hominidae > Homo > Homo sapiens. The sequence continues at coordinate 53,754,637 of NC_000005.10, forward strand.
TCAGTGAATCCAGGAGTTGGTTTTTTGAAAAGATCAACAAAATAGATAGACCACTAGCAAGACTAACAAAGAAGAAAAGAGAGAAGAATCAAATAGACACAATAAAAAATGATAAATGGGATATCACCACTGATCCCACAGAAATACAAACTACCATCAGAGAATACTATAAATACCTTTATGCAAATAAACTAGAAAATCTAGAAGAAATGGATAAATTCCTAGACACATACACCCTCCCAAGACTAAACCAGGAAGAAGTTGAATCTCTGAATAGAGCAGTAACAGGCTCTGAAATTTAGGCATAAGAGCCTACCAACCAAAAAAAGTCCAGGACCAGATGGATTCACAGCCAAATTCTACCAGAGTTACAAAGAGGAACTGCTACCATTCCTTCTGAAACTATTCCAATTAATAGAAAAAGAGGGAATCCTCGCTAACTCATTTTATGAGGCCAGCGTCATCCTGATAACAAAGCCTGGCAGAGACACAACAAAAAGAGAATTTTAGACCAATATCCCTGATGAACATCGATGCAAAAATCCTCAATAAAATACTGGCAAACTGAATCCAGCAGCACATCAAAAACTTATCCACCATGATCATGTTGGCTTCATCCCTGGGATGCGAGGCTGGTTCAACATATGCAAATCAATAAACATAATCCATCACATAAACAGAACCAACGACAAAAACCACATGATTATCTCAATAGATGCAGAAAAGGCCTTCGACAAAATTCAACAGCCCATCATGCTAAAAACTCTTAATAAACTAGGTATTGATGGAACATATCTCAAAATAATAAGAGCTATTTATGACAAACCCACAGCCAATATCATATTGAATGGACAAAACCTGGAAGCATTCCCTTGGAAACCCAGCACAAGACAAGGATGCCCTCTCTCAACACTCCTATTCAATATAGTAGTGGAAGTTCAGGCCAGGGCAATCAGGCAGGAGAAAGAAATAAAGGATATTTGATTAGGAAATGAGGAAGTCAAATTGTCCCTGTTTGCAGATGACATAATTGTATATTTAGAAAATCCCATCATCTCAGCCCAAAATCTCCTTAAGCTGATAAGCAACTTCAGCAAAGTCTCAGGATACAAAATCAATGTGCAAAAATCACAAGCATTCCAGCCAGGCAAGGTGGCTCAAGCCTGTAACCCCAGCACTTTGGGAGACTAAGGCAGGTGGATCACAAGGTCAGGAAATCAAGACCATCCTGATTAACACGGTGAAACCTTGTCTACTCAAAATACAAAAAATTAGCTGGGCATAGTGGCAGGTGCCTGTAGTCCCAGCTACTTGGGAGGCTGAGACAGGAGAATGGCATGACCCCAGGAGGGGGAGCTTGCAGTGAGCCAAGATCGTGCCACTGCACTCCAGCCTAGGTGACAGAGTGAGACTCCATCTCAAAAAATAAAAAAATTAAAAAATTAAAAAAATAAGCATTCCTGTATACCATTAACAGACAAAAAGAGAGCCAAATCATGAGTGAACTCCCATTCACAATTGATACAAAGAGAATAAAATACCTAGGAATCCAACTTACAAAGGATGTGAAGGACCTCTTCAAGGAGAACTACGAACCACTGCTAAACAAAATAAAAGAGGACACAAACAAATGGAAGAACATTCCACGCTCATGGATAGGAAGAATCAATATCATGAAAATGGCCACAGTATCCAAAGTAATTTATAGATTCAATGCCATTCCTATCAAGCTACCAATGACTTTCTTCACAGAGTTGGAAAAAACTAAACTTCATCTGGAACCAAAAAAGAGCCCGCATTGCCAAGACAATCCTAAGCAAAAAGAACAAAGCTGGAGGCATCACGCTACCTGACTTCAAACTGTACTACAAGGCTACAGTAACCAAAACAGCAAGATACTGGTACCAAAACAGAGATATAGACCAGTGGAACAGAACAGAGGCCTCAGAAATAACACCACACATCTACAACCATCTGATCTTTGACAAACCCAAAAAAACAAGAAATGGGGAAAGGATTCCCTATTTAACAAATGGTGCTGGGAAAATTGGCTAGCCATATGCAGAAAGCTGAAACTGAATCCCTTCCTTACACCATATACAAAAATTAACTCAAGGTGAATTAAAGACTTAAATGTTAGACCTAACACCATAAAAACCCTAGAAGAAAACCTAGGCAATACCATTCAGGACATAAGCATGGGCAAAGACTTCATGACTAAAACACCAAAAGCAATGGCAACAAAAGCCAAAATTGACTAATGGGATCTAATTAAACTAAAGAGCTTCTGCACAGCAAAATAAACTATCATCAGAGTGAAAAGGCAATCTACAGAATGGGAGAAAATGTTTGCAATCTACCCATCTGACACAGGGCTAATATCCAGCATCTACAAAGAGCTTAAACAAATTTACAAGAAAAAAACAACCCCATCAAAAAGTGGGCAAAGGATATGAACAGATACTTCTCAAAAGAAGACATCTATGCAGCCAAAAGACACATGAAAAAATGCTCATCATCACTGGTCATCAGAGAAATGCAAATCAAAACCACAATGAGATACCATCTCACACCAGTTAGAATGGCGATCATTAAAAAGTCAGGAAACAACAGATTCTGGAGAAGATGTGGAGAAATAGGAACACTTTTACACTGTTGGTGGGAGTGTAAATTAGTTCAACCATTGTGGAAGACAGTGTGGCAATTCCTCAAGGATCTAGAACTAGAAATACCATTTGACCCAGCAATCCCATTACTGGGTATATACCCAAAGGATTATAAATCATGCTACTATAAAGACACATGCACAGGTATGTTTACTGAGGCACTATTTACAATAGCAAAGACTTGGAACTAACCCAAAAGTCCATCAATGATAGACTGGATTAAGAAAATGTGGCACATATATACCATGGAATACTATGCAGCCATAAAAAAGGATGAGTTCATGTCCTTTACAGGAACATGGATGAAGCTGGAAACCATCATTCTCAGCAAACTATCACAAGGACAGAAAACCAAACACCGCATGTTCTCACTCATAGGTGGGAGTTGAACGAGATCACTTGGACACAGGGCGGGGAACATCACACACTGGTGCCTGTCGGGGGGTGGGCCCTGGGGGAGGCATAGCATTAGGAGAAATACCTAATGTAAATGATGAGTTGATGGGTGCAGCAAACCAACATGGCACATGTATACTTATGTATCAACCCTGCACGTTGTGTACATGTACCCTAGAACTTAAAGTATAATAAAAAATAATAAGAATAAAAAAAACATCACCAATGAAAGTCAGATGGACATCAGATACCACCAATTCTGATACCCTGAGGACACAATATAAAACGTTAGACAAACTGAAAATGAGGAATGTTTAATTAAAGGAGGAGGAGATATATTATTCAAAAGTGTCATAAAATACAAATAAATCTATGGAAATGCTCCAGATTAAAGGAAGCTAAAGAGACATGACAATTAAACGTTAACACTGATCTTAGACTGGGGGAAGATATTTCAAAGAGCATTATTATTCATTTGATAAAACTGGAATGCAGAGAGATTAGGTTAAAATATTATAATTAAAGTTAAATTTACTGACATTGACAAACGTATAAAATTGTGAAAGAATATTCATGGGAATTACGTATTGAAGTATTTAGGAGTAAACGACCATGACATATGTAATTTATTGTCAAATGGTTTAGAAAAAAATCTCCCCCCAGCCTCTCTCTCTCATGTTCAGATACTAGCAGTTTTCCTCTCCTTTAAAGAATATTTAATTTTATTTACAAATACTATAAAAGTATTTTCTCTAGTTTAATAAACTGATAATCATGACCATAATGTTTGAATATATTCTTTGGGAAACCTATTTTAACACTGTCAAACAGCAATTTCCCACTGTTGTTTTTGCACTATCAATGCAAATGGTCAACACAATAAAAAGGCAAATAATATTTTACTCTTACTATCCAGAGTTCTGGCCTCATAGATTTCCTGAAAGGGTCTCAAGGAAACCCAGGGGTCCATGGACCACTTGTTTCAAGAGCACAAATTATAATCTTACTTGTTATGTATTTTCATAGGAAGCAGAACCAAAGGGAACAAGCATGAAAGTTAGGTTATCTATACAAACACATCCTGACTATGAGTGGTATAAAGAAATTAAAGTATGTCTCTGAAAGAAAGCTGTAGAATTTTCTCTTTTCTTTCATATATTTTTTCATGTGTTATTTTTATTTTTATCATGAATGTTTTCAAAGAATCACTAGAGAGACTGGTATTGTGAATCCCCGTATGCCCTATTTAAACTGACATTAATATTTTGCTATTATTTGCTAGCATATTGTTCAAGTTGTTTAAAGCAAATTCCAGACATCATAGCATTTTATCCTTATTATACTCTAATATCTAGTTCATATTCAGATTTCCCCAATGGTTCCCTACCACCACCACCAAATTTAATTCTACAGTTAACATTTTGGACTTGAATCCAAAAAAAGCGTTTGTACATTGTTTCTGGCTAATACGATTTTTTTTTTTTTTTTTTTTTTTTTTTGAGACAGGATCTTACTGTTACCCAGGCTGGAGTGCAGTGGCAAAATCACAGCTCACTATAGCCTTAAGCTCCTGACTCAAGATATCCTCGCCTGAGCCTCCCAAGTAGCTGGGACTATAGGCACGCACCACCATGCCTGGCTCCCCATATTTCCTATAAACTGAAAGTTCAGTCTTAAGGTTTGGCAAAACTCAGGTTTAACAATTTTGACCAAAATATATCATGGTGATACTGCCATAATAATTTACATAAACATGGCAAAAGGCCCATCTTTTTTTTTTTTTTTTTCTTTTTTGAGAGAGAGAGAGTTTCGCTCTGTCTCCCTTGAGGAGTGCAATGGCGTGATCTCGGCTCGCTGCAACTTCCGCCTCCCAGGTTCAAGCTATTCTCCCAACTTGGTCTCCTGAGTAGCTGGGATTACAGGTGCACACCACCACGCCCAGCTAATTTTTATATTTTTAGTAGAGACAGGGTTTCACCACGTTGGCCAGGCTGGTCTGGAACTCCTAACTTCAAGTGATCCACCCACCTCGGTCTTCCAAAGTGCTGGGATTACAGGCGTGAGCCACCGCTGGCCCTTCCGCCCTTCCTCCCTTCCTTCTCTCTCTTTTTTTTTTTTTTTTTTTTTTTTTGCCAGAGTCTCGCTCTGTCACCCAGGCTGGAGTGCAGTGGCACAATCTTGGCTCACTGCAACTTTCACCTCCCAGGTTCAAGTGATTCGCCTGCCTCAGCCTCCTGAGTAGCTGAGATTACAGGTGTATGCCATCACCGCCCAGCTAGTTTTTGTATTTTTAGTAGAGATGGGGTTTCACCATGTTGGCCAGGCTGGTCTCAAAGTCCTGACCTATGGTCCATCCACCTCAGCCTTCCAAAGTGCTGGGATTACAGGCGTGAGCCACCACATGCAGCCGGTCCATCTTGAAGGGTTAGGGACAGTTCTAACTACAAGTAGGTTTATACAGCTTTGCTTTTTCTTCAAGATCTGTACAACCCCATCCTAGAGTTGGAAGGATGTAGAGAAGTACTTTACCTCTATGGTCACTTGTTAGAACCAAAAGACACCTTCATGATAGAGATTTAAGCTAATTGGTTTACCAAGGGGCAAGCAACTGTTTAGTGGAATTTCACTAGCAGATTTGCTTAGCTGTGGTCATTTAAAAAAGCAAACATTGTTTTTCAAAATCAATTACTGCTTTCTTTCATTGTTGCCTGCCCAAGTATCCTAGAAAATGGTGATTTGGTTATTTCCTACCTTATTAGGAAATATCTTTCAATAATGGATAAATTAAGTTAATTTTGCAGGTAATTAAGAGTTTGTAATGTATTTACAGAGTGTTTAAAAATCATTGAATGAGCGATTCTTTATGTTGTGACTGTGGTTTCTTGTAGGTGGGGGTTCATTAGGTTATGAATTAATGACCTTGGTTAAAATAAATGTAAATCAAACCCAGGGAAGTTACAGACAGAAAAGGGGATCAAAGGCTATTATAGGAGTTCCTAATAGCATCAGTATAATTAAAATTCTATTAAGTTTCTCAGGGGTTAATAATTTCATAGTGAAAATATGCTTAAGGCTGACATTTGGCATACAAATATTTAGCCCACAGCAATACTTTTTAAGGAAAATCTAATTAAGTTAGGCAGCAAAGGGGGATTAAAAATGGCTGATCTGAAACCACAGAAAGAATTTTTTCCATTTCAAAGGTTTTGTCATGTCTGGCAGTGATGCAAAGGTAAGCAAATTTTTTGGAATTTACTAATGAAAAGAAAACCCTCTTTTCATATCTTCCTTTAGCAATCCTTATTCCTCAGGTAGAATAATACTCATTCAGTGTAATTGGACTTTTCATGTCTTTTTTTTTTTAAGAAATAAATTTGAAAGACTCCAGCAAATGACTGGATTCCATGTGGAAGAAGTGAAGCTTTAGATTGTGGTACATATGTAAATTAAAACATCCGCTACTATGGTGCTTACCAATCACTTAACTTGAGAACTGCATTTCTGTAAGGAAGGAAAAAAGAAAACACTTTCATCACATAAATATCAGATTGAGAAGAAACATCCTATCAGTGAGACTAAAACCATGTCCAATGCTTACATGCTACTCAGCCTAGCTTGTAGCTTCCACCCAGAGCTCTGGTTTGGAGCTGATTTATATTCTGCTCTTGCTGAGTTTTGATTCTAGAATCAGTGATTTGCCTTCAGTGGCCACATGAGTCACAACCCATATAAAACTTAGGATCAGGAGGAGGGACAGACCTCTGGCTTGTGAGCTTTAAAATTATATGCAGTTTCCTGGGCTGTGGGGAAGATGAGTGAGTTCATGGAAACTCACTCCATTTCATTTTCAGTTAAACATTTTCATTGTTTAATATGAATTCATTTGGATTAGACACATAGGTTAAGTACAAGGCAGGTCCTTCAGGCCCCTCCTTTGCTTAATTTTTCCCAGCAACCCATAGATTGCTACAATTAGTGACATAAATACAGCTTTACCTTTCAAGGAAATAATAATTCCCTTTCTAAAAATTCACTCTGTTTCCTTTACATAATCTTATCAGTACGTAGAATGACATTTCCAGTTTAATAGATGGAGTCAAGCACAGAGATGGGTAGAAAGGGGAGTTACCAAACAGTATACCTGGAGCAGGACTGGAGGACAAATACAAGGAGGAGAACAGTTTGACCAGTGCCCTCTGTCAAATAATCTCTCATTTTCTAGACCTCCTCTCCCTGACCCCACCCCCACATACAAATAAGCAAATAAAACAAGTTAACACAATTCCTTGGATAATGAAAACTGACACCTGTTGAGTATTATGTGCCAAGCAGTCTTCTAGGTCCTAAAATATAATAGATTATTTCATCCTCACAACAACTCTATGACTTACAGGTGGGAGAAGTGAGGCACAAAGAGGTTAATAAACTTGCCCAAGGTCGCAGTCTATTAGAGGCAAGGCAGGGCTTGTGAACTTAAGCTGCAGTACTGTTCTCATAACCATGATGCTGTGGCCCACTGGCACCTGTATTCCACTTTAATGCTCTCTCCTTAAACTTCACAAATGTATACTGTACCAAAAGTATAGGCTTTAGCTAAGACATAAGAGTTGGCATTCATACTGACCAAGATAATTTATAGATTCAATGCTATACCCATCAAGCTACCAATGACTTTCTTCACAGAATTGGAAAAAACTACTTGAAAGTTCATATGGAACCAAATAAGAGCCTGTATAGCCAAGACAATCCTAAGCAAAAAGAACAAAGCTGGAGGCATCATGCTACCTGACGTCAAACTACACTACAAGGCTACAGTAAACAAAACAGCATGGTACTGGTACCAAAACAGAGATATAGACCAGTGGAAGAGAACAGAAACCTCAGAAATAACACCACACATCTACAATCATCTCATCTTTGACAAACCTGACAAAAATAAGAAATGGGGAAAGGATTCCCTATTTAACAAATGGTGCTGGGAAAACTGGCTAGCCATATGCAGAAAGCTGAAACTGGATCCCTTCCTTATGCTGTATACAAAAATTAACTCAAGGTGGATTAAAGACTTAAATGTAAGACCTAACACCATAAAAACCCTAGAAGAAAACCTAGGCAATACCATTCAGGACATAGGCATGGGCAAAGACTTCATGACTAAAACACCAAAAGCAATGGCAACAAAATAGACAAATGGGATCTAATTAAACTAAAGAGCTTCTGCACAGCAAAATAAACTATCAGCAGTGTGAAAAGGCAACCTGCAGAATGGGAGAAAATGTTTGCAATCTACCCATCTGACACAGGGCTAATATCCAGAATCTACGAAGAACTCAAACAAATTTACAAGAAAAAAACAAACAACCCCATCAAAAAGTGGGCAAAGGATATGAACAGACACTTCTCAAAAGAAGACATTTATGCAGCCAACAAACATATGAAAAAATGCTCATCATCACTGGCCATCAGAAAAATGCAAATCAAAACCACAATGAGATACTATCTCATGCCAGTTAGAATGGCGATCATTAAAAAGTCAGGAAACAACAGATGCTAGAGAGGATGTAGAGAAGTAGGAACACTTTTACACTGTTGGTGGGAGTGTAAATTAGTTCAAGCATGTGTGAAGACAGTGTGGTGATTCCTCAAGGATCTAGAACTAGAAATACCATTTCACCCAGCAATCCCATTACTGGGTATACACCCAAAGGATTATAAATCATGCTACTATAAAGACACATGCAGAGGTATGTTTATTGCGGCACTATTCACAATAGCAAAGACTTGGAACCAACCCAAATGTCCATCAATGATAGACTGGATTAAGAAAATGTGGCACATATACACCATGAAACACTACGCAGCCACAAAAAAGGATGAGTTCATGTCCTTTGCAGGGACATGGATGAAGCTAGAAACCATCATTCTCAGCAAACTATCACAAGGACAGAAAACCAAACACTGCATGTTCTCACTCATAGGTGGGAGTTGAATGATGAGAAGACACGGACACAGGGAGGGGAACATCACACACCTGGGTCTGTTGGGGGTGCGGGGCTGGGGGAGGGATAGCATTAGGAGAAATACCTAATATAAATGACGAGTTGATGGATGCAGCAAACCAACATGGCACATGTATACCTATGTATCAAACCTACATGTTGTGCACATGTACCCTCGAACTTAAAGTATAATAAAAATAAAAAATGTATTCACATAAACTTGTATAAGAATTATCACAACAGTTTTCTTCATACTAGCCCCAACAGAAAAATGGACAATAATTTACAGTATATTAATATAAAGAAATATTACTGAGTAGTTAAAAAAGAACTGTTGATCCACAACAATATGGAAGAACTTAAAAAATGTAAGTCAAAGAAGCCAGACAGATAGTATTTATACAATAAATACTGTGGTATATGAGCTCATTTATCAAATCAGGCAAAACTAATCTTTGGGGAAAAATCAGAATGGTGGTTGTCTCTTAGGGAGTGGGGATGGGAACTGCCTAGAAAGGAACCTTATGGACTGATGGAAGTGTGCATTATATAGGTATATGTGTTTGTCAAAAGCCTTATATACTGATTTGTGTATTTCACTCTATGTAAATTTGACTTGAATAAAACAATTCTATACAAAAAAAAAAAAGAGCTGGCATTAGTACCAGTCTACAATTCTTTATCCTAAAATTCCAAAATTAAAATATTCTAAAATCTAGAAGGGTTTTTGAAGTTTTAGACACATCTAATTTGGCAGCAAAACCTGAATGAAGACTATCTATAGCTTTATTTATCACATTAATGGCAAATATTCACATATTTTGCTATAGAAATAATTAACATATTTAATTACAGATCCTGCTCAGACCCTGCTAAAGGTACTCCATAATATATATGCATTATATTACATTTCTAAAGAAAAACAACAGATTCTGAATTCAAAACACATTTGCCCCCAGGAGTTTCTGAATTTTGGACCTATGGGGTGTACTTTTTTCACCCTCATAACTTAAAAAAGAGAGGTGGTTTAGATCAAGGCCTGGAAGATGCATTCTGACTTATACTCCAATCAAACACACAAGAAAACATGTCCAGAGAAATTTTATAATTTAAATAGTACCATACAGTTAGTAGATGTTTTAGCCAGTTTGCATTTCTATAAAGGAATACCTGGGGCTGGGTAATTTATAAAGAACAGAGGTTTATTTGGCTCATTGTTCTGCAGGCATGGTGCCAGCATTTGCTTTTGGTGAGGGACCCCAGGAAGCTTCCAATCACGGTGGAAGGCAAAGGGGAACAGGTATGTCACATGGTAAGAGAAGGGGGAAGAGAGACAGAGGAAGGCGAGACCAGGCTCTATTAAACAATCTGATCTCACAAGAACTAATAAAGTGAGAACTCACTCATTATCATGGGGAGGTCACCAAGTCGTTCATGAGAGACCCACCCCAATGATCCAAACACCTCTTACTAGGCCCCAACTCTAACACTGGGATCAAATGTCAATATGTAATTTTGGGGGGGAAATATCCAAACTATTTCAGTGGCAAAGCTGGAATTGAGGCCCAGATCTTAAAACCTTGTCCTCCAGAGTTCCTGATATAGCCCTTTGACATGGGTTTTGTGCTTTTTTGGCTTAGGTCAGAATATGGAATGGCTGCAGGTGGCTGACCAGATGCTGGGGCAGGCCATGCCAGAACTGGCTCCCAGAGCAGAAGTTCAGGCCTCTCTAACTTGGAGCTTTCCTGGGGGGAAAAGGGAAGCAGCGGGTGATAACTTCCCGTAAAAGTAGTTACCATGTGTTGCCAGTGAGCTCAAGAATTCTATTTTAATATTGAAATTCCAGCTCTCCTTTACTCCCACCCAGTTTAAACCTGTAGGAATCTGCATTTTAACAAGTGCTCTAGTGAGTCCAGGGCAGAGGCTTCTGACTACACTTTGTTCAGCACAGTCAATATTAATCAGAACTTGAATCCCAGGGCCCCCATGTTGCATGACTCCATGGGCAGCCATTCATATCATAGCCCTTGTGAACGGGACTCCCTGGAGTTATATGTTGCACAGCCTTTATAGCCCTACACTGTGTCCTGTACATCAGCAGACACACTTCCCTTCTATGAATGCCCACTACACTGACCCAGTCCTGGGTGAGGGAATCAGCAAGGGAGGGCCAGTGAAAAAGAGAAAAGTTTATTCAGCTCGGATGTACTTTCTAGAATGTTGCAATCAGAATATGTAACAACAACAAAAAAAGCTATTTTAATATTTTGTGTTTTACAGTTAAATATCATTTTTACATTTATTTCTGGCATTTAAGCCTTTGAAAGATCTTACTCTAGCCTGCTGACATCTTTTCTTCTTCCCTTTTGTGTCTTTCCTTACTCTTTGCCACTTACCTGCCTACCAATTTCCTGCTCAAATGAACTCCACCTTCAATCCCTCCCCTTCAAAAAAAATCATCTACTCACCACTTTCTGATCAGGCCTAACTGTCCAAAACACCCTAGTGTGACCTGGCTTCTCGTTATCCAGTCTGTTTCCTTAGCTAACTCATGGCGGAAATTCAGGCACTGGGGCAAGTGGAGCAGCATATTTAGGGTATTAGAGTATTTGTTTAGGAGTTTTAAAATCACTTTCAAAATCATACCACATATCTGCCTCATTATTCATGAATGTTGATAGAGAACATAATTTCTACTTATTGTATAGGGATTGTTGTCAAGGTTTATTTAGGACTTGTGTTCAAAGCCCTCTCCTCCATAGAAAATGTGCCACAAAACAAAACAAAAAGAGTCTTTCTCAGAGCAAATGATAGCCCCCTCTAAGCTAGATGTGGCTCCATTACCAAATCTTGGTGCTGCATTGTGAACTATTTAGAGGGGAAAGATATAGACCATGTCAATGGACTAGTCAGTGCTCTGGAGAGTATAAACACTCCAGAAGAACGCAAATGTCATTTTCCCTCCAATTGGCTCAGGCCTTTGAGGCCATTAGGCATAAACCATTAACCCTTGGAGTCAAGGATTATGTCATTTGGTCTTGTAAATTATTGGCCCAGGAGTATCTTGTAGATGTCCAACAGGCAGTAAAGGAAAACATGACAGAGCTTCTGAGAACCAGCTCCCAGGGAGAAAAGCAAGGAACAGCCAGAGGAATCACGAGGTGGAGAGCAAATGAGAAGTGGCAGGAGAGTGTTTACGATGGACCAAAGTTCACCCAGGAGCCTCTGCAGCAGAGCATCAGCTAGTACACAGAGCAGAGGGAAAAGCAAGCCCAGGCTTAAGAAAATTTCTGATTAAGTCTTTTGATCCTTTACAAAAAGAAAAACATTTCCTTCTTCATGAAAATATGTTTCCACCTGGAAGAGCAGCTTCACCAGAGACAATTTCTAATGTGAGCTACTGGCATGTATTCTATTCTAGCTACACAGCACCAGCATTCAAGTCCCACTCAAATCCAATCCTGGTCTTAGAACAAAGAAACTGGAGCTTTTCTCTTCCTAGCTATATTCAATGCAAAGCAAATCATACTCTTTAAGTAGAAATGGCTTGTGTTTCTGAAGAACACACAAGTGTTGATCTCCGGTGAAGAAACTTCCTTAGCGGTAAGTTGAATCAACAGAACCTAAATTACTCTAACTTGAAGGGGAGCTATAAATGTCTCTACATATGTTAGGCCTGATTTCCATGACCAAGGACTGGCTAGAAGTCAGATTCTTGCTCACATAGTTTATATTCAAAATATATGCACGTAAAGGCAGCTGTCTTCACTGGTACACTGGACTAGTCCCTAAGTGAAGAAGAGAACATCCATTTATTTTTATGAAACCTTAAATTTGTTAAATTCTTAAGTGACTTATTAAACATTATTTTCATGTCTATAAATGAAAACTGCTTAAGTTTCTAGTTTTCATCCTTTCAGAATACTTGCTGTGTGAAGGATTTCCATGTAACTTCAAAATTCGAGAAATAATTGAGTGCTTTTGAACATTAACTGGCTACACTGTTGATACGTTCTATGTCACAATAATGTAAATTTCCTTACAGTATATATAGTTCAGGCTGATTGATGGGTAGTTTGTTTTCAGTGTTTACTTGGTGAGATGGCTTGGCTCTGTATCCCCACCCAAATCTCACCTCAAATTGTAATTCCCACCTGTCGAGGGAGGGAATGGTGGGAGGTGATTGGATCAAGGAGGCAGTTTCCCTCATGCTGTTCTTGTGACAGTGAGGGAGTTCTCATGAGATCTGATGGTTTTAAAAGCGGCAGTTTCCCTTGCACTGTCTCTTTGTCTGCCACCATGTAAGACGTGTCTTGCTTCCCCTTCGTCTTTTGCCATGATTGTAAGCTTCCTTAGGCCTCTCCAGCCATGCAGAACTGAGTCAATTAAACCTCTTTTGTTTATAATTTACCTAGTCTCAGGTAGTAATCTTTATAGCAGTGTGAAAATGAACTAATACACTTGCTTGAATTGTATTTTGCTTAGATAGAATATTATACATTAAGCGTTCAAATACTTTGTGGTAGAAAGGAAAGGAGCACGTATTAGTTAGCTAGAGCTGCCATAACAAAATACCACAAATTGGTGGCACAACAGAAATTTATTTCTTCACTGTTCTGGATGTTGTAATTCCAAGATCAAGGTGCCGGCAGAGTTAGTGTCTGGAGAGACCTCTCACTTTGCCTTGTAGATGACCACTTTCTCACTGTGTCCTCACAGAGCCTTACTTCTGTACATGTACTCCTGGTATCTTCCTCTTCTCATAAGGATACCAGTCCTGTTTTATTAGGACCCTACACTTATGACCTCATTTAACCGTAATTACCTCCTTAAAGACCCAATCTCTAAATATAGTCACATTGGGAGTTAGGGCACTCTGGCAACAGACAGACATTGATTTAAATCCTAGCACCCACCACTCAATAGCTGTGTGTCCCTGAAAAAGTGTATCCTCTCAATGCCTCATTATCTTTACCTGAATATCAGCATAATAATTGTATGAAGGAACTTACAGAATTTTGTGAAGATTACATGGAATATGTAGAATGCTTAGACTCTAGTCAAGTACATAGTTCTTACTAAATGTTAGCTATTTATGTAAAAAATGCTCTTTAGAAAAAACCTAGAAAGGCTTCACAAAGATTTAGAGATTTTAGGAATGGTCTGAACAATAGGTACAAAGAGAGGTAAGACCCATGCAAATGTAATTAGGGAATTTTCAGTTTCCACAACATACAGATTGAGATAATAGACACCCTTCTTCAGCTATAAATGTATAAACAGGTCAGAAAAAATATACAAAACATTAACTACATAGTTGAATGAAAAAAAGAAAAGACAAGTCCTCAGCCAGAAACAAAAGAAGAACTTATAGCTTGAGTTGTCAGCAGTGGCTGGGACGCTCCTTACATAAGGTGGTAGAAGGAAGACAGCGTTAATGTCCAGATGGGATTAAATGGGGTCATGGGCCTGCAGATGATAGAAATCTAGAACTGAAGTCCTCCAACCCTGGAAAGACTGCCTTTTCTTTGAAAGAATGATCAAAAGGGCTATACTCCAATCTAAAGAAATAGAGATAAACTTGCCTAAGGCTCTAGAGGAGGAGAGCTTCTATGAGAAATTACTGTTCAAAGGAATCCTGAACAACTGACACTCCTCTTGTAGCAATATTTTTACAACCCAGGCATGTTGAATCTCTCCACACACACAAAGACACACACACACACACATACACACACAGAGAGAGATGACTGATAAAGATGTACTCATAATGAAAAGAAATTAAACTATATGAGGATACAGTTCACTATAAAGCACATAGCATAAGGAGACACAACATACACAAGTATTAGCATTAAAGTTTCTGAAGATAATAGTAAATTCTGAAAGAAAATATAAAATAGCTATGTTTACAATTATTATGGTGATTTTAAAAACGAAGAGAAACTTTAAAGAAGATACTATGTACAAAGAATAGAAAGATGTGAAAAAGAACCAAATATCACTTCTATACATGAAAAGACTTTAAAACAAAGAAAAAACATTTATAGGAAGACTAAACAGCAGGCAGATTAGACAAATTGAAGAAACAATTGGTGAACTGGTGGATAAATCTGAGGATCTATCTGAGAATCTATCTGAGGATAGATTATGCAAAATGAAGCAGGGAGATAAAGATGTCAAAAATATAAAAGAATATTAAAAGAAATGAAGGAGAGACTTAAAATACTCAATATGTATGCAACAAGAGTTGTGGAAAGAATAGAATATTTGAAAATTATATATAGAGAAAATTTTTTGAGACAGAGTCTCACTCTGTCTCCCAGGCTGGAGTGCAGTGGAATCATCTCAGCTCGCTGCAGCCTCCACCTACCAGGTTCAAGCAATCTTCTGCCTCAGCTTCCTGAGCAGCTGTAATTACAGGCACCTGCCACCACACCCAGCTAAATTTTGTATTTTTAGTAGAGATGGGGTTTCACCATGTTTGCCAGGCTGGTCTCCAATGGCTGACCTAAAGTGATCCACCTGCCTTGGCTTCCCAAAGTGCTGGGATTATAGGCATGAGCCACCACACCTGGCCCGAAAATAATATAGTTGAGAATTTTTCAAAATGGTTAAAGAGATATATCCTCAGTTTGAAGAAGCATAGGTCTTGAATAATATAAATACAAATACATTCACATTTAGACATGTCAAACAGCAAAGAATATCTTCAAAACAACCAGAAGGAAAATATAGATTTCCTACCTTAAAAATAATTAAAATAAAAATAGATTTTCTATCAGCAATATCAAAGGCCAGAAGATAATATAAAAATTTATTCAAAATGCTGATAAAATATAACTATCCAAAATTCTATACTTATCATTCAAGACTGGCGAGAAATGAATAAGGTTTCAAGCAAAGTTTGAAAACCATTTTCTGAAGGAACCACTAATGCATGACCTTTTTTAAGAACCAAGGAAGAAGCTGGGAACAATGACGAATTAATACATTTATAATTGTAAGTATATATAAATCAGCATTGACTGTTAATAAAAATAAGGGCTAACTTGAGAGGGTTGAAAAAAAAGTGCAACTACTATATTAGACAACAATAATATGGAAGATGGGGATTAGTGAAGAGTTTAACTCTCAGGAGAAGGGAAGCAATATTAACTTTAGACTTTGTTAAGACAAGTATGCATTTTTTTAAATGAACAATATTGTAAGAATGGAAAAAGACTTCTAAACTAACAGAGGGAGAAAAGACAAAATAAGAAAACCTTAATGAATCTATTTAACAGCAAGAAAGAAGAAAAAAAGCAGTGTGTGTATATATAAAATCTTGCACATTAAAATTTAAAAATAAATCAAACCACATCAGTAATTTCAACAACTAAACAGGAGTACAGACATCAGCAAAATGGCAGCATAGGACTTTCCAGCACTCATTCCTCCAGCAAACATCAGTTTGAATAACATGTATAAAAATGCCTTCACAGAGCTGAGGAAATTAGGAGATTACAGCACCTGGGCATAACACAGAACTAAGAAACAATGCATTGAAGAGGATAAGAAAGACAGTTACACATTACCCACATCATCCCTTCCCTAATCCAGGTAGCATAATGTGAATTGAGATACCTGGAGGAAACAGAAGGAAGTGAGCATTGGACTTTGCCTTGGACCCCAACACTGGGCCTGATCCAGTAAAATTCAGGGCTGGGCAGGTCCTCATAGCCCCAGACTTCAGGTCAGTACCCATAGACTGAGCCTCTAGGCCCCCACTACTACCAGGCTGACCCCAGTGGCTCCAGGTTCCAGACTGGCCCCAGGAATGGGCTGGACCCAGAAGCCCTAGGCCCACCACAGTGGCCCCACCCCAGGCAAACTCCAGCACCAGATCAGCCCTCGCAGACTCAGGCTCTGATGTGAACACCCCAGGGCCAGGCCATCCTCAGTGGCCCCATGTTCCAAACCACCCCCAGCACTGGGCATGACCCCATATCCCCAGGCTTCAGGCTGGCATCTGCAAACTAAGGTTTCAGGCTGACCCCTGCATAGCCAGGCCTCAGGCTGGCCCCTGTAGGCTCCAGGCCCACCCCTGCAGACTCAATCAAAAGATCCATCCCAGTGGCTCTAGGCTCCAATCTCAACCCTACAGACGTAGGCCCCAGGACCACCCACCTGCTGACACAGGCACCTAGGTCAACCTGCCTTAAGATTCCAGCACAAGCCCACGTGCAGACCATATCAGAAGCTCTGCCCAAAATCTCTGGACAGACTGATTGGTGAAGAGTTTTCCCAGACAAAGAGTTTTCCAGTCTGCACAGACATCAATGTATAATCAGAAGGATCAAGAACAATCGGGGAAACATGACACCACCAAAGGAACAAAATAATATACCAACAAACTGATCCTAAAGAAACAGAGATTTATAAACTGCCTGACAAAGAGTTCAAAGTAATCATCTTTAAGAAGTTCAGTGAGCTACGAGAGAATACAGATAGACAACAAAACAAAATCAGGAAGACAGACAATGAAACAAAATCAGGAAAACAATATATGAACAAAATTTGAAGTTTAACAGAGATAGAAACTATAAAAAAAATTGAAAGCTAACAAAACACAGTAACTGACCTTGAAAATTCCATAGAGAGCTCCAATAACAGATTCAATAAAGCAGAAGAAAGAATCAGTGAGCTCAAAGATAGGACATTTGAAATTACCCAGTCAGAGAAACAAAAGGAAAAAGAAAGAAGGGGAATTAAAGAAAGCTTATAGAATTTATAGGAGAGCATCAAAAGAGCAAAGTTTCAAATTATAGGAGTTCAAGAAGTAGAAAGACAAAGAGCCAGAAAGTTTATTTAAAAACATAATAGCAAAAAACTTTCCAAATCTGGGGAAAGACAGAAATATCTAGATACTGGAAGGTCAAAGGTTTTTAATCAGATTCAATACAAACAAAATTGTAGACTACACCAAGACATATTATAATCAAACTACCAAAAATTTAAGACAAAGACAGGATCCTGAAAGCTGCAAGAGAAAAGAAGCGTATCACATAAAAGGAGTTGCAATAAGGCTAGCAGTGGATTTCTCAGCAGAAACCTTATAGGCCAGGAGAGAGTAGATGGTATATATACAAAATGTGGGATGGGCGGGAGGAGGGAATATCCTCTCAACCAAGAATACTTTAACTGGCAAAACTAGTCTTTTAGGAAAGGAGGAGTGATAAAGACTTTCCTAGACAAACAAGAGCTGAGGGAATTCATTACCATTGGACTCATCTTACCAGAAATGCTAAAGGGGGTTCTTCAAGCTTAAAGAAAAGAATGCTAGTAACACAAAAAATATGAAAGTATAAAGTTCACTGGTAAAAGAAAGAACCCACCAGGTACAGTGGCTCACGCCTGTAATCCCAACACTTTGGGATGCCGAGGCAGGTGGATCACCTGAGATCAGGAGTTCGAGACCACCCTCACCAACATGGTGAAACCCTGTCTCTACTAAAAATACAAAAATTAGCCAGGCGTGGTGGCGAGTGCCTGTAATCCCAGCTACTAGGGGTGCTGAGGCAGGAGGATTGCTTGAACCTGGGAGGCAGAGGTTGCAGTGAGCCAAGATCATGCCAATGCACTCCAGCCTGGGCAACAGAGCGAGACTCTATCTCAAAAAAGAAAAAAAAGAACGAACAAACCAAATTTAGAATACTCTTATACTGTAATGGTGGTATATAAATCACTTACATCTTTAGTATGAAGATTAAAAGACAAAAATATTAAAAATAACTATTGTTACAATAATTTGTTAAGGGATACATAATATTAAAAGATGTAAGTTGTGACAACAAAAGAACTGAGGAGGGTTGAATAAAAGTGTAAAATGTGTTTATGCAATCAAAGTTATTATTCTCTCAAAACAGCCAGTTGTAATTATGACATGTTTTATGTCAGCCTCGTGGTAACCAGAAAACAAAAATCTTTAGTAGAAACACAAAAGATAAAAAGGAATCAATATATACTATTAGTGAAACTCACCTAATCACAAAGGAAAACAGCAAGAGAGGAAGAAAGGAACAAAGGATCAACAAAACACTCAAAAAACAAGTAAGAAAATGGCAGTAATACATTCTTACATACCAATAATTACCTTAAAAGTAAATGAATTTCTTGAATTAAAATACATAGAATGGCTAAATGGATAAAAACAGGACTCAACTACATGCTGCTTACAAAGTACTCACTTCACCTTTATGGACAAACTGAAGATGTGAAGAAATGAAAAAAAGATATTCCATGCAACTGGAACCCAAAAGAGACCAGGGTTGGCTATACTTATATCAAATAAAATAGACTTTAAAGTAAAAAACTGTAAAATGAGACAAGGAATTTCATTATATAATAATAAAAAGGTCAATTCATAAGACAATATACAGTTGTAAATATAAATGCACCTAACATCAGAGTACCTAACTATATAAATCAAATATTAATAGATCTGAAGAAAGAGAAAGACTATAATACAATAATAGTGGGGGACTTTGACATCCCACTTTCAGCAATGGACTTATCATTCAGGCAGAAAATCAGTAATGAAATATCAGATGTAAACTATACCTTAGACCAAATAAAACTAATAGACACACATAGAACATTTCATATGACTGCAGCAGAATACATATTCTTCTCAAGCACACATGGAATATGCTCTAAGACAGATCATATGTTAAGCCACAAGTCTTACAAATGAAAGAAGTTTTAAATCATGTCTAGTGTCATTTTTTTACCACAATGGTAGGAAAGTACTTATCAGTGACAGGAGAAATTTTGGGAAATTCACAAATACATAGAAATTGAGCAACATTCTCCTAAACAATGAATGGGTCAAAGAAGAAATTTAAAAAGAAATGAAAAAACATTAAGATAAATGAAAGTAGACGTAAAACATAGCAAAACTTACAGGATGCAGCAAAACCAGTTCTAAGAGGGAAGGTTATAGCAGTAAATGCCTACATCAAAAAAAACAAGTCCACATAAGCAAGCTAATGTTACACCTCAAGGAACTAGACTAACAACAAACTAAGCTCAAAGTTAGTAGAAGAAAGGAAATAATAAAGATCACAACAGAAATAAATGAAATAGAGACTAGAAAAACAATAGAAAGATCAATGAAACTAAGGATTGGTTTTTTGAAAAGAGGACACTCACAAACTTTTAGATGGACTAAGAATAGAAGACTCGAAGTTGTAAATGAAAAAGTAGACATTACAACTGAAGTATAAACAATCATAAGAGACTATTATGAATAATTATACACTAACAAATTGGAAAACCTGGAAAAAACAAATTCCTAGACACATACAGGCTATCAAGGCTGAATCATGGAGAAAATCTGAACAAAGAAATAATGGCTAAGAGAACTGAATCAATAATAAAAAGTTTCCCACCAAAGGAAAGCCCAGGACTGGATGGCTTCACTGCTGCTTTCTACAAAACATTAAAAAGAATACAAATCCTTCTCAAGCTTTTCCCAAAACTGAAGAGAAGGAAATACTCCCCAACTTATTATACAAGGCCAGCATTACCATGATATCAAAGCCAAACAAAGATACTAGAAGAAAATAAAATTACAGTCCGATTTCCCTGATTAACATAGGTGCAAAAGCCCTCAAAAATATTCTAGCAAACTGAATTCAACAGCACATTAAAAATATCATAAACCTACCAGGGGTGGTGGCTCACACCTATAATCCCAGCACTTTGTGAGGCTGAGGCGGGTGGATCACCTGAAATCAGGAGTCCAAGACCAGCCTGGCCAACATGGTGAAACCCCATCTCTACTAAAAATGCAAAAATTAGCTGGGCGTGGTGGCACGTGCTGTAGTCCCAGCTACTCAGGAAGCTGAGGCAAGAGAATTGCTTGAACCTGGGAGGTAGAGGCTGCAGACAAGGATCTCCACTCTTGCCACTTCTACTCCACATAGTACTGAAAAACCTAGCTTGAGCAATCAGGGAAAGGAAAGAAATAAAAAGCAACTACATCAGAAAGGAATAAATTAAACTGTTCTTGGCTTTTAGACAACATGATCTTATATATAGAAAGCCCTAAAGACTCCATCAAAAAACTGTTAAAACTAATAAATGAATCTGATAAAGTTATAGAGTACATTTGAGCTAAATACACTGTGGTATCCTGACTGAATCCTAGAAATAAAAATGGGCATTCATGAAAACACTGTTCACATTTGAGTAAAGTCTATTGTTAATAGCAAAATACCAATGTTAATTTCTCAGTTTTGAAAACGGTACCATGATTACGTAAGATGTTAACATTAGGAGAAACTGAGTGAAAGGCATACAGAGACTCTTTGTACCTTCCTTGCAACTTTAATGTAAATCTAAAATAAATTATTGCAAAATAAAAATTTTAAAAATTATATGGAAATTTTATATACAATTAATGATCTTTTATCTGTGACATAAAGAAAATGATACATTTTGAATATGTTCTTTTATGGGCCATGAGAACTCAACTCAGTTCACTTTCAAGGACTGGCCCAAATATTACATTTGAAAAGAGAGAAGTGGGGAACAATATCAGATGAAAGTTATGTTCTTATGAAAGAAAACTTGAAGATTGTATAAGAAATGTATTTCCAGTCCCAAATCAATTAATTGGCATTGCTAAGTGGCAAAGAATCATAGAAGAAGTAAAATAAAATGGGATAAAATGCTTAGTTGCTGGTGCTGTTTCTCCTTTTGCAAAGAAATCTCAGTATGCTCAAGGCAGTGAATGCCATGTGGGATCCTCATTCCCTTCTCTTCTATAGAAAGAAGAGTGTGGAAAAAAGCAGGAGTGGCTTCTGCTGGTTCTAGGGCCATAACACATATTAGTCCCAATAAGAACACCACTTCCTGTCACTGGACAGGCAATGCCACTAAATCATAAGAAAAACTACTGCAAAAGCAAAATTTCAGGTGAACACAAGTCAAAGTAACCAGGAAGTCAACATTTTCCACAAGCAAAAAGTTGTAGATAGACAACTAAAATCCTTCAGGGTATTTGGTTTAGAAAAAAATTCCACCAGCAAATATTTATATAACTGTTTTAAATGAAGTCAAAATATTTCTGGAGCTCTTTGCTGGATAAGAAATTGTTTGTATTTATCTGCTATTCCATATCATGTTTTTCACTTAAGAATATCAAGAGTTCCATTTGTATGTCTTCATCTATTCATAGAGCGGGGGGAAATGTGTTCAGAGAGACTTGAAGCTAAGTGGGCAAATCTTTACAAGCTGGTATATTCCTACTGTTTGAAAAAGATTACCCAAACAATGGACTCCACACAGCCCCACATCTACTCTTTAACTTGCTAGACTGCCCCTTTGGAAGTGCCTATGAACTTCATGTGACATTTTAGGGACACAAAATCAACCCTGACCCTCACAGACTGCCAAGAAAGTATGTGAAGAGCCTTATTTTTTTCCTTTAGTCATACTCCATCATGTGAGGCTGAGATTCCCCAGGAAGAAGCTCTGATATCATCATCAATGCCTGTCCCTTTTTATATCCTCTTCTTGAACAGTTGCTTCAGTTTCCTCATCTGTAAAATGAGAATAACAAATAGACCTAAATCAGGGCTATTGTGTGGATTAAATAAGAGCATTATCTCAATTTTCCTGGTGAGAAAGGCCCAGGCAAGAGTGCCTAGTGTATAAAGTGTTTAATAAATATTTGTCAAATGAGTAGATAAATTAATGAATTCTTCTATCTCTAGAAAATTCATAAGTCTCTGCCATGCTCTTCCTAATACCTGGGCCACTCTTCTAAATATTGGAGGGCTGTATAGGTAGCTGGAGTACTAATTCCAGCAACTGCGTAGCCAAGCACCTATTCTTAGCCTAAAACAAAACTTCAGAATGTTGCCTGGCCTGCAGATTGTGCCATAATTTCAGCCACTCTCTACTTCAAATAAAACCTTGGTTCCTTTGCCCCCAATACTACAAAGAACTTTTCCAAACTTTAACCCCAACTGGACTATATCTTCAGAGAAATGTCTAATTAATTTGCTTCCTAGGGAACCATCTGGTGCTATTAGATTGTTTAGGTCTCAAGGTGTGTGTGTACAGTCAGCTCCGATTGAAGGGGAATTGCATAGATTCTCCAGATGGTGGGTTGCATGACTTATTCTTTAATGTGCTAAACCCCAGTTATCAACATTAGCCCCCAAAGCACAGGGAAGAAGAGAACATGGTCTTTCATTGAGTTCTGCCTTTCTCCACTGGGATGGCCAAAGTGAGAGTTTGACACATTGCCTTCCTCGTCTAGAAAACTGGCATGCTTTTCTTTGTTTACCCTGGGCTTGGCCTGCTCAGCCGGTCTGGGCTTCCTGGGCAAACACAACTCAGGGTGAGTCCCTCATCCCTAACCTTCTGAATCTGGCAGAGTCACAAACCATGCCCGCCACCCTGCTCATGCCTCAATCTTCTCAGCCCCTCCTTGTGTTGAACCCTTAGTGCTGCCACTTGCTTGTTCTTGTTCCCTGACCAGATCATATGTCCCTGCCACCCAGTCCTCTCCTCACCCGTCTCCTCTTCACCTTCATTTGGTCCACCGTCTATAAGCAGGCCAGGTTGTAGCCTCCAGAGTTCAGAACTGAGGCCTGGGCATCAGAAGTCTGCTGTTGTAGGAAATCTGAGTTTGATTCAAATATGTGGGGTGAGAGTCAGAGGCAGCTCTGGTTTCATTTTGAAGTTTCATTTTGCCAGCAACAGAAACTATGTCTGACTTAAGCAGAAAATACACTTTTTTCAAAGGATATGAGGTAGCTCACAAACTCTTCAAGAACACTGGGCTCAGAGGACAGGTGGGAGCAGAGACCCAAGACCAGTGAGGCTCTCCAGTCCCCATGGAATACAGGGAGCTGAATGTTAGCAGTATTGCCACCACTACAACCAAATGGGTTCTCTCCTGTTTCTGCTTCTTTGCGCCACTGGCTCCCTGTTCAAAGGCTGGGGTGATGCATCTGAGGGATCCACCCTAGGGCACATGCCTACACTTGAGCTGCAGGGAGGGCTAGTGAAGGGGGTTTTCTGGCCTTTAGGCAGGAAATTTCTCAAACACAAAAGGTAGTTCATATACTAGGTAGCCAAAAATGACAAATGTCAGTTGCATTTGTCTCATTTGTCTCACCATTTTCCATTCTGTTCCTCATTCCTCTTTCCTGAAAACTAAAGCTATCACACACAATGCCCCATCCACCTCCCACTGCAGAATGTCCTGGAAATCTAGCCTCTGCGCTCCTATTTCCACCACAGCATGTGGTTCCCCAGCTCAGGATTTGTGGCATGACCTCCAATTTCTTCTCCAAAATTTTCCTTGTGCAAGTTTTGAAAGGAAAGGAACATCAGCACTCTCAGTTCATCCTGAAAGTTGGAGTAGGAAGGTATAAGCTGCCACTTCTTCTCTGCTTTACACATTCCTTATCCTGAAGTTTAACACATGCTTACAAACTGTGTACATCGTCAGATTAGCTTCTTTGCTTGTCTAATTCTGTGATCACTGCTTTTGGAATATACAGGGGCTGGGTCCAGGTTGCTGGGAAGCCACAAGCTTATTAGAGCTAGTAGAAACCTTTCTGAGTTTGCAAAACAACAAGGCTTTAAAGAAAACATGTGCCCTTAGAGGACACTATCACACAAAGATTCCTTTTAGGGGACATTATCCCACAAAGGCTCCCTGGATGTCAAAGTTCTTCCAGAGACTGAGAATTCAAAGGTCATCAACTGAGAGAGATATTCCTATCACCCTCCTTGATGATCACTAGCAAAGGGCTTTGTGTTCATTCCATTCCCTTGCCAACATTTGGTTCCCAAGCTTGTCCTCTTGTATCCGTCTACCCATGTCCTGGAATGCAGCCAGCCCACCGACACTGACAGGATGGATGCTAGCTGCAGCGAGACTGCTTGTCTGCTGTATACAGAGAGGATGACAGCAGGACATCAGAACAGCTGTTGGAAGGGAGAGGAAGTGGGCAGCTGCAAGCAGGGTGGTCAGAAGAAATGCCTCAAAGATGCCCTGAGAGCAACACATCACAAAGCACCACATCTTTAAACAGCCAACCAGGCAGAACAGCCTGTTGGGAAATGACCAGAAACAGGATTCCTTTCTAAACGGAAGTCTGGGTCAGGAAGTGAGTCAAAGAAGCAGAGCAGCCAAAGGAGGTTAGGACTATTGTATGCTGAGAGCAGTTCCAGTAACCAAATCAAAGGTTCTTTTCTGTGTGGGCCTCTGGAAGGTTCTCCAGGTACTCCACAGCACATAGTTTTAGATGTTTTCTGTTCTAAAGCAAAAGAAGTGGTTTCAAAATCCTTCCAATCCATCCAAACACTTCCTGGCATGTTTACACTCTATAAACCACAGATAGCATGCAAAGTCTTGATGGTAAGGTCATTATAAGCATTGGAACCGATATATCAGTACCTTAGCATGACCAAGAGCAAGTTCAAAAGGGGGAAAATCATATCAAGAAGCTCTGGCAAAAGAAAGATAACAGCAATGGAGCCCAAATCCTGGCTTTAGATGCTAGCATGCTCAAGTCTAAGGCAAAACACAGTGAATTATATCATTCTTGATGTCTACTCAGAGGAGGCTAGACAAACTTTTTCTTGCTCCTGAGCTATGCTTAGGTATGAGGCAGTAAGCAACTTCACTGAAGCAGTTCTGAATGCACACACACAAACACATATAAAGAAAGAGAGAGAGTGGCGCCTTTCTTATATCGTCTCCCTTCCACCGCCACAACCCCCACAGCTTATCTCAAGCTTTTCTGGTTTTGAGATGGAGTTTCGCTCTTTTTGCCCAGGCTGGAGTGCAATGGTGCAGTCTCGGCTCACTGCAACCTCTGCCTCCTGGGTTCAAGTGATTCTCCTGCCTCAGCCTTCCAACTAGCTGAGATTACAGGCAAGCGCCACCACGCCCAGCTAATTTTTGTATTTTTAGTAGAGATGGCATTTTGCCATGTTGGCCAGGCTGGTCTCGAACTCCTGACCTCAGGTTATCCACCTGCCTTGGCATTCCAAAGTGCTGGGATTACAGGCGTGAGCCACCGTGCCCGGTCTCTCAAGCTCTTTTAAAGACTGACTCTGTAAAGCTGAGTCTCTAGGGGTCCAGAGAAATATAATACAAAAATGAAGTTTCTGGTGATCTAGGTGCTTAACATAGGGATAGCATTTACAGCCTCCTAAAGTCACCTGTGTTTCATATTGGGCCTATTCACCCTCAAAACCCCTTTTATCAACTTCTTCAGATCCAACTGAGTCAATTAGTTTGAAACACTTCTTGCTAACTAAATGCACTTTTAAATATTTTTAAATGTTCATGTCTTATTATGAACAAATGTTTTACTGCCAACACTTTTTGAAATGTTGAAAGCCTCTCCATTGCATTAAATTCCCCTCAAGAATATCCCTTGACTTATCCTGACTTTTGACAGAAACCATTTTGCCAGAAAATATATACTTAAGGCATCTAACAAATACCATGACCCCCTCAGATTGTTGACTGAAAATCCATTGTTGTGGAGGCCCAGTGTGTGGACCATAAAGGCTGTTTCATGTGAGCAATAAAGAATCTAACTTGTATCAGCACCCTCAGGGAGGACCCCAGGCCCCTGCCTCCAGGTTGGCTATGTCCTTTTTTTCTGCAAGCCTTGCCCCACCTGTTTCTGTTCCATCAAGTTATCAGTTGAAACTCCGAACTTGCATATGATAAGCCCTGGAAGTCAAGGCCTGGCCTAGAAGATGCTGATGGCAGGGATGGTTTCCAAATGCCCCCAACACATTTTATTTTAAATGAGCTGCTTTTCTGATGAAGCTATCGGGAAAGTTAAGGGCAAAAATAGCTCAATTCCTAGTAGAGATTTATTGAAAATTATCCAACTAGATGTTACTGCATATTTCAATGTGATTAGAACTAGATGTTGTTCCTGACAATGATTGTCCTGTGACTATGATTAGGAGAAGGTAAGAAGGGAGCTGAGGGGTGACCCATGCTCAGAATAACATATAAAGTAAAAAGAACCAAGAAAGAGAAGGAGCCAGATGATTCTGGATCTGGCCAAAATAGGTCCCTACCCACACAAGATAGACTATAAAGATGGTAGGAGATGTGGTCATGAAAGGTCAAAATATAGAACAAGGTGGAAGGGAGATAAGAGAGACAAATTCTGGAAAAGTGCAGGTTCTTCACAATCGTAGAAAGAGTTTTAAACAAGTGATGCTGGGCTGCTGGCTTTTCCACTCCCACCGCTTTATTTCTAAATCTACACTGCTTACAACTTTTTTCCTTTCATAATACAAATAAAGTTAAACCATAGATTTCTTTGGAAGTCACTGAGAAAGTTATAACACTGATATTAAATTCACATATGCCCTTATAACACAAATCCTATATTGAGTGATCAAGAAATAATATCTTATTATCCACCTGGAAGGGCCCAAGAATTTGGTTAGCAAGCGCTTTGAGCAACTGTCAGTGTGAGGGCCTGTGATGAAGATGGAGATGATAGAAGAAAGCTGCCCCGTTTCTCTTTCCTCTCTACGGTGAGGAGGCAATTCTAGCAACTTGCTGTGTAAGGGTCTGTGTGGGGAGGTCCACACATGGCAGAGTCAGGCCCTTCACCTTTCTTCCCCAGTCACCAGCAGCCAAGGAGTGATTGCTTTCTCCTTTTAACAGGAAGTAGTACTGGCCCAATTCTGAATTTCTGCAAGAGTGCAAAGATGTGTTCACACGTTTAAAAGCAAAAAGTAGTAGAGGCTGCTCCTATGGAGATATCCTGCTGGCCATCTGTGTCCAGAAGCTGGCTACCTTCTCAGATGCTCATTCAATTCCTTCACCAGTTACCTATCTGGGATCTCCTGTGTCCTAAATTTAGCAGATGCTATGGGGTAGATGTTAAGCAGGATGATCTGCTGGCCCAGCAACCCAGACTGGACTGCAGCTATACAGGGTGATTATTAGGTTGGCGCAAAAGTAATTGCGGTTTTTGCCATTGTAATGGTAATACGATCTTGAGTGCTGGCCCTTCCTAGAGAGACTCTTATCACACAAAGCCTCTGTTAAATTCCTAGACAAAACACCTGGCCTCAGGGTTTTAAGTTCCCTTTGTAGGAGTCCTTATCTTTTTCTTAACTGTAATATTAGAGGGCGGATGATGCTGATACTAGAATTTACATTCCATACAAATACCTAAGTGCTTTGTATACTGAATGCACTAGTCAGGACATGCCCATAATAAATTGGAAAATTACTGAGCATCAACTCTATGCACAGTCTTGTGCTGGGCACCCTTTTATTAGTGGGTGTTTATCAAAGTATTCAATAATGGTCAGTTAGGATAAATGCGGTTGCATAATACTGACAAAGGTAGTATTCAATATATATGTTATTATGCCTAGATATAATTATGCCTATTATTTGTTTCCTTCTGGGTTAATATTCCTTTGAGAAAAGATATTAATATACACAACAACGGCACATCTGTTCCCTACAGGTGAGGTGAGACTGACAACACCACAAGTCTACCTTTGCATAGTTTTGTGCTTATTAACATTTTAATCTATAAGTGATGCTATAACTCTGGGTGATGGCCTGGTTCCCCGGGACTGCTGTGAAGGGTGACTTCTTTGATGTAACAAAAGATATTTAAATGAGTCTAGGGACTGTACGGAAAGTTGCCCTAAAAACAAGTCACCCAGAGGTCTATTTTATAATCCCTGCACATTGGAAAAAGGCTGAGGCCTTGCTGCCAGCAGCCATCTGGGGTGGGGTAGGAGCTGTGGGAAGCACACACCTACTAACAGGAACAAGATAACCCATCCAGACAGTGATCTATGCTGCTCAAGAATGGGTGATTTTTAACTAACAGTGCGTGTGTGTGTGTGTGTGTGTGTGTGTGTGTGTGAAAACTATATGAGCTGTGAAAGATTTTAGTGGAGGCCAGAGTTTTGATTTTGAGCGGGATCAGTCTATACCTGCTGGTGTAAATCAACCCAGCTGTAGGAACTGGGCCCACGGCTTTCTGAGACACCTATTGTTGAGGGTAGACTCGGGCTGACAGCGATATAAACACCACAGAAAAGGCTCTCAGGGGTAACTAGAAAGCAGGAAAAGACCCTGGCTCCCTCCAGCCAGCAGTTCTCTGAGTTCTGTCTTCAAAGGCAAAGCTGGGTTTCTGGAAGCCACAGGCCTCTCCCACTCCTGACTGCACCGAGAAATGCTCACCTGCGTCCTCAGTCTTGTCCATCTTGTGGCATCTGCACACACAGCCCCCAGCCAGGCACTCAGCCGGAGCCTTGGAAATCCTGATTCAGCAGGCGCTCTGCTTAAGAGTGGCAGGCGGGCCCCTTTGCTCCTTACTGGTGAGCTCTTGCCCAGGTCATCACCTGCTTCCAAAGGGATTTAAAATGAGGCATGGGGAAAGGACCGTTACAAATTCGCACTTCATTCTCTTTATTTACACCTTCTTTCTTCTTTTCTCTCATCTTTCCCTGTGTTCTCTCCCTCTAGCTTTCCCTCTCTCTTTCCACACACTGTGTCAGGTAGGTGAAGCTTCCAGACTACTAGGGGAACACCTGTTTCCTTAGCTGTCCCACGGTCACCCCTAAAGCCATCTCTTCTCAAGGGCAGCTGATCTCTGGGGTCTGTGTGGCACAGCCTCCAGGGAGTGGACCAGCCATGAACTTGTAAGGAAGAAAGACCCCGCCTTCTGCTCCCAGCTTCCTCCAGTATTGAAAAGCAGTGGAGCCAGTGAAGATCTGTTCCTGGCCGTGAAAAGAATCCCCTATATCCTAAGAGATCAGCTCAGCAATGAAGGGGTTACTCTCCTTGGTGTGGGGGTGGGGGGTGTAGAAAGTTGCGGGACACTCTTCTCAGCTTGTCTGATGGAGATGCGACCTGGCACCACTGAAAAGCTTTAAGATTAATGGAGAAAAGGCGAAATCTGACAGCTTTTCCACTGGTTTCAATCCTCCTGGGTGGGCCGATTGGTCTTGAATGTCACTAGCTACTTAATCTTGTGTATCTGAAACAGACTGGCGTGTTTGGGGAGCCCTGTTTGCTCTGTATAGACATCAATTGGAGAGGCAGATAAAAGGAAACTGCATTGAATTTCTCCTTTAAGCCTTTCACCAGGCACTTTCTGACTGCAAAATAATTAGTGACCCTGGCAGACACAACCATCCTGTGGTAGATGCTCC
Organism: Homo sapiens; assembly: GCF_000001405.40. Taxonomy (NCBI): domain Eukaryota; kingdom Metazoa; phylum Chordata; class Mammalia; order Primates; family Hominidae; genus Homo; species Homo sapiens. The sequence goes on from NC_000005.10 coordinate 53,784,941, forward strand.
AGCTACACCCCTGGTGCGACTCTGACTTCCCTGGACAAGCTGCTCCTGCTCTGTTCAGTGCAGACTCATGGTGCCTATATATTCTTCCTGCTCACCAACTTTTTTTTTTTTTTTTTTTTAACTGCATGGTCTTGCTTACCATTCTGAACCATGGATGCCTGCTTGATCTGATGGCTGAGCAAAGGGATCTCCAGAGACACAGATCTACAAGCACAAATGTGGACAGGGAAATAGAAAGACAAAATAAATAAATAAATAAATCCCTAAATGTACCCATTTACCTGCATATATGTCTCAAACAAATAGGGTTGAGCTATTTTTTAATAACCAAAACATCTACCCAGGAATGGAAATTTAAAAATCAAATGATGCTTTCTATATCCTGTTTTTTCAAACTGAATACATAAAAGAAGCCATTCAGGTTAAGTGTCAAGCATTAAAAGAGAAAGAATAAATACAACAGTGTTTGCAGAGGAGGTTACAATAGATTGGCTCCTTATATTTAAAAGATAGGAATGTTTGGTGATTACTGTGTGAAATAACTCTGTCTAGTCTGGTTTGCTCTGGTGTGAGAAGTCTCTGATGTGTTTTACACACACATAGTGGTTTATGAAGAACCTGTCATAAACCTAAACGATAGCACCAATTAGAAATGAGCTTCCATTGATATATTTCAGATCATTTGCCCTTACCCTTTTCTGACTTTCTGATTCTTTAAACTCATGAACATGGTTGAGTGTATCATCGGGTGATGAATAGCTAGAGATGACTGAGGCCAACAGACTATATATTAATCGTCCTTAGCCTAGCATCTGGGAATCCATAAAACTCTCTGTACTTTCAAACACAAGAGAAAGCCACATTCTCTGATGTCTGAAACTTGCCACTTACAAGCACACACAGGTCTATGCAGGGCATCTTCCTGCAATGTGCTTTTGGCTATTACGAAAACTTTCTTTAAGGCAGAACACTTTCCAGTAAACATATACAAAATTCATCATAAACCAGACTAATTCTTCTGTCTACCAAAGGGAGATGGAAGACATAAACTAAGTCCAACACCACAGCAAGGTATCACAGGTCTCTATTATAACTTTGAAATAGCACCAGATATCTGGCTGTTTTTAAATTGCCAGTTTCTCCTCTGTGGTCAAGGACGTCTGCCAAAAAGAAGATACAGGAAGTTACTGATGGGCCGTAAAATGGAAAATGAAGTGAAAAATTAGTCTTCACTATACCAAAGCAACCTCATTTCAATTATCATTGCAAATATAGGTTATACTTTATTTTGTGACTTACTTTCTCTCTTAAAGATACAGCATCACATTGTTGAGACCGCCACTGCAAAATTATAATTGAGGCAGTGAAAGAGATCTGAACTAACCAACTCTACCTTGCTTCTAAACTCCAAGCTGTCATTGTTCATTCCTGGCTATAGGCCAAACTAACTCTGGGAGAAACTTAGTTTAGGTTTAGCTTTGAAACAAAGATGTTAACAGCCCTTTCCCAAAACAAACCCCCTTTCTGCCTGAGGACTAGACTGCCTTTGCAGGACTAACAAATTAGCTAAAAGATTAGAAATTATGATTTAGGAGTCACGCAGCTGGAGGCTACAAAATTCTGAATCTCCCCAAATTGCTCCTGGGGATAATATCACTATTGTAAAACTTAAGATCAGTGCTTGAGATATTTTGCAGACCCTGCACTTGATGGATCAACTGGCACCACACAGACTGATAAACTGGCTCATCTGGTCTTGTGACCCTGACCCAGGAACTGACTCAGTGCAAGAGGACAGCTTCAACTCCTTATGAGTTCATCTCAGACCTGACCAATCAGAATTCCCGATTCACTGACCCACCTACTCACCAAATTATCCTGAAAAACTCTGATCCCCAAGTTCTCAGTAAGACTGACTTGAGTAATAATAAAACTCCAGTCTCCCGCACAGCTTGCTCTGTGAATTACTCTTTCTCTTTTGCAATTCCCCTGTCTTCATAAATCAGCTCTCTCTAGGCAGCAGGCAAGGTGAACATGTTGGGCGGTTACATTATGTCAAAGCCTAAGACTAGAGTTGACTGAAGTGATGTTGAGGAGATTGAAGCCAGTCTGCATGGCAGGAGAGAGGAGATGCTTCTCCATTTCTACCAAATGTGACTGGCTGTGCTCTCAGGGGACTACGAAGTAGTTGGCCAGAGAGCATACTGAGTACAGATTTCATGAACAGGTAGGTACTGGGTATATGTTTCATGAACATCAAGAAGTACAAGAGAAGGAAGGAAACTCATACAAATACAAGGAACTAAAATGGGAGAGACTACTAGACAGAAAGGGTCATTTTTCCTGGGAATTGGCTGTGGACATTTTTCAACCTTGTTTGAGATATCTGAAACAATGCCTCTCCTCTTCCAGGTTAAAAAAAGAAAAGAAAATATGTGTAGCTATAAACAAAAAACAGGTGAGTGCACAGAGAAGGAAACTCAAGTTCCACATCTAAAGTTATTGCTATAGTCTTTGAAACCCAAGTTGTCTGTAAGTCAGTTTTGAATGAAAGGTGGAAGTCACCACAAGGTCACCACATTCATGGAGAGCCAAAAGATCCAAACATTAAAAAAAAAACACTGAAGTCATTCTGTGGCTATAATCACTGGCAGATTTCAGGAAGTTTCTCCACAGCCATGTTCTTGCCACTGTCATTTTATCTTTAATGGGCTCTACAGGTGGCAGATACAAATGTAAATTAAACTATGGAGTCCCCCAGAACCTTCTCAAGAGAATGAACCCAGGACTCTTTAGACAGGTTGATGAATTTGAGACATAAAGATGATAAGAGAACTGGGAAGAGATGAATTCAAAACGTGTTCTTGGTGGCATGCAATGCTCCTAGTTCCCCACTGTAATCTAGTGGGCAGATGAAAAGGCTCCTTACTAATTAGCCTACTTGGGTGCTTAAAGGTTAGGGTTCTGTGTTACCTAGAGACCCCCATTCAAAGATAAACAACAGAGAAGAGTATGATACACATTTACTGATCCAACAGATAATTTTTAGCATCTATTGAGTGTCAGATACTGTGTTGGGGATACAGCAATGATCACAACAAACATACCTCTTGCCCTCATGGATCTTAAGGTCTATTGGGAGAGTCAGTTGTTGGACTAGGAAGTCTCCATCTGAAGAACATCAAAAAGCGGGGTAGTATGGGATGCTGTGGGAGTTTAGGCTGGGGGGCTCAGAGAAGGGCTCCCTGGGACAACTGAGTGACAATGCAGGTGATGTTCCAGAAGGAACCAGAGGTCTGGAGGTAGAGAAGAGTATAGGATACACAAGAAACTGAAAGAAGATGAAAATAGCTAGAACAGAAAGAGTGAGTGAAGAGTGTTGTGACACAAAGAGGCTAGAAGGGTAGAAGAGGCCATGTTACAAAGGATCTTGAGGGTACTGTTGAAAAGTCTGGTCTCTAAGAGAATGAGAAGCATTGAAGAATCCACTTTAAAAGGAAAGTGATATGAACGATTCATATTTCAGAAAGACCCACTGTGACTGCCATATAAAGAATTGTGTTGGATTGCCCTAAGCCAAAAGAACAAAGCTGGAGTCATCACGCTACCTGACTTCGAACTATACTACAAGGCTACAGTAACCAAAACAGCATGGTACTGGTACCAAAACAGAGATATAGACCAATGGAAAAGAATAGAGCCCCTGGAAATAATACCACACATCTACAACCAGCTGATCTTTGACAAACCTGACAAAAACAAGAAATGGGGAAAGGATTCCCTCTTTAACAAATGGTGCTGGGAAAACTGGCTAGCCATATGTAGAAAGCTGAAACTGGATCCCTTCCTTATATCTTTATACAAAAATTAATTCAAGATAGATTAAAGACTTAAATGTTAGACCTAAAACCATAAAAACCCTAAAAGAAAACCTAGGCAATACCATTCAGGACATAGGCATGGGCAAGGACTTCATGACTAAAACACCAAAAGCAATGGCAACAAAAGCCAAAATTGACAAATGGGATCTAATTAAACTAAAGAGCTTCTGCACAGCAAAAGAAACTACCATCAGAGTGAACAGGCAACCTATATAATAGGAGAAAATTTTTGCAATCTACCCATCTGACAAAGGGCTAATATCCAGAATCTACAAAGACCTTAAACAAATTTACAAGAAAAAATCAAACAACCCCATCAAAAAGTGGGCAAAGGATATGAACAGACACTTCTCAAAAGAAGACATTTATGCAGCCAACAGACACATGAAAAAATGCTCATCATCACTGGCCATCAGAGAAATGCAAATCAAAACCACAATGAGATACCATCTCACACCAGTTAGAATGGCCATCATTAAAAAGTCAGGAAACAACAGGTGCTGGAGAGGATGTGGAGAAATAGGAACACTTTTACACTGTTGGTGGGACTGTAAACTAGTTCAACCACTGTGGAAGACAGTGTGGCAATTCCTCAAGGATCTAGAACTAGAAATGCCATTTGACCCAGCCATCCCATTATGGGGCATATACCCAAAGGATTATAAATCACGCTGCTATAAAGACACATGCACACGTATGTTTATTGCGGCACTATTCACAATAGCAAAGACTTGGAACCAACCCAAATGTCCATCAATGATAGACTGGATTAAGAAAAAGTGGCACATATACACCATGGAATACTATGCAGCCATAAAAAAGGATGAGTTCATGTCCTTTGTAGGGACATGGATGAAGCTGGAAACCATCATTCTGAGCCAACTATCACAAGGACAGAAAACCAAACACTGCATGTTCTCACTCATAGGTGGGAATTAACAATGAGAACACTTGGACACAGGGAGGGGAACATCACACACCAGGGCCTGTCGTGGGGTGGGGGGAAGGAGGAGGGATAGCATTAGGAGATATAGCTAATGCAAATGACAAGTTAACAGGTGCAGCACAGCAACATTGCACATGTATACATATGTAACAAACCTGCACGTTGTGAACATGTATCCCAGAACTTAAAGTATAAAAAAAAAAAAAAAAAAAAAAGAATGTGTTGGATTGAGTCACAGAGGATTCTGTGAAACAGGTAAGAAGTCTGCAGACATCTGAATGGAGACAATGGTAGATTGGACCAAGGTGGTGGCAGCAAGATTGAAAAGAAGCTGAAATATCCTAATATCTGTAGACAAAGTAACAGTGAAGACGCCTCAGGTCACAGAGACAAGGCAGAGGCATGCAAGACAGCCATGTGAGGATCTCATCCCACCCTGAGAAGGTGGGTCTTGGCACATACATCCCTGACAGGTCTGACCGGAATGAGCAGTGGGAAGTGAGTAGGGTAGTTAGGAAGAAGGTAACTGACCAACTTGATGATTTTTAGTAGTTATGCTAATAGTTATGTTAGGAGGAATTTAGTTGTAATAGAAAAGAATTCTGCAAATGCTTCCTTTAAGAGAAGAGTCTGGGCTGGGTGTGCTGGCTCAAGCCTGTAATCCCAGCACTTTGGGAGGCCGAGGCAGGCGGGTCAGGAGTTTGAGATCAGCCTGGCCAATGTGGTGAAACACCGTCTCTACTAAAAATACAAAAATTAGTCGGGCATGGTGGCACGCACCTGTAATCCTAGCTACTCCAGAGGCTGAGGCAGGAGAATTGCTCGAACCTGGGAGGCAGAGGTTGCAGTGAACCAAGATTGCGCCACTGCACTCCAGCCTGGGCAACAAAGCAAGATTCCATCTCCAAAAAAAAAAAGAAAAAAAGAAAGAGGAGTCTGTATATATTTCAAATGTGAATTATGAATTTTAGTTTACATGCACATTCAGAAACCTATTACATAGCCCCCTAAAACAGTCGTACATATGTATAAAAGTCAAAGCCCTATATATGACTATATTGTATATGCATATAACATATATTCCACATATATATTTCATTTTATCTCTTAATACTAGTAGCTAGTAGGCTTCTTTCTACTATACTTCTCTACTTCTGGATCTACCAACTGAACTGTCAATTTACCCAGACTTCACTTTTTAGAGTCTGTATCCTGGCCTTGTTCCTGTAATAATGTAATTCATTTGTAATTATACAAGTGAAACATGAGAGCAAAACGGTAGTTGTTTCTATGAAAGTTAGTTTAGGGCCAGGCATGGTGACTCACACCTGTAATCCCAGCACTTTGGGATGCTGAGGCAGGTGGTTCACCCAAGGTCAGGACTTTGAGACCAGCCTGGCCAACACAGTGAAACCCCATTTCCACTAAAAATACAAAAATTAGTCAAGCGTGGTGGTGTGCGCCTGTAGTCCCAGCTACTCTGGAGACTGAGGTGGGAGAACTGCTTGAACCCAGGAGGTGGAGGTTACAGTTAGCCGAGATAGCAACACTGCACTCCAGCCTGGGTGACAGAGTGAGCCTCCATTTCCAAAAAAACAAACAAACAAAAGGAAAACTTAGAAGGATTCAACAGAGGTGAGTCTCTAAAGAAAAAGTTGCTATCAGATTAGGTATAAACAAGACAACTATAACGTATTAGAGAGAGTCTGGCTATGGTGGTTCATGCCTGTAATCCCAGCATTTTGGGAGGCTGAGGAATGAGGATCACTTGAGCCTAAGAGTTTGAGACCAGTCTGGGCAACATAGGAAGACCTCGTCTCTACAAAAATTACAAATATTAGCTGGGTGTGGTGGTGCATGCCTGTAGTCCCAGCTACTTGGGAGGCTGAGGTGGGGGGGATCACATGAGCCCAGGAGGCTGAGGCGGTAGTAAGACATGATTGTACCACTGCACTCCAGCCTAGGTGACAGAGCAAGACCCTGTCTCAAAAAAAAAAAAAAAAAAAAAAAGATTAGAGGGGAAAAAACCTAGAAATAGATTCCGTATTCAGATTCTAGAGCAAATGCCTTTAAGTTCTGGTCCACTTCAACAACAACAACAACAAAAATTGAAAAAATTGTAGGTGATGCAATATGGGTGTAGCTGATAATGCAAGTAAAATGGTTAGAAACCTGATCAGAAAAGCTGTATGAAATAAAGATCTTCATTTCAGGTTGTAACCCATGAAAGTACTACTTGGAGTGTAAGAAATAGTAGAATATTCACACTTTCATATGCTTATATGAACCTAATATGTTTTAAGTAAAAATAAAATGTTAAGGGTAATGCACATATTTTTCTTATGTAATTCTCCTCTTAAACCAATTTTTTCAATTATCTGATAGCCACCGTACTAACTATTGGATAAGAAGTATTCTTTGATGGTACCAAGGGCCCAGATATAAAGAAGCCACACATTCCAAGTACAGGCTGCTGGGTTACAAGGACAGTGTGGGAAACCACAGATCATCAGAACTCCAACTCATCCAGAAAAGAGATTATTTTCTCAGCCACACCTGATAAGATTTCACCAGTAACTAGTGAAGAGGAATTGGAAACTCTTACCAGAACCCTTTATATATCATTTATAGCCTATTATGCAAACACACTGTATGTGTTTATTATATAGTAAACTGCACACAGTTCTTATTTCATAGTGTGTTTAGTCATTCTCATTTAATCCTTTTGTATCTTCATAAAGTCCGTCAAGAACTTCTGCAGCTGTTGTTGGTGATGGTGGTGTGTACCCAGCGGCCCTGCTTGGACTAGGTTCCCAGGCAAGCTGTCTCCTTACAGATACTGCTTAACTCTGGGCCTATTTTGGCCAGAGTTACACAAATGTAGAGAGTACAGCACATTGAAAAGAAGTGCCATTTAAAGTCTTGTCTTTTAGAGATACTTAGGTTCATACAATTATACTGAGTTCTGTGAATGAGTTTCAAGGGATCTAGGAAGCCTTGGAAACTGTTACATATGTATGTTTGCAGGGGGAGGAATGTTTGGCTTTCAGCAGATTTTCAAAAGACCCCTTAATCCCAAGAGAGGTCAAGAATCACTGGTATAATAAAAAGGAATGAAGTTCTCATACATGCTACAACATGGATGAACCTTGAAAACATGAAAGAAGCCACAAAAGACCACATACTATATGTCTTTATTCATATGCAAGTCCAGAATAAAGAAATCTATAGAGACAGAAAGTAGATTAGTGGTTGTTTAGGGCTAGGTTGGCGGTGGGGGAATAAGAAGAGATGGGGATGACAGCTAAAAGGTACAGGGTTTTTGATGTGAGGAATATGTCCTAAAATTGACTGTGGTGAGGTCTGTACATATCTACGGATATGCTAAAACCCATAGAATGGTAGACTTCAAGTAGATAAATTATATGGTATATTAATTATATATCCATAAAGCTATCTTTAAAAAAAATAATTGGCATAGACTTATCATTTGCCAATCTTGTTCATATTCTTTACTTCATGAGGTATTATGAACTAAGTAAATGAACCTCCAAAAGTCACGACTAAGTGACTCACTCTTCTGATGCCAATTCCATTTCCCACCATGCTTCAGCTGTTGCCTAGTGTCAGGATAGGGGGAAAAGAGCATGGACTTGGGAGCCTGGACCACTTAATAACACTTGTACAGGCTGCTTAATCTTACTGTCTTGTTCTTATTTTCCTGTTCTAAAACAGAATGTTACTCAACTAAGAGTACAATTGTGAGACACTCTATGTAAAGTACCTAGCACTGTGCCTAGCATATGGTAGATACTAACAAATGATAGCATATGTTTATCATCATGTATTAGCACTGATTTGGTTTTAAGTGACAGAAACTCAATCTAGTTAAAGCAAAGACGGAAATGTATTAATTTATATCACTGGGAAGGCCATCTAGCTTCAGAAGAAGCAATAGCCAGAGACTCAAGTGACCTCTCAAGACCCTAGGTCCCTCTTTAACTCCTGGCTTTGTCCTCAGGTGGAAACACATGGAGACAAAGTTGTCAAAGCTTCAGACTCACATTCCACCAGCTTAGTGGCTCAAGTGGAAGAACAAACCTCTTTCTAGATAGTGCCAAAAGTCCTGGAAGACTCTTAATGGCCTGGCTAAGATGCTGTGTCCATCTCTGAGCCAATCTCCATGGCCAGGGGGAAGGAATTACAATTAATCAGGCCTGAATCATGTTCCATATCTGTGGAAGGATGATGTATTAGTCTGTTTTCACACTGCTAATACATACCCAAGACTGGGTAATTTATAAAGAAAAAGAGGTTTAATGGACTCAGTTCCACGTGGCTGGGGAGGCCTCACAATCATGGTAAAAGGCAAAAGGCATGTCTTACATGGTGGCAGGCAAGAGAGAATGAGAGCCAAGTGAAAGGGGAAACGCCTTACAAAACCGTCAGATCTTGTGAGACTTATTCACTACCAGGAGAACAGCATGGGGGGAACGGCCCCCATGATTCAATTATCTTTCACTGGGTCCCTCCCACAACACATGGAAATTATGGGAGCTACAATTCAAGATGAAATTTGGGTGGGGACACAGCCAAACCATATCAGAGGATAGATTACTCCCTCCCTGCACCCCAACCCCAAACCAATACATGTGCTATATATCTACAGATGTTTATTCTTTCCAGGGTGAGATAATCTTTTTAGGCTGAATGGTGAGGCAAAGAAAACTGACAATTCAGTTCTGCATTTACTGGTCACCCACTCTGGGGTAAGCACCTTCCATGTTGTGTGTGGGTATATGCACATGAACCCTTGAATATATGGGGAGCCTGTCAGATACCAAGATGAATGAGAATTTCATATATTAATTGTTTACACATTTTATAACAACAGTAATCCCTTCCTGGTGGCTTCAACTAGTTGCTGAAGTGTGGAGGAGACAATCTTTGTAAGAAATGTGGATAAAATTATATACCATGGGTAATTTTACTTATTAAATATTTTCTCGGTTGTGAGTTTAGAAAAGAGAACAAGGTAACACAAATGAGTATTTCAGGAAGCCCCTGCAATATTAGGCAGTGACTGCTGGGAAGAGGCCAGTAGTGGGTTTACATTTGCAAAGAGCCAAATCCTGCAGAATGGAGGCTGGTCTAGCTGAGGGTCAGCCCTCCTAGGGAGCCAACATGGGTGTAAATCAGATGTATGCCATTGCTCATTCTTCAGGTCTTTTTTTTTTTTTTTTTTTTTGGACATTTGGATTTAATTTGTGGGTGTCTCTTGCTTTTCCAAAAGCAGTGTTTAGAACATAGAGGAAATTTAAGGTTCCAGGATGCACTGCTGGGTTGTGCCCTTCCCTATGCCATTTCCTGTCTTTATGTATTTTCATGGGTGATTCTTATTATGTTCAAAACAGGTTACATGTATGTGTCTCCCTCACCTCAGAAACAGTTCAGACCCAGCTGTTTAGCATCACTAATGAGAAGTTTCTTTGTAGATCTCCCATGGTCAAAAAACTAATAGAAAACTATAGTGCAGTGGTTAAGAGTGCAGGTTTAGAATTCCAATCTGGCTTTGAATCCTTACTTTATTTTTTTTTTATCACCAGATCATATTAAATCAATTATTATGTTTATTTTTTATATCTGTTTTCCTCAGTTAGAATATGAGCTCCAGGAGCGCAGGCATCACTGTCTGTTTTGTTCACTGATATAGTTCACACACCTATAACAGTGTCAGGTACTTTGAAGGCACTCAATAAATATCTGTTGAATGTGTGAATCATGCAATTAACCATATTAATATACTATTTAACACGGTTTCTGTTTTCACCCTTAGGGTTTCATCCTGAGTGTGCTGAATTATGGGATTGACAGGGAGCAGTGCTCAATATCAGCATCTGAATGTCCTCTTTTTCTTTCCATCTTCTCCCTGCTCCATCTGCCCAGAGAAGGGTTTTATCTTTCTGTATGAACTATACACCTGTACTTGGATCAGCATGCATTCTTTCCTACTTTAAGTTTAATGTATAAACTCTATGTGGTAAGTTCTCTACCTTTGCTCTTGATATAAAAAAGCTAGATTTTGGAATCCCAGCAGAAATTCTCTCCCATCAAAGCCTGCCTAATAATAACAAGTCAAAAGCACTTTGACTTTTATATTACTATGTCTCTTATGAACTTAAAAACTATTTTGAAACTCAGAGCTGAGCAATGACTTCTTTGTCTTAGACTATAACTGTTCTCTCCCTGAAATAGGACAGATAAAAAGCTATCAGTGCTGCTCAGGAAATAGTGACTTCTCAGCATCTCAGCATAGTTCCCTGCTATATCCACTTCCATAAATGATCAACGTCCCTTTTGTTGGGCTCTTCTTTGCCTTGTAACGCCTATATGTGATTACCAAACTGGGAGTTCTTTTCTCATCTTTAAGATGCCTTTATAAGTCTTTGCTTGATTCATGATATACTGATTCCCTCTTTCAGCTGTAGAAGGGCAATCTTCAACTAGAGGCTCATAAACGACTCCCCTCATGAGAAGTACCACTGTCTTCATGCTCAGATCGCGCTATCTAAATCCTGTTTCCTACCTCGTCTTACCTTAGCTGATATTCCTCAACAAAGGTTTGCCTGGGAAGGACAGTTTACTCTTATGCCATTTGCAACTAATACAGGACCCTAAAAGTGTATATGGAGGAGGCATATTGAGTTAAAAGTACAAGTAGAGTGTCTGAAACCACCAATTTCCTTTCCAGTAGTGATAAAAGATATTAAACATAGTGAGACAAATTTAAAGGAAATTTATCAGAGAGCAAGAGAGAAAACTATTTCTCCCCAAAGAAAGTATCTATGTGCGAGTAAAGCTGCTAGCTGACAGTCCAGGGCTGAAAGCATCTCAGTGGCCCCTGGAGTCAGGGACAGAGGGAGTGGTAGCCTCTTTCTCAGCCCTCCATGTGCCTCCCCATACCCACAGTGTGGAGAGCTGGGAAGACAGGTATGTCAGAACCCTGGCCATGGCAGCCACCAGACAGAGGAGGCAGTCCTAAATAGACTGTGACTTTAGAAGACTAGGAGAAATCCCTTAGTTCTCAGGGCTTAAATCCACCTGAAAAGATTCCTAAATTACAAAAAATGGATTTCAATTTGGCAGTGTGCACTGTTCAGAGTTCAGGGAAAGAGACAGCTCACCGGAAGACTTGATTGTCTGATCCCTATGGAAAAATGGATGCATCAGAGATCTATGGACTATTTGCAATTTAAAGTATTCAACTGGCTCCCTTCAGTTTGAATATTTGCACACTTAGCAATCTCCTGATGAGAGTTGGCTTCCTCATCTTTATTTTTTTGGCTGTATGTAACAGACTTAAACAAAACTGGCTTAAAAATTAAGAGTATCATTTTCTCAAATGAGGAGCAGTCTGAGGTACTGTAGGTCTAGGGTTGGTAAATTTAGAGGCTCAACAACATCAGCAAGGACCAGATCCTTCTCATAATTCTGCACTGCAATACTTAGGGTGTTGGCTTTGGTCCTCTAGCTTGTCTCCTTATGGTCAAAAAACAGTGACAACAACCTTCACCATAGCATCCTCACACAACAAAATGTGAAGTCCATAGTGAAAATGATATTTCTTTGCCAACAAGAAAACTTTCCCAGGCCTCCCCCCAACCCTTTTCAAAAACCTTACCTTTGTACCTTATTAGTCATAATTGTTCCCAAATCTTTTTCTAAGCCAACTGTCAGCAAGGAGAACACAGTCACCATGATCAACTTGGACTAATCAAGACTAATCGCCTTTTGGTCCTGAACATGGGCCCAGCTTTCCTAAAACACAGAGTCACACATGAATGTATCAGAATTCTACTAATTAGAAAACCTGGGGAAATGGCTGTTAGATACAAAATGCAACCAAAAGTATCTACTGCACCATGAACGTTTCCTGCAAGGAAAGACACATAGAGAGTTCAACTGTCTGGTCACTATGGCTATTTGTCTCCTTATTTAAAAAATAGTATTCCAAGGCCAGGCATGGTGGCTCATGCCTGTAATCCCAGCACTTTGGGAGGCTGAGGTGGGTGGATCACTTGTGGTCAGGAGTTCGAGACCAGCTTGGTCAACATGGTGAAACCAACCCCTCTCTACTAAAAATACAAAAACTAGCCAGTGGTGGCAGCCACCTGTAATCCCAGCTATTCAGGAGGCTGAAGCAGGAGAATCACTTGAACCCAGGAGGTGGAGGTTGCAGTCAACCGAGATCACACCACTGTACTCCAGCCTGGGAAATGGAGTAAGACTCTGTCTCAAAAAAAAAAAAAAAAAAAATCCTCTTTACTTAAACATTTGTCTTCCTCTTCAGAAATAACAAAAAAAGCTCCAAGAATGAAGAGGTGACCTATTAAACTTCAAATTGATGATGACTTATGCCTGTTTTCTTTTTTTTTTTTTTTTTTTTTTTTTTTTTTGAGACAGAGTCTCGCTCTGTCGCCCAGGCTGGAGTGCAGTGGCGCGATCTCGGCTCACTGCAAGCTCCGCCTCTTGGGTTCACGCCATTCTCCTGCCTCAGCCTCCCGAGTAGCTGGGACTACAGGCGCCCGCCACCACGCCCGGCTAATTTTTTGTATTTTTAGTAGAGACGGGGTTTCACCGTGTTAGCCAGGATGGTCTCGATCTCCTGACCTCGTGATCCGCCCGCCTCGGCCTCCCAAAGTGCTGGGATTACAGGCGTGAGCCACCGCGCCCGGCGCCTGTTTTCTTAAGGTATGGACGGACAGATGCCCGGCAATCCCAAGGGCTGTGTGGGGTGACCAGGAGTGATGGAAAAAATCTTATCTAGTTAAAGGTTTGGCAAATGTCCACTGAGGGATCTTGATGTGCCAGGCACTGTGCCAAGCAGGATACCAAGGAGATAGGGCATAGTTTCCGTTCCTAGGAATCCACAGTCAGCCTCATGACTTTGGCTGGGGATACTCTTTGTTATGAGACCTACAGCCAACCAGTCTGGGAGTCCAAGACTGTCCAGATGGTTTGGGCTTCTGGTTGCCCACTCAGTATGGCTAGCTTGCCACCAGCAGAGAGACAGAAGTTAGTCTCTTAGCTGTCCTCCTTAGCTGACCAGGGCCCGGAGGGTGCATACATCTTGTTTCAATCCCTGGATCTGTGGTTCTTCTTGTCAGCAGACAAGACCAGCAGTGTCTGCCTTGTTCTACACTATGAGTTTGCTTCAAGCCTCTGCTCTCCAGGAAAGCATTGACAGTATTTCTTAGGAATAATATCTATATAAGAAAGCCCTCAAGGAAGGCAAGAAACAAGCTTGGTAATGGGCTGAAGGGAAGAGGGCAGAGTTCTAGGAGGGAATGAGCAATGCTGTGTATAAAAAAGCACAGTATAAGCAGTGGAACATGCAATAAAAGGCATTGCACCAATTTTCCTTGTAAGGCAATGGTAACATATAAAGAATGAATTCAATCTCAACACCTCAAAACCTATAAGAAGCAAGGTGCAGACACCATGACCCCTTATTTAGTAGACATTTTGGGGTTCTGTGGGTATATTAGATTAAGCAGACACGGAAGAATTTTGTTATTGTCACTATGGTTAAAAGTAATTTGAGGTGTCCATTCCAAGATGGCTGAATAGGAACAGCTCTGGTCTGCAGCTCCCAGCATGATTGATGCAGAAGATGGGTGATTTCTGCATTTCCAACTGAAGTACCTGGTTCATCTCATTGAGACTGGTTGTAAAGCGGATACAGCCCACGGAGGGCAAGCTGAAGCAGGGCGGGGCGTCACTTTACCCTGGAAGCACAAGGGGTCATGGGGTTTCCCTTTCCTAGCCAAGGGAAGCTGTGACAGACAGCACCTAGAAAAACGGGACACTCCTGCTCAAATACTGCGCTTTTCCAACGTTCTTAGCAAACAGCACACCAGGAGATTATATCCCCCGCATGGCTTGGCAGGTCCCACGCCCATGAAGCCTTGTTCACTGCTAGCTCAGCAGTGAGATCAACCTGCAAGGCAGCGGCCCAGCAGGGGGAGGGGCGTCTGCCATTGCTGAGGCTTGAGTAGGTAAACAAAGTGGCCTGGAAGCTCGAACTGGGCGGAGCCAACCACAGCACCACAAGGCTTGCTGCCTCTATAGACTCCACCTCTGGGGGCAGGGCATAGTTGAACAAAAGGCAGCAGAAACTTCTGCAGACTTAAATGTCCCTGTTTGACAGCTCTGAAGAGAGCAGTGGTTCTCCCAGCACCGTGTTGGAGCTCTGAGAACAGACAGACTGTCTCCTCAACTGGGTCCCTGACTCCCGTGTAGCCTAAGTGGGAGACACCTCCCAGTAGGGGCAAACTGACACATCATACAGCCGGGTGCCCCTCTGAGACAAAGCTTCCAGAGGAAGGATCAGGCAGCAACATTTGCTGTTCTGCAGCCTCTGCTGGTGATACCCAGGCAAACAGGGTCTGGAGGGCACCTCCAGCAAACTCCAACAGAACTGCAGCTGAGGGACCTGACTGTTAGAAGGAAAACTAACAAACATAAAGGAATAGCAACAACATCAACAAAAACGACATCCACACCAAAACCCCATCTGTAGGTCACCATCATCAAAGACCAAAGGTAGATTAAACCACAAAGATGGGGAGAAACCACAGCAGAAAAGCTGAAAATCCTAAAAACCAGAGTGCCTCTTTTCCTCCAAAGGATAGCAGCTCCTTGCCAGCAATGGAACAACCCTGGATGGAGAAAACTTTCATGAGTTGACAGAAGTAGGCTTCAGAAGGTCAGTAATAACAAACTTCTCTGAGCTAAAAGAGGATGTTCGAACCCGTCGCAAGGAAGCTAAAAACCTTGAAAAAAGATTAGATGAATGGCTAACTAGAACGAACAGTGTAGGGAAGACCTTAAATGACCGGATGGAGCTGAAAACCATGGCACGAGAACTACATGACACATGCATAAGCTTCAATAGCTGATTCAATCAAGGGGAAGAAAGGGTATCAGTGACTGAAGATCAAATTAATGAAATAAAGTGAGAAGTTTAGAAAAAAAGAGTAAAAATAAATAAAGCCTCCAAGAAATATGGGACTATGTGAAAAGACCAAATCTATGTTTGATTGGTGTATCTGAAAGTGACAGGGAGAATGGAACCAAGTTGGAAAACACTCTGCAGGATATTATCCAGGAGAACTTCCCCAACCTAGCAAGGCAGGTCAACATTCAAATTCAACAAATACAGAGAACACCACTAAGATACTTCAGAAGAGCAACTCCACGACACATAATTGTCATATTCACCAAGGTTGAAATGAAGGAAAAAATGTTAAGGGCAGCCAAAGAGAAAGGTTTCGTTACCCACAAAGGGAAGCCCATCAGACTAACAGTGGGTCTCTCGGCAGAAGCTCTACAAGCCCGAAAAGAGTGGAGGCCAATATTCAACATTCTTAAAGAAAAGAATTTTCAACCCAGAATTTCATATCCAGCCAAACTAAGCTTCATAAGTGAAGGAGAAATAAAATCCTTTACAGACAAGCAAATGCTGAGAGATTTTGTCACTACCAGGCCTGCCTTACAAAAGCTCCCAAAGGAAGCACTAAACATGGAAAGGAACAACTGGTACCAGCCACTGCAAAAACATACCAAATTGTAAAGACCATTGAGGCTAGGAAGAAACTGCATAAAGTAATGGGCAAAATAACCAGCTAACATCATAATGGCAGGATCAAATTCACACATAACAATATTAACCTTAAATGTAAATGGGCTAAATGCCCCAATTAAAAGACACAGATGGGCAAATTGGATAGAGTCAAGTCCTATCAGTGTGCTGTATTCAGGAAACCCATCTCACGTGCAGAGACACACATAGGCTCAAAATAAAGGGATGGAGGAAGATCTACCAAGCAAATGGAAAGCAAAAAAAAAGGAGGGGTTGCAATCCTAGTCTCTGATAAAACAAACTTTAAACCAACAAAGATCAAAAGACACAAAGAAGGCCATTACATAATGGTAAAGGGATCAATTCAACGAGAAGAGCTAACTATCCTAAATATATATGCACCCAATACAGGAGCACCCAGATTCATAAAGCAAGTCCTTAGAGCCGGAGACTTTAACACCCCACTGTCAATATTAGACAGATCAATGAGACAGAAGGTTAACAAGGATATCCAGGACTTGAACTAAGCTCCGCACCAAGCAGACCTAATAGTCATCTACAGAACTCTCCACCCCAAATCAACAGAATATCCATTCTTCTCAGCATCACATCACACTTATTCCAAAATTGACCACGTAGTTGAAGTAAAGCACTCCTCAGCAAATGTAAAAGAACAGAAACCACCACAAACTGTCTCTCAGATCACAGTACAATCAAATTAGAACTCAGGATTAAGAAACTCACTCAAAACCAAACAACTACGTGGAAACTGAACAACCTGCTCCTGAATGACTACTGGGTACATAACGAAATGAAGGCAGAAATAAAGATGTTCTTTGAAACCAATGAGAAAAAAGACACAACATACCAGAATCTCTCGGACACATTTAAAGCAGTGTGTAGAGGGAAATTTATAGCACTAAATGCCCACAAGAGAAAGCAGGAAAGATCTAAAATCGACACCCTCACATCACAATTAAAAGAACTAGAGAAGCAGAAGCAAACAAATTCAAAAGCTAGCAGAAAGCAAGCAATAACTAAGATCAGAGCAGGACTGAAGGAAATAGAGACACAAAAGCCCTCCAAAAAAATCAATGAATCCAGCAGTTGGTTTTTTGAAGACATCAATAAAAAATTTTTTTTTTGGATTTTAAATTATTATTATTTTTTTATTTTATTATTATTATACTTTAAGTTTTAGGGTACACGTGCACAATGTGCAGGTTAGTTACGTATGTATACCTGTGCCATGCTGCTGTGCTGCACCCATTAACTCATCATTTAGCATTAGGTATATCTCCTAATGCTAGGCCTCCCCGCTCCCCCCACCCCACAACAGACCCCCATCAATAAAATTGATAGACCGCTAGCAAGACTAATAAAGAAAAAAACAGGGAGCCAAGATGGCTGAATAGGAACAGCTCCAGTCTACAGCTCCCAGCATGAGTGACGCAGAAGATGGGTGATTTCTGCATTTCCAACTGAGGTACCAGGTTCTTCTCACTGGGGAGTGCCAGACAGTGGGTGCAGCACACCATGCATGAGCTGAAGCAGGGTGAGGCATCACCTCACCCGGGAAGCATAAGGGGTCAGGGAATTCCCTTTCCTAGTCAAAGAAAGGGGTGACAGATGGCACCTGGAAAATTGGGTCACTCCTACCCTAATACTGCGCTTTTCCGATGGGCTTAACAAACAGCACACCAGGAGATTATATCCCACACCTGGCTCAGAGGGTCCTACGGCCACGGAGCCTCGCTCATTGCTAGCACAGCAGTCTGAGATCAAACTGCAAGGCAGCAGTGAGGCTAGGGGAGGGGCGCCCGCCATTGCCAAGGCTTGAGTAGGTAAACAAAACAGCCAGGAAGCTCGAACTGGGTGGAGCCTGCCACAGCTCAAGGAGGCCTGCCTGCCTCTGTAGGCTCCACCTCTGGGGGCAGGGAACAGACAAACAAAAGGCAGCAGTAACCTCTGCAGACTCAAATGTCCCTGTCTGACAGCTTTGTAGAGAGTAGTGGTTCTCCCAGCACGCAGCTTGAGATCTGAGAATGGGCAGACTGCCTCCTCAAGTGGGTCCCCGACCCCCAAGTAGCCTAACTGGGAGGCATCCCCCAGTAGGGGCGGACTGACACCTCACATGGCTGGGTACTCCTCTGAGACAAAACTTCCACAGAAACGATCAGGCAACAGCATTTGCGGTTCACCAATATCCGCTTTTCTGCAGCCTCCGCTGCTGATACCCAGGCAAACAGGGTCTGGAGTGGACCTCCAGCAAACTCCAACAGACCTGCAGCTGAGGGTCCTGACTGTTAGAAGGAAAACTAACAAACAGAAAGGACATCCACACCAAAAACCCATCTGTACATCACCATCATCAAAGACCAAAGGTAGGTAAAACCACAAAGATGGGGAAAAAACAGAGCAGAAAAACCAGACACTCTAAAAATCAGAGCGCCTCTCCTCCTCCAAAGGAACGCAGCTCCTCACCAGCAATGGAAAAAAGCTGGATGGAGAATGACTTTGACGAGTTGAGAGAAGAAGGCTTCAGAAGATCAAACTACTCCGAGTTAAAGGAGGAAGTTTGAACCAATGGCAAAGAAGTTAAAAACCTTGAAAAAAAATTACACGAATGGATAATTAGAATAATCAATGCAGAGAAGTCCTTAAAGGAACTGATGGAGCTGAAAACCACAGCACGAGAACTACATGACGAATGCACAAGCCTCAGGAGCCAATGCAATCAACTGGAAGAAAGGGTATCAGCGATGGAAGACGAAATGAATGAAATTAAGTGAGAAGAGAAGTTTAGAGAAAAAAGTATAAAAAGAAATGAACAAAGCCTCCAAGAAATATGAGACTAAGTGAAAAGACCAAATCTACGTCTGATTGGTGTACCTGAAAGTGACGGGGAGAATGGAACCAAGTTGGAAAACACTCTGCAGGATATTATCCAAGAGAACTTCCCCAATCTAGCAAGGCAGGCCAACATTCAAATTCAGGAAATACAGAGAACGCCACTAAGATACTTCTCGAGAAGAGCAACTCCAAGACACATAATTGTCAGATTCACCAAAGTTGAAATGACGGAAAAAATGTTAAGGGCAGCCAGAGAGAAACGTGGGGTTACCCACAAAGGGAAGCCCATCAGACTAACAGCTTATCTCTCGGCAGAAACTCTACCAGCCAGAAGAGAGTGGGGGCCAATATTCAACATTCTTAAAGAAAAGAATTTTTAACCCAGAATTTCATATCCAGCCAAACTAAGCTTCATAAGTGAAAGAGAAATAAATTCCTTTACAGACAAGCAAATGCTGAGAGATTTTGTCACCACCAGGCCTGCCCTAAAAGAGCTCCCAAAGGAAGCACTAAACATGGAAAGGAACAACTGGTACCTGCCACTGCAAAAACATGACAAATTGTAAAGACCATCAAGGCTAGGAAGAAACTGCATCAACTAACGAGCAAAATCACCAGCTAACATCAAAATGACAGGATCAAATTTACACATAACAATATTAACCTTAAATGTAAATGGGCTAAATGCTCCAATTAAAAGACACAGACTGGCAGATTGGATAAAGAGTCAAGACCCATGAGTGTGCTGTATTCAGGAAACCCATCTCACGTGCAGAGACACATATAGGCTCAAAATAAAGGGATGGAGGAAGATCTACCAAGCAAACGGAAAACAAAAAAAGGGAGGGGTTCCAATCCTAGTCTCTGATAAAACAGACTTTAAACCAACAAAGATCAAAAGAGACAAAGAAGGCCATTACATAATGGTAAAGGGATCAATTCAACAAGAAGAACTAACTATCCTAAATATATATGCACCCAATACAGGAGAACCCAGATTCATAAAGCAAGTCCTTAGAGACCTACAAAGAGACTTAGACTCCCACACAATAATAATGGAGACTTTAACACCCCACTGTCAACATTAGACAGATCAACGAGACAGAAAGTTAACAAGGATATCCAGGAACCGAACTCAGCTCTGCACCAAGCGGACCTAATAGACATCTACAGAACTCTCCACCCCAAATCAACAGAATATACATTCTTTTCAGCACCACAACACACCTATTCCAAAATTGACCACATAGTTGGAAGTAAAGCACTCCTCAGCAAATGTAAAAGAACAGAAATTATAACAAACCATCTCTCAGACCACAGTGCAATCAAACTAGAACTCAGGATTAAGAAACTCACTCAAAACCACTCAACTACATGGAAACTGAACAACCTCCTCCTGAATGACTACTGGGTACATAACGAAATGAAGGCAGAAATAAAGATGTTCTTTGAAACCAATGAGAACAAAGACACAACATACCAGAATGTCTGGGACACATTCAAAGCAGTGTGTAGAGGGAAATTTACAGCACTAAATGCCCACAAGAGAAAGCAGGAAAGATCTAAAATTGACACCCTAACATCACAATTAAAAGAACTACAGAAGCAAGAGCAGACACATTCAAAAGCTAGCAGAAGGCAAGAAATAACTAAGATCAGAGCAGAACTGAAGGACATAGAGACACAAAAATCCCTTCAAAAAATCAATGAATCCAGGAGCTGGTTTTTTGAAAAGATCAACAAAATTGATAGACCACTAGCAAGACTAATAAAGAAGAAAAGAGAAAAGAATCAAATAGACGCAATAAAAAATGACAAAGGGGATATCACCCCCGATCCCACAGAAATACAAACTACCATCAGAGAACACTATAAACATCTCTACGCAAATAAACTAGAAAATCTAGAAGAAATGGATAAATTCCTCAACACATACACCCTCCCAAGACTACACCAGGAAGAAGTTGAATCTCTGAATAGACCAATGACAGGCTCTGAAATTGAGGCAATAATTAATAGCTTACCAACCAAAAAAAGTCCAGGACCAGATGGATTCACAGTCGAATTCTACCAGAGGTACAAAGAGGAGCTGGTACCATTCCTTCTGAAACTATTCCAATCAATAGAAAAAGAAGGAATCCTCCCTAAGTCATTTTATGAGGCCAGCATCATCCTGATACCAAAGCCTGGCAGAGACACAACAAAAAAAGAGAAGTTTAGACCAATATCCCTGATGAACATTGATGCAAAAATCCTCAATAAAATACTGACAAGCCAAATCCAGCAGCACATCAAAAAGCTTATCCACCACAATCAAGTGGGCTTCATCCCTGGGATGCAAGCCTGGTTCAACATATGCAAATCAATAAATGTAATCCATCACATAAACAGAACCAATGACAAAAACCACATGATTATCTCAATAGATGCAGAAAAGGCCTTTGACAAAATTCAACAGTCCTTCATGCTAAAAACTCTCAATAAGCTAGGTATTCATGGAACATATCTCAAAATAATAAGAGCTATTTATGACAAACCCACAGCCAATATCATACTGAATGGGCAAAAACTGGAAGCATTCCCTTTGAAAACTGGCACAAGACAGGGATGCCCTCACCACTCCTATTCAACATACTGTTGGAAGTTCTGCTCAGGGCAATCAGGCAGGACAAAGAAATAAAGGGTATTCAATTAGGAAAAGGGGAAGTCAAATTGTCCAGGTTTGCAGATGACATGACTGTATATTTAGAAAACCCCATAATCTCAGCCCAAAATCTCAAGCTGATAGGCAACTTCAGCAAAGTTTCAGGACACAAAATGAATGTGCAAAAATCACAAGAATCCCTATACACCAATAACAGACAAACAGCCAAATCATGAGTGAACTCCCATTCACAATTGCTACAAAGAGAATAAAATACCTAGGAATCCAACTTACAAGGGATGTGAAGGACCTCTTCAAGGAGAACTACAAACCACTGCTCAATGAAATAAAAGAAGACACAAAAAAATGGAAGAATATTCCATGCTCATGGATAGGAAGAATCAATATCATGAAAATGGCCATACTGCCCAAAGTTATTATAGATTCAATGCCATCCCCATCAGGCTACCAACAACTTTCTTCATAGAATTGGAAAAAACTACTTTAAATTTCATATGGAACAAAAAAAGAGCCCGCATTGCCAAGACAATCTTAAGCAAAAAGAACAACATTGGAGGCATCATGCTACTTGACTTCAAACTATACTACAAGGCTACAGTAACCAACACAGCATGGTACTGGTACCAAAACAGAGACATAGACCAATGAAACAGAACAGAGGCCTCAGAAATAACCCCACTCATCTACAACCATCTGATCTTTGACAAACCTAACAAAAACAAGAAATGGGGAAATGATTCCCTCTTTAATAAAGGTGCTGGCAAAACTGGCTAGCCATATGTAGAAAGCTGAAACTGGATCCCTTCCTTACACCTTATACAAAAATTAATTCAAGATGGATTAAAGACTTAAATGTTAGACCTAAAACCATAAAAGCCCTAGAAGAACACCTAGGCAATACCATTCGGAACATAGGAATGGGCAAAGACTTCATGACTAAAATACCAAAAGCAATGGCAACAAAAGCCAAAACTGACAAATGGGATCTAATTAAACTAAAGAGCTTCTGCACAGCAAAAGAAACTACCATCAGAGTGAACAGGCAACCTACAGAATGGGAGACAATTTTTGCAATCTACCCATCTGACAAAGGGCTAATATCCAGAATCTACAAAGAGCTTAAACAAATTTACAAGAAAAAAGCAAACAACTCCATCAAAAAGTAGGCAAAGGATATGAACAGACACTTCTCAAAAGAAGACATTTATGCAGCCAACAGACACATGAAAAAATGCTCATCATCACTGGTCATAAGAGAAATGCAAATCAAAACCACAATGAGATACCATCTCATGACAGTCAGAATGGCGATCATTAAAAAGTCAGGAAACAACAGATGCTAGAGAGGATGTGGAGAAACAGGAATGCTTTTACACTGTTGGTTGGAGTGTAAACTAGTTGAACCATTGTTGAAGACAGTGTGGCAATTACTCAAGGATCTAGAACTAGAAATACCATTTGACCCAGCCATCCCATTACTGGGTATACACCCAAAGGATTATAAGTCATGCTACTATAAAGACATCTGCACGTGTATGTTTACTGTGTCACTACTCACAATAGCAGACTTGGAACCAACCCAAATGTCCATCAATGATAGACTGGATTAAGAAAACGTGGCACATATACACCATGGAATACTATGCAGCCATAAAAAAGGATGAGCTCATGTCCTTTTTGCAGGGACATGGATAAAGCTTGAAACCATCATTCTGAGCCAACTATCACAAGGACAGAAAACCAAACACCGCATGTTCTTACTCATATGTGGGAAGTGAACAATGAGAGCACTTGGACACAAGGAGGGGAACATCACACACCGGGGCCTGTCATGGGGTGAGGGGCTGGGGGAAGGATAGCATTAGGAGAAATACCTACTGTAAATGACAAGTTAATGGGTGCAGCAAACCAACATGGCACATGTATACCATCGTAACAAACCTGCATATTGTACACATGTACCCTAGAACTTAAAGTATAATAATAAAAAAAGTAATTTGTACAAACTAGAAATACTAAAGGGAAAAATAAAGTGAATTCCTGGAAAAATTAACTCCATTTATTATTAATGCTCAGTGGGAAAATCATTTAAGTAATTTACTGCTGCCTATATGGATGCAGACATTAACCCATGCAATGATGATTAATAGCATTGTTCAGAGAAATTTACCTCTACAGATGCAAAGAATGAAAATTTACTGAGGCTTCTAGTCAGTCACAAACCACTATTGCTCTTCATATTCTTTCTTGATTAAGAAAATGAACTGAACGAAGATTCTATCACACAAACCTATAATTATACTTTTTTTTTTTTTTTGAGACAGAGTCTTGCTCTGTTGCCCAGACTAGAGTGCAGTGGCGTGATCTCAGCTCACTGCAACCTCTACCTCCCAGGTTGGAGAAATCTCCTGCCTCAGCCTCCTGAGTAGCTGGGATTACAGGCGCCCGCCACCATGGCTGGCTAATTTTTGTATTTTTAGTAGAGATGGGGTTTCACCATCTTGGCCAGGCTGGTCTCGAACTCCTGACCTCCTGATCTACCCACCTAGGCACATGCCTGTAGTCCCAGCTACTTGGTAGGCTTAGTTGGAAGGATCACCTGAGCCCAGGGAGGTCAAGGCTGCAATGAGCCATGATGATGCCACTGTATTCTAGTCTAGGCCAAAGTGCGACCCTGTTTCAAAAAAATAAAGATTCATAGATGTAGGATGCTTGCATGAAAAATGGTGTGAGCTCCACGAGGGCAGGTGCTTGGTCAGTCATGTTCACAGTTGTATCTTTAGTATCAAGAGCTGTGCCTGGGATATGATAGATGCATGATAAATAGCTGTTGAGGGATGAATGAATGCTGAATGTTGACTAATTGGCTGGCCCAGTCATCCCTGCATCTTCTCTCTCAGCTTTTTTTTTGCAGGGTACTTCCCTCCAACTTTCTTTTCACTCAGGGCTGTGTGGTACCTCACCTTTCCCATGTCTCTCCTTCCTATTTACTTTTGTCTAGCCAATTTATGGGGTTGCTCAGCAAATGTTTTGACTCTAATTGGGAAAACAAGCTCTTAGTGCCATCATTGTCACCTGGCCCAGACTCCCAAAACAAGCCTGGTGTTGAAGGAAATGTCAACTGAAAAGGTTTGGTCCGCCCCTCTGGTAGACCAAAAACAACACATCTGGGTACTGAATCTGAGTTTTTTCATTGTCTTTCCAGAGAAACCCCTCCTGATCCCCTGCTCAGAGCCACTTCCACCTTCAATGGCTCTAGAATTCTGTAAGACAGCAGCTCTCTATTACCTAAAACAAAAGTGGAAAATTTAAATGATACTTAAACTGGAGTCACTCTCTTCTGAAAGTGGAGGATGAGAAAACCAGACTCAATTTCTTTATCTGTAATATGAAAGAGTTGGTTTAGATTAGTGGTATTCCATGGGCAAAATCTGTCCTACAGTGTGTCATGATTTGCCCATTGTACCAGGGTTCTCCAGAGAAATGGAACCAATCAGATATAGATGAAGATATGTCAGTATCTATAGATATGTAAGAGGAAATTTTTATGGGAATTGGCTCATGTGATTATGGAGGTAGAGAAGTCCCATCCTATGCCACGTGCAAGCTGGAGAACCAGGGAAGCTGGTGGTATAATTCAGTTGGAGTCCAAATGTCTGAGAACCAAGGAAGCTGATGGTATAACTTTCAGGCCAAGGCCAAACGCCTGAGATTCTAGGAGGCCACTGGCATAAGTCTGAGTTTGAAGGCCCAAGAACCTGGAGTTCTGATGTCCAAGGGCTGGAGAAGATGGATGGCCCACCTCCAGCAGACAGCATGAATTCACCTTTCCTCTGCCTTTTTGTTCTATTCTAGGCCTTGAAGGATTAAATGGTGCCCACTCACATGGAGTGAGGTTGGCTCTTCCTTACTCAGTCCACTCATTCAAATGCCAGTCTCCTCCAGAAACACCCTCACAGACACCGAAATAATGCTTTACCAGCGACCTGGTATATTAGTCCATTCTTACACTGCTATAAAGAAGTACCTGAAACTGGGTAATTTATAAAGAAAGAGGTTTAATTGATTCACAGTTCTGCAGGCTGTACAGGAAGCATGGCTGGAGGTCTCAGAAAACTTTCAATCATGGCAGAAGGCAAATCAAATGCACCTTACATGGCCAGAGCAGGAGTAAGAGAGAGAAGGGGGAGGTGCTACATACTTTAAAATAACCAGATCTCGTGAGAAGGAACACACTCTAATGAGTGTCGCAAGGGGGAAGTCCGCCGCCACGATCCAATCACCTCCCACCAGGTCCCTCCACCAACACTGGGCTGGAGACACAAATCCAAATCATATCACCTGGGTATCCCTTAACCCAGTAAGATCACATCTAAAATTAACCATCACACCTATAGAAAAAACTTCTAAAACATGAATTAGTTGCCAACATTTAAAAACCAGGAAATTTCACAGAGAAACTAATCAAAGCTGGAGCGGAGTCAGATTCCCTCTCTAGTGGGGCTGTGTGCTCTCCCCCTGTCTTCTCTACTCCCTACCTTCTTTCGCTTTGTTTAGAGTCTTTGAGGCCCATGTGATCCGCTGGGGTGGCATGCCTGCCTAACTCTCACTGTTCTGCCTGATTCCTGTGGGGACATTGGGATCTCTGAAGTCAGTGACTAAAATCAATTCTAGCTCTCTGATTCTGGGGTATTTTAACAAGTCATTGCTGAAACATTGCAGAGTATTCCTCTATCGTGATACTCAAAGTACCTACAAATGCTCTGAGGACATTGTTAAGATGCAGATTCTAATCCAGTAGGTCTGGTATGGGGCCTGAGAGGTTGTATTTCCATCAAGCCTCCCTGTGATGTTGATGTGCAGACCACATTTTGCAGCAAGGCCCCCTACTTGCCTCCGAATTCTCTTCCGTTAGAGTTTTGGAGATTAGAGTCAGCCAGGGAGTGTTTTAAAAATATACCAATACCCAGTCTGCATGCCCAGAGATTTGAATTATTTAGTTTGGGGTGGGCCCAGGGATTGGTATTTTTTTTAATGTCTCAGATTATTCTAATATGTCTTCAGGATTAAGAACCACTGCACTGGGCCGGGTGCGGTGGCTCACGCCGGTAATCCCAACATTTTGGAAGGCCGAGGCAGGTGGATCACAAGGTCAGGAGATCAAGACCATCCCGGCCAACATGGTGAAACCCCATTTCTACTAAAAATACAAAAATTAGCTGGGCGTGGTGGTGTGTGCCTATAATCCCACCTACTCAGGAGGCTGAGGCAGGAGAATCGCCTGAACCAGGGAGTCAGAGGTTGCAGTGAGCCAAGATTGCACCATTGCACTCCAGCCTGGTGATACAGCGAAACTCCATCTCAAAAAAAAAAAAAAAAAAAAAAAAAAACACACGCACACAAACAAACTAACTACTGCACTAAGTGGCATTCATCCTCAATATCAAACTTCAGCTTCTAGGCTGAATCTTAGCTTTAATATAAAGACATTAAATTTGTGTTGTTTTAAAAGGATAGACCATAGTGGTTACTGAGAGAGTTAGTGCGTTGCAGAGGGGCCCCTTGGTACCTCAGTTGAGTCCCACTTTCCCACCCATCTAAGTACCTTCAAGCTGCTGCTGCTCAGATTTCTGAGCCAGTTCTGTCACTTCATCAGCTGCCCTTGGCTTTGAACCCCCAGGAACAAAACCTGGTTACATCTCTCATGCCTTGGCTCACTGGCCTGAATTTCTCAACTTCAAAGTGAAAACCTTCTAACAAACTTTTAACACAAGCCTCCATGTCTCTCTCCAAGGACTCCTGAGGCCTGGCACACCTTTTCAAGTTTATTCACTTCCACCTACATCCTTACAATAATCTAGGAGGGCTCAACAGAGGGACTGGAGGTCAGGAGCGACCACAAAGAGAAAACATCTAGATGAAGTCTTTAAGAATAAAAAGAAGTCATTCTTTTAACTGAATAAGGTGAAGATGGCCACTCCTACATCTTAATAGACAAAGCCATATAAAAACAAGGAATTGTGTCTTTGCCCTTAGTTCCCGGTATGGAAATGTCCCATATTTGATACATGCTTGATAAATCCCTGTAAGTTAATTCATGGAGTGGAGTTGCTTCTGTGAGACTGCTTGTTCTGACCAAGTGAAATCAGGTGTGGAAGGCAACTACGGCTTAACTGCGTTTAAGTGAGACTCCCTGAACCTGCTCACAGCCTGGGCCTGGCTGTCCCTATTTCTCCTCGGCTCCCTGAATGCATTTCTTTTAGTGCACTGAGGGAAAGGTACACGCATGACTGTTACTTCTTGCCCCATCCCTTCTACACATACACATATCTTTCCTCTTCCCTGGTTTCTAGGTTTGGGCTCCAACTCTTAGTATGAAGACCATTTGTAAGCATACCTCGCTGAAAAATATGGTGAAAATTATTCCACACATAACATCACTTACACCTAGCCACCTCACTTCCTCCAGGATACGGGGCTTTGTTTTCCAGAAACTGCCAAGAATTTATGACCTTGAACCTGTTGACAGGTAGTTGAGGAATGGGATCTTAGAGTCTGTGGGAAAGGAGTATGCCACTCCCTGGACCACTCTGGGCCCAGGACACACCCTCTACACTTCCCCTATGCCCCAAGGCCTTTCAGAAGCTGAGAAACAGCCAGAGGCTTGATAGCTGTCCTATTTAGAGACAGGCTGGACTCTTCCCACCCCTATCTTCAGAGGAATGGAACTAGAACTTACTACTTCTTGGTGCCTATAAAAACAGGCACATGACTTTTTTGGTCTCTCAGAACTACTGCCTCTTTCCTGATGAAGAAAAGAGGGCAAGATGACTTGGCTCGGTGGGGGAGTTTGCTCTCTCCTCTGAAAGTTTTGTGATATTTCTCTTCCTTCATTTTGTTGTCCAAAATCTTCCATCTCCCAGCTAGAATGTTATTATAGAATTCATAAGGCCTGTCTGCTGAGAGAAGTTTAAAAGAATACTCATGTAGAAAGTCCAATAAATGTTTAATAAGCATCACCACAAGCTAGGAAGGGACACTGGAGACAAAGTGGTGAATAAGATGGCATGGCCCTTGCCCTCTCCCAGCTTACAGTTTAGGGAGAACTAATTTGCATTATTTAGTATACCGGAGCCCATGCAACTGAAGACAATATTGTTTGGAGTGGAATTGACCAACAGGCTTCAACTTATTTACAATTATATAGATTTTAACTTTTTGCTTTGCCATTTTCAATTCTCCCTGCCAGTCTTAGTTATACTAAGATTTACTTCTTTCTTCTCGGGATCTTAATTTTGATTCATCAATTAGCCAGGGTACATCCTCAAATAATTTTTTCAAGATGAAATACATAGGAGGTGTATTTTTGAAATCTTTGTCTAGAAATGTACTTCTGTTGCCTTAACAGATGAAAAACAATGTGTATAATATTCTTAGTTTATAAATTTTCCCTTCAACATCTTGTAAACACAGCACCATTATTTTTCTGGCATTTACAGTTGCATAAACAAGTTGAAAGTTTCTCTGATTTTGTTCATTTGTGGTTATATTTTTCTGGCTAGATGCATGCAGATTTATTCACTTATCCTTGTAATTCAAGGTTTTGCTAGTTTTTTTTTTTTCCAGAATATTCTTTGGCTGAACCAAGGGGCTCTTTTCATCTATGAATCCAGGATCTTTTTTCTTCCCTGAAAAATTCTTTTTCATCATGATTATCACTTCTGTTCTAACTACTCTAGTTTATACACTTAATCTTAGCCCAAAGGCTGAGAAGCAATTAACTAACTACTCTAGGGTTTTTTTAATAAAAGAAATCTGCAGTTCTTGGTTGGCTCTCTGTATCCTTTGAATAATAGTTTCTTACCCACCATTTCTTTATTCATTTTAACATATTTCTTTTCCCCTGCTTTTCACTATCTTCTGGAACAATTTCTAGGCTTATCCTCCACATTACTGATTTAAATTCTACCCTGTTAGTTCTGCTGTTTATGACGCTGATGCAGATTTAAATTGTGCTACTCCAAGTATTGTTTCCTTGCAGTCCTATTTTACCACTCCCACTTCCCTTTCTTCTCAACATTTTCATTTTTATGTTGTATCATGTGGTATAGTTGTTGTATTGTTAGCCCTTCACTTCACAATGTTCCCATCTATGGCTTTCTGTTTCTGTTTCATTAAGGTCATGTATTATTGAGGATGCTATTTTCTAAAAATGAATTTAACTATTTTCTAAAAATTTATCCTTCCAGTAAGTCATTTCTATTATTATGCAGTCCCTCTAAGTCGTAGTTCTAAAGGTATCAGAATTATCTGGGGAATGTGTGAGATTGATTTCTGGCCCCCTCCTGAGAGATACTGAGATTCAGCAGGCTATGCTGGCACAGATGGTGCCCAGAACTCAAGCAGTTCCATGGTCCACTGGATTGCAGGTTCCGTTACCTTAGGTCTGTGAGACAGATGTGCACAGCATATAGCACAATTCCTGGTTACTCGCAGGCAAGCATTACATTGGCTCTGCTGGAAAGACATATAATTTTTCTCTCCTACTTTCAAGACTTGATCTTTGACATGCTAAACCAATCAAATACATTAAAAACTCAGATCCCCCGCAAGCACACTACCAGAGATTTTTGTCTCTGCCCTTGTCTACAGTGCTTTACGTGAGGAACCTAAATCAGCAATGCTCTACCACTGTCAGTCCCTAGCTGGGCTCTACCTGAACAAGCATATGTTGAGGTGGAGGAGGCAGCCAGGAGTTCCATGCTCAGCAGGGTGCCTACATCTTGTGTCTCTGAACAAAGCAGAAAAGGAAAGCAGAGAACAGTGTGTGAGATCTTCCACCCCATCTCAGGTGAGTGAATACAGCTGCCTTATGTTACAAAAGAAAGTGCAGCTAATTTGTGGATATTTTGCTAGATTATTCCTTCCCTTCAATTTGGATCCAGCAGCTATATTAATAATGCCTCTTTATCAAGTTGGAAGCTAAGAGAGGTAGCATCAGTTGCTAATAGATAGGTAGCACATTCCATAGGAAACGAAACTTATCAAGAATAATCCAAAATGGAATATAGGATGCTTTGGAAAGGGGGGAAAAAGGAGGGTAAGAAAATGGACTCTTCTTACCCAGTTGTTCTCACAATTGTGCTCCAATATCCAGGTGGTTGCAGATCATTCCTTTTACTTGTCTTTCTTTTCCTTTCGTCTTGTATATTACCACGGAGCTTTCTCTTATTTCTCCTCCTCCCTTTCAAACCAGACTGTCCCTGGAAGGAAATTTCATGCTCTACTTCCTCTAGTCCTAGAACCTCAGAGCTCTTTGGAAGACTCTTTCTTTGCCCCAGGGAACTTACTTAAACCTGCCTCAGCAGCAAGTGCCTTTCCTCAGGTAGATGCAAATACTGCTGCTTTCTATCAATTTCTTTTCTACCCACACACTTTTCCAATTACCTCCCCGAGCCTCCTTCTCTCCCCCATGCCACCTGGCTCCTTATACAGCTGTCATCACTTAGGTATATATTTTGTGCTTATGTGACTTATGTTATTGTGTATTTCCATTATATCTGTCCTATTTCCAGTTATATTGCACACTCATTTGGTCTTCCATCTCCTTTGTAACTTCTCACAGTCTGTTGTATGTGCCCACACATGGAGGTCCCTCAGATTGAGATGATTACATATTTCCTTTTGCACACACACCCCCAACTATAATGACAGGTCTTTTTCTTCTGCAGTTTCTCTGTTTCTTAACCATTTCTAATTTCCCTGGTACTAGAAGTCAGAAAACCTTTGTTCTTCTCCACTTGTTTCTACTACCCTGTAACTTTATTTGAGTCATTTAACATTGGTGAGCTGTGGACTCTAACACACCTTTCCAGGGTGAGGTGGGGGGTGGGGTGAGGATTATAATGGCTTCCCCTTAGGGTTTCTGGTCACTACTGCTAATGAGTTCCCACTGGGTTCCAAGGTCAGCTGAGGTTTCAGAACTCCTGATCAGCAATTTTTTTGTTGTTTGACATTCCCCTGTTTCTGGGTCACTAGAGTACATATTGACTGAGATGTCTTCCTGCCTTCACAACAGGTGAGCATAGCTCTTCAAATAGGAAGCCCTTGGCCTTATAAAAGTCATAAGAAACACTGTCTGCAGGGTGTCTGAGGTCTCTGGAGGCCAGCAATACCTCTTCTGAGCACACTGGTTTAAAGGGCAGGATGGGAAAGGACATCCTGAATGATACAGGCAAGTCTTTCCATATGGGGAGGAGGAATACAGCCCATGGTTCAAGCTCCCACTTATATTCCCTGCCCAGAACCAAATCATTCCCAAATTCTCAAATTGGTTATAGTACTAAACCCCCAGTGCAGTCATACAGTATCTTCTATGGCTGCTATTTCATTGCAAAATATTGTGTACTTAGCCTTTATCCTAGGGTAGCTCAGTGGTGTCAAATTCCTTCCAGTAATAGCATTGGCTTTTCCAGTGCCTGATTCCAAATGAATCATATATGGTCTTATTTCTGAAATTGACATCAACTGATGTTAGGCCCAAGGTTTATATAATAGCTAAGATGTTTATGGACACTATCCCAATATAACCTTCTCTCAAGCCACAGTGTCCTCTCCAATGAGAGTTGAGTTGCAGTTCTAGGTGTCTACTGCTGGCTGGAGCCTCACTCAGTTTCTAGACATTCAAATCTAAGTCTTAGCATACTACGTGGTACAAAGTAGGTCCTCAAAAATATCTGTGGAGTAAAGGAATACATAAGCCCCAAGAGGAATCTTGATGAAAAATTATTTTCTAATTTCAGTGTGAAGTATATGGAAAGACTGGTTCTCTCCTCCAGATAGCAAGTGATTAAGAACAGCCAATTCCCTCATTCTCAAGTGTGACTTGGGCTGGAATACAGAGAGGGTTCCAACTTGCTAAGCAGTCTTGTTAACTCGATTCTCCCATTGCAGTTTCCTTTGGTGCCAGCTCCAATTGGCAGTTCCTGGAAGTTCCCAGCAACAGCATCTCCTGATGATGGTAATTACTATTGGCTGTTCTGGGAATGGCAGCCACTCCTATAAAATCTTCAGCGTCTGTTATGTCCCTGAAGATGCACCATGCAACATTTTCAGCACCATTCCTACAGAGCAGTCCAAAGCTGGAGCACTGCTCTTCGAGCAACTTCCATTTGTGGTTGCTCCAAGGCCTCAGCTGCCTTGCTGCTCAAAGTGTGGTCCATGGACTGGAAACACTGGAATCACTTGGGAGATTGTTAGAAAGGCAGGACCTTGGACTACACCCCAGACCTACTGAAACAGAATCTGCATTTTAACAAGATCCCAGGTGTTTCCTATGCACATTAAAGTTCAAGAAACATTTCCCCACTACAGTTCTAATTCAATAGGTCTAGGTCTAGGGTGGGGCCCCAAATTCTGCATTTTTGAACAAGGCCCTAAGTGATGATGCAGCTAGTCCAGGGACCACCCTTCAAGTAGCAGAGTTTAGATTCATTAGGGAAGAAAGAGTATGTAAATTCCCCACTCACCACCACCACCACCATCATCACCATCACCTGTGGCTGCTCCCAAAGGCAAGGGACAGATGACCAGTGCTTCCTTAGCCCACCAGGATACTGTTTTTCAGTCCCAGCTGCACACCAGACAGAATCACCTGGGCAGTTTTTAACAATACTGACTCCTTGGCCCATCACCAGAGTGTCTGGTTTGAATGATGTGGGAAGGAACCCAAATATTGGAATTGTTCAGCAATTCCTTAGGTGATTCTAATGGATGGAAAACTACTGGTCTTGGGTGAGCTCTTAAAATTAGTAAGGATGCTCTCTGCTTCCACCTTCCACCAAATTCTCTTACCTCTCTTGCAGGTCTAATCTCTTGTATCTGAAAGATTTTAGCTAAATTCCTAATTCTGCTTCAAGTGCAACAAGAACACTTGTGTAAATCAATTTCTACCAGTGCCTGGGTAGTATTCTAAGAAAACTCTAATAATGACTTGATGGTGCACTAGACAGATGATTCCCTTTCACAAGCTTCATGAAACTAATTCTGTAAAGTGCCACTCTTTAAACAACTCCAGGAGAAACCCTCGGTCTTCCTGTTTCACAAGTTGAGAGGAATTTCCTAAGAGAAAAACATGAGATTCAGCTTTCCTGTATCCTTGAGTTTCATCCTTAATCTCCAAGCTGGTTTATCAATTTTTTCTCACATCACTTCATTATATTTTATAGTCCTGTGGTCTTCTCAGGGAATTCCCGCAGGAGTTCCCTGGCTCCTCTCTTCATTCCTGAGGGCAGTGCTGGAGTTAGAGGGTGACAATTAATTACTTCCCTGCTTTTCTGCTCCAAGCCCCAAAGCAGTTGACAGGTAGACAAGAGAGGCTGGAGCTGTAAGCTGGGGCCAAGAATGTCTGCTCTATTGCTGATAAAGCTAGATGAAGAGCCCCAGTCTGCACCTAAGATTTCTCACACAGCCCTACTTAACATTTCCCAACCAAATTGCAGCCTCTCCCTTTGCCAAGACAAAGTCCAGTCCCAGAAAACTTCCAGAGACAGAGAAACCTTGCTTCTTGGAAAGTGAGAATGGAAGGGGTTGAACTGAACGTGTCCATTTCTCCATCCCAAACTCACCAATCAGAGAAGCAGGACGAGCAGAAAGGACGTCATCTTCCCAACACACAAAGAGGTGGCGGCAAAATGTCCCGCTGTAGGGTCAAGATGGGAACTCCAGGAGCGAGACTTACCACCAGGAGGTGGCCATCTTGCTCAGTGCTCCTCAGAAAGCAGGTGGCTGAGCTACAAATCCTGATTGGCCTTCAGAGATCTGGCAATGAAACAGCCAGCCAATCAGGCTCTCCCCTCAGTGCCACGGCCAAGCCCCTGTGAGGTCGCCCTGAGAGCACCATGAGTCCACTGTCTAGCCTGACAGTGGTTATCAGATGTGATGGACTTGGGGAGGGTTCCTATTTGCAGTAGAAATGTGGAGTGTTTTAAAAGAAATATATTTCTCTGGCATTTACACTCGGCCAGTGGCATTCTGTGTGGGCCAATGAGACCTTCAAAAGGGGCTGTAATTGAAAGAAGAAGTGCTAGGTGCCAAGCAGTTTTCCAGTAAAATGACTTAACAAGTCGTGGGTTTGTGGTGGGGGGGAGATATGCATGGGGAGGGGACCAGAAGAAGGGACAGACTTTTAAGAAGTCACTGGAAAATATTGTCTAGCCTAATTCCAGGGTAACAATACGAGTCCAAGGCCCTCTCTGCTTTGCTAAATGGAACTGTGGCTGAGGGGAGGAAGGGAGGGAGGGAGACTGGTGCCCACAGAGCAGGGAGGGCTTGAGGTTCACAGTGGATACATTGCTGACATTAAGCCAAGACCCAGCTAATTGCCTATGATTGTTTTCTCTTTTCACATTTACTCATCTAAGCTGGGGATGTCTCCCAGGCACCACAGATATAATTAGAGTTGGGTTTCTGTGTCTCTCAGACTTGGGCTCCTCTTTAAAAAGTTAGCAGAAATATAGAAATCTTTGGTTTTAAAAATATTCAAATGATTTTCTAGAAGCATCCTCAAAGTCAATAGATGTAAGTTTCATAGCAACTTATTTTCTAAAAATGAAAACAGAAAGTGGAAAGTCAGTACCATGAGGGGTGCAGAAAAATGGAAGCTAAGTAACTGTTCTATATAATTAATTGCATAAGGTATGGCTGTTTTCATTACCAAGTAGCCCTGAAGCCCCTTTAAGCTAATTAATGCAGCTAGAAGCAGTCAGGGATGTAGTAAGGGAAGTGAGATCTGCCTGATCCATTGCTATAAACAGGCCCTGTATTAGGACTTACGTATTTGTTTTCTTTTATTCCTCTGAACAAAAATACTTAAACTGTAAGTGGGGACTTTTCACAGCACAAAACTTGCATCATATGTTTAAAAGCTGTGGCAAAGTCATCTTTCGGCAGAAGTTGTGTAGCCTTAAACAAATCATGCCCTGGTGTGCGTCCTTCAGTAGAGGGATGGTTCTCAGGTTTACCATATGGTGCATGCAGTCAGTCTCATGACTCATTTTGGACTTGGCACTGGGAAGGGTTCAGAAAGGTGCAGAACATGCAAATGGCTTTGAGGATGAGTGCTCACTCCCCAGTAAGGGGATATCCCCGCCTGCATACAAATAGTCCAGGCCACTGTTTTCCAAACATAACAAACCTACAATGCTGTACCCTCTAGAAACTTCTGGATGCTCAGCAGTTCACCTCCTGGTTTAGTCCAAAACATTATGTCCAAAACATAATCTCTTTTTGAAGGACATTTAAGAAAATGCATTTTAAGCTTCACATTGGTCTCTTGATTTGTAATGACTTTCTCAAATATGTTTGAGAGGAGATGAAAGGAATTTTAAACTAGGTGGATTTCACAAAGTGAATTGGCTTCATCTGTGTACTCATGAAAACCATGAGCTTGAAAAGATCCTAAATGTCAACCAAAACACCACTGCAGATATGGAAGATCCACTGCAGATATGGAAACCCACATGGGCATACAACCTATTCTGGAACAGGCCTGAAATAGCTCAACTTCACGGAGTGCTTCAAAGCACTGCTGCAATTTTCTAAAAGTCTTTTGGTTAAGTAACAATGCTAAAGAAAAATAGAATTTTCCATGAACAGAAAAATAATGTTCAAGTTTATATCAGAGCAGGAATCAGCTTTTCTTTTCTGTGAATAACATTTGGGCCTGAAGCCAATAAATGTACCATTTGCATCCTGGTTTACATACACACACACACACACACACACACACACACACACACACACACACACACGGGGGAGGGTTTCTTACCCTGAGTATGAATCCCACTGGCTTGTCTTCAGAATGCAAACTGTAGGTCTAAGAAGTCATATGGTTTAATTTCAAGAACCTACTCAGGATTTGTCCGGGATGTAATGTACATGTTTCCCTAATCCTGTTTGGTTTTGCTAATATATATAATGATATCTTTAAGCTTGTGCCTAAGCTATGCCCACCACTGGGGGTCCAGTGAACAGCTAGGGCAGCCTAACCAAGCCAACGTGCGTAAGAACTGTGGACCCTATAGGATGAGTGAAGGGATCAAGGATCAGGAAGAGTTTGCCTCAGTCAGAAAAATCCTAGTTGTAGAATGGGAAGGAGGAATGTTGGACCACATACTGCTTTTATTTTATGACATTCCCCAACTGGACTCAGGTCTCACTTCTGGAGAAAATTGGCTGATGGTTAAACACTGAAAGAGCTCTATGTGGTGGGCATTTGTTGCTTTGTTTGCCTGGAACAGCACTGTCCTCTTTTTAGTAGGATTCTGATGGGGCTGCCAACCATAGTTCCTAATGCTTTGGCCACAGTGAATGGTCCAGTGATGGGCATACGACCGAACCATAGTCAATAGGCTCTTTCCTAAGATATTCCCTTTAAGAGCCCTCTGAGTTTTGTGGTTCTGAAGCTTTGAGGATGTAGGCCTAGGACTGGTGTTAGTGTTGAAGCTTCCAGCTTCATAGGGGCAAGTCTAAGGGAATAAGTTTAACACAGAGAAACAGAGACAAAACAACAACAACAACAAAAAAAGGAAACGAAGAGAGAAGAAGTGAGTTCTCTAACACTTGAGATTCTGAATCCAGTGGTTGCTGAAACGCTCTACCCACTGCCTTTTCCCTACTTTGGTTATATCAATCAATCAATAGCCTTCCCTTTGGTTAATTTAGGTTTCTAAATTTAAAATTGGGTTTCTCTGCCCCTGTATAAAATGTTGAGAACACAAACTGTGCCATTTGGGAGCTTCTCTAACAGAGGATTCACAAAAACCTCCTTGCCTCTGACTATTGTAAAACTTATGCTTCTCTGAGAATAAAAGAGGGTGCTATTAACAATTAACAATTATATGAGGACAACGGGCATAAGCTAGAAATATATGGCCACCCTTAGTGAAGGATCAAACTTGGCTTGTTGTTGTGGTTGGTGCCCAGCAGAATAGTGGCAAAGACTGTAATACCTGGTGGGGAACTGAGGTATCTGGTAAGAGATGGTGAACTCAGTTGGAGTGGACCATTCATGAGCTTGGAGGAACACTGAAGAAAACTCCTGGTCTGGCTGGGCACCGTGCCTCATGTCTGTAATCCTAGCACTTTGGGAGGCCAAGGCAGGAGGATTGCTTGAGCCCAAGAGTTCAAGACCAGCATGGGCAATGTGGCAAAAAAAAAAAAAAAAAAAAAAAGCCACGCCTGGTGGCATGCGCCTATAGTTTTAGCTACTCAGGAGGCTGAGATGGGAAGATCACTTAAGCCCACGAGGCAGAGGTTGCAGTGAGCTAAGATCATGCCACTGCACTCCAACCTGGGGGACAGAGTGAGACCCTGTCTCAAAAAAATAAATGAAAATAAAATAATATAAAACCCATGGCAGCACTTGTGTGAAGTCTGAGGTCCCCTATTACTCTGGTGTTATGAGCATGACATGACTATTTGTGCCCATAGCTGACAAGACCTGGGGACATTCAAGTTACAAACAGTAAACACAGAAAACTATGGCTCATTTTCTTTTGAAAGCTCAGCATGTGGACCATGCTTCTCTGAAAAAGTATCTCTGATGCCCAGGGTAAGCCCCCAACACCCACATTTATAGATTGTGACAACTGCCCTTCGTTTATAGTTCATTAGGCCACTGTAGACCCTGATTCAGGTTCCTTCTCCCAAGAACTAGGACTAATTAATAGCTAATTAATCTTCATGTGACTGGGAAGACAATATGTTGATCTAGGAGCCTTGGGGCAACCACATTCTGCAATGTGACCAGAGAACCAGAGAAAGCTGGTCTGCAGAGAGAGAGAAAAGGAAAAGCAGATGTTCTGAGAGCAGCAGAAACGAGAGGCCGACTTCGCTCCTGGGTTGCTGACAAGCTATTCCTGCTCTTGGGCTCCATGAGATACCCGTTATCCTTATACCACCCCCCACATTTTGCTTAAGCTAGCTCAGATTGATTTATATTTCTTTCATCCAAAAGTATCTGAACTAATACCAGGAACTATCTTCTTGATGATTTTAGAGCTCATCTATTCCCTCCACAGTTTATGGGCCAATTTCTCCTCTGTATGTAACTTTCAAATCCAAATATTGATTTTTTCCTTCTCTAATTAGACCAACACATTAAAGGAAAAATATCCCCCAAAAAATAAAAAAAACCAGTCAACATGGCCTCCATACTTTGAAGTCACATGGGATCCATATGGACTTAAACAAGAGACAAAAGATAAATTCAGGGATGCCTCCCTTCCTTACAGCATTTCATAACATGGTACCAGCCTGTAAAATCAAGACATCAAGAACGATTTGGCTAACTTGCTCAATTTTTCCTAAAATAGGCAAGTGCTGAAATACACAGATTCATGAGATTCTAGCTGAAACATATACAAAGCTGATCTTAGGAAAAATTGGGAAATAAGTGGAATTTGTTAATGTTTCCCCCAACTCCACTTTTTGTGTTTTTCTCCCATTCAAGCCCTCACATTGCCCTACCCACTTGCCCCAGAAGGAAGCCATCTGACAAACTAAATTATAGTGAAGGGTTAGTGGCAATTTGTTACTCCTAGTAGGTGTATTCGCATTTTTTAAAAAAACTAGAAAGGGCAATTCAAAACCAAAGAAATGATTATCTAATGTTGGCTTTTTGCTCCAATGCAAATTGGAAAGGAGCTATTTTGTGGCAGTCTAATTGCTCTGAAAACTTCTCTACTTGCATATAAAGCCAGCAGTGACTTTGGTAAATAAGGTGAACATAAAATAGAATGAAAAAAATTGGTAGCTAATCTTGAGGAATTGTACCTTTTATTTCCTTTTTGGAGGCCCAAATTCCAAGCCAGAAGCTGGGAATAGAATGAATGATTGGAAAGCAAACCATAGGCTGGGGTGGACAAGAACCTTTGGTGCGTGTGTGTGTGTGTGTGTGTGTGTGTGTGCGCGCGCGTGCGTGTGTTAGAATTGGCTAAAGGGGCATCTGAGTTGGGGCCAGGGGGAGCAGAGGGGACACACATCTCATCAAAGACATAAGCTCTTAGACCAGAAAACCATGTCACCGAGAGCCAGTTAGGAAAAAGAAAACAGTCCCACAATTGCCCTGCAAGTCTTGACTCTTTCTTCTGTAGCATAAAAGAGATGGGCTCTTCTGTAAAAAGATCAGAGCCCTTCAGCCTGGGTGGGCAGCCAGCAAACCGCAGTCCCTCCTCCACTGCCAGGCTGTCTCACAGAAGTGACCAAGAGGCATTTAACGAGCTATCGCCACCACAGGGAAGAGAGCCAGAGATGCCGGCCTGCCTTTAATGTAGGCATGAGGATGGGAGTCCTGACCAGTTCCAGGAAAATGACACTGACTAAAGAGCAGTGGAACTTCACCCCACATGAAGGGAAGTGCTAGAGGCTCCAGAAAGGCCCATGTGGGGATGGAGGGTGTTTGAGCTGAGTGCTTGCATTTGCCTGTTATGGTAAGGACCCAGTGAAGCATCAGATTAGAAGTGAAAAGTCCATGTTTTACTTACACTTGGGACCAGGGTAAGGCCTGCTGTTTGTTCCCTGCTCTGTGGGATTGACCTTGGAGAAAGGTTACATGCTACAACTAATTGCTATGGGTAGGTGATGTGGAAAGAATGTAGGGATATCAAAAATGAATCCAAGAGTGGAAGCCTAAGGCCTGAAGTTTATGCCCAGGGCACTTCAAAATCACCCTCAGACAATGTAAAATTGTGCAGTTGCTATGGAAAACAGCATGGAGATTCCTCACAATATTAAAAATAGAATTACCCTATGATCCAGCAATCTCACTTCCAGTGTATATCCAAAAGAATCAAAAGCAGGATCTCAAAGAGAAGTTTACACATCCATGTTCATTACAGCATTATTCACAATAGCCAAGAGGTGAAAACAACCTAAATCTCCATACACAGATGAATGAATGAATTAAATGTGGTATATACACACAATGAAATGGTTTTTAGTCTTACAAACAAAAGAAATGCTGTCACATGTTACAACATGGACAAACCTTGATGACATTATGCTAAGGGAAATAGGCCAATCACAAGAAGACAAATCCTGTGTGATTACATTTATATGGGATATCTAAAGTAGTTAAACTCATAGAAACAGAAAGTAGAATGGTAATTGTCAGGGGCTGCAGGGAGAGGGAAATGGGCAGTGGTTCAGAGAATATAGAGTTTCAGTTTTGCAAGATGAAAAAGTTCCAGAGGTCCAATGTGCAACAATGTGATTATAGTTGACACTGAACTATGCTTAAAAATAGTTAAGATGGTAAATTTTATGTTACGCATTTTTACCACAATTAAAAACAAAAGCAAAAATCCAAACAGGTGATCTACGAGGAGCAAAGAAAGTTTACTTTTTCGGTGAGGAGAGCTGGAGTGGGACCACCCGGAAGTATTTTCCCCAGCAGTAGGGAGGGTGGAAAGGGTCAGCAGGTGTCAACCTGATGTGGGAAATGTGGCACATTTAGCAAAACCAGGGCTGACTCTGGGGTGGTTTTTGTTTCAGGAGCAGCCCCAGAAGGCGCCCCATTCTTGGGCCTCCTCCTTCACTCACTGGGAAGTAAACAGAGATGGGAGGCTCCCTGTTCTGGGAAAAAGCTAATCAAATGATCCAACTGCTCCTCGTCTGCAACCCCGAGAGAGGTACCAGGAAACACAGTTTTGGCTGAGAGAAGGGTAGCCATGAATAAGGGAGGCTGTCACGGAAAACTGCTCCCCCACCTCCCAGCTCTGTCCAGGCCTTAGCCTCTGCACGCTGCCCCAGAGCAGGTATCAGCCAGGGGCTGGCGCTAGACCAGCTCCTGGAGCAGTCATCCAGCCTCCCGCCTCTGCACTTTGGAAAAGCAACTGTCTTCTATCCCCATCCCATTATTTAGTGTTTGGGAAGGACCCAAAGTTAGCTAGGAGGCTGTGGCTTTGAATCGCTCACTGCAAAGGTGGGTTGTAGTGTTAAGAGAACAGTTATGAAGCTTGTAAATCCAAACCCCCATGAATAGTTTTCTGGAGTATTCCCCAGTGTCACTCTTTGCTGAGACTAGGGGAGGAATAGGGGCTGCAGAGAGATACGCTTCTCTCTCACTGGGAAGCAGTGTTCCTGTGACCCTGTTTCAATCTTTGGTAATGAACCATTTCAGAACAACTGAAATCACTGGAGTCACTAATAATTACATAAATTTGATTTTCTTTTTTCACTTAAAATGCTTAAGTCTTCATCCACAAGGGCCCATTTTTAGTAACACACTGAATCCTGCCAACATCCTGGGGCTGATTTGATCTTTACACTTCTAGGAATGTCCAAGGACGTTGGGGGTTCGGGCTGCCAAGATGGATGTGAACATGTGTGACTAGCAAGGAGCTTCTAAGGTCTGAAGATTGAGAAGGTCAAGGGTCAATCTCTCCTAAGCTCCAAAGAGTCAGTGGTCTCCTCTCAGATCCTTTCCTCTGAGTTCTTCTCCAACCTTTTGAAAACGAGATCCCCATTTCACCTCAGCCACAAGGTGATCCAGTGCCAGGATTGGTTGTAGACACTCTAACCAGTCCCCAGGGCCACATCAATGCACTGTCCAAGAAGGCAAGGATTTGGAATGCCAAAACCCCCCAGAGATGGCAAC
Source organism: Homo sapiens (assembly GCF_000001405.40). Classification (NCBI taxonomy): domain Eukaryota; kingdom Metazoa; phylum Chordata; class Mammalia; order Primates; family Hominidae; genus Homo; species Homo sapiens. Next base: position 53,827,589 of record NC_000005.10, read on the forward strand.
AGGATTCTGTGATGATGTGGTTTATGGAGTCTCATTTTTTAAAATCCGGCATACTTACAATGAAAGATGCTGTGGAAAAATCACTGGACTTACCCCAACTCCTTTGCTATTTATTGCCTTGGATGGCACCAAGGTTATATTAGAACACAGCTGTAAAGAAGCCGGAAGAGGCTTCGGAACAACTAAAACACATTTTCCCCCAAAGTGAATCTCTAGTTAACCCTTTATACAACATAAGCAATGTACCTCTTGCATAGTATTCTTTAAATATTGAGACAAGATTAGCAAACAATAGCAATTTCATGCCCTGAATTGAGGCTACACTCATGTTTTGTAGTGCCTGCCATTCTCACAATAGTAGTCTCTGATAGCCAAACTCTACTTTTCGTTGCACTCCAGGTCTTAAGACTCAGACCCTTCTTTCCCTCCCATGGCTAAGGGCCCACCATGCAGAGGTGAGGATAATTTTCCTTTTGGCCTCCATTCTCTGCAGGAAGCCAGCTGAGGGAGTCATGTTGCCCTAAGTCTTGTTTTACTGTGGCTGACTTTACTGTATGTTTGTGTTCCAGGACCTCAATATTTGCAGCTCCTAAACTGTCATCTCAAATCCATTACAGCTATGGGTGAAGCTAATAAAACTGCTCAAGAATCAAGACAGTTGACTGCAGCAGGACAAAACCTGGCACGCATTTCACAGGCAAGATTCTTCAATTAAAACTTTTATTCCAGCTGACCACAGGTCAACACCTGGTTAGCCTCTTTCAAGGCTCTCCTGAGAAGTTTGTAGAGCTCCCAATGCCAGTGGATCATGACTCAGTCAATGATATCAGATGTGAGGCTGCTCTTGCTGCCATGAATCTAGCTGTCATTTAACAAGATGGTCTAAACTAGGCCAATTATTTGCTCAATTTTGTACAGCCATGTTTAAGGATACAAGAAATCTGCTCTCAGATCTCTGGGGAACATTCAAATCAAAGATTGCAGACATCAAAAGTCCTTGAAAAGCCATCTGGGAACTTTTGTGTGCTTACAAGCTTGCTCTTGAATCTCACACACACACTTGCAAAATGACAAGCAGATACCATAGACTTCTGGGAAAATTCATTACCACACTATAGCCTGACAAAAAGTCGCAGGCTTTTTAAGGTCATATGTCACCTACCAAGGCAATCCCAGCACTTATTCCCCAACCACAGGGCCAATTGCTTTCAGGGGAAATAAAGTCAACATCTCCATAATGATGGTCTAGTGATATGCTAGTTAATAAAGAAGTAAAATAAGCAACAGTAATAAAAATAGCCACCATTTGTTAAGTACTTGGCATATATGATTGAACTTTTAACTTACACTATGCAATTGATCTTCATAATAATTCTATGAGGCAAGTATTAAAATTTTTACCTTATAGATAAAATCAGTGCTGAGAGAAGTAACTTTTCCCAAGACATAAACTTTTAAGAGGCATGGCTCATGACCCCAGAACTGATATGGCATTTGGCACAGTTAACCAATGGGTTGATTATCAGATGGACTGACAAACAGCTCAGATCTCTGAAAAGAAAAGATGAGACTTCATCTTTTCAATAGTGGCAAAAGTATTATATGGAACCATATGAAATTGCAATTTTACAGGTGAAAAAAGTCAACTGTGAGCACTTTTGTACATTTTAATTTAATAAATCTATTATAGAAGGTGTGACTATTCAGAAACGTGGTTGGTTTTCAAACAGATGTATTAAAATTCACACATCTAAATCAATGCTTTAAAAACCTGTCATCACACTTTATTGAGAACATCATTTATTTTTATAGTTCTAAAATATTTAGTCCTACATATTTATTCAAAATCAGCTGGTCTTTGGAAGTCCTCATGACAAGGCATTTGTCACAAGATGTTTGGTATGCTTGGAAGGGCAGTATCATATAATGGCTAAGAACAACTTTCTAGATATTTATCTTAGGCAAATTACTTATCTATTCCTTCCTTATCTGCAAGAGCAGGATCATAATTGTGTCAATCTCATAGGCTGGGCATAGGAATTAAGTGAGGAAATAGTGCTTAGAACAACGTTCAGGACATACTAAGAGTTCAGTTAGTGTTAGCTGTTTTTATTACTACCATAGGATTTAGTCTATATGAATGCACAGATGTTGGAATAGCAATAGAGTGCATGAGTAGCCAGTAATATAAACTTTATTGGTCTGTTTTCATGCTGCTGATAAAGACATACTCGAGGCTGGGTAATTTATAAAGAAAAAGAGGTTTAATGGACTCACAGTTCCACACGGCTGCGGAGACCTCAGAATCATGGCAAAAGGCATATCTTACGTGGTAGCAGGCAAGAGAGAATGAGAGCCAAGTGAAAGGGGAAACCCCATATAAAACCATCAGATCTCGTGAGACTTATTCACGTGATAATGATGTGTCAATGTATGTTCATCAACTGTAACAAATGTACCAGTCTGGTGGAAGATATTGATAATGAGAGAGGCTATGCATGTGTAGGGATAGGATATGTGATAAATCTACGTACCTTCCTATCAATTTTGCTGTGAGCCTAAAAGTGTTCTAAAATAGAAAGCCTATTAATAAAAGACAATCCCTAAAAACTGAAAATAAGTGAGAACAAATGACCCCAACTGTCCACAAAACTGGTAGCATAGCATAGCTAAACATAGAAAAACTATTTCAATATGAAATAATTTTAGTGTATATCCTGAGTGGAATGTACACTGAGGAAAAAAAGAATTACAGGCCAGGTGCAGTGGCTCACGCCTGTAATCCTAGCACTTTGGGAGGTCGAGGCGGGTGGATCATAAGGTCAGGAGATAGAGAACATCCTGGCTAACACAGTGAAACTCTGTCTCTACTAAAAATACAAAAAAATATTTAGCCAGGCATGGTGGCGGGCGCCTGTAGTCCCAGCTACTCAGGAGGCTGAGGCAGGAGAATGGCATGAACCTGGGAGGCGGAGCTTGTAGTGAGCCAAGATTGCACCACTGCACTCCAGCCTGGGCAACAGAGCAAGACTCCATCAAAAAAAAAAACAGAATTACAAAGATAATTTTTAAAATATTAAACTATTTTTAATAATCATATTGTTGGTAGTAGCATTAGTTTTGTTATTTTTAGACAGTGCTGTATATGTTACGAAATAAAATAAAAGAGTAATTGTACATAATTTTTTTTTTGAGAGAGATGGGGTCTTGCTACATTGCCTAGGGTAGCCTTGAATTCCTGGTCTTCAGTAATCCTCCTGCCTCAGCCTCCTGAGTAGTTGAGAGTATAGGCACATATCACTGTGCCCAGCAGAAAAAGAGTAATTATATTGTATCATTGAGAACCAGGACTTGCTAATGCAAGATAAGGTAAATAGGTGATGGTTTGATGGGGTTAAGTCTTAAAGTCTTCAATTTGAATTTGAAGTGTTAGTTATACATTTATAATGTATTTTTTCTGTAAGAAATAAAATCATTCCCAACTTCTGTCCTTTGCAAAGGCCTGGAAGTGATGACCAATCCAGTAACAATGAGCACTCCCAGTGCTCAGATTATGGTCCCTAAATATCATTTCCAACCTAAAAGGGTCAATTCTGGGTCTGCAACAGGAAATATAAAAAAAAGAGTCTGTAACATTTTGTCTTAACAGAAAGCAAAAAATCTATTAAAGATTACTGGGGTTGCTATGGGTTGAATTGTGTTCCCCCAAAATATGTGTTCAAAATCTAACCCCTTATACATGTGAATGTGACCTTATTTGAAAATAGAGTCTTTAAAGATGTAATCAGGTTAAAATGAGGTGATATTGGACTAGGGTGGGTCCAAATCCAGTGACTGGTATCTTAATAAGAAGAGGGAAGTATGGACACAGACACAGAGAGGGAGAGAATGCCATGTGATAATGGAGACAGAGACTGGAGTGATATCCGCAAGGCAAGGAACATCAAGGATTGTGGCAATGGCCAGATGCTAGGAGAGAGGCATGGAACAGATTCTCTCCCAGAGTCTCCCAAAATAACCAATCTTACCAATGTCTTGATTTCAAACTTCCAGCCTCCAGAGCTGTGAGGCAATACATTCTGCAGTAAGCCACCCAGTTTGTGGAATTTGTTACAGCAGCCCTACGAAACTAACATAGAAATTATGTCAAGAAGACTCAGAAGCCAACTGGAAGCAGCTGTCACTGGCCAAATATGGGACAATTTGGGCATCAACCATAATAATTCCAATAAAGTGAAACAATTAGGCATGTTTAAATCCAGAGAATTATTTTTTTTTTGTTTTTTGTTTTTTTGTTTTTTGTTTTGAGATGGAGTCTCACTCTGTCGCCCAGGCTGGAATGCAGTGGCACAATCTCGGCTCACTGCAAGCTCCGCCACCCAGGTTCAAGTGATTCTTCTGCCTCAGCCTCCTGAGTAGCTGGGATTACAGGTGCCCACCACCATGCCTGGCTAATTTTTTGTATTTTTAGTAGAGACAGGGTTTCACTGTGTTGGCCAGGTTGGTCTCGAATGCCTGACCTCGTGATCCACCCACCTCGGCCTCCCAAAGTGCTAGGATTATAGGCATGAGCCACCACACCCGGCCTATATTGTTAGTTAAAATTTTGTTTGTTTGTTTGTTTGTTTGTTTTTGAGACAGAGTCTCACTCTGTCACCAAGGCTGCAGCGCAATGGCGCATTCTCCACTCACTGCAACCTCTGCCTCCCGGTTTCAAGCGATTTTTCTGCCTCAGCCTCCTTAGTACCTGGGATTACAGGTGTGCCCCACCATGCCTGGCTAATTTTTGTATTTTTTAGTAGAGATGGGGTTTCTCCATGTTGGTCATGCTGGTCTTGAACTCCTGACCTCGTGATCCACCTGCTTCGGCCTCCCAAAGTGCTGGGATTACAGGTGTGAGCCACCGTGCCCGGCCTATTTAAAAAATTTTAAAACCTAATTGGATAACTGTGGAGTATACTAGAGAACTAACTCAATATTTTGATAAAATATAAGGGAAAGAATCAAGCATTTATTCTGACTTATGTAAACTGTATGACTGGGTAACCAAAAAGTAGGTGAGGGGAACTTTATGGAAGTGTTCCAGCTAATATGTGATAGAATGTTGCCATTTTGGCCGGGCATGGTGACTCACGCCTGTAATCCCAGCACTTTGGGAGGCCGAGGCGGGTGGATCACGAGGTCAGGAGTCCGAGACCAACCTGGCCAACATGGCAAAACCCTGTCTCTACTAAAAATACAAAAATTAGCCAGGCGTGGTGGCGGGTGCCTGTAATCCCAGCTACTCAGGCAGCTGAGGCAGGAGAATCGCTTGAACCCAGGAGGCAGAGGTTGCAGTGAGCCGAGATCATGCCATTGCACTCCAGCCTGGGCAATAAGAACAAGACTCTGTCTCAAAAAAAAAAAAAAAAAAAAAAAAAAAGAACGTTGCCATTTTGCAACTCGTAATTAATTAATGGGTCCAGACAACAGTCACTGATGGCTGCTAATGAAAAGCCCTGGGCTATCCGATGGAAGCATCCAACACCACGATGCACTCTTAGGGGGAAAAAAAATCAAACCTAATTCAATCAAGTCTCTAGATTCAACCACCAATTTCTAGAGAACACAAGGGACAAATGACATTATTAAAAATATTATGGGTATGCAAAAACAAAAAAGAAAAGCAAAAAATACTGTGGGTATGCAATCAGCAATACGCAGGACAAAATCTCACAAGAAAAAATGATTTGATTTTTTAGACAAATAAATTGTGAGGAGGGAAAAAAAAAACCACAAAAGGGAACCCCTAGATTAAAGGAGGCTTCAGAGACATTAACCTATTGTAATGTGTGGAACTTCACTTGAATCCTGATTCTAATAAAGAAACCGAAGAAAAAATATTTATGAGATGTTTAGAGTAATTGACTGGATATAAAGGAATTATTGGTAATTTTTTATGTGTGATAATTCGTTTTTTAAAAAAAATCCTTTCTTTTTAGTGATCAAAACTTACAGATAAAAAAAAATATGTGTTCTGGGGTTTGCTTTAAAATAATTCACCAGGGTGAGGCAAGGTGGGTGGGGTACAGATAAAATTAGATTGGCCACGTCTTTGTAATTGCTGAAGATGAATACATAGGAGTTTACTATAACTTTTCTTCTACTGTTGAATATTTTAAATATTTTTTATACTAAAAAGTTCAGAGGGGAAAAAACTTCACCAAAAAACGGGGTCCAGTCAGGCGCAGTGGTTCATGCCTGTGATCCCAGCGCTTTGGGAGGCCGAGGCTGGTGGATCACGAGGTCAGGAGTTTGAGACCAGCCTGGCCAGCATGGGGAAACCCCGTCTCTACTAAAAATACAAAAAAAAAAAAAAAAAAAAATTAGCCAGGCATGGTGGCACGCGCCTGTAATCCCAGCTACTTGGGAGGCTGAGGCAAGATAATTGCTTGAACCTGGCAGGCGGAGCTTGCAGTGAGCTGAGATCACGCCACTGCACTCTAGCCTGGGCAACAGAGCGAGACTCCGTCTCAAAAAAGAAAAAAAAAGAACTGGGTCCTCTGAATGCTAAAAACTCATAATTCAAAATGTTAGTGGAGACCAAAGGCCCGGCAGAGAGGGAGGCCCTGACAACCACCTCCTAGAGGCTGTTTTCTCCCTGTGAGCCAATTGTGAGTCCTGCCCTAACTCATAGGGCTGCAGTGAAGAGTAAGTAAAGGTTGAAAGCATGTCACAAACACAAAATGCTAAGTGTTTAACAATGGTCATTGGAAGGCAGTTCTCTTTATCTTTTTGTTGGGTTTAGGTTCAGGGCCACAACACCCCTTTGGAATTATGTATTTATTGCCATTGTCTTGGGTTTTTGGACACGAAGATAGATCCAGACCCCTGGCTGCCAGGCCCTTAGTCTGATATCTAAACCACCCACCCATTTCCCATGGTAACTTTCATTTCAGGAAAATATTTATGGGAAGGCACCTGCCCCCAGGATGAAAAAAATCCAGCATTTGAACTGAAATCATTTTCTCCCATCCTCGTTTTAACCCACTATGTCATTTGTTAAGGGCATGTCATGTTGAGGTTGCCTCCCATGGGAGAGGAGTCACAAATCCCACAAAACAATGACATTTCGTCATATAAGGCCTTGGTCTGTAACACAGATTCATCATTACCAGAATAGTACTTTGAAAATAATGAATCACTAACGGAATAAACACTTCTGGAGTTAGACATCGTGGCTGCCAAAGCAATAATTATGATTAATATGCTCACAACACAAGCAAATCAATGGACCTTTTATTACTGATGTCATCTGCAGGCTTTCTGGCAGCATTTTAAATTAAGAATTAGTATAATTAGCAATAATCACAATGAAATTTGGGATCCTTATGACCCCTCTACAAGATTTCTCAATTGGTCTACACAAGCCTGTAAAGCAGCTTCGTGTCAAGTATGATTACACCCATTTCACAGATAATGAAACAGGTTTGTAGTTTTCTCAACATCTAGTCAGTTAATCAAGACTATCCAGAGAAGAGTTCTTAATCTGTCAGCCCACAAGTATTTTTCTCTCCTATAGCATTTGTGATCTGAATAAATTTCAAAATTTATTGAAATGCAAACCTTTAAATAACAAAGCTATGCTAATTCTCACCCACCCCTTCCCAAATGGTAGAAGACATATTCCTATGTGGGTTCTCCGAAAAATAATTTCAAGCTTTCCTACAGGGCTCTGGTCTTCATTCTAGGAAGCGTGTCTTTTTGTTTCTGCGTTAGATGTTTGATGGTTGTATTCTGGGACACATAGGTACACATGAAACAGTATATGTTTCCTTAGTCATATGCAAAAATTAGCTAGACATGGATCACAGACCTAAATGTTAGAGCTAACCATGTAAGACTTTCCATAAGAAAAATAAAACTTTCCATTAGAAAATACGGGAGAAAAATTCTTGTGACCTTGGGTTACACAAAGGTTTCTTAGAAAAGTCACAAAAAGTATGGTCCTGAAAAGAAAATCTTGATAAACTGGACTTCATCAAGATATAACATTTCTGCTCTTTAAAAGACACTGTTAAGAAAATGAAAAGATAAGTCACAGATTGGGAAAAAATATTTGCAAAACACAGTTGATAAAGGACATCTGGAATATGTATATTTACATATCTTTTGATTCACTAATGGGAAAAACCTAATGTTTAAAAAATGGGTAAAAGATTTTAACAGACACTTCACCAAAGAGGACATACCCATGGCAAATCAGCACACTGAGAGATACTTTACATAACTTGCCAGAGAGAAATGCACATGTAAACCATAATGGGATACCACCACGCATATACAATAGCTAAAATGAAATTTAAAAGACTGATCATATGAAGATTTGGTGAGAATGCAGAGCAACTTGAAATTTTGTAGTTTGTTGGTTGGAATGTAAAAATGGTAGAGCTACTTTGGAAAAACAATTAAGCTGTTTCTTATAAAGTTACACATACACTTACCATATGACCCAGCAATCCTAAACCAAGAGAAATGAAGACATGTCCATACAAAGATGTAAATGTGAATATTTATAGTAAAGACCTGTTCATGAATTATATATAAGTCTTATTTATAATAGCCCCAAACTGAAAATGCCCAAATACACACCGATTGGTTAATGGATAAACAAACTGTGGTACATTCACACAAGGGAAACAAATCACTGGTACATACAAATAGATGGAATCTCACAAGCATTATGCTAAGTGAAAAAAGCCAGAAACAAGGAGCTACATATTGTTTGATTCTACTTATATGAAATTCTAGAAAACGCAAAGCTATAGGGACAGAAATCAGACCAGTGGTTGCCAAAAACTAGGAGTAGGAAGAAGAGATTGACTGTAAAGAGGCACAAGAAATCTTCTGAGGTGAAGGCAATGTTCTAGATCTTGATTGTGGCCAAGATACGCAGCTGTATGCATTTGGCAAACTCATCGAACTGAACACTTACAAAGGGAGATTATTAATTTCTGTAAATTATACCTCAATAAACTTAATACTATGCAAGGTGCTTTAGAAAAGCTGATAAATTAGAGAGAAACAATTCTGTGTTCTGAGGGATTTCTAATTTAGATGTAAGAAAAAAAGTAATATTTAAAAGACAATGAATACATTCAGCTCTGCATTCAAGGAGCTTGAAAGCAGCCAGGCATGGTGGCTCATACCTGTAATCCCAGTGAGAGGTGACAGTGTGCTGGCAGCCTTTGCAGCCCTCGCTCGCTCTGGGCGCCTCCTCAGCCTTAGTGCCCACTCTGGCCGCACTTGAGGAGCCCTTCAGCCCGCTGCTGCACTGTGGGAGCCCCTTTCTGGGCTGGCCAAGGCTGGAGCTGGCTCCCTCAGCTTGCGGGGAGGTGTGGAGGGAGAGACACAGGCAGGAACCAGGGCTGCGCCTGGGCGCTTGCGGGCCAGCGTGAGTTCTGGGTGGGCATGGGCTTGGCGGGCCCCGCACTCGGAGCAGCTGGCTGGCCCGCAAGCCCCAGGCAGTGAGGGGCTTAGCACCTGGGCCAGCAGCTGCTGTGCTTGATTTCTCGCCAGGCTTTAGCTGCCTCCCTGCAGGGCAGGGCTCAGGACCTGCAGCCCACCATGCCTGAGCGTCCCCCCACCTGCCATGGGCTCCTGTGCAGCCCAAGCCTCCCCAGCGAGTGCTGCACCCTGCTCCACAGCACCCGGTCCCATCAACCACCTAAGGGCTGAGGAGTGCGGGCACACTAAGCGGAATGGGCAGGCAGCTCCACCTGCGCCCCCCTGCGGGATCCACTGGGTGAAGCCAGCTGGGCTCCTGAGTCTGGTGGGGACTTGGAGAATCTTTATGTCTAGCTAAGGGATTGTAAATACACCAGTCAGCATCCTGTGTCTAGCTCAGGGTTTGTGAATGCACCAATGGGCACTCTGCATGTAGTTAATCTGGTGGGGACTTGGAGAACCTTTATGTCTAGCTAAGGGATTGTAAACGCACCAATCAGCACTCTGTATCTAGCTCAAGGTTTGTAAACACACCAATCAGCACCCTGTGGCTAGCTCAGGGTTTGTAAATACACCAATCGACACTCTGTATCTAGCTAATCTAGTGGGGACATGGAGAACTTTTGTGTCTAGCTCAGGGATTGTAAATGCACCAATCAGCACCCTGTCAAAACGGACCAATCAGCTCTCTGTAAAACAGACCAATCAGCGCTCTGTAAAATGGACCAATCAGCAGAATGTGGGTGGGGCCAGATAAGAGAATAAAAGCAGGCTGCCCAAGCCAGCAGTGGCAACCTGCTTGGGTGCCCTTCCACACTGTGGAAGCTTTGTTCTTTCACTGTTTGCAATAAATCTTGCTGCTGCTCACTCTTTGGTTCTATGCTGCATTTATGAGCTGTAACACTCACTGCGAAGGTCTGCAGCTTCACTCCTGAAGCCAGTGAGACCACAAACCCACCCGGAGAAATGAACAACTCCAGACACACTGCCTCAAGAGCTGTAACACTCACCGCAAAGGTCTGCAGCTTTACTCCTGAGCCAGGGAGACCACGAACCCACCAGAAGGAAGAAACTCTGAATACATCTGAACATCAGAAGGAACAAACTCCAGACATGCCGCGTTTAAGAACGGTAACACTCACCGCGAGGGTCTGTGGCTTCATTCTTGAAGTCGGTGAGACCAAGAACCCACCAATTCTGGACACACCACTACTTTGGGAGGCTGAGGCAGAAGGATTGCTTGAGGCCAGGAGTTCAAGACCAGCCTGGTCAACATAGTGAGACCTCCATCTCTATTAAAAAAAAAAAAAGTAGCCACTCGATTCTAACAACAAGTAAAAAGCTGGATAGACTAAAAGAATAGAGAACTCAGACTTTGTTTCACAGGTGTCACTGGGGAGGACTGCCAGAGGAACTGGGAAAAGACCGCAGGGAAAAGGAAACCTTCAGCTGAACTTTGTAACAATTCCAACTGAAAATGCAGATTCTTGGACAGAATACCAGACGGGGTAAATCCGAAGTGCAGACTTTGGAAGGCAGTGAGGCATGAAACTTGAAAGCCTTGTGTGCTTTCTCAGCTGAGAGGCTGGTAGCCTGGAGCAAGTTCTTAGCCCTGCTCATCCACTGCCTGGAAACAAACTCGGTGCTGTTGGGAGTTGGGGGCACAATGGGAGTGAGACTGGTCTTTTGGGTTGCATGGGACCTGCGGAGGCCTGTAACTGTTGGCATTCCCCCACTTCTCTGGTAACCTGGGTGACAGAGTAGAGGCAGTTATAATCCTGGGAACATAACTCCATTGACCTGGGGACCCATCCACCACAGCAGCTGCAGCAAGCCCTGCCCAGGGAGAATCTGAGCTCAGACATGCTTAACCCTGCCCCAACATGATGGTCATTCTCTACCCACCCTGGTAGCTGAAGACAAAGGTCATATTTTCTTGGGAGTTCTAGGACCCTGCCCACCACATGATCCTCCCTATACCACAGCTGATGCTCTCTTGAAAGTGCCACCTTCCAGCAAGAAGCCAACCAGCACAAAACTAGTCCAATAAACAAAAATAATACAACTAAGGACCCTCACAGAGTCCATTTCACAATCCTGCCACCTCCACCAGAGCAGGTGCTGCTATCCATGGCTGAGAGACCAGAAGATGTTTTACATCACAGGACTCTGTGCAGACAGCCCCCAGTACCAGCTTGGAACCTGGTAGCCCCACTGGGTGGCTAGGTCCAGAAAAGAAATAACAATCACTACAGTTTAGCTCTTGGGAAGCCACACCCCTAGGAAAAGGAGAAGAGTACTACATCAAGGGAGCACCCCACAGGACAAAAGAATCTGAACAGCAGCCTTGAGCCCCAGATCTTGCCTCCAACATAGCCTACCCAAATAAGAAGGAACCAGAAAAACAATTCTGGTAATATGAAAAAGCAAGGTTCTTTAACAACCTCAAAAAAATCACACTAGCTCACCAGCAAATGATCCAAACCAAGAAGAAATCCCTGATTTGCCAGAAAAAAGAATTCAGAAGGTCAATTATTAAGCTAATCAAAGAAGTACCAGAGAAAGGTGAAGTCCAATTTAAGAAAATTTAAAAAAATGATAAAAGATATGAGGGGAGAAACCTTCAGTGAAATAGATAGCATAAATAAAAAATAATCACAACTTCTGGAAATCAAGGACACATTTATAGAAATGCAAAATGCACTGGAAAGTCTCAGCAATAGGATCAATCAAGTAGAAGACAGAACTTCAGACCTCGAAGACAAGGTTTTTGAAATAATCCAATCCAACAAAGACAAAGAAAAAATAATTTTAAAAAAATGAACAAAGCTTCCAAGAAGTTTGGGATTATGTTAAATGAACAAACCTAAGAATAATTGACATTCCTGAGGAAGAAGAGAAATCTAAAAGTTTGGAAAACATATTTGGAGGAATAATCAAGGAAAACTTCTCCACCCTTGCCAGAAATCTAGACTTCCAAATACAAAAAGCTCAAAGAACACCTGGGAAATTCATGGCAAAAAGATCATTGTATAGGCACTAGTCATCGAGTTATCTAAAGTCAAGACAAAGGAAAGAATATTAAGACTTGCGAAGCAAGGCTGGGTGCAGTGGCTCAACCCTGTAATCCCAGCACTTTGGGAGGCCAAGGCAGGCAAATCATGAGGTCAGGAGTTTGAGGCCAACCTGACCAACATAGTGAAACCCCATCTCTACTAAAAATGCAAAAATTAGCTGGGCATGGTGGTCCATGCCTGTAATCCCAGCTACTCAGGAAGCTGATGCAGGAGAATCACTTGAACCTGGCAGGCAGAGGTAGCAGTGAGCTGAGATCTCGCCACCACACTCCAGCCTGGGCGACAGAGCAAGACTCCATCTCAAAAAACAAAAAACAAAAAAAAAAAGAGTTGTGAGGCAAAAGCACAAGGTAACCTATAAAGGTAAACCTATCAGATTAACAGCAGATTTATCAGCTGAAGCTGCACAAGCTAGAAGGAATTGGGCCCAATCTTCAGCTTCCTTAAACAAGTATCATCCAAGAATTTTGTATCCAGTGAAACCAAGATAGAAACTAAGTTTCATAAATGAAGGAAAGATAGAGTCTTTTCAGGCAAACAAATGCTGAGAGAATACGCCACTACCAAGCAGCATTATGAGAACTGCTAAAAGGAGCTCTAAATCTTGAAACAAATCCTCGAAACACATCAAAACAGAAACTCCTTAAAGCATAAATCTCCCAGGACCTATAAAACAACAACACAATAAATAATTTTTTAAACAACCAAGGTATTCGGGCAACAAATAGCATAGTGAATAGAATAGTACCTCACATCTCAATACTAATGTTGAATGTAAATGGCCTAAATGCTCCACTTAAAAGATATAGAATGGCAGAATGGATAAGAATTCACCAACCAAGTACTTACTGCATTCCAGATTATGTAAGGACCCACATAACTTAAGGTAAAGGGGTGGAAAAAGACATTCCATGCAAATGGACACCAGAAGCAAGCAGGAGTAGCTATTCTTATATCAGACAAAACAAACTTTAAATCAACAGCAGTTAAAAATGACAAAAAGGGACATTATACAATGATAAAAGGCCTTGTCCAACAGGAAAGTATCAGAATCTTAAATATTTATGCACCTAACACTGGAGCTCCCAAATTTATAAAACAATTACTACTAGACCTCAGAAATTAGATAGACAGCAACATCATAATAGTGGGGGACTTCAATACTCCACTGACAGCACCAGACAGGTCATCAAGAGAAAAAGTCAACAAAGAAACAATGGATTTAAACTATGCCTAGACCAAATGGACTTAACAGATATTTATATACCCAACAACCACAGAATATACATTATATTAATCAGCTGATGAAACATTCTCGAAGATAGACCATGTGATAGGCCACAAAACAAGCCTCAATGTATTTAAGAAAATTGAAATTATATCCAGTACTTTCTCCAACCACAGTGGAATAAAATTAGAAATCAACTCCAAAAGGAACCTTCAAAACCATGCAAATACATGGAAATTAAATAACCTGTTCCTGAATGATCATTGGGTCAAACAATGAAATCAAGATGGAAATTAAAAAAATTTTTGAGCTGAATGATAATAGTGACACATCCTATCAAAACCTCTGGGACACAGCCAATGCAGTTCTAAAAGGAAAGTTCATAGCCTTAAATGTCTACATCAAAAAGTCTGAAAGAGCACAAATAGAAAACCTAAGGTCATACTTCAAGGAATTAGAGAAACAAGAACAAACCAAACCCAAACCTAGTAGAAGAAAAGAAATAGCCAAGACCAGAGCAGAATTAAATGAAATTGAAATAAAAAAATTATAAAAGATAAATGAAATAAAAAGCTGGTTCTTTGAAAAGATAAATAAAATTGATAGAACATTAGTGACATTAACCAAGAAAATAACAGAGAAGACCCAAATAAGCTCAATTAGAAACGAAATGGGAGATATTACAGCTGACACTACACAAACATAAAAGATTATTCAAGGCTACTGTGAACACCTTTATATGCATAACTTAGAAAACCTAGAGGCGATGGATAAATTCCTGGAAATATGCAACCTTCCTAGATTAAACCAGGAAGATATAGAAACTTTGAACAGACCAATTATAGGCGTAAGATTGAAGTGGTAATTTAGAAATTGCCAAAAAAAAAAAAAGTCCAGAACCAGATGGATTCACTGAATTCTATCAGACAGTCGAAGAAGAATTGGTACCAATCCAATAACACTATTCCTCAGGATAGAGAAAGAGGGAATCCTCCCTATATCACTCTATGAAGCCAGTATCACCATAATACCAAAACCAGGAAAAGACATAACAAAAAAGAAAACTACACACCAATATCTCTGATGAACATAGATGCAAAAATCCACAACAAAATGCTAGTTAACTGAATCAAACAGCATATCAAAAAGATAATCCACCATGATCCAGTGGGTTTCATACCAGGTATGCAGAGGTGGTTTAACATATGGAAGTCAATAAAGGTAATAAACCACATAAACAGAATTAAAAACAAAAATCACATGATCATCTTAATAGATGCAGAAAAAACATTTGACAAAATCCAGCATTCCTTTAAAAGCTTTTGCTGTTTAAAACCCTCAGCAAAATTGGCATAGAAGGGACATCCCTTTATGATTAAAACCCTCAGCAAAATTGGCATAGAAGGGACATAATTTAATGTAATAAAAGTCATCTATGAAAAACCCACAGCCAACATAATACTGAGTGGGGAAAAGTTGAAAACATTCCCTCTGAGAACTGGAACAAGACAACGATGCTCACTCTCACCATTTCTATTCAACATAGTACTGGAAGTCCTTGCCAGAGCAATCAGACAAGAGAAATAAATAAAGGGCATCCAAATCAGTAAAGAGGAAGTCAAACTGTCACTGTTTGCTGATAATATAATTGTATAATTGTATAGCCAGAAAGTCCTAAAGACTCCTCCAAAAAGCTCCTAGAACTCATAAATTCAGCAAAGTTTCAGGATACAAAATTAATGTACACAAATTAGAAGCTCTGCTATACACCAACAGTCACCAAGCTGAGAATCAAATCAATAACTCAACCACTTTTTCAATAGCTGCAAATAATAATAATAATAATAATAAAATACTTAGGAATATACCTGACCAAGCAAGTGAAAGACCTCTACAAGGAAAACTACAAAACACTGCTGAAAGAAATCATAGGTGACATAAACAGATGGAAACACATCCCGTGCTCATGGATGGGTAGAATCAATACTTTGAAAATGGCCATACTGCCAAAAGCAATCTACAAATTTAGTGCAATTCCCATCAAAATACCACCATCATTCTTCACAGAACTAGAAAAGACAATCCTAAAATGCATATGGAATCAAAAAAGGGCCCGCATAGAAAAAGCAAGACTAAGCAAAAAGAACAAATCTGGAGGCATCACATTACCTGACTTCAAACTCTACTGTAAGGCCATAGTCACCTAAACAGCATGGTACTGGTATAAAAATAAGCATATAGACCAACGGAGCAGACTAGAGAACCCAGAAATAAACCCAAATACTTACAGCCAACTCATCTTCAACAAAGCAAACAAAAACATAAAGTAGGGAAAGGACACCCTTTTCCACAAATGGTGCTTGGATAATTGGCAAGCCATATGTAGAAGAATGAGACTGGATCCTTATCTTTCACCTTATACAAAAATCAACTCAAGATGGATCAAGAACTTAAATTCAAAGACCTAAAACCATAAAAATTCTAGAAGATAACATTGGAAAATCCCTTCTAGACATTGCTTAGGCAAAGACTTCATGAAAGAACCCAAAAGCAAATGCAACAAAAACAATGATAAATAGGTGGGACTTAATTCAACTAAAAAGTTTCTGCACAGCAAAAGAAACAATAAGCAGAGTAAACAGACAACCCACAGAGTGGGAGAAAATCTTCACAATCTATACATCCGACAAAAGACCAATATACAGAATCTACAAGGAACTCAAACAAATTAGCAAGAAAAAAAGCAAACAATCCCATCAAAAAATGGGCTAAAGACATGAATAGACAATTCTCAAAAGAAGATATACAAATGGCCAACAAACATATGAAAAAAATGCTCAGCCTCACTAATGATCAGGGAAATGCAAATCAAAATCACAATATGATACCATCTTACTCCTGCAACAGGGAACTGCTGGTGGGATTGTAAACTAGTACATGGAAAACAGTGTGGAGATTTCTTAAAGAACTAAAAGTAAAACTACCATTTAATCCAGCAATCCCACCACTGGGCATCTACCCCGAGGAAAAAAAGTCATTATACGAAAAAGATATTTGCACATGTGTGTTAAACTGTGAACTTTCTCAGTATTTTCCTCCCCCCTTAGTTGTGACAGGGTGACTAGGGTGGGCTGAAGTTAGGCATTTCCCTTCTCTCAGGCCAGTTAGTCTCTCATAACACCCCAGCAGACTAGGTCCTGATTAAATATATAAAAGCTCAGATCCAGGAAGCCCAGAGAACACCAAGCAGGATAAATATTTAAAATAAAAAAAAAGACACCCAGACATATTATTTTTAACTACAGAAAGTTAGAGTTAAATAAAAAATACTGAAATATGTCAGGTAAAAAAAACACCTTAACTATAGTAGAACAAAGAAAAGAATTATATCAAATTTCTCCTCAGAAACCATGCAAGCAAGAAGAGAGTGAAATGAAATAATTAAAGTATTGAAGAAACACACACACACACACACACACACACACCCCAACATAGAATTCTCTACCCTGTGAAACTATCCTTCAAAAATGAAGGAAGAATAAGGATTTTTTTCAGACAAACAAAAATTGAGGGAATTAGTTGCCAGTAGACCTGCCTTACAGGAAATGTTAAAAGAAGATTTTTAGAAAGAAGGAAAATTATATAGGTCAGAAACATATATTTACATAAAGAAAGAACATTGGAAAATGAATAAATTTATTTTACTTCGTAAAATAAAAAAATGAGCTAACAAAATAATAGCATGATGTATTCAATTATGCATGCTTATGTATATATATTATTTATGCTTATGTATGCTTATATATCAGTGAAATGAATAACAACAATGATAGAAGGAAAAGAAGAAAGAAATTATGATTATTTTGTTATTGCAAGGTATTCACACTACCTGTGAAGTGGTATAGTATTATTTCAAAGTGGACTTCCATTAGTTATAAATGTCAATTACAAATTCTAGGGCAAACACTAAAAAAAGTTATAAGAAGGATAACTGACATGCTAAGAAATTACAAAAAGATGGAATCATATAAAATGCTCAGTTAAAACCACAAAAGGCAGATAAAGAGGAGAAAAGAGCGAAAGACAAAAAAAGGAAAAAAGAACAAGGGTGGCAGATAGAAAACAGTAACGAAGGTGGTAGATACTGATTCAACTATGTCAATAATTACTTTGAATGTCAATGGTCGAAATGCACCTAATTAAAAGATAGAGATTGTCACAGCAAACCAAAAATCAAGACCCAACTATATGTTGTCTACAAAAAAACCCAGTTTATTTAAAGATAGATAAAAGTAAGAAAATAGAGAAAAATATACCATGCTAACATACTCAAAAGAAAGCAGAAGTGACTATATAAATCTCAGACAAAGCAAAAAAAGTTATCAGAGATAATGACATTATATAATGATAAAATGATAAATTCTGTAAAAAGACATAACAATTCTTAACATGTATGTGCCTAACAACAGAATGACAAACTAACTGAGGCTGAAACTAATAGAACTTGCAAGCAGAAATTAATAAATACACTATTATAGTTGGGGACTTCAACGCCCCTCTGTCAGAAATGGACAGATTCAGCAGGCAGAAAATCAATAAAGACATACTTTAACTCAACAACGTCATCGATTAACTGGATATAATTGACATCTATAAATTACTTCATCCAACAACAGCAGAATCCACATTCTTCTGAAGCTCACATGGAACATTCACCAAGATAGACCACATTCTGGGCTATAAAATACAGCTTAACAAATTAAAAAAATAAAAATTGTTCAATGTCTGCTCTCAGACCACATGTAATTAAACTAGAAATAAATAACAGAAAGATAACTGAAATATCCCAAAGCATGTGGCAATTAAACACACTTCTAAATAACTAATGGCTCAAAGAAGAAATCTCAAAAGAAATATTAAAATATTTTAAACAATAACAATAGAACTAAAGAGCTTCTGCACAGCAAAAGAAACTACCATCAGAGTGAACACGCAACCTACAAATTGGGAGAAAATTTTTGCAACCTACTCATCTGACAAAGGGCTAATATCCAGAATCTACAATGAACTCAAAAAAATTTACGAGAAAAAAAACAAACAACCCCATCAAAAAGTGGGTGAAGGACATGAACAGACATTTCTCAAAACAAGTCATTTATGCAGCCAAAAAACACGTGAAAAAATGCTTACCATCACTGGCCATCAGAGAAATGCAAATCAAAACCACAATGAGATACCATCTCACACCAGTTAGAATGGCAATCATTAAAAAGTCAGGAAACAACAGGTGCTGGAGAGGATGTGGAGAAATTGGAATACTTTTACACTGTTGGTGGGACTGTAAACTAGTTCAACCATTGTGGAAGTCAGTGTGGCGATTCCTCAGGGATCTAGAACTAGAAATACCATTTGACCCAGCCATCCCATTACTGGGTATATATGAAAAGGACTATAAATCATGCTGCTATAAAGACACATGCACACATATGTTTACTGCGGCACTATTCACAATAGCAAAGACTTGGAACCAACCTAAATATCCAACAATGATAGACTGGATGAAGAAAATGTGGCACATATACACCATGGAATACTATGCAGCCATAAAAAATGATGAGTTCATGTCCTTTGTAGGGACATGGATGAAATTGGAAATCATCATTCTCAGTAAACTATCGCAAGGACAAAAAACCAAACACCGCATGTTCTCACTGATAGGTGGGAATTGAACAATGAGAACACATGGACACAGGAAGGGGAACATCACACTCTGGGGACTGTTGCGGGGTGGGGGGAGGGGGGAGGGATAGCATTAGGAGATATACCTAATGCTAAATGATGAGTTAATGGGTGCAGCACACCACCAGGCCCATGTATATGTATGTAACTAACCTGCACATTGTGCACATGTACCCTAAAACTTAAAGTATAATAAAAAAAAAATAGAAACACAATTTATCAAAATATGTGGTATGCAGTAAAATCAGTGCTAAGAGGGAAATGGATAGCATTGAATGCATATATTAGAAAAGAAGAAAGATTTAAAATCAATAATACGCTTCCATCTGATGAAACTAGAAAAAGAAGGGCAAATTAAATCCAAACTAAGAAGAAAAGAAGCAAGAATTAGAGCAGAAATCAATGAAATTAAAACCAGAAAATCAATATAGAATATCAATGAAACCAAAGCTGGTTTATTGAAAAGATCAATAAAATTGATAAGCCTCTAGCCAGGCTAATTAAAAAAAAGAGAGAGAGAGAGAAGATGAATTACTAATATCAGAAATGAAAGAGAGGACATCACTACAGATCCTATGGACATTAAAAGAATAATAAAGGAATACAAAGAATAACTATAGGCCTACAATTTTGAAAACCTAGATGAAATGGACCAATTCCTTGAAAGATCTGATTTGCCAAAATTCACACAAGAAGAAATATACAATCGAAATAGGCTTACATCTATTAAAGAAATTAAATCAGTAATTTAATAATCTTCAAAAACAAAGCATCAGGCCGAGATGGCTTCACTGGTGAATTTACCACACTTTATGGAAGAGATTGTACCAATTCTCTAGTCTTTTTCAGAGGATTAAACAGAGGGAATATTTTCTAATTCATTCTATGAGGCCAGCATTATCCTCATACTTTATTTTTATTTTTATTTTTATTTATTTTTGCTGGTAACTATCCTTTAATACATTTCTTCAGACATATGTATGAATACTTAGATATACAATTTTGAATAAATGAGATATTTTACATGTATTTCATTGAGAATACTTTTTAACCATTTTGTTAAATTGTTTATCCCTCTCTTCTCCCTCCCTTACACATCCCTCCTTACCATAATTTAAAATATTAGAAAACTGTTTTGGTCACATGAACACCTAGTGTAAAACCCCCTCCAAATCAACTAATAAAGATATAACACATTCCCTTTAGTGGATGATAAAATTAGCTGAATCATAGTTTGCTTATCTATATACTGAGTGAGGAGCATTTTTTTATATATATACTTAAAGTTCTAAGGTACATGTGCACAACATGCAGGTTTGTTACATAGGTATACATGTGCCATGTTGGTGTGCTGCACCCATTACTCATCATTTACATTAGGTATTACTATTAATGCTATCCCTACCCCCTACCCCCACCCCATGACAGGTGACAATATGTGATGTTCCCCATCCTGTGTCCAAGTGTTCTCATTATTCAATTCCCACCTATGAGTGAGAACATGCAGTGTTTGGTTTTCTGTCCTTGTGATAGTTTGCTGAGAATGACGGTTTCTAGCTTCATCCATGTCCTGACAAAGGACATGAACTCATCCTTTTTTATGGCTGCATAGTATTCCATGGTGTATATGTGCCACATGTTCTTAATCCAGTCTATCATTGATGGACATTTGGGTTGGTTCCAAGTCTTTGCTATTGTGAATAGTGACACAATAAACATACCTGTTCATGTGTCTTTATAGTAACATGTGTCTTTATAATCCTTTGGGTATATACCCAGTAATGGGATGGCTGGGTCAAATGGTATTTCTAGTTCTAGATCCTTGAGGAATCGCCACACTGTCTTCCACAGTGGTTGAACTAGTTTACAGTCCCACCAACAGTGTAAAACTGATCCTTTTTCTCCACATCCTCTCCAGCACCTGTTGTTTGCTGACTTTTTAATGATTGCCATTCTAACTGGTGTGAGATGGTATCTCATTGTGGTTTTGATTTGCATTTCTCTGATGACCAGCCATGATGATCATTTTTTCATGTGTCTCTTGGCTGCATAAATGTCTTCTTTTGAGAAATGTCTGTTCATATCCTTTGCCCACTTTTTGATGGAGTTTTTTTTCTTGTAAATTTGTTTAAGTTCTTTGTAGATTCTGGATATTAGCTCTTTGTCAGATGGGTAGATTGCAAAAATTTTCTCCCATTCTGTAGGTTGCCTGTTATGGTACTTTATTTTGCTGTGCAGAAGCTCTTTAGTTTAATTAGATCCAATTTGTCTATTTTGGCTTTTGTTGCCTTTGCTTTTGGTGTTTCAGTCATAAAGTCCTTGCCCGTGCCTATGTCCTGAATAGTATTGCCTAGGTTTTCTTTTAGGGTTTTTATGGTTTTAGGTCTAACATTTAAGTCTTTAATCCATCTTGAATTAATTTTTGTATAAGGTGTAAGGAAGGGATGCAGTTTCAGCTTTCTACATATAGCTAGCCAGTTTTCCCAGCACAATTTGTTAGATAGGGAATCCTTTCCCCATTTCTTGTTTTTGTCGGGTTTGTCAAAGATGAGATGGTTGTAGACGTGTGGTGTTATTTCTCAGGCCTCTGTTCTATTCCATTGGTCTATATCTCTGTTTTGGTACCATGCTGTGTTGGTTACTGTAGCCTTGGAGTATAGTTTGAAGTCAGGTAGCATGATGCTTCCAGCTTTGTTCTTTTTGCTTAGGATTGTATTGGCAATGAGGGCTCTTTTATGGTTCCATATGAACTTTAAAGTAGTTTTTCTAACTCTGTGAAGAAAGTCATTGGTAGTTTGATGGGGATGACATTGAATCTATAAACTACCTTGGGCAGTATGGCCATTTTCATGATATTGATTCTTTCTATCCATGAGCATGGAATGTTCTTCCATTTGTTTACGTCCTCTTTTATTTCATTGAGCAGTGGTTTGTAGTTCTTTTTGAAGAGGCCCTTCACATCCCTTGTAAGTTGGATTCTTAGGTATTTTATTCTCTTTGAAGCAATTGTAAATGGAAGTTGACTCATCATTTGGCTCCCTGTCTGTTATTGGTGTATGGTAATGCTTGTGATTTTTGCACATTGATTTTGTATCCTGAGACTTTGCTGAAGTTGCTTATCAGCTTAAGGAGATTTGGGGCTGAAATGATGGGGTTTTCTAAATATGCAATCATGTTATCTGCAAACTGGGACAATTTGACTTCCTCTTTTCCTAATTGAATACCCTTTATTTCTTTATCTTGCTTGATTGCCTTGGCTAGAACACCCAACACTATGTTGAATAGGAGTGGTGAGAGAGGGCATCTCTGTCTTGTGCCAGTTTTCAAAGGGAATGCTTCCAGTTATGGCCCATTCAATATGATATTGGTTGTGGGTTTGTCATAAATAGCTCTTATTATTTTGAAATACGTCCCATCAATACCTAGTTTATTGAGAGTTTTTAGCATGAAGGACTGTTGAATTTTGTCGCAGGCATTTTTTGCATCTATTGAGATGATCATGTGGTTTTGTCTTTGGTTCTGTTTATGTGATGGATTACCTTTATTTATTTGCATATGTTGAACCAGCTTTGCATCCCAGGGATGAAGCAAACTTGATCATGGTGGATAAGCTTTTTGATGTGCTGCTGGATTTGGTTTGCCAGTATTTTATTGAGGATTTTTGCATCGATGTTCATCAGGGATATTGGTCTGAAATTCTCTTTTTTTGTTGTGTCTCTGCCAGGCTTTGGTATCAGGATGTTGCTGGCCTCATAAAATGAGTTAGGGAGGATTCCCTCTATTTCTATTGATTGGAATAGTTTCAGAAGGAATGGTACCAGCTCCTCTTTGTACCTCTGGTAGAATTTGGCTGTGAGTCCTTCTGGTCCTGGACTTGTTTTGGTTGCTAGGCTATTAATTATTGCCTCAGTTTCAGAGCCTGTTATTGGTCTATTCAGGGATTCAACTTCTTCCTGGTTTAGTCTTGGGAGGATGTATGTGTCCAGGAATTTATCCATTTCTTCTAGATTTTCTCGTTTATTTGTGTAGAGGTGTTTATAGTATTCTCTGAAGGTAGTTTTCATGTCTGTGGGATCAATGGTGATATCCCCTTTATCATTTTTTATTGCATCTATTTGATTCTTCTCTCTTTTCTTCTTTATTAGCCTTGCTAGCAGTCTATCTATTTTCTTGATCTTTTCAAAAAACCAGCTCCTGGATTTGTTGATTTTTTTGAAGGGGTTTTGTGTCTTTATCTCCTTCAGTTCTGCTCTGTTCTTAGTTATTTCTTGCCTTCTGCTAGCTTTTGAATTTGTTTGCTCCTGCTTCTCTAGTTCTTTTAATTGTGATGTTAGGGTGTCGATTTTAGATCTTTCCTGCTTTCTCTTGTGGGCATTTAGTGCTATAAATTTCCCTCTACACACTGCTTTAAATGTGTCCCAGAGGTACTGATATGTTGTGTCTTTGTTCTCATTGGTTTCAAAGAATATCTTTATTTCTGCCTTTATTTTGTTATTTACCCAGTATTCATTCAGGAGCAGGTTGTTCAGTTTCCATGTAGTTGTGTGGTTTTGAATGAGTTTCTTTTTCTTTTTTCTTTTTTTTTTTTTTTTTTTTTTGAAACAGAGTCTTGCTCTTTCGCCCAGGCTGGAGTGCAGTGGTGCTATCTCGGCTCACTGCAAGCTCTGCTTCCTGGGTTCACACCATTCTCCTGCCTCAGCCTCCCAAGTAGCTGGGACTACAGGTGCCCGCCACCATGCCAAGCTAATTTTTTGTGTTTTTAGTAGAGATGGGGTTTCACTGTGTTAGCCAGGATGGTCTCGATCTCCTGACCTCGTGACCCACCCGCCTCAGCCTCCCACGGTGCTGGGATTACAGGCATGAGCCACCATGCCCAGCCTTGAGTAAGTTTCTTAATCCCGAGTTCTCATTTGATTGCACTGTGGTCTGAGAGACAGTTTGTTTTGATTTCTGTTCTTTTACATTTGCTGAGGAGTGCTTTACTTCCAACTATGTGGTCAATTTTGGAATAAGTGTGATGTGGTGCTGAGAAGAATGTATATTCTGTTGATTTGGGGTGGAGAGTTCTGTAGATGTCTATTAGGTCTGCTTGGTGCAGAGCTTAGTTTAAGTCCTGGATATCCTTGTTAACCTTCTGTCTCATTGATCTGTCTAATATTGATAGTGGGGTGTTAAAGTCTCCCATTATTATTGTGTGGGAGCCTAAGTCTCTTTGTAGGTCTCTAAGGACTTGCCTTATGAATCTGAGTGCTCTTGTATTGGGTGCATATACATTTAGGATAGTTAGCTCTTCTTGTTGATGATCCCTTTACCATTATGTAATGGCCTTCTTTGTCTCTTTTGATCTTTGTTGGTATAAAGTCTGTTTTATCAGAGACTAGGATTGCAACCCCTGCTTTTTTTTTGTTTTCCATTTGCTTGGTAGATCTTCCTCCACCCCTTTATTTTGAGCCTATGTGTGTCTCTGCACATGAGATGGGTCTCCTGAATAAAGCACATTGATGGATCTTGACTCTTTATCCAATTTGCCAGTCTGTATCTTTTAATTGGGGCATTTAGCCCATTTACATTTAAGGTTAATATTGTTATGTGTGAATTTGATCCTGTCATTATGATGTTGGCTGGTTATTTTGCTTGTTAGTTGATGCAGTTTCTTCCTAGCATAAATGGTCTTTATGATTTGGCATGTTTTTGCCGTGGCTGGTACCAGTTGTTCCTTTCCATGTTTACTGCTTCCTTTGGGATCTCTTGTAAGGCAGGCCTGGTGGTGACAAAATCTCTCAGCATTTGCTTGTCTTTAAAGTATTTTATTTCTCCTTCACTTATGAAGCTTAGGTTGGCTGGATATGAAATTCTGGGTTGAAAATTCTTTTCTTTAAGAATGTTGAATATTGGCCACCACTCACTTCTGGCTTGTAGAGTTTCTGCCGAGCGAGCCACTGTTAGTCTCATGGGCTTCCCTTTGTGGGTAACCCAACCTTTCTCTCTGGCTGCCCTTAACACTTTTTCCTTCATTTCAACTTTGGTTAATCTGACAATTATTTGTCTTGGAGTTGCTCTTCTCGAGGAGTATATTTGTGGTGTTCTCTGTATTTCCTGAATTTGAATGTTGGCCTGCCTTGCTAGGTTGGGGAAGTTCTCCTGGATAATATCCTGCAGAGTGTTTTCCAACTTGGTTCCATTCTCCCCATCATTTTAGGTACACCAATCAAACGTAGATTTGATCTTTTCACATGGTCCCATGTTTCTTGGAGGCTTTGTTCATTTCTTTTTCCTATTTTTTCTCTAAACTTCTTGCTTCATTTCATTCATTTGATCTTCAATCACTGATACCCTTTCTTTCACTTGATCAAATCAGGTACTGAAGCTTGTGCATCCATTACACAGTTCTCGTGCCATGGTTTTCAGCTCCATCCAGTCATTTAAGGTCTTCTCTATGCTGTTTATTCTAGTTAGCCATTCATCTAATCTTTTTTCAAGGTTTTTAGCTTCCTGGCAATGGGTTCGAACATCCTCCTTCTCTTGGATAAGTTTGCTATTGCCGACCTTCAGAAGCCTATTTCTGTCAACTTGTCAAAGTCATTCACCATCCAGCTTTGTTCCATTGCTGGTGAGGGGCTGCAATCCTTTAGAGGAGAAGAGGCACTCTGGTTTTTAGAATTTTCAGCTTTTCTTCTCTGGTTTCTCCCCATCTTTGTGGTTTTATCTACTTTGGTCTTTGATGATGGTGACCTACAGATGGGGTTTTGGTGTGGATGTCATTTTTGTTGATGTTGATGCTATCCCTTTCTGTTTGTTAGTTTTCCTTCTAACAGTCAGGTTCCTCAGCTGCAGGTCTGTTGGAGTTTGCTGGAGGTCCATTCCAGCATTCCAGACCCTGTTTTCCTGGGTATCACCAGCGGATGCTGCAGAACAGCAAATATTGCTGCCTGATCCTTCCTCTGGAAGCTTCATCTCCGAGGGGCACCCAGCTGTATGAGGTATCAGTTGGCCCCTACTGGCAGGCATCTCCCAGTAGGCTACATGAGGGTCAGGGACCCACTTGAGGAGGCAGTCTGTCCATTCTTAGAGCTCACACTCCATGCTGGGAGAACCACTGCTCTCTTCAGAGCTGTCAGACAGGGACATTTAAGTCTACGGAAGTTTCTGCTGCCTTTTGTTCAGCTATGCCCTGTCCCCAGAGGTGGAGTCTACAGAGGAAGGCAGGCCTCATTGCGCTGCAGTGGGTTCCACCAAGTTCGAGCTTTCCGGCTGCTTTGTTTACCTTTTCAAGCCTCAGCAATGGTGGACACCCCTCCCCCAGCCCAGGCTGCCACCTCGCAGTTCGATCTTGGACTGCTGTGCTAGCAGTGAGCAAGGCTCTTTGGGCATGGGACCTGCTGAGCCAGGCACGGGATATAATCTCCTGGTGTGCTATTTGCTAAGACTGTTGGAAAAACACAGTATTAGGGCAAGAGTGCCCCGATTTTCCAGGTACCATCTGTCACGGCTTCCCTTGGCTAGGAAGGGGAAATCCCCTGACCCCTTGTGCTTCCCAGGTGAGGTGATGCCCCGCCCTGCTTCAGCTCATCCTCCATGGTCTGCGCCCACTGTCCAACCAGTCCCAGTTAGATGAACCAGGTACCTCAGTTGGAAATGCAGATATCACCCATCTTCTGCATCGATCATGCTGGGAGTTGCAGACCAGAGCTCTTCCTGTTCGGCCATCTTGGAATGATCCTCTATCCTGATACTTTAATAAGATAAAGACATCACAGGAAAAGAAAACTACAGATCAATATCTCTCATGAAGATAGATGCACAAATCCTCTAAAATACTAGCAAACCAGATCTAACTGCACATGAAAAATATTATTCCCCATGACCAAGTGGGATTTATCACAGGTATGTGAAGTTTGTTCATCATTTGAAGATCAATTAATTCAATCCATCACATCTACAGGCTAAAAAAGAAAATTTGCATGATCATATCAATAGTTGCAGAAAAAGCATTTGACTTCAAAGTTCAAAACCCATTAATGACAAAACCTCTCAGTAAACTAGGAATAGAAGGGAACTTATTCAAATTGATAAAGGATATTTACCAAAAACCTACAGTTAACATCATAATTAATAGCAAGAAACTAGAGGCTTTCCCACTAAGACCAGGAACAAGATAAAGATGTCCCGTTACCATTCCTTTTCAACATTACACTGGAAATACTAGCTAATGCAACAAGAAAAAGAAATAAAAGGTATACAGATTGCAAAGGAAGAAATGAAACTGTCTCTGTTCACAGATTACATGATCGTCTATGCAGAAAATCCAAAAGAGTTGATTTAAAAAAAACCCTAGAACTAATAAGTGATTATAGCAAGGTTGCAGGATACAAGGTTATTATACACAACTTAACTCCTTTCCTATATACCAGCTATGAACAGTGGAATTTGAAACTTAATACAATTTACATGTGCACACCAAAAAATTAAATAGGTAAAAATCTAGCAGAATATGTACAAGATCTATATGAGAAAGCTACAAAACTCTGAGAAATGAAACCATGTTCATGTATAGGAAGACTCAATATTGTCAAAATATCAATTCTTTGAACTTGACCTATAGATATAATGCAATCCAGTCAAAACCCCAGTAAATTTTATCGATGTCCACAAACTGATTCTAAAGTTTATATAAAGAGGTAAAATACTCAGAATAGCCAACACAATATTGAAGAAGAACAAAGTTGGAGGACTGACACTACCCAACTTCAAGACTTACTATAAAGCTACAGTAATCAAGATAATGTGATATTGGTAAAAGAATAGACAAATAGATCAATAGAACAGAATAAAGCAGCCTCCCCCCCCAAAAAAATCAAAGACAATACAATGGAGAAAAGATAGTATTTTCACTCACTATTGGATATGTTATAGTATTTTCACTAACTATTGGATATCCAAGCCCACCTGGATAACCCAGGGAAATCTCTCCATGTCAATAGCCTAATCACATCTGCAAAGACACTTCTTTCTTATAAGGTAACATTTATAGGTTCTTGGGAATAGGGTTTGATGTCTTTCAGTGGCTATTACTCAGCCTACTAAAAGTAAAAAATGTAACTACTGTGGGCTGGGGTGGTTAAGGAATGTTTCATTGAAGAGTAAAATCTGGCTTTGAGGAATGAACTGGATTTTGCTGTATTATATTGACAATGGGTTGGTGCATTAGTCAGGGTTCTCTAGAGGGACAGAACTAATAGGATTTATGTATATATGAAAGTGAGTTTATTAAGGAGAATTGACTCACATGATCATAGGATGAAGTCTCACGATAGGCCATCTGCAAGCTGAGGAACAAGGAAGCCACTAGTAGCTCAGTCCAGGTCCCAAAACCTCAAAAGTAGGGAAACTGACAGTGCAGCCTTCATTCTGTGGTGGAAAGCGCTCAAGGCCCTGGCAAACCACTGGTGTGAGTCCAAGAGTCCAAAAACCAAAGAAGCTAAAGTCAGATGTTCAAGGGCAGGAAGCATCCGGCACAGGAGAGAAAGGTGAAGGCCAGAAGACTCAGCAAGTTGACTCATTCCACCTTCTTCCGCCTGCTTTTTCTAGCCATGCTAGCAGCTGATTGGATGGTACCCACCCACACTGAGGGTGTGTCTGCCTCTCCCTGTCCATTGACTGAAATGTTAATCTCCTCTGGCAACACCCTCCCAGACACACTCAGGAACAATACTTTGCATCTTTTAATTCAATCAAGTAGACCCTTAATATTAACCATCACAATTGGTGTTAGCAATTGTAGGGGAGAAAAGGTAATACTTTTTCCTCACCCATCACAAGGGACGTGGCTGGCATCCCAGTTAATAAAATACAGATTAACAAATCATAACACATTTATTCAACCAAGACTTATGTGACACAGGAGCCTTTAGAAATGAAGATCCAAAGACCCAGGGAACACTGTCTTTTTATGCTTACATTCGATGAAGAAGGGAGACATGTAGAAATGTGATTGGACAAAAAGGGGATGTGATCTGATGATAATAAACTAAAGGGGAAGCTGGGCGTGGTGGCTCACCCCTGTAATCCCAGCACTTTGGGAGGCTGAGGCAGGCGAATCACAAGGTCAGGAATTCGAGACCAGCCTGGCCAACATGGTGAAACCCCGTCTCTACTAAAAATACAAATAATTAGCTGGGCATAGTGGTGGGTGCCTGTAATCTCAGCTACTCGGGAGGCTGAGGCAGGAGAATAGCTTGAACCTGGGATGGGGAGGTTGCAGTGAGCCAAGATCACTCCACTGCACTCTAGCCTGAGCAACAGAGCGAGACTCTGTCTCAAAAAAAAAATAATAATAAAATAAAAGGAACTCAGCAAGGCCTGCTTGTTCAGATTCTTAATGGCCTCTCTGTGTAGTATTCCTTTCCTCTGGGTATAGGGTAGGACAGTTGACACATGAGGGTCTTATGACATAATTCAGGGAAGGTAGGTTGGAGAATTCCTTTATGGCCAGTTCTCACACAGAAAGATGGGGGAAAGTCAGAGAGCAACCTTTCTGTGTCTGCTATTTTCTCAGTTTCCAGGTGCCATACTTTGGGGTAGTGTGTCCCAAACTCTGACATAATCTATTGGGGAATACCTTTGTTCTGCTTGATTTGTATCTGGATAGAGGTCAAGTGTGCAGAGGGAAAGAAAGATTTAAAAAAATTGGCTTAAGGCCAGAATGTGGAAGGCCCTGAATTTTGTGATTAAGAGTTTGAGCCTGATAGACAGTGGGATACCACTGAAGGACTGAAGCAGTGAAGTCATGTGTGCCAGTATTGCTTTAGGAAAATCAAACTGGCAATAATTTATAGCAGCAATGCCCAATATTTTTGGCACCAGGGACTGGTTTTGTAGGAGACAATTTTTCCACAGACTGGGGAGGATGGTGTCAGAGGCATTAGATTCTCTTAAGGAGCATGCAACTTAGATCCCTTGTATGCACAGTTCATAATAGGGTTCGTGCTCCTATGAGAACCTAATGCCATGGCTGATCTGACAGGAGGAAGGTCTTAGGCCACAATGCTCCCTCACCCACTGCTCACCCCCTGCTGTGTGGCCTAGTTCCTAACAGGACATGGAGTGGTACTGGTCTGTGGCCCTGGGTCACAGACCAGTTGTAAATCAGGGACCCCTGATTTATAGGATACTTCTAGAGAAGGAAGTGAGAGTCAGGGAACCAATTTAGAAATCGATTGATCCTTGAGTTGTAAGATAAGGAAAGTTGGAATTAGAATGGTGGCTGTGGGAATAGAAAGCAAGGGATGGAGTCAGAAACAGGGCCGACTTCATAGGCTTGTGAACTCAGAAGCCTCCTGCACTTCATTTAATTCCCCGCTATCATTGTGCTGAAATTCTTAATAAGTTTGTATTTTGTAAGTGAAGTTCAATGAGACAATGGACCATATGCATGAGCAGACAATACAGGCACAATCTTGTTTTGTCATTCCTTGCCATCCCTTGCCTCCCTGTGTGCGTAGAACATTCAAGATGCCCCATGAGCACAGAATCCCAGTGGACCCATAATGCATTGGAGCTCAGTGTGATACAAATTGAGTACAAGGCAAGCGTGTTACCTCCATGACTGAGTAAGCAGAGGCTCTGATAAACCTGACGAGCCATGCTTTCTGTTCAGTCTTGGTCAGAACACAGAAAGAAGGTAAGGGCATTCTAAGAAACATGAACTAACAAGGAACTCTATCACATCCTTTCTCACCTTTGTTACTTTGCTGTATCAGTCAACCATGTAGGCTGAAAATGATGACAAATTAGAAAAGAGAGAGGGTAGGGCAACCCATAGTTTTGTTTTCTTCTTTACTCTTGAGTATGCTTCTTTAAAAGCCTTCTAAAGTCCTTTTTGACTCATCAGTGAGCCAAAGGTAGAAAGTGTTAGAAGAGGTGCATATAAAAGCAGGTAAGTTCTGCCTGCTCTGTCGCCTGCCACCGCTGCTCGAACCCGAGTGGTTCACTGCACGGTGAAGACAGATTCCGGACGCCAGGAAGTCATGCCTCCAATCTCAGACGCTATGTCCACCAAAGGCTCCGTGGTTCTGGCCTACAGTGGCAGCCTGGACACCTCCTGCACCCTCCTGTGGCTGAAGGAACAAGGCTATGACGTCATTGCCTACCTGGCCAACATTGGCCAGAAGGAAGACTTCGAGGAAGCCAGGAAGAATGCACTGAAGTTTGGGGCTAAAAAGGTGTTCATTGAGGATGTCGGCAGGGAGTTTGTGGAGGAGTTCATCTGGCCGGCCATCCAGTCCAGTGCACTGTATGAGGACCGCTACCTTCTGGGCACCTCTCGCCAGGCCCTGCATCGCCTGCAAACAAATGGAAATCACCCAGTGGAAGGGGGCCAAGTATATGTCCCACAGCACCACGGGAAATGGGAACAATCAGGTCCGGTTTGAGCTCATTTGCTACTCACTAGCCCCCCAGATAAAGGTCATTGCTCCCTGGAGGATGCCCAAATTCTACAACCAGCTCAAGGGCCGCAATGACCTGATGGAATATGCAAAGCAACACAGGATTCCCATCCCGGTCACACCCAAGAACTCGTGGAGCATGGACGAGAACCTCATGCATATCAGCTACGAGTCTGGAATCCTGGAGAACCCTAAGAACCAAGCACCTCCAGGTCTCTACACGAAGACCAGGACCCGGCCAAA